>NC_000007.14:130631779-131256779 GCF_000001405.40 Homo sapiens
CGTAAACAAGGAAAATTTCTTGTTTATCTACTCAGTTTAACATTTCCAGTATTCTTCATTTCTTTGCATAGATCCATATCTTCATTATCATTTTCATCCTGGTGAAAAAAATCCCTTTTATAATTAATGTGACTCTGTCAGAGATAAATTCTTTCAGCGGTTTTTAAGTCTGAAATTGCCTTTTTATCACCTTCACTTTTGAAAGTTATTTTCACTGGAAATCGAATTCTGGATTGACAGTTGTTTTCAGCTGTTGTTGTTTTCTTTAAGTACTATCCATATGTTGTTTTGGTGGGATCAATCTAGTGTCATCTCCCTTCAGCCTGAAAAAACTTCATTTACTATAATATTTACTGTAGAGCAGGTCTGCTGGTGACAAATACCTTTTAGTTTACCTACATCTGAGGAAGTCTTTATTTCACCTTCATTCCTGGAAGATATTTTCAGTGGATATGGTATTCTGAGTCATCACTTCCTTTCTTTCAGCACTTTAAAGTTGGTGTTCCACTGTTTTTAGACTTCCAGATTTTCTGATGAGAAACCCACAGTGATGTGTATATGTAATGAATCATGTTCCTCTTGGTGCTTTCAACAGTTTTCCTCATCTTTGGTGTTCAGCAGTTTCATTAAGTGACTGAGAGCAGAGTCCTTTGAATTTACCTTGTCTAAGTTTCACTTAGTTTCTTGAGTCTGTAAATTTATCTTTCTCCAAATTTGTAAGTTTTCAGTCATTATTTTCTCAAATTTTTTTTTCGCACCAATACCTTTCTCCTCTTCTTCAGGGACTTCAATGTCACAAATGTTAGGCCCTTTGATACAGTCTCACAGGCCAGTGAGGCTGTTTATTTTTGTTTTCTTTTTTCTCTCTCTCTTTTCAGTTGGGATTTATTTCTACTGGTTTATCTTTAAATTCACTAACCTGTTCCTCTGACATCTCCATTCTGCTACTGAGATGAACCAATGATTTTTTTTATTATTATTATACTTTAAGTTCTGGGATACATGTGCGGAACATGCAGGTTTGTTACACAGGTATACATGTGCCACGGTGGTTTGCTGCACCCATCAACCTGTCATCTACATTAGGTACTTCTCCTAATGATATCCCTCCTCTAGCCCCCCACCCCGAGACAGGCCCCGGTGTGTGATGTTCCTCTCCCTGTGTCCATGTGTTCTCACTGTTCAACTCCCACCTATGAGTGAGAACATGCAGTGTTTGGTTTTCTGTTCCCGTGTTAGTTTGCTGAGAATGATGGTTTCCAGCTTTATCCATGTCCCTGCAAAGGACATGAACTCATCCTTTTTTATGGCTGCATAGTATTACATGGTGTATATGTGCCACATTTTCTTTATCCAATCTATCATTGACGGGCATTTGGGCTGGTTCCAAGTGTTTGCTATTGTGAACAGTGCTGCAATAAACATACATGTGCATGTGTCTTTATAGCAGAATGATTTATAATCCTTTGGATATATACCCAGTAATGCGATTACTGGCTCTAAAGGTATTTCTGGTTCTAGATCCTTGAGGAATCGCCACACTGTCTTCCACAATGGTTGAACTAATTTACACTCCCACCAACAGTGTAAAGGCATTCCTATTTCTCCACATCCTCTCCAGCATCTGTTGTTTCCTGACTTTTTAATGATCGCCACTCTAAGTGGCATGAGATGGTATCTCATTGTGGTTTTGATTTGCATTTCTCTAATGACCAGTGATGATGAGCTTTATTTCATAATCTCTTCTTTTGAGAAGTGTCTGTTCATATCCTTCACCCACTTTTTGATGGGGTGGTTTTTTTCTTGCAAATTTAAGTTCTTGGTAGATTCTAGATATCAGCCCTTTGTCAGATGGATAGACTGCAAAAATTTTCTCCCATTCTGTAGGTTGCCTGTTCACTCTGATGATAGTTTCTTTCATTGTGCAGAAGCTCTTTAGTTTAATTAGATCCCATTTGTCTATTTTGGCTTTTGTTGCCATTGCTTTTGGTGTTTTAGTCATGAAGTCTTTGCCCATGCCTATGTCCTGAATGGTATTACCGAGGTTTTCTTCTAGGGTTTTTATGGTTTTAGGTCTTACATTTAAGTCTTTAATCCATTTTGAGTTAATTTTTGTATAAGGTGTAAGAAAGGGGTCCAGTTTGAGTTTTCTGCATATAGCTAGCCAGTTTTCCCAACATCATTTATTAAATAGGGAATCCTTTCCCCATTGCTTGTTTTTGTCAGGTTTGTCAAAGATCAGATGGTTGTAAATGTGTGGTGTTATTTCTGAGGCCTCTGTTCTTTTCCGTTGGTCTATGTATCTGTTTTGATACCAGTATCACGCTGTTTTGGTTACTGTATCCTTGTAGTATAGTTTGAAGTCAGGTAGCGTGATGCCTCCAGCTTTGTTCTTTTTGCTTAGGATTGTCTTGGCTATGTGGGATCTTTTTTGGTTCCATATGAAATTTAAAGTAGTTTTTTTCTAATTATGTGAAGAAAGCCAATGGGAGCTTAATGGGGATAGCACTGATTCTACACATTACTTTGGGCAGTATGGCCATTTTCACAGTATTGATTCTTCCTATCCATGAGCATGGAATGTTTTTCCATTTGTTTGTGTCCTCTCTTATTTCCTTGAGAAGTAGTTTGTAGTTCTCCTTGAAGAGGTCCTTCCCATCCCTTATAAGTTGAATTCCTAGGTATTTTATTCTTTGTAGCAATTGTGAATGGGAGTTCACTCATGATTTGGCTGTTTGTCTATTATTGATATATAGGAATGCCTGTGATTTTTGCACACTGATTTTGTACCCTGAGACTTTGCTGAAGTTGCTTATCAGCTTAAGGAGATTTCGGGCTGAGATGATGGGGTTTTCCAAATATACAATCATGTCATCTGCAAACAGAGACAATCTGACTTCCTCCTATCTGAATACCTTTATTGCTTTCTCTTGCTTAATAGCCCTAGCCAGAACTTCCAATAATATGTTGAATAGGAGTGGTGAGAGAGGGCATCCTTGTCTTGTGCCTGTTTTCAAAGGGAATGCTGCCAGCTTTTGCCCATTCAGTATGATATTGGCTGTGGGTTTGTCATAAATAGCTCTTATTATTTTGAGATACGTTCCATCAACACCTAGTTTTTTGAGAATTTTTAGCATGAAGGGGTGTTTAATTTTATCAAAGGCCTTTTCTGCATCTATTGAGATAATCATGTGGTTTTTGTCATTGGCTCTGTTTATGTGATGGATTACATTTGTTGATTTGTGTATGCTGAACCAGCCTTGCATCCCAGGGATGAAGCCAACTTGATCATACTAGATAAGCTTTTTGATGTGCTGCTGGATTCGGTTTGCCCGTATTTTATTGAGGATTTTCGCATCGATGTTCATCAGGGTTATTGGCCTGAAATTTTCTTTTTTTGTTGTGTCTCTGCCAGGTTTTGGTATCAGGATGATGCTGGCCTCATAAAATGAGTTAGGGAGGAGTCCCTCTTTTTCTATTGTTTGGAGCAGTTTCAGAAGGAATAGTACCAGCTGCTTTTTGTACCTCTGGTAGAATTCGGCTGTGAACCTGTCTGGTCCTGGGCTTTTTTTGGTTGGTAGGCTATTAATTACTGCCACAATTTCAGAACTTGTTATTGGTCTATTCAGGGATTCAACTTCTTCCTGATTTAGTCTCGGGAGGGTGTGTGTGTCCAGGAATTTATCCATTTCTTCTAGGTTTTCTAGTTTATTTGCATAGAGGTGTTTATAGTATTCTGTTATGGTAGTTTGTATTTCTGTGGGATCAGTGGTGATATCTTTTATCATTTTTTATTGTGTCTATTTGATTCTTCTCTCTTCTTTATTAGTCTGGCTAGCAGTCCATCTATTTTGCTAATCTTTTCAAAAAACCAGCTCCTGGATTCATTGATTTTTTGAAGGATTTTTTGTGTCTCTATCTCCTTCAGTTCTGCTCTGCTCTTAGTTATTTCTTGTCTTCTGCTAGCTTTTGAATTTGTTTGCTCTAGCTTCTCTAGTTCTTTTAATTGTGATATTGGGGTGTAGATTTTAGATCTTTCCTGCTTTCTCCTGTGGGCATTTAGTGCTATAAATTTCCCTCTAAACACTGCTTTAGCTGTGTCCCAGAGATTATGTTACGTTGTATCTTTGATCTGATTGGTTTCAAAGAACTTATTTATTTCTGCCTTAATTTCATTATTTACCCAGTAGTCATTCAGGGGCAGGTTGTTCAGTTTCCATGTAGTTGTATGGTTTGAGTGAGTTTCTTAATCCTGAATTCTAATTGGATTGCACCATGGTCTGAGCAACTGTTTCTTATGATTTCTGTTCTTTTGCATTTGCTGAGGAGTGTTTTACTTCCAATTATGTGGACAATTTTAGAATATGTCCAATGTGGTGTGGAGAAGAATGTATATTCCGTTGATTTGGGGTGGAGAGTTCTGTAGATTTCTATTAGGTCCGCTTGATCCAGAGCTGAGTTCAAGTCCTGAATATCCTTGTTAATTTTCTGTTTCGTTGATCTGTCTAATACTGACAGTGGGGTGTTAAAAGACTCCCACTATTATTGTGTGGGAGTCTAGGTCTCTTTGTAGGTCTCTAAGAACTTGCTTTATGAATCTGGGTGCTCCTGCATTGGGTGCATTTATATTTCATATATTTAGGATAGTTAGCTCTTCTTGTTGCATTGATCCCTTTACCATTATGTAATGCCTTTCTTTGTCTCTTTTGATCTTTGTTGGTTTAAAGTCTGTTTTATCAGAGACTAGGATTGCAACCGGTTTTTTTTTTTTTTTTTTTTTGCTTTCATTTGCTTGGTAAATATTCTTCCATCCCTTTATTTTAAGCCTATGTGTGTCTCTGCATGTGAGATCAGTCTCCTGAATACAGTACACCAATGGATCTTGACTCCTTATCCAATTTGCCAGTCTGTGTCTTTCCACTGGGGCATTTAGCCAGTTTACATTTAAGGTTGATATTGTTATATGTGAATTTGATCCTTTCATTATGATGCTAGCTGGCTATTTTGCCCATTAGTTGATGCAGTTTCTTCATAGTGTCAATGGTCTTTACCATTTGGTATGTTTTTGCAGTGGCTGACACTTGTTTTTCCTTTCCATATTTAGTGCTCCTTTCAGGAGCTCTTGAAAGGCAGGCCTGGTGGTGACATAATCTCTCAGGATTTGCTTCTCTGTAAAGGATTTTATTTCTCCTTCACTTATGAAGGTTAGTTTGTCTGGATATAAAATTCCGGGCTGAAAATTCTTTTCTTTAAGAATGTTGAATATTGGCCCCCACTCTCTTCTGGCTTGTAGGGTTTCTGCAGAGAGATCCACTGTTAGTCTGATGGGCTTCCCTTTGTGAGTAACCCGACCTTTCTCTCTGGCTGCCCTTAACATTTTTTCCTTCATTTCAACGTTGGTGAATCTGACAATTATGTGTTGTGGGGTTGCTCTTCTCGAGGAGTATCTTTGTGATATTCTCTGTATTTCCTGAATTTGAATGTTGGCCTGTCTTGCTAGGTTGGGGAAGTTCTTCTGGATAATATCCTGAAGAGTGTTTTCCAACTTGGTTCCATTCTCCCCATCACTTTCAGGTACGCCAATCAAACGTAGGTTTGGTCTTTTGACATAGTCCCATATTTCTTGGAGGCTTTTTTCATTCCTTTTCATTCTTTCTTCTCTAATCTTGTCTTCACACTTTATTTCATTAGATTTATCTTCAATCTCCGATATCCTTTCTTCCACTTGATCAATTTGGCTATTGATACTTGTGTATGCTTCACGATGTTCTCATGCTGTGTTTTTCAGCTACATCAGGTTATTTATTTTCTTTCTAAGCTGGTTATTCTACTTAGCAACTCCTCTAACCTTTTTTCAAGGTTCTTAGCTTCCTTACATTGGGTTAGAACATGCTCCGTTAGCTCTGAGGAGTTTGTTATTACCTACCCTCTGAAGCCTACTTCTGCCAATTTGTCAAACTCATTATCTGTCCAGTTTTGTTCCCTTGTTGGCAAGGAGTTGTGATCCTTTGGAGAAGAGGCATTCTGGTTTTTGGAATTTTCAGCCTTTTTGCACTGGTTTTTCCTCAGCCTCGTGGATTTATCTATCTTTGGTCTTTGATGTTGGTGACCTTCAGATGGGGTTTCTGTGTGGATGTCCTTTTTGTTGATGTTGATGCTATTCCTTTCTGTTTGTTAGTTTTCCTTCTAACAGTCAGGACCCTCTGCTGCAGGTCTGCTGGAATTTGCTGGAGGTCCACTCCAGACCCTGTTTGCCTGGGTATCACCAGCAGAGGCCGCAGAACAGCAAAGATTGCCGCCTGTTCCTTCCTCTGGAAGCTTTGTCCCAGAGGGGCTCCTGCCAGATGCCAGCTGGAGCTCTCCTGTATGAGGTGTCTGTTGACCCCTGCTGGGAGGTATCTCCCAGTAAGGAGGCACAGGGGTCAGGGACCCACTTGAGGAGGTAGTCTGACCCTTAGGAGAGCTTGAGCACTGTTCTGGGAGATCTGCTGTCCTCTTCAGAGCCAGCAGGCAGGAACGTTCAAGTCTACTGAAACTGTGCCCACAGCCGCCCCTTCCCCCAGGTGCTCTGTCCCAGGGAGATGGGAGTTTTATCCAAAAGCCCCTAACTGGGGCTGCTGCCTTTCTTTCAGAGATGCCCTGCCCAGAGAGGAGGAATCTAGAGAGGCGGTCTGGCTACAGAGGCTTTGCCGAGCTGCAGTGGGTTCCGCCCAGTTCAAACTTCTGGGCACCTTTGTTTATACTGTGAGCGGAAAACCACCTACTCAAGCCTCAGTAATGGCAGACACCCCTCCCCCCACACCAAGCTCAAGTATCCCAGGTCAACTTCAGACTGCTGTGCTGGCAGCAAGAATTTCAAGCCAGTGGATCTTAGCTTGCTGGGCTCCGTGGGGGTGGGATCCACTGAGCTAGACCACTTGGCTCCCTGGCTTCAGCCCCCTTTCCAGAAGAGTGAACAGTTCTGTCTCGCTGGCATTCCAGGCGCCACTGAGGTATGAAAAAAAAAACTCCTGCAGCTAGCTCGGTGTCTGCCCAAACGGCCGCCCAGTTTTGTCCTTGAAACCCAGGGCCCTGGTGGCGTAGGCACCAGAGGGAATCTCCTGGTCTGCAGGTTTGAAGACCATGGGAAAAGCGTAGTATCTGGGCTGAAGTGCACCATTCCTCAAGGTGCAGTCCCTTATAGCTTCCCTTGGCTAGGGGAGGGAGTTCCCCAACCCCTTGCACTTCCCTGGTGAGGCAATGCCCCATCCTGCTTCAACTTGACCTCCAGGGGCTGCACCCACTGTCTAACCAGTCCCAGTGAGAAGAGCCGGGTACCTCGGTTGGAAATGCAGAAATCACCCGCCTTCCACGTTGATCTCGCTGGGAGCTGGAGACCAGAGCTGTTCCTATTCGGCCATCTTGCCAGCCACACCTCCACGTCTGAGCTAATGAATCTTTTTACTTTACATATTATAGTCTGTCATTTCTAGAATTTTCATTTGGTTTTGTATATATAGCTCACTGCTGAGAATTCCTCTTTCCATTGATTTCAAGAGTGTCTGCCTTTATAGTACATGGTTGCAGTAGCTGCTTTAAAGTATTTAAGAATCCCTACAACTGGGTCATTTTGGGGGTATCTATTGATTATCTTTTCCCTTGAAAATTTCCAAGTTTTTTCCAATCAACAGATACCAACCCCAAAATGACACACTTGTAGAGATTAACATTGGTTCAATGGAATCAATTTCCTTTCCTGGTTGACTGGTTTTGGATTGTATCCTGCATATTTTGATTATGTCATGAGACTCTGGATCCTATTAAAAGCCTCTGGGGACTACTGACTTTTTTGTTTTAGCAAGGAATCAACCCAGTTAGTTTCAGATTACAAGTTCTGCCTCGCCTTCTGTGCATATTGATTCCAATGTCAGTTTATACTTCAAAGCTTTTGCTATGCTTCTTTAGGAATAGTCCATACATGTAGTGCTTTGGTAAATTATCCATTCCTCCATGTCTTTCCTCATATCTTTTTTCCCATACCATCTGGCAGTCAAAGACACCTTTCCCAGGTCGTCAGCCAGAAATATGGGGTTCTCTCAAGAGTTTCAGCTCCCTGTACTATGCAAGTGGGCCCACCTTCATGATGAAGAGGTAAGAAAAGATAGAAAGAAAAAATAATGATGTGGCTTTTCCCCCACTCTTCACCCAACAGCCGTCCCTTTTCTCAGTGGTAGGTTTCTTCCGAGGGTTTTAAGTGCTCACAACATTGCTGTCGTATCCTAGTAAAGTTGTTCCACAACTAGGGCTGACCTCAGGACGGGAAAGAAAACAAGAAAAACACAAACAAACAAACAAACAAGGATTCTCCCCCAGCTCTCCAGCTTGCAGTCACCACCAACCTTTTTTTTTTTTTTTTTTTTTTTGTAAACTGTGCTCAGGCCAGAGAGATGGGCTTCTTTCTCAGTCTCTATTGACCACACCTACTATATAGTTCCCTGATTCAGTCTGCCCTTGGGTCAAACTCAAGGTATAAAGATGAAAATTAACCATGAAACTCACTGTTGCTATATTGGTCATTCATTAAGTATTGTTTTCTCTCCCTAATTCACCTACTATATTTACTATTTGGAGGCTTCAGGTAATTGTTTTTGTTTTTTTGTCCAGGGTTGTTATTTATTATTATTATTATTATTTATTATTTGTAATCACTGGGAAAGATGGGCTCCAGTAGCTTTATTTCATCTTGGCTAGAATTAGAAGTCTCCTGGCTTTCCCTTTTATTCACTGTTGTTCATTTCACTAGGCTTTAGAGAAGGAAGTTTTGAGACGTGGCATCACTTCATCATCTTTCCTGAAAAGTCTGCCCCAATTTCATTTTAAAATAAAATAAGTGTTAATCCAAATAAATCAGGAAAGTTGGCTTGCAAACTGGGCAGGAAAAAGAGAAGGGAAGTAGGAGACAGAAAGGTTTCTCAACACACATTAACACACCTTTCTCCACTTCTGCCTGTGTGAGTGCTTTCCTGAGGTAGAGAGGGAAATAAATAATCCTTCTGATTCCAACTCCCTTGCTTGAAGAGAGAAAATGGATTATCTTTTAACTCATGCAACACTTTTATTGCATGTCTAATAATACAAAGCACTTTTCCAGGTATTGATGATACAAAGTTATATGTGTTTCTTTCTCTCAAAGAATTAATAATTCAGAAGGCAGAAAAACTATGCAAATAATTATAGTACAATATATTAAAATACTAGAACAGAGGTTAAAAAAAAAAATCAAGTGTTAGAACAACCGAGGCTAGGGGTAGTGGCTCTCACCTGTAATTCCAGCACTTTGGGAGGCTGAGATGAGAGGACTGCTTGAGGTCAGGAGTTCAAGACCAACCTAATCAACATAGCAAGACCCTACCTCTCAAAAAAAAAAAAAAAAAAAAGAGAACAACAGAGAAGACAATGACTAATCTGTCAAGAAAGAAGAAGAAGGAAGTCAGTACCTATAATGACATGTATTTGAGCTATGTGGAAAAGGCAACAGAATAATTCCAGGCACAGGGAGAAGCATGTACAAATATAAAGGGTATCAAAGAGCATGATGAGTTTGGGAAAGAACTACAGCACTGATATGAACCCTAGGGAATACCAATATTTAGATGACAGGCAGAAGAAAACCAGCCACTTCTGAGCTATCATAGGATAAAATGGAGAAATCAAAGAGGAGAGGAAATCCAGGACTATGGTTTCTGAAAGCCAAAGATGGTACAACTCCAGGAAGTATTTAACCATGTTAAAACTGGGAAAGAGGTCAGGTAAAATGTGGACAGAAAATTAACTTTTAAAATTAACTAAGTAAGAAGTTACTGGAAATCTTTGAGAGGAGTTTCACTACAGTGGTGGTTAAGTCATAATAGTATCTCATTTTCTTGTTCTAAACCATTTCCTGGCAGTAAATCTTCAGAAGTAATTATTCAGGAACAGCTGCACCATTCAAATAGAAAAGTTGTTTCGGGCTTGTATATTTCTTACTAAGTGGATGAACTTAGCATTTAGTTTCCTTAGGAAGCACAAAGTATCTTTCTCCCCCTACCCGAATCCACACATTATCGGCACAATTGATTTCAAAACTGCCTAGCTGATAACAGTTTCTACAACCCATTTATTTCTTCCTAAACCATGGTCTTTGAATTTTTCATTTGATTTTCTGAAACCGGGACGTAACTTCTCACATACTGATGCCCACTCCCCAGAGTACTTCCTAATGTGAGTGATGGATCATTCCTCAGGACTCAATTCCAGAATTCTCAATTCTCTCAATTCTCAATTCCTCAATTCTCTCAATTCTCAATTCCTCAATTCTCTCAGGACTCAATTCCAGACTTTCACTGGGTGGGTGCCATCACATAAGGGTATGCCTTCTTGTAATGAGTAGAACAGTAAAATCAGGTTGTCAATATACATTTAGTTAGTTAAGACACTAACTACATCTCTTTTTTTTTTCACCGAGCTGTAATTTATACAATAAAATGGACAACTGAAATATTATGCTAAATCAGTTTTGGCAATTGTGATCATCTATGTAACCTCCATCCAAAATAAAAATACTGAACATTTCCATCACCCCAGAAAGTTCCCTCATGCCCATTTCCAATCAATTTCCTCTAACCCAGTAGACTTCTGACTTCTATCACCACAGATGAGTTTGGGGGCTGTTCTTGGAGTTTATACGAAGAGAATCATCCAGCATATATTCTTTTGTGTCTGTTTTCTTTCCAACATAAATGTTTTAGAAGTTTATCCATGTTGTTGCCTGAATCAGCAATTTTTTCCTTTTATTGCTGAGTAATAGTCTATTGCATGAATATACCACAATTTGTTCCTTCTTCTTTGATGAGCATTTGGGATGTTTCCAGTTTAGGGCTATCACAAATACGAGGGGACTTCAAAAAATCTGTGGAAAAATGGAATTAAAAAATAAACCTAACGGCTGAGCACAGTAGCTCACGCCTGTAAGCCCAGCACTTTGGGAGGCCAAGACGGGCAGATCACTTGAGGTCAGGAGTTTGAGACCAGCCCGGCCAACATGGTGAAACCACATCTCTACTAAAAATACAAAAATTAGCTGGGCGTGGTGGCACACAGCTGTAATCCCAGCTACTTGGAAGGCTTAAGCCTGGGAGGCGGAGGCTGCAGTGAGCCAAGGGCACACCATTCCACTCCAGCCTGTGTGACAGAACAAGACTCCGTCTCAAAACAAAAACAAAAACTATAGGCCGGGCGCGGTGGCTCCCAGCACTTTGGGAGGCCGAGGCGGGCGGATCATGAGGTCAGGAGATCGAGACCATCCTGGCTAACATGGTGAAACCCCGTCTCTACTAAAAATACAAATATTAGCCAGGCGTGGTGGCGGGCACCTGTAGTCCCAGCTACTCGGGAGGCTGAGGCAGTAGGATGGCATGAACCCGGGAGGCGGAGCTTGCACTGAGCCAAGATCGCGCCACTGCACTCCAGCCTGGGCGACAGAGCGAGACTGTGTCTCAAAAAAAAAAAAACCCACAAAAACTATAAATTTTATTTATCGACATAGCTCCATCAAGTTCAAGACACATTTTAAAGTGATGATACCAGTCATTTAGTCCATCCCTAAACAATTGAAGTTGCTGGGAATGTAAGCATGTCAATGCAGTCATTTTTACATTATTATTATTTTTTTAAGGAGCCAGGAGTAGATAACTTTGTTTATATGGGGATTAAGATAGTTGCTCTGATGTTGGTTTGAGAACTTCAACTTCAACGTTCGGGGTTCTCTTTTAACTCAAGGCCAAGCTTGTAAATTAAGCTGCCTTAAAGAAAAAAGAAGGACTGCAGATAAAAGAAGGGAATGGGAAAAATAAACACAGACTTTTAAGAATGAGTAACAAGCTACGCATCGTGGTTTACGCCTGTGATCCCAGCACTTTGGGAGGCCAAGGCATGTCAGAGGATCCTCTGAGGCCAGGAGTTCAAGACCAGATAGGCAACATAACAAGACCCCATCTCTATTTAAAAAAAACACACACACAAATTAACTGGAGGCGGTGATACACACCTGTAGTCCTGGCTACTCAGGAGGCTGAGGTGGGAGGATAACTTGAGCCCAGAAGTTGGAGGTTGCAGTGATCTGTGATCACACCACTGCACTCCAGCCTGGGTGACAGAGAGAGACCCTATCTCAGAAAAATAAAAGAAATGAGCAGCAGTGCAAAGATCATTGGGAAATTCTTAGCCAAAAACAACTTTGGCAGTTTGGTTAGAGGAAAAAGTCTCTCTCCGATTCTATTACTTAGAATCTATTAATTAGAGAATGAATCCCTAAATAGGTTTCATTTATTCTTGGTATCTGTTTTAAAACAAAAAACAAAAAACTCCACAATCTTGGACTCACGTCAATCTAATAATCATTTTGGGGGTGGAAAGGGCTACTTTGTCCCAGGCCCATGGCTACTTTTAGGATAAGTTCTCTTTTCAGAAAGAGAAACACTAGGTATGACTAGTATCCCTTTTGCATCTAATCACTTTGTGGGATGGCAGATGGTTCTAGGTTAGGAGTTCCCAAGCTCTAGTCTACTTTGAACACTCTTCAGACCATAGTAGAAAGTTAGCCCTTTTCTAGGAACAAAGTGGGTACCTAGGAACAAATTCAGGTATGTCCGGTGAAGATAGGGCTGCTCAAATCAATTCAAATAGCAACTAAAAATGACAACCAAGGTTGTCACATAGTGATCAAGGTGCTCCATCTACCATTTAAGTAGATGTAAAAGTTCACTTTCATGCAGTTGGTATAGTCCTTTGGCGAGAGTTAAAGGGGGATAAATAGTGTCTTCCATACTGAACAGGCCTGTTAAGTGAATACCTTGGAAGCTATTTCCTTGGAAGCTGACTTTTGCTTTCCTTTTACTTCAGTTAGCATCAGGAACTCATTGCCTTGTTGGTGCCAGATATTTCCCAATTCTGTCTTCAGAAGAGTCTGCTATTAAGAAATGCTGGCCGGGCGCAGTGGCTCACGCCTGTAATCCCAGCATTTTGGGAGGCCGAGGCAGGCAGATCACCTGAGGTCACAAGTTCGAGACCAACCTGGCCAATATGGTGAAACCCCTTCTCTACTAAAAATACAAAAATTAGCCGGGTGTGGTGGCAGGTGCCTGTAATCCCAGCTACTCAGGAGGCTGAGGCAGGAGAATCGCTTGAACCCAGGAGGCAGAGATTGCAGCGAGATGAGATCACACCATTGCACTCCAGCCTGGGGGACAAGAGCGAGACTTCATCCCAAAAACAAAAAAAAAAAAAAAAAGAAAAGAAATGCTTAAGCATCCATTTTTTCAGGTGACTGGAAAAAGCAGGAAAATTAGTGTTCACAGTAAGAAAATATGGTCCTCATGCTTCCACGTATTCAGAGAGTACCCCCTTTCCAGAATGAGCTACTCGGCTGTGTGAGAAAGGCTCTTGTTCATCCAGCTTTGGCAAAGAGATATTACCTGGGGGGCCACAAAATACTCCTTCACGACGCAATGGGAGTTTTGTAGTAATTCTTCAGCACAGTTGCCTTCTACTACATTGTTAGATCTCAGGTATAGACATCTGCCCTCCAGGACCGACTCCATGGGCTCCACCCGTCGGTGTCCATGGGGTGGAGCCCATGGGCGAAGATGATGTCTTTCTCCAACCGGACCACTGCCTCGAGACTGCCAAAATCCACAGGCACTAGAGGCTCCAGGGGCTCAATCACCTCAATCATGATCCGGCCACTGCCTTGGAGGTGAAGCCCCGGCACCCACCCAGCCACATCCCCCACGCTCACCCATTTTTCCATTATTAACTGAAGAAACATGGGTGCTCTTTAGAGATTTTTTTCAAGATTAGGAAGCAAAAGAAAGAAGCCAGATAAGAACTCTAAGGTGGATGCCTACGGACACTCTTGCAAAATTGCCCTTGTTTGATGAGACAAATGAACAGACACTGTCACGGTGGAGAAGGACTCTCTGGTGAAGCTTTCCCAAGTGTTTTTCTACTAAAGCTTTGGCCAACTTTCTCTAAATACTCTCATAATAAGCTATTATCATTACTTGGCCCTCCAGAAAGTGAACAAGCAAAATCCCTCAAGCATCTCCAAAAACTGTTGCCCTGTTTTTGACAGGTCCACTTTTGCTTTGACTGGACCACTTCCACTTCCACCTCTTGGTAGCTATTGCTTTGATCATACTTTGTCTTCAGGATTGGACTGCTAGCCACATTTCTTCTCCCGTTATAATTCCTCAAGGAAATGTCTCAGGATCTTGATCTCACTTGTTTAAAACTTCCACTTAAAGCTCTGCTCTTGCCTGCAGCCAATCTAGATGCAATAGTTTTGACATCCATTAAATAGTTTGCTCAACTTTAATTTTATCAGTCAGAATTGGGTAAGGCTGAACCAAATGAGGTGTCCATACATTGGCTATTGCTGCTGTTAATCATCAGTTTTACAAATTGATGTAGATGGTCTGCTGCTGAAGACGAAGGGCTTCATGGTTAACATTGTCTCATCCCTTCTTAATACAACTTATCCATTTGTAAACTGCTGATTTCTTTGGGTCACTATTGCCATGCTTTTTTGTAACACATCGATAATTTCACCATTCTTCTACCCAAAGTTCACCATAAATGTAATGTTTGTTCTTGTTTCAATTTTAGCAGAATTGATGTTGCTCTGAAATGGATTATTTTCAAACGGATGTATTAGTGTCTCAAGCTAGTTACTGTTCGGACATGTTATTAACAAGTTAGTCATGAGTTTATATTTTAGTGCAAAAAAATTTTGAATTCTGATATGGTTTGGCTCTGTCATCTCCACCGAAATCTCATCTCGAATTGCAATCCCCACGTGTTGAGGGAGGTAGGTGATTGGATCATGGGGGCAGTTTCTCCCATGCTGTTTTTGTGATAGTGAGTTCTCATGAGATCTGATAGTTTTATAAATGGCAGTTTTTGCTGTGCTTTCACTCTTTTCTCTCTCTTGCCACCATGTAAGATGTGCCTGCTTCCCCTTCTGCCATGATTGTAAGTTTCCTGAGGCCTCCCCCAGCCACGCGGAACTGTGAGTCAATTACACCCCTTTCCTTTATAAATTACCCAGTCTCGGATAGTGTGTGTTTGTGTGTGTATATATATATACGTATATATATATATGCATATATATATGTGTATATATATATGTATATATATATATGTGTATATATATATGTATATATATATATGTGTATATATATATTTATTTATTTATTTATTTTTAAGATGGAATCTCGCTCTGTCACCCAGGCTGGAGTGCAGTGGTGAGATCCTGGCTCACTGCAATCTCTGCCTCCCAGGTTCAAGCGACTCTCCTGTCACAGCTTCCTGAGTAGCTGAGACTACAGGCGTGTGCCACCACATCAAGCTAATTTTTGTATTTTTATATGGGGTTTCCCCATGTTGGCCAGGCTGGTCTCAAACTCCTGACCTAAAGTGATCCGCCCCACCTCAGCCACCCATAGTGCTGGGATTACAGGTGTGAGGCACTGTGCCTGGCCTCAGGTAGTATCTTTATAGCAGTATGAAAATGGACTAATACAAACTCCATGGATATTTTTTCATAACACACATTTCCCACAAACTTTTTGAAGAACCCTCATAAGGCTGTTATGACATTCTTGTACAGTCTTTTTTGTGGCCATATATGTATTCATTTTCCTTGAGTAAATACCTAGAAGGGGTATTACTGGTCACAGGGCAGGTATATAATTAACTTTATAAGAAACTGCCAAAACTTTTCTACGGTGGTTGTATCATTCTACATTCCTATCTACAGTGTATGGGAGTTTCAATTGTTCCAAATGTTCGATATTGGAATAGGCTTTTTTATTTTGGTATTGTCAAGCTTTTTTGTTGTAACCATTCTAGTGGGTATGCTGTACCTCATTAAGATTTTTTTTTTTTTTTTTCGAGACGAAGTCTCACTCGGTCGCCCAGGCTGGAGTGCAGTGGCATGATCTCGGCTCACCACAACCTCCGCCTCCCGGGTTCAAGCAATTCTCCTGCCTCAGCCTCCTGAGTAGCTGGGACTACAGATGCCTGCCACCACGCCCAGCTAATTTTTTGTATTTTTAGTAGAGACAGGGTTTCACCGTGTTAGCCAGGACGGTCTCGATCTCCTGACCTCATGATCCACCCACCTCGGCCTCCCAAAGTGCTGGGATTACACGCGTGAGCCACCGTGCCCAGCCTATCTCACTAAGATTTTAATTTGCATTTCCCTGATGACTAATAATGTTAAGAACATTGTGCTTATTGGCCATTTGCATATATTCTTTTGTGAAGTATGTGCCTTCAGATTTTTTTAATCTCCATGGTTTCTTGCCAAGCCAACAAATTTTCTATGCATACAGAAAGGTCATCTATAATATTAGTTTTCTATTCCTGCTGTAACAAATTACCACAATTAGTGGCTTAAAACAACATGAATTTATTATTTTCAGTTCTGTAGATTAGAAGTCCAACATAAGTCTCACTGGGCTAAAATCACTGTGTCATTAGGGCTATGTCCATTTCACAAGCAAAATACATTCATTCACCCCCTTCCAAGATCCCCCCAAAGTCTCAACACACTGCAGCATCAATTCAAAGTCCAAAATCTCATCTAAATCTCATGGACTCAAAAATCTCAATCTTATTATCAAAATCTAAATTTGGTGTGGGTGAGACTCTTGGTATAATCCATCCTGAGGCAAAATTCCTCTCCATCTTCGGACCTACGGAATTAGAAAAGAAATCCCCTGCTCCCAAAATACAAGGACGGGACTGCCGTAGGATATAGTTACAGATATTCCCATTCAAAATGAAAGAAAGTGAAAGGGAAGACATCATTGGTCCCAAGCAATTCTGAAATCCAGTTAGGCAACCTGGAATAGGTCTCTGCACGGGCAGAATTCTGTAAAGTTCTCAGTTCCACCCTACAGGACTGCCCTTTTGCCCTCAGAGTCTTCCTTCCTTTTTCATAAAGGGTAACCAGCGTGTATTTAAAGCTGAGTAGTTTCATCGGCTTGTTTCCTGCCTATAGAATTTGGGGCTCTGATAGCCTTCTTTCACTTCATCCTCTCATTTCTTTTCTAATTCCATAGGTCCACAGATGAAGAGGAATTTTGCCTCCTCTTTGAGTCTTTCACTTCATCCTCTCTCTCTAGCTCTGAGTTGCTGCTGACGTAGAATTCTCAAAAACCTTGTGGGTCTACTGTATAAGTACAGAGACTCACTCCATTAGACAAGAGGCTCCTCCACAGATCTTGCCTAGATAATCCCATCTCTATTTCTGGCTTCTACTTAGATGCTAAGGGAATCTATGAGTCACACCCCTTGATCTCTTCAGTGTTTTGTGTGAGTGAATGCTCTGACCTTTTCATCTTTCTGAGGTTTCAGCAAAAGGTTGTGCAGTGACTCCTTTGGCTTTTTCTTTAGAGCACGTTTTCCTGACCGTGAAACTCCTGACTTTAGCACCCTTAGCCACTTGGGTAGACTAAGAATTTCCAAAATCATCAAGCCCTGGTTCCTTTTTGTTTAACAGGTCTCTTCTTGACTTATTTCTCTACTTTCAATTTTACTATTAGTGGCAAAAAGAAACTAGGCCATAACTAGGCCATAACTTCAACACTTTGCTTGGAAATCTCTTCAGTTAAACATCCAAGTTCACTGTTTGTAAGTCCTCCTTTCCATGTAATTGCAGTATACAAGCCTGATGAGCTTTCTGCCACTATAACAGGGATCCCTTTTCCTCTAATTCCCAACATTTTCCTCTGAGCCAGCACCTTTAATGCATTTCCACCATCTGTTCACAATGATTTAGGTATTCTCTAAGATGATAAATGTTTTCTCTATCCTGCTGCTCACTTTTTTCTAAGTCTAATAGAGTCATTAACATCCATATTTCTATTGTCATGGCAATCTAGGCGTTTTCTATCTTGCACCTCAAAATTCTTCCAGATGTGCTCACTGCATAATTCCAAAGCTACTTCCACATTTTTAGGTATTTGTTACGGCAGCACCCCACTTCCAGGTACCAAAATCTGCATTAGTCTTCTATTGCTGCTGTAACAAAGTACCACAAACTTAGAGGAAAATACAACATTCATTTCTTTATCTTACAGTTATAAAAGTTAGAAGTCCAACACTTGTCTCACTGGGCTAAAATCAAGATATCGGTAGGGCTACAGTCCTTTCCGGAGGCTAGAAGGGTGAATCCTTGCTTTTTCCAGTCTCTAGAGGTTACCACATTCCTTGACTCATGGCCCTCTTCCCCCATCTCCAAATCCAGCAACACTGCATCTCTGACCTTGTTTCCATCATCACATCTCTTACTGACGCCTCTTCTGCATCCCACTTCCATTTTTAAGAAGTGTAGTCCTTAAAGGGCCCACCTGAATGATCCAAAATAATCTCCCTATCTGCTGTTTTGCAATCTTAATTCCCTTTTGCCATGTAATGTACATATTCACAGGTCCTAGGAATTGGGACGTGGACATCTTTGGGTCACTATTATCCTGCCTACCACAACTACTAATCACTTAAAATGAACTATTAATAGAAATACACCATAATTCAAGGTAGCCTAGCAAAACTCAGAGGCAAGTATTGACAGCGCTAAAAGAAACAAACAAAAAACTCTCAGTCAACAACTAATTTATTTTAAAATTTTCAAAATATTAGTGAATCTAGCAATCTAACTGAAGGTTTTCTGGGTTTTTTTGTTCATTTGTTTGTTTTTTTACTTGTGGTAGACACCATTAGTTAACTAATCCGACATCCATTTTCAACCCCTTCTCCCTTTTCTGTCCCTAATACTTGGGCTATAAAATACTAAATACTCACTTTCCTGGCTTCCTAAGGATAGTCATATAACACAGTTGTGCCAAGTGAAATCTAAAAATTGCCTTGGGAAAAGATATTAGATTCCTGATGAAAGAGGCAGATGGTGTGGCCTTCCCTGGCTTCCTTCCCAGGACCCCTCTAGCCTTGAATATGGTACATTGCCAGTAATTTGGGCATCTATTTTGCAACAATGGAGAATGTCCAAAGAATTCAAGAGACACTACCCTGACACTGCTGAATGACTGAGCCAACACCAGCTACTCCAAGCCTCTAGACTTACGATTATATGAGAAAAAATAAACTCCCATCTTGTTTATGTCACTGTTTACATCTGCTTTTCTGTTATTTTCAGCTGAAAGCTTTCCTAATTGAAACTACATTCCATACTACTACTGGTTAAACACAAGCACCCTCCTCTACAATTTATTATGTTATACAAAACCAGATTCACTTCAATGAGTTATAGTAATTAAAAAGGCAACTATTTTAAAAATAATGTTCATTACACACTTAGAACTATAAATTATATATACTTATTCTAGGACATTTGCAAATTATAAAAAGTTTAAAAGAAAATAAATATCAGCCACAATCCCAACTATCCAGAGATAAGTCTGTATAACTTCTATCCACATTTTTTATATATATACATAAAATGTTTTTTTTTTCTGAGACTGAGTCTCGCTCTGTCACCCAGGCTGGAGTGCAGTGGCACGATCTCGGCTCACCGCAATCTCCACCTCCCAGGCTCCAGCGATTCTCCCGCCTCAGCCTCCCAAGTAGCTGGAATTACAGGAGCGTGCTACCAATGCCTGGCTAATTTTTTTGTATTTTTTTTTTTTTTTTTTTTTTTTTTTTTTTTTGAGACGGAGTCTCGCTCTGTCCCCCAGGTCGGACTGCGGACTGCAGTGGCGCAATCTCGGCTCACTGCAAGCTCCGCTTCCCGGGTTCACGCCATTCTCCTGCCTCAGCCTCCCGAGTAGCTGGGACTACAGGCGCCCGCCACCGCGCCCGGCTAATTTTTTGTATTTTTAGTAGAGACGGGGTTTCACCTTGTTAGCCAGGATGGTCTCGATCTCCTGACCTCATGATCCACCCGCCTCGGCCTCCCAAAGTGCTGGGATTACAGGTGTGAGCCACCGCGCCCGGCCAATTTTTTTGTATTTTTAGTAGAGAAGGAGTTTCACCATGTTGGCCAGGTTGGTCTTGTCCTGACCTCAGATGATCCACCTGCGTCGGCCTCCCAAAGTGCTGGGATTACAGGCATGAGCCACCATGTCTGGCACATAAAATGTTCTTTAAAGTGAGACTATATGGAATACGTAGATTGACTCCAACCCCCATTTAGCACTTTATGAAGACTTATTTATATCAGATGTTTCAAAAATATCTCCAAATTTTAAAATATTTTATAATATGATGATATGGTTAATTAAATAATTTTATCAATGGTAGACACGTAAGTTGTTTGTCCTTTTTTCTACTGTAAATGGTGTTGCAACAAACATCAATATATATAAGTTTTTCTGTGTTATGTCTGATTATTTTCCAAGGATAGTTCCACAGATGTGGCCTTACTAGGTCAAAGGGATAAAGCCTTTCAATTATTCAATAAATGTTGCTAAATTACTTTCTAGAAAAATTGAATCAATTTATTACTCTGTCTCCTTTGTACAAGAGTATGTCTCCCTTACACAAGTACTGAATGCTGCCTGTTTGCTTTTTTGCCATTTTGATGAGTAAAAAATATTATACCTCATTCTTGAATTTTTAATTTATGTTTTTTGGTTACTAGTGAGAACGACTATCTAAAGACGTTTAGATCCTTTATATTGGTTATTTGATGAATTATCACTTGTTTCTTTTTAAAAGTTCTTTATATATTACAGATGCTAGCCTTTGATGTATTTGTTGTAAATATTTTATTTCAGTGCACGTTATCTTTTACTTTTTAGTTTTATCCATTTTTATGAAAATTTTGATGCACTCAAATCTATCAGTATTATCTTTTGTAACTTCTTCCTTTGCTTTATCAGATAAGGATGGCTTTCACATGATGAAAACTTCATTTTAGAAAAGAATGCTTTAAGATATTATATTCTTTTAAATTCCTATTGGCTTTCTTATGGTCAAAAAATGAAATCAACAGAAAGCAAACAGCAAATATATAAGTATCTCATCCTAGATTTTGACCATTTACATACCTGCTTGTGACAATTATCACATCCTCAGAGATGGTAGCCATTTCTTTGATGGTAAGGTAGCACATTCTCCTCAATGTTTGCTGAAAAATCATTTATAAAAGGTAACAGATTATTGATTAGGAAATGGTTTTTTAAATTATTTGAAGTGAGGACCCCAAGTAGATATATATTTTAGAAAGATATTCTTTAAAAGAGTCTCATCTACCAAAAAAAAAAATTAATATCTGGGTGAGAAACTATTCAGAATACTAATATTTCCTAAACACAACTGATGCATTGACACAATAGGTAAAAACTTAAAAATTCAATTATATGGATCTTTCTACTGAGAGATACAAACTTAGACTATGATAGCTTGAGTCCAAAGACAAAGGTTTTTTGTTTTGTCTTGTTTTGTTTTTTTGAGACAGAGTTACGCTCTGTTGCCTAGGCTGGAGTGCAATGGCGCAATCGTGGCTCACCACAACCTCCGCCTCCGGGGTTCAAGCAATTCTCCTGCCGCAGCCTCCTGGGTAGCTGGAATTACAGGCACTCACCACCACACCTGGCTAATTTTTGTATTTTTAGTAGAGACGGCGTACAGTATTAATTAAAGGCTCATTCCTGGAAAATGTGCAAACTCTGCACTTTCCTCAGTTCAGTGTATACCAATGTTTCCTCCTGAACCCTAAATGAGATTTCTAGATGAATACCTGGATCCAAGTAAGTACTAAGCTAACAATGCTCCACCTACTCTCCCCGACTCAACTGGATCTCTGATTTATTCATACACTATGGATAAATGGGCAGCAGCCAGACACCAGGTTCCTCTAGTCTGTCCAGCCTCATCCCTTACTGAGTAACCTCAAATTTCTTTTAAGTAGAGAAACCCAAATACATCAGACGCAGCTCCAGAGTCCAAGCTATGGAGAAAACCTTGATACTACTGAACCCATTAAGGAAAGAAAAGAGAGTGAGGATCCTCGTGGTGATTAAAAACAGAAAAAAAACACACACAGAAAGCCAGTATAGGCACACACATGGGGCAGATCAAAGCTACTATGAGAAGAAAACAAAAAATAAGAATCAAAATTTCAGGAACACCCCACCCCAATTTAAAGAAAAAAAAAGTTCTGTGAGAAGCAGAAGAAAACTAGAGATACGAAAAAAATTTCATTAAAACACAAAAAATGGGGGCTCAACATTATTAGTCATCAGGGAAATGAAAATTACTTATCCAATGAAAAATTAAAACCACGTTTCAGAAACTACCTCACACCCACCAAAATGGTGAAAATTCAAAAGACAAACAACACAAAATGTTGGCCAAAAATGTGCTCTTAACCACTAAAACATACTGCATAAACAAATACACAGAAATGCTGAATAAAATCAGAACAAAAATTTTAAATGTGTAGCCAAGGACAAAATAAAGAGAAATTCACAGATGCTAGAAATGAAGACAACCAAACATTCACAGCCACAGAAGGATCTTACTGGCATGGAATATAGTATCTAACATCTACCAAAATGAGGTTCTAAAAGGTATATTCTTCAAGCACAAGGAAAATCATTCCAGAGTAACTCAGAAATAGAGCAAGGAATGAAGAGTTTTTAAAAAGTGCTAAAGACAGGAGTAAGTCACAATGAGCAAACAAGACTCACAAGAAAATGATGGCATAGAATATATTAATGTAAATGTGCACGTGTGTATGTATATATACACATATGTTGATATACTCATATACGTATAAGGAATCAGAGTATCCTAAGACTCTCGAATTTCCCATGAGTAGGGAAAACACAAAGATGAGTATTTGATTTTGATAAGTCAAAAACCCATTGCAATTTTGAATATAAACAATAAAAAAACTTCCAAAGTATTACCCCACAGGTTGCTGATGCTCTGTTTATTTCTACTCTGTCTTTTTTTCCTCTCTGCTTTATTTTGGACTTCTACTGCTGTCTTCAATGACCCTGGGTTTTTTTGTTTGTTTGTTTGTTTGTCCTACATCTCTAATTTGCTATTAACCCCATGCAGTGTAGTTTTCATTTTATATATTTCTTTTCTTTTTTTTTAATTTTTGGGAAGTGTATTTGGATCTCTTTGTATCTCTCCTATTTTATGCTTTATTCTTGTTATGCCTTTCTTTACAACTTAAGCATATAGATCATGTTAATAGTTGTTTTAATGACATCATCTGCTCATTCCATCACCTTTACCATTTCTGGGTTTGTGTCTGCTGATCCATTTTTCTCCTGTTTATAGATAATATTTCCTGTTTATTTGCATATCTGATCATTTATTAGATGCTGCACATTGTGAAGTTTATTTTGGTGTATGATCTTAAATAGTATTGAACTCTATTCTGTCGTGAGGGAAGGTTAACCAGGACTAGTTTGTTTGTTTTTTTTTCACTTTGAGGCTTACTTACAGGCTTTTTAAAGTTTTAGTGTAAGGTTATAGTATATTCCCATTACTTAGGTAATAATTACTTATGAATGGTTTCCTTTTGAGAACTATACCAGATGTCTTATGCAATAGAAGGTCTTTCCACTCTCACTGGTGGGAATACAAACTATTCTGAGTTCTGTGTTTTTCGGATTCTTTCCTTAGCTTTGAGTAGTTTCCTTTTTTACACACACAGATCAGTTTTTACTTAACCAAAGACTCCAGGGATAGTCCTCAACAGATCATGGAATCCCTCCCTCTCCTCCTTCCTTCTCTCCCCGCCCCTCTTTTTTCTCTCCAGCTCCTTCTTCTTTGGTATTCTGCTTCATAAATTCGAGCTTTCCTGGCTCCCAACCTCCATTCGTTTTCTCAACTCTGAGAGAGAACTAGGCCTGTAATCTGTTTCTGGGCCATGATCTAGTACAATCCTAGGGCTGACCTAGTTTCCCTTCTTCAGATCACAGTCCTGGGATGCCTATTATCCAATATCTGAAAACTGTTATGTCATAAATTTTGTTTGATTTTCTAGGTATTTATAGTAGCAGGGTAAATCCAGTCCATTTACTTTATCATGGCTGTAAACAAAACAGAAAAATGTTCTTACTATCAAAATAAATGGCAATTTATCTAGTTATTCTTTTTTTATTAATTTCCAACACTATCCCATTGTAAATAAAGAACACAGTCTATATGATTTCAATCCTTTGAAATGTGTTGTGTCTTGCTTTATGGCTCAATATACAATCAACTTTTTGTAAATGATCTTTGTGCTCTTCATTTACATTTAATGTGGATAATGATATATTTGGGTCTATATCTACCAGGTCATTATAAGATTTATGTTTGTCCTATTTGATCTATGTTTCTCTTCCTCTTTTTTTCCCCTTCTTTTGGTTTGATTTTTTAGCTTTTTTTTTTCTTTTCGCACAATTAGTTTGGAAGAGAAAAATAATTAATTTTTAAAAAAATCAATGAAACAGAAAGCTGGTTCTATGACAAGATCAATAAAGTTTATAAATCCCTAGACAAGCTTCCTAGAAATAAAAGAGAGAAAATACAATTTACCAATATCAGAATGAAGGAAGAGACACCACTAAGGATTCTGCAGACATTAAAAGAATGGAGGAATATTATGAAGAGCTTTATGCCAAGTTCAACAATTTAACTGAAATTCCTTGAAAGATACAAACTACCAGAGTACACTCAAGAAGACAAATAACCTGAATGGCATCATATATACATTTTTTAAATGAAGTTAATTAACCCCGAAAAGCCTTCCCACTAAGAAGACAGCTGCAATAGTGAACTCTAACAAACATTTAAGGAGATCACAAGAAAAAGGTCAATATATAAAAGTTCATTTAATTCTAGAGACTACCAATAAACAATACAAATACAAAAGCATCAAAACATACTATCTACTTTAGGGGTAAATTTCACAAAATATGTGCAAGACTTGTACACTGAAAACTATAAAATACTGCAGACAGAAGTTAGAGAGACTTGAATAAAGGGATATATACCATGTTTGTGAAGCAGAAAACTCAATAGTGCTATAATGTCCATTCTCCTAAAATTGCTCTTTAGATTTAATGCAAGCCCCACCAAAGTTCCAGCAGCATTTTTATATCTATATAAAAAGATTATATTATATATAATATAACCTTGTCTATTTCTAGATATCTACATATTTCTATATTATCTATATATAATATAGATATTTAAAATCCATATGGAAATGCAAAGGGCCCAAAAGAACCAAAACAATTTTGAAAAATAGAAAGATTTGCACTATAAAACTTACTATAGATTTTAAACCTATAGTTAATCAAGACAGCATAGAGCTAAAGTAAGAACAGACATATAGGTCAATGAGACAAAATAATGTGCCAACGTGCCAATGTAACTCAATCATCTTCATCATCTCCTCCCCCTCCTCCCCTTTCTCCTTCCATATGGATATTCAATTGTTCCAGAACCATGTGTTGAGAAAATGAAGAAGGAAGAAAAGGAAGAGGCAGTGGATGGAGGAAGAGAAAAGAGGTGAAAAGAAACCAACCATTACTTTATACCATATACAAAAATCAATATGAAATGGATCATAAGGTAATTGATATAAAACTACAAACACCCAGAAAAAAAGCACAGGAGAAAATCGTTGTCCCCTTCGGTTAAGGAAAGATTTCTATGATATGACATAAAAAGCATCACCTGTAACAGAAAAAAATTTGATAAACTGGACTTCATCAAAATTTAAAACTTCTGCCCTTTGAAAGACTTTAACAAAATAAAAACATAAGCCATATACTGAGAGACAATAATTGTGAAACATATCTGATAAAGGATTTGTATCCAGAATGCATAAAGACCTCTTAAAACTCAATAATAAGAAAATAAACAATCCAATTTTTTTAATGGGCAAAAGATATTAACAAATCCTTCACCAACAGAAGATATACGGAAGGTAAAAATACAAATGAAAAGATGTTTGAGATCATCAGTCATTGGAAAAATGCAAATTTAAGTCACAAAGGGATACCATTATACACCTATCAGAATAGCTAAAATTAAAAACAAAAATAAAAACGACAATACAAAGTGCTGGCCAGAATGCAGAGCAAACTGCTGCTCTCATACAGTGATGGCGGGAATGATTACAAATATTTTAGAAAAATGGGTTGGTAGTTTCTTACAAAGTTAAACATACCATACCTACATATGGCCCAGCAATCCCACTCCCAGGCATTTATCCAAAAGAAATAAAAATGTATGTTCATCCAAAAATCAAAACATGAATGTTTATAGCAATGTTGTTTATAATCACCAAAAACTGGTAACAAGCCAAATATCCTTCAACTGGCAAACAGATAAACAGAGGTACATCCATTCAATGGAATACGACGACAAAATAAAAATAAACTACTGATACAAACAATAATATGGATGAATCTCACATGCATTATGCTAAGTAACTGAAAAGAAACTCAAAAAAGGCTTCATACAGTATGATATCATTCATATGACTTCCTGGAAAAGGCAAATTTATAAGGACAGAAAGGAGATAGATTGCCAGGGGCTGAGGGAGGCAAGGAGAAACAGATGATAAAGAGACACGGGGGAACTTTTTGAGGAGATGGAAATGTTCTAAACCTCAATTGTGGTGGTGATAACACCACTATATGTGTTTGTCAAAGCTCATAGAATGATACCCTAAAAAGGATGAATTTTACCGCATGTAAAACTACACTTAAAAAAAAAATAATAGTCCAGTAAATGAAAAGGCAAGCCACAGACTGGGAGGAAATATTTACAAAACATCTGTCTGATAAAGGACTTCTATCCAGAATACATAAAGAAACTTATAACTCAGTAAGATGACAACCTGATTTTTTTTTTTTTGACACGGAGTCTTGCACTGTTACCTGGGCTGGAGTGCAGTGGCACGATCTCAGCTCACTGCAATCTCCCCCTCCTGGGTTCAAGTGATTCTCCCACCTCAGCCTCCCAAGTAGCTGGGATTACAGGTGCCTGCCAGCACACCCAGCTAATTTTTTGTATTTTTAGTAGAGACAGGGTTTCACTATGTTGACCAGGCTGGTCTAAAACTCCTGACCTCATGATCTGCCCACCTCAGCCTCCTAAAGTGCTGAGATTACAGGCGTGAGCCACCGGGCCCAGCCGACAACCTGATTTTTTTAAGTGGTAACAAATTTTAACAGACACTTCATCAAAGCAGATATACAGATGGCAAATAAGTACATGAAAATATGCTTAGGCCGGGCGCGGTAGCTTACGCCTGCAATCCCAGCACTTTGGGAGGCTGAGACGGGCGGATCACAAGGTCAGCAGATCGAGACCATCCTGGCTAACACAGTGAAACCCCGTCTCTACTAAAAATACAAAAAATTATCCAGGTGTGGTGGCGGGTGCCTGTAGTCCCAGCTACTCAGGAGGCTGAGGCAGGAGAATGGCGTGAACCTGGGAGGCAAAGGTTGCAGTGAGCCGAGATCATGCCATTGCACTCCAGCCTGGGCGACAGAGCAAGACTCCGTCTCAAAAAAAAAAAAAACGAACAAACAAGCATTATCTAGAAATTCCACTTGTAGGTATCTACTCCAGAAAAAGTCTCACTGTGTACATAAACATTATGTGCAGTATCATTTGTAATAGGTAAAATGTGGGAACAACTTATATCTACCAATGGGAGAATGGATAAATAGAATTACTGTATATTCACATATTGGAATTCCATATAGTAGTGAAAGTAAATAAAGTAGAAGTACATGTAACAAGCCAGTAAATCTTAAAAATGTATTAATTATAAACACTGCAGGCTGGGTGTGGTGGCTCAGGCCTATAATCCCAGTACTTTGGGAGGCCAAGGCGGGCAGATAAAGAGGTCAGGAAATTGAGACCATCCTGGCCAACATGATGAAACCCTGTCTCTACTAAAAATACAAAAATTAGACAGGCATGGTGGCACGTGCCCACAGTCCCAGCTACTCCAGAGGCTGAGGCAGGAGAATCGCTCAAACCCGGGAGGCGGAGGCTGCAGTGAGCCAAGATCGCGCCACTGCACTTCAGCCTGGGCGACAACTCAAAAACAACAACAACAACATTGCAAAAGAAGAAGATGTTATTTTTATATTTTAAGACACACAAAAATGCAAAGTATTGATTACAGATGTAAACTATGTAATCCTCATATATTAATATAAACAACGATAGAAGAATACCAACTTCAAGACAGTAATTACCTTCTGGTAAAGGAATGCTGGTAACGGAAGGAGCTCCACGTATTTCTGGCAAAATCTCTACCTCTCTTTGTCCCAAAACAATCACTCCCTCAATTCCGTATTTTTGCCTAAGGAATCATTAAAACTAATCACATCATGCTGTACATGGCTACTTACCTCAGTCACTACAAAAAGCCTAAAATACTCTGGTCATTATTCATAACCTGCAGACTTATTCCTTGCATCTGGGTACAGCACCTCGTCTGACTCCATTTTCCACCCTTCTAATCAGCGCCATTATATTCTCTGACACTTTCATCAGCAAAATCCCCTATATTCTCAAACTCTTCTCTGAATGTTCCCATCTTTTTCTTTAACTGAAACCTGGTTCTCTCCCAGGGATCCTCCTGCAACCCTCTGAAATAGCAGCTGTTTTCTCTCCCATAACCCTCATACCACCAGGCCTACAGGTGGGGAAGCTTATGCCTTTATACTATGTCACCTGCTACCATTGCTGGTTGTCCATTAAACCCCAGGTCACTTCCCTTATTTTTAAAAAATACCAGTACCTTGTTCACTGTCTCTCCAGTGCAATCCCAGTAATAAGTATTGGTGATTTTAATATCCATACAGATGGTATCTCTAAACCTCTGACCTCTTCATTCCTCGACCTCCTCTTCTCCAATGATGCCATCCTCCCTACAATGATCACCCACTGCCACAGCCTATCAGTAACAGCATCCCTTTCTAATTTCATTCCCAAGCACTCACACTCCTGACTCCAAACTTCTTTCACTCTCTCTTGACCTACAATCCACTGGTTCTACCAACTTTTTGCTGTCCCTGTCAGCCCGTTCTTGCTTCCCTCCTAACCGAAGATTCCACAGTCGATGTTCCAACCACTCAACTTTTTTGCTTCTCCCTCTGTTCACTAACCTGGCAAAACTTCAATCCTGATTAAATCCTATCTCTAAGCCTTCAGTGCTTTAACCTGCAGGCTGTAGCTGGAGAAAAACATTCACCATGTAGCTGGAGAAAAACATTGGTAATACTTTAAATTCATAAGCACTAACTTCAACAGGCTATTAGTCCTATCGAACAATCCTACATTTCCCTAATCCATTTCCTAGAAGACAATTTCATATCTTCTTTTCTTAATATAAACCTCTGTGCTACAGGCTTCAAAAGTTTGTCCTCATCCTTTTTCTTTCTTACTCTGCTTCCTTTTCTCCACTACATGTCCAGCTTTTCTTCCCAACTGCCAGCCCTCTGAGTAACAGCAGCCTTGGGAAGACACCTGGCTGCAAAAACAAAGCCACAAAAGAGGCAATAGCCTTCCATGACTTATGTAACAGCCTCCCTCTGAACCCTACTCCAGCAGCTCAACCTGCCTAGTTTTCTAGTCTAATTCCTCTAATAAACACCTAATTCCACAATACTCATAGTGGTTCTGTTTCCCTGTCTGAACCCTGAATTTCTGCTACAGGAAGTGGTTAAAAGAAGTCCTTAAAGATATGAACCTGAAGTTGCTTCTCTGATTTGATTGAAGGTATTAATGACCAGTTTCCAATGGTAAAGGGGCTACTAGTAGTCCACAGCATGCAGTGGCAAAATATTTAAAATCATCATCTGCAGACAAGGACCTACAGAAGACAAAGCCTTGGGTAACTAACTAGTGGATGCCATAGAAGATTTTAGTAAAAATAAGTTGTATAATGGGTTAATTAGTTGTTTCTAGGTACACTGGATAATTCTTTTCTCAGGAAAAGAAAATGATGAGCTCGGAGTTTTAAAAGCACTACTCAAATCTGGGTAAGGGGGCCAGAAATCTATAACTGCCTTCATAGAAAGCCTTATATCATGTGGCTACAGGGCTGAGACTTCTACAAAGTATATCCTGCAGGTGGCTCAGTTACAATGCAAATTGAATTCACACTCTTGCAGGACATCTTATGTTAAAGTTAGGACCTTGACTGGCAAGGAATGGGGCCCTGAAAAGTAGAATGAAGATATATGGACAGACTCTGATGAAGCCAAGTACCCCGAACTCCTAAATTCTGTGACATCTTCTGCTAGTAGAAGCATCAGTCCTTTATCCCATATGTGAGGAAATTAGTCTTCCTTTGCCTGTAGAGTATATAATGGCCTCCCCTGAAACAGCTGCCTTACAGGGGACTGCTGATCTTCCTGAAGATCTACTCCTAAAACCTCTCATTATTTAGATCCATAACAAGACTCAAATCTCAAGAGGTTCTGGGGGTTGACACAAAATGTGACATGTGATGATATGCAATACATACCAAAAAACTGCAGGATTTGGCCAATTTATGTTAATGGAAAGCTGGAAAATACATATCCCAGAATTACCTTCCCTGTATGGTTCTGCCTTAGAGCTAGGCAAAAGAAAAATGTACACAACACTTAGAAGACAGACAAAAAGCAGCAGCTGTATGTTCTGAAGGTCAGGGTGGCCTAAGGTAATGAGAGGCAGGTTTAGTTTGTACTCATTTTTCTTTTTCCTTATTCTATTCCTTATTCCCCTTCCCCACTCCACATCCAGCTCTTCTTCTCAACTGCCAGCACTGCTGACTAACAGCAATCCCAGGCCCACCAGAAACTTGACTAAGAACTGACAAATGTGGTAGCTATGTGCACTGACTTCTTTATCAGTCCACCTTCACAGTGTCATGCCAGAAGCTAGGTATTAACAGTCTTTATGACTTCACGGTAGATCTGCAGGGAAAAGTTTTACACTGCATACTTTAATTCTTCCATTTTCACGTCTTATAATGAATATTTATAAGTTTTATAAGCAGTTAAATAATTTAAAACATTTCAAGCAATGCTCCCTAATTTAGAACACTCTTAGTTCCCTGGGGAAAATAAATAAAAGGAGGTTTTTCATCGTAAAAAAAATTTAAAAAGACTTACATCATTAGATTGAAACAATCGCGTCATTGCAAAGAAGGCTTCTGTAGCTTCCGTTGTTCCAAAGTGTTCACCCTAAGTAAAATTTAAAACAATTTTTAAATTTTAAAAAGTGTATATTCATATATATGTACATATACACACACAGGATTTTCTATTTCTGCAAAAATCCTTTAGAACTCAAGAAAAAAGAATCTCTTTGTAAACATTCTGCCTCTGCAATTTTTCTGGCTTTCAATGCATAAACCCACATAGCCATTTATCCCCCCTTATTTAAAATAATTCAGTATCGCATACCATGCTTAAAAGTTCTGGCATAGTGATCTCTAAACTTTTAGTAGAAAGTATCTGAAATTTTCCTGAAGTATTGTAGTTTACAAGGAGGGAGAAAATTACAGCACTCACAATAGGACATTATTATTACACTGCCTAAGAGCAGAGATCATATCTATAATGCCCAGCACAATGCCTAACATGTCATGGGAGCATAATAAATATTAAAATATAAGGAACTATCTATTCAGAATCTCAGCAAAATGGCAAGAAGGGGACCAACCAAAAGGGCAGGAACCAGATTCATCATATTAAAAAACTAGGCTTAAGGGGCTGCTATGTAGCTCAATATTGGTTCAAGCCCCTAAAAACATGCTTTGGATCAGAGCTTCAAACAGTTTAATGAGCATGACAATTCATCCTGGGATCTTGCCAAAATGCAGATTCTGATTCAGTGGCTCTGGGGTAAAGCCTGAGATTTTGCATTTCTTTTCTTTTTTTTTTTTTTTTTTTTTTTTTTGAGACGGAGTCTCACCCTGTTGCTCAGGTTGGAGTGCAATGGCGCAATCTTGGCTCACTGCAACCTCCACCTCCTGGGTTCAAGTGATTCTCCTGCCTCAGCCTCCCAAGTAGCTGTGATTACAGGTGTGCACCACCACGCCCAACTAATTTTTTGTTATCTTTAGTAGAGACGGGGTTTCACCATGTTGGCCAGGCTGGTCTTGAACTCCTGACCTCGTGATCCACCTGCCTCGGCCTCCCAAAGTGCTGGGATTACAGGCTTGAGCCACTGCGCCTGGCCTGAGATTTGGCATTTCTAACAAGTGATGCAAATGCTGATCTGGGAACTACATTTTCTGAGCAGTGAAAAAGTGTTAGATAACGTATTTCAAAACATCTCAAATCATAGATTACCTCAAATATTACCATTTCAATATTTAATGTCTTCACTAAAAGCAATCTTATATAATACGTTACACTCAATCACTTTTCAGAGCTTCAGATTCCACATAAAATATAACTAGTCTTCAATCTATTTGCCATAGGTATAAGAATAAATTTTGGTGAAAAATACTGACAGTTTAGGATAAAAGACAAAGTACAATAAGTTTATACTTACTTAAATCAGTGTATCCAGCCTGCTCATCAGCATGAGATTTATCTTTCTTTCACAACTATTTACTGAATACCCAGAAGTCTGTGTGCTTTTTAGTTATACAGGAAAACCTTACATCCTACTTTTTTACTTGAAACTCAGAAAACACATGGATATGTCAACTCTCATAGAAATTCAAAAGTATCTTTCTATAAAGCTCTACCAAGTTCTAGGCAAAGAGATAAAATTTATGTTCCCAAACCTGTTTATATAGTTAATTGTGTTTATGCTGTGCTTGGTAATTTCCTTATCAAGATAATTAAATGTTTCAACATGAGTTGCCTCATTGAAGAGGTAATGACCAACATAAAAATACATGTTACTCTCAATCAACTTTGACTATTCAAAACTTTTGTTTATACAATGGATTTGGCCAACTTAGACACAATGTGTGCTATGAAAAGTTAAACCCAATTGACTATGCTTTAAATGTTTCTCATATGCTGACACAGAGGGATTATGTTGTTTGTGAACAGATATATTTTATTTAAAACTATGTGTTTGATGATCAGGCACAGTAGCTCACACCTGTAATCCCAGGACTTTGGGAAGCTGAGGTGGGCGGATCACCTAAGGTCAGGAGTTTGAGACCCACCTGGCCAATATGGTGAAACCCCGTCTCTACTAAAAATATAAAAATTAGCCAGGCGTGGTGGTGCATGCCTGTAATCCCAGCTACTCAGGAGGCTAAAGTAGGAGAATTGCTTGAACCAGGGAGGTGGAGGTTGTAGTGAGCCGAGATTGCGCCACTGCACTCCAGCCTGGTAACAGAGCGAGACTCCATCTCAAAAAATAAAAAAAATCTATGTGCTTGTTGCTTAGTCTTCATTTGTAAACAAGAAAACTTTATTAAATCTCTGAGTGAGGTCTTCAGTCACAAAACAAAGTAAAGATAATATATTCTCTTAGAATTCAAATTGGAAACCATGGTTATCTTAGCACCATATGTAAACCACCTGAGGTATATGGTATATATGTATGTTTTATGTGTCCGTCTGTATGTGTATAGACATATATAGTCAGCCCTCCATAACCATGAGTTCTGAATCTGTGGATTCAACCAGGCTCAGATTGAAAATATTCAAGGAAAAAAAAAACTATGTTTGTACTGAACACGTACAGATGGTTTTTTGTCATTATTCCCTAAACAATACAGCACAACAACTATTTACACAGCACTAACATTGCACCAGGTATTGTAATCTAGAGATTATAGTCTAAGTATTATAATCACAGAGACAACTTATATATGGGAGGATATGTGTAGGTTATATGCAAATACTACACCATTTGTATGAGGGACTTGAGCATCTATGGACTTTAGTATCCAATGGAGGTCCTGGAACCAATTCCCCACTGATACTGAGGGAATATGAATCCATGAAACAAAATCATATTTTCTAAGGCCCTAGACATTTCATGAGTTTTTTTTAAGTCTGGGGCAAAAAAAAAAAAAAGAAAAAGAAAAGAAAAATTAATAACAACAGCAGCAAGCAGAATCTACATTTCATGAGCGCAAATATTTTTGCTGGTTTGTCTGCTATATCCCCAACACCTAAAACAGTGCACAGCACACAGCAGCTACGCAATAAATATTTGCTGAATGACGGAAGGAAAACTATTCCTGAATGCTTACTGTATGTTCAGGACTATTCTCAGTGCTTTACACTAATTATCTCATTTAGTCATTACAACTCTGTAACAGGTATTATCATAATCCCCATGTAGAGAAAAGGACATCAAGGCACATAAAATGGTTAAGCTACTGCCCAGAATTATTCTGCTAGTAATGGTAGCATAGGGATAATAAATATAAAATCTGAATATTAACAATCAAAGCTTTAAAACATCATTACACACATAAAAAAGAAAATATCTGGAATTTGCCTGATCTTGCACTGTATTTTCAGAAAAACATGAAGATCTCCAAATACATGTAAACAACATGCTCTAACTAGTACTCATTAAATTGAAACCAAAGGATTTATTGAGAATCTACTATGCGCATCACTGGTTTAGGATCTCATGAATAAAAAGGAAGTATAGGTTAAACATCTCTAATCTCAAAATCCAAAATCTGAAATGCTCCAAAATCAGAAATTTTTTGAGTGCCAATATAACACTCAGTGGAGACACTCATCAGAGCATTCTGGATTTCAGATACTCAGATTAGCAATAGTCAGTGAGTATGTATTCTGCAAATATTCCAAAATCCAAAAAAATCTGAAATCCAAAACACTTCTGGTTCCGAGCATTGCAAAGAAGGTATACTCAACCTGTATATGTCATAGTCCTCGTACTCAAGTTTTACATATTATTTTGTTAACCAAACGTTGTATATGTTAAAATTAAGTGAATTTAAAATAAATAAATATACTTTCCAGAAAGTATTTCACTGAATCTTCAGTATTTCTATTCCAGGACACACTTATCTGAGGAAAATAAAAATAATATACCTGGTTCAGTAAGTAAAGAATCTTTGTAAGAATATGCAAACATCTTCTTGGATTGATTGGAGTTTCATTGAATATACGAGCCTATGAAAAAACATAAAAAACATTGCTACTTTTCTACCTTTTCTATCACAGATTATAGCAAATCAACTTTAATACAGACTATTTTTAATCACGGTATCCAAAGAACATTGTCTATAGTTCTCAATTTACTAAGGTATCTGATAAATTATTACACGTGGCCTTGATTTTCCATCCTATACTTTCTCATTCCCTTAGGTTGACTACTTCAACTTTATGGGCTATACCAGTTAAATAAGGATCACAATACTTATCTATATCATACTAATACAATGAGATTAATACAGATAACTGATTTCAATAACCTTGCACTAAACACCTGTTCTTACATTTAAAATTCCCAACCTGTGACAGTCTTCATGTCTTTGCATTTCTATAAGCTCCAAATTCTCCTGTGACAAGTAACCCCTCTTTCTTTTCCCTCAAATCTATATTCCCTAAACTCTGTTACGTTTCTTGTTTTGCATGTCGTGATCACAGCAGCCCAGGGATTCTCTGCCCACCACTCTAAAACAGAATAGAAAAGAAAGGGCACAAGATACTTCCCAGTCATACCTCCTGTAAAACAGCACTCTTCTCCAGATGCTGGAAAGGATTGGAGCCACTACCTATTTATAAAACAAAACAAAAAAATGTCCTGAACAGCTGTTCTACACAAACTTATATACTTTCCAGAGAAGGGTACTGAATGCTTGGGAAGTGAACACTTGGATGGCACAGTGATAATCATGGCTAATACGCATACGAACTGAATGAAATCATTTTGATCCCGGCTCTGTCACTGCCATACTCGAAGAGCTGAGACTTCTCTTTCGCAGCAACCCTCTCCAAAATGAGTGTCTTCTTTCCCTGCCCTCTTTTTCCATGAATGTTAAAAATGTGTCATTTCCACAACAACGAAGATTAATGAGATTGTAGTAGGGTGCTTTTGATTTCCTTAGGTAAGCAGTATTTTATGTGTTTCTAACACTTAAGGAGAGGCAGAAACGAAGTTTCCCAGAGAATCATGCAGGCGTAAAGGTGCAAGAGGCCATGGAGGTTGACTAACCCAACCCCCTCTCACACTGTGGGAGATGCTACCAAACACTGAGAATTTTTTTCTTTTTGAGGATGCTTGGCATCTTCCCCATTTGCTCTGGACCAAAGACGGGCATCAAGACGCAGGTCACTTCTGGACACCTGAGCATTCAACGAGCTGTGTCCCACGGGACAGTCTTGCCCCCGGGGACCTGGACAGAGCCGGTGACCCCAGGAAAACGATAAGGTACCAGGCACCTGAACGTTCCTCCACACACACCCTGTGCCGTCGACCCCAGCCCCGGGAACAGGGTGCTCCCACTAGGGGTCCGACCCTACCAGCACCCCTGGACGCGGAGACGCGCGCACGCCCTCGGCCCCCGCCGGAGGCCCGCGCGCAGGGGAGGAGGCGGCTCGGAGGGGCTGCGCCGCAAGAGGGGCGGGAACGGGGCGCGCGCGGGCGCCGGGGCGGGAGCGCGCGGCCCGAAGGGAGGCTCCGGCGCCCGGGGGAGGGGCTACGGGCAGGCCCCGGGCAGCCGCGAGGGGAGGGGAGGGGCCGGCTCCAGCTCCGGCCCCCTGGCACGGCGGCGCCCACGCCCCCAGCCCCGCCGGCCTGAAAGCAGGTGGCGGCGGGCGGGGGAAGGGGCGTCCCGCGGCTGAGGGTGGGCCTCGGAAGCCCCGCGCGTACCAGACTCCTCGTCCTTCTTGTCGAATTTTTTAATCATCTTGGACGACTTCCCAGCGCCCAGACCCACCGCAACCGTCCCAGGCGCCGCAGCCGGCGAGCGGAAGAGGCTGCAGGAAGGCCGGCCCCGCGCTCTCACGCCGGTTGGGCCGCCGCGCCTTCACTCGGGGCCAAGGCCCGCCCTCCCCGGCCGCCCTCGGCCCCCGGGACGCAGCCACGCCCCCTTCTCCTCTTGCGGCCCGCCGGAGACTTCGGCTCGACCCTCCCGGCTTGCGACCCGGGAGCCCACGCCCGCAGCAGCAGGAATGTGGTTTTATTTGGGTGGCGACTTCTGCGGACCCCTCAGTCTCAAGAGAGCGAGGCGGGAGGACTGAGGGGTCTGTGTTCACCCGATGACCGTGGCCTTTTTGATAATCCACTGCGGGGCCCTCCCGTTGCGGAAGGCGCTCTCCCCGGGCGCGGTTCTGGTGGGCATGTCTTCCAAGAGCGATGCGAGTGTCAGTGGTTCCCGAATCACTTTGGAAATTGGCCTTTCACTCGCTGACTTCTTGGAAGCTACGACAAAGCACAGGCACCCTGGTGAATGTGGCTTTTCAGAAGTACTCGAAGGATACTTAATGTGAGATGTAAAGGAGACGCACTTGGAGGGACCAGAGGCTGGTCTTTAGAGGGTAGATTTTGGACCGTGTAATACCATTCCCAACCTATTTTATAATTTTTGGATTCCTTCATTTCATCAAAACCCAGTGGAAAATTCATTGCCAGTTTAGAGTCTTCCTTGTTCAAGCCTATTTCTTTCAATGATTCCATCTGAAACCATATTGACACTTAAGAAACTCACTAAATTAACGTGCATTCATTCCTAACTCATGTTCCTCTTTTTCTCAGAGTGTATGCTGGCTTTCTGTTCTCTTGTCTAAGAGTGTAGCTAAGAAACTTTGTCTGCCTTTGGCTTCACTGGCATAACTTGTTTAGAAATGTAAATTGGGTCTATACTCAACAGGATCGTGCCCCTGCAAAATTAGAGAAATTCTAACCTAGATTACATTCTACATCCTAGAGAAATTCTTTCCCTGAAATACAGATTTAAGATGAACTGTTGATATCCTACATATGGTATCATTTAAGATTTAACTCCGACTTGACTAAATGTACTATTAACTACTATGTTTGCTTTATATGGCTTGTAAAGGTCAAGTCATACTTTGTAGGTGGAGTTTTCTTTGAAGGAAATAGAAGTCTGCACTCATTTATTCTGGGGGTGAAAATAAACAGGCTTTGGGGAAGGAAACATCCTCTTCCTCTTCCTTGGCCCAAGGGTATTGGGAACCTAGGCAGAGACAGTGTAGATAATAGGCCCAGAGGTTCTCAAGGTGGGTAATGCCCCGGAGACCTGCTGAGAAGTAGAAGGACCTGAGTTCAGATTTGGGGCTGACCCTAAGACTAGCCCCTTGTAAAGCAAGATCAATCATTCTCTGCTGTTCTTCAGCTTTTCTGTATATCTATGAAGTTTTGTTTAATACCACAGGTTGTTTTTAGCTGTGCAGTATTTACGGAGTTAAGAGCATCAGTAGGTGGAAATGGGATGGGATGTGGTGGCAGATAGGTATAGCAGGAGCAGAGAAGCCTGAAGAAGCCAGTTAAGGGATGGTATAATATGACCCCAGGCCTTCGGTATCAGGACTATTTGGACTGAGGATGGCTGGCAGACGGGTTGAGCAATCACTGCAATGGCTTTGTGGGACAGGCAAGGATACCTTAGGGAGTCTCAGGAATTGTTTGAGGAGAGAAACCCAGTAGGAGAAATGGACCTTATCTTAAAACCATGAGCTGGTGAAGTCTGAGGACCCACCAATTATATATATCTAATACACAAATGTGTACTCAGTGCCCTGAAATTCTTCATTGGGTCCAAACTGCCTACTGGATAAAACCCAAACCTTTATTTAAATAATATTTAAGGCATTGTGGTATTTTCGATTTCTTGTTATTGTTGTTTGTTTGTTTTTCAGACAGGGTCTCACTCTGTTACCCAGGCTGGAGTGCAATGGCATAATCACAGCTAACTGCAACCTTGAACTCCTAGGTTCAAGCAATCCTCCTTCCTCAAGCCCCCCAAGTAGCTCAGACTACAGGTGCATGCCGCCACACCCTGTTAAATTTTTTTAAATTATTTTTTGTAGAGACAGGATCTCACTATGTTGCCCAGGCTAGTGTCAAGCCCCTGGCCTCCAGCAATCCTCCTGCCCCAGCCTCCCAAACTGCTAGGATTACGGACACGCCCAGCCTGTCAAGGCCTTTTATGATCTGTTTCATCTCTTTCACATATTGAAAGTGATATTGTTGGTGCTTGGTAAGTGTCAGACACTTAGTAGGAACCCTTGAAATACTGTTAAATAAATGATAATATGTGAGGAGGATTCTCATTGTACCCTCTGCCATACAACCTTATTCCAAGCCCCTTCTACCCCATTCCCTACCCCAATCCCAGAGACTTTTGTACCTCTAAGACACACAGACTTATCCTTTGGCCCTTTTAGAGCAGTTTTTTCTTCAAAGTATAATATGCATACCACTGGGTGGTTCTAGGTGGTACATAGATAAACATTTTAAAATTTCATTATTATAAATTTGATATAAGTGTTTCAGAAAAGCATATAATTTGTACATCAAAACCATGATATCAATGATATAGTATTAATTAGGACAAGATTTTTTAAAAATCCTTTTAAAAAATGCTAAGTAAATTAACAGCAAATAATACATCAATATGGCAAAAACTATTAAAGTGCTGGGTGATATAGCTTAGTAAACACTGCTAGAGCTTTCTTGAAATTTGAGGATTTAAACAGGGTCCAGAGCTTTGCACCTTTTGAGCCTCTATTTGTTGTTAACTTCCATGCTATAGGGAAAAATAGTCTCCAGGACTACCACGAGAGAAGCCAGTTTGCCACATCTATAATCCTCATGGATTGTATCTCCAGCCCAAATCTCAGTCCAGTAAGCCTTTGCTTTGAAAGAGAGGAGCTTACCATCTTTCCTCATATCTCTCTCATGGACTGGAGCAAAGGTGAGCTGAGGGTACATTTTCTTCTGTGTCCTCAAAGCGTAGACTTTTGAATACTTCCCTTCGCTCTTGAAATCATTGTCAGTGGAAAACCTTAACAAAGAAAGTTCTTTGTTTAGTAGATCCTAGGGCAGGGGGATTCATGGAACTATTCACTTTATTTTATTTTATTTTATTTTATTTTATTTTATTTTATTTTATGTATTTATTTTGAGACACAAGTCTTGTTCTGTCACCCAAGCTGGAGTGCAGTGGCATGATCTTGGTTCACTGCAACCTCTGCCTCCCAGGTTCAAGCGATTCTCCTGCCTCAGCCTCCCAAGTAGCTGGGATTACAGGCACTTGCCACCACGCCTGGCTAATTTTTGTATTTTTAGTAGAGACGGTTTTCACCATGTTGGCCAGGCTGGTCTCGAACTCCTGAGCTCAAGTGATCTGCCCACCTTGGCCTCCTGAAGTGCTGGGATTACAGGCATGAGACACCGCGCCCAGCCCCACCATTCACTTTAAAGTTGGCTACATTCTCAGAGAAGACAAGACAATGATAGGAGCCTGTTGATTGGTGCCAAGTAGGAATATTGTTCCGTGACAAGGGATGCTTCTGAACTTAACACTGTAAACCTTTGGAGGAACTCCAGAATCTCTTCTGTCCTCTCTAAACTACACATAGGCTGCTCTTGTAAGTAGTTTCACATAAAACCTCTTTTGTCTAATGTGTTCTCATAGCACATGGTTCCTGTGATATAGCGCCTAACTTGTATTGAGGGTACTTTTTTTTTTTTCCTGTTTCTTCAAAGCACAGACCTTGGAATATTTCCCCTCAATCTTGAAACCATTGCCAGTGCAAAACCTTAGTTTTGCATGACTGTTTCTCTTTGATTCATGTGTCAATGAGGTTAGGGTCATGTAGGGAAAGTCGTGTCTTACTATCTTTGTACGACCAAAGAATATGTCATTAAATTGTATGGCAAAGAACCAGAAACGTGAATAGGGAAAAGATAGGAAAGAAAGCAAGTACAAGAAGAAGCAAGATTTCACCTAAACCATTGTTCTCGCTTGGATGTGGGATCATCCGACAGTATCAAAGGGAAGATTGGTTTCAGCTTAGATCTTAACTTTTTTTTCTGAGGCATGCGGGGCAGCCAGAGGTTCTCAGTGGGTTTGTGCTGATGATGACTTTCCTGTAGGGAAACGAGGGAAGAAGAGTGAGGGAGTAAGCTGAGTCCCTTGGGATTTTAAGTTTGGACCAAGTTCCTGGACTAAGTTCCAATTCCCCTACAATCATGCAACAAAACCTGTCAGAGGGGGAAGTGGGAACTCAGAAACCAGAATCAGAGGAAGCCGTTCCCTGGGAGGGAAAACACTCTTTTCATTGCCAGATTACTTGTCCAAAACCTGTTCAGTTTCCTAAGTAATTGATTAAATTTGCCTACTGGCCCTTGGAAGTGAATGGCAGAGAAAGTTACCCAGTTTGGGGAAGGATTCAACCAGTGAAGTCCTTGGGGAAGTAAGTATTTGGCAATAAATTGGGAAATAGATCCATGGGACTTTACCTTCCTTTCTTGGAGATGGCTGCCTCATCCACATTCCATTCTCCTTAATGAGAAGGCCATGGAATGGGATGTTGTGAAGTAATAATTATACCATTACTAAAGGTCATAGAATCAAAGTCTTTCAGAAAGAATCTTAAGTCATCCAGTCTGTTTGTCTGTCCCTCCTAGCCCTTCCATAATCTCACTATCAAGTGCTCAATCTTTCTTTACCTAAAAAAAAAAAGATTTCACCTTTGATCAGCCAATAGATATCTCCCTGTAACTTTTACCCTATAGTCCAGAAGGAACAAATCTAGTCCTTCTTCCATAGAGTCCTTAAACATTTTGAAGGAATTCATCACATTCCTCCTAAGCTCTGTCTCTTCCAGGCTAAACATTGCCAATGTGTTGAACTTTTTTTCATATGACATGGCATTGGGTTCCTTTTTCTTTTTTTAATCTCATTGGAGAAAGCTACAGTTCATATTCTAACTAATGTGCGGCAATCTGAAATGAAAACAATATGCCAGGTGTAGTAACTGCATGGCATATCCCCTGGCCCCATGGAAGTGTCTATTCAAAAGTCAACCAGGCACGGTGGCTCATGCCTGTAATCCCAGCACTTTGGGAGGCCAAAGCGATGGATCATGAGGTCAGGAGTTCGAGACCAGCCTGACCAACATGGTGAAACCCCGTCTCTACTAAAAATACAAAAAAATTAGCTGGGCGTGGTGGCGCGTGCCTATATTCCCAGCTACTTGGGAGGCTGAGGCAGGAGAATCGCTTGAACCCAGGAGTCAGAGGTTGCAGTGAGCCGAGATCACACCACTGCATTCCAGCTTGGGCAACAGAGTGAGACTCCATCTCAGTAAAACAACAACAACAACAAAAAGTCATCAATTCTGAGAGCCTTCTTCTTTTCTTCTTTTTTTTCTTTTTTTCTTTTTTTTTTTTTTTTTTTTGAGATAGAGTCTCACTCTGTCTCCCAGACCTGGAGTGCTATGGTGTGATCTCGGCTCACTACAACCTCTGCCTCCTGGGCTCTAGTGGGTCTCCTGCCTCAGCCTCCCGAGTAGCTAGGATTACAGGTGCGTGTCACCACGCCCAGTTAATTTTTGTATTTTTAGTAGAAACGGGGTTTCACCATGTTGGCCAGACTGGTCTCGAACTCCTGACCTCGTGATCCACCTGCCTTGGCCTCCCAAAGCTCTGGGATTACAGGCATGAGCCACCGTGCCCAGCAGAGCCTTCTTAACTACACTATCTAACATTGCCACTCACATCCATCACATTCCATCTCCTTATCCTGCTTTGTCATGGCATTTATCACATTACATTATCTGTGTGATCATTTGTTTATGGTCTAAGTCACTAGAATTAAGCTTCATTAGAGCAAAGACTGGGTCTTAGTCATTAATATATCCCTAGCACCCGTAATAGTGCCTGGCACATAGTAGATGTTCAATAAATATTTGTTGAATGAATAAATGACCAAACTAATTAATTAACATATTGAGCTTTTGCTATCAGAATCTTAAAGACTTTTTGTCTTTAATACTTGCTGCTTCTGAACCATGTCTTTTCAATTCTGAACTTATTCTCTTTAAGCTCTTGTATTAGGATGGTGCAAAAGTAATTGCAGTTTTGCAATTATAATGGCAAAAACTGCACTTACTTTTGTGTCAACCTAATAATTTTAAGGGAAAGAAATCCATTTGAGTTATCTTAAATAATAGGTTTTTTACTGTAAGAGCACATGTGCCTAATAACTAAGATATAGATAACTATCCAGCCATAAGCAAAACCCTAGGAGAGCTGGACCTCATATCAGAAAAACAGTAACTGAAAAGTTATTTGGAATCCAAGACAGCACTAGTGAAGGACCACTGTCTTAATGCAAACATATCACTCACATGTTTCTCCTACTTTCTTCCTATCTGCTTCCTTCTTCTCCCTTTACCTTGTTCACTCCTCACCTTTACTCCATAAATATGTGTGTATATATATATATATGTATATATATATGGGTTTTTTTCTACCTATAGCTTCTGCTTATTTACTTCTACTTCCTACTTCCCTATAACTTCAGCCTTCCCATACTCGACTTCATGGCCTCTTCACTACCTTTCTTCCTCATGGTTTGAGTCTTTTTTTGGGGGGGGTGGGGTGGGGAGGGGATGGAATCTCACTCTGTTGCCTGGGCTGGACTGCAGTGGCACAGTCTCCACTCACTGCAACCTCCACCTCCCAAGTTCAAGCAATTCTCCTGTGTTAGCCTCCGGAGTAGCTAGGACTACAGGCATGTGCCACCACGCCTGGCTAATTTTTTGTATTTTTAGTAGAGACAGGGTTTCACCACGTTAGCCAGGATGGTCTCAATCTCCTGACCTCGTGATCTGCCTGCCTCGGCCTCCCAAAGTGCTGGGCTTACAGGCGTGAGCCACTGCGCCAGGCCGGTTTGAGTCTTCTAGCCTTACTCTTATGTGTCCTTTTAGCTTTCATTCCTACTGCTTCAATCTTTTCATTTCTCAATTCAGAGACCTGGAAACAAGAATCTGATTAGCTCAGGGATTCTGGATGTTGGTAGGTTGGTTGGTTTTTGTTTTGATTTGTTTTTTGTTTGTTTTGGTTTTAGGGTACCAATCCACATCACAGGTCACTACCCAGCCTATGAATTTTGCTTTGTTGGGTCTGATATCCTCCTCTGGTCTCAACTAGGAGTGGGGACACGGTCCTGTTGTACAAAATAGAACTTCTCAGGATATTCCCTTACTCAGGAGACTGTGGTAGGGTCAGTTTCACTTAGAAGGGGCTGTTAGTATGACAATCACTGTAATAGATATATCTAGTACATTCCATAACTTGCCTACTAGAACTCACAGTCTTTTTGGATGCATGCCTGGGCATAACAAAGAATGCTTTTCTTGTAAATGATTCTAGGTTTACAAAAGATTATCACATTTGTCCAGCAAGGGAAGGAAAGGATGCTGCATGAATATTAAAGAGGCATTGTAGATATCACACGTTTCAATCTTCTTGGGCTTGTTCCAGTCTGATAGCCCCATAAAATTACCATGGTGCCAGTCTTTGAGCCTTAACTTTATCCATTAGTACAATTTAACTGGTACCACAATTTGCTCATCAATATGATTAGATTCTGCACCTGAACTGGAGGGTTCACAAAGTGTGCAGGCTGTTGGAAGAAAGCTCTTCCCACACCCAGTTTACATGATAGCTTTGTATTTCCTTCTGCGCATTAAGCAGGGCAATCCTGGCCTGGCATTTATCCCTTTCTCAATGTATGGTCCACCCACTGCCATGAGAAACTACCAGTGAGCTTACCTTCAAAGGGCACAAATTCTGAGACCCAAGAGACCACATGCGGTAAATTCATTAACTCCTTTGTTAGTACATGCCATTGGATATTAGCATTTTATCTTCCACTTGAAGGAGAATCTCTCACTGTCATCCATCTAGGAACTATGGAAACACTAACTCCAAATTCACCACATTTTATTATAAGGGTCTCACTTGGGTAATCCCATGCCCAGCATAAAATTTCTACTAGAATCCTTTGTTTGCACTTTCACTTAACTCATTTATTTAATTTGTTCTTGTTAGATTAGACCCGCTCTTGAGGCTATCATGACCTTTTTTAGATTTTGATTCTTTTTTTTTTTTTTGAGACTGAGTCTCCCTCTGTCGCCCAGGCTGGAGTGCAGTGGTGCGATCTCGGCTCACTGCGAGCTCCGCCTCCCACGTTCACTCCATTTTCCTGCCTCAGCCTCCGGAGTAGCTGGGAGTACAGGCGCCCGCTACCACGCCCGGCTAATTTTTTGTATTTTTAGTAGAGACGGGGTTTCACTGGGTTAGCCAGGATGGTCTCAATCTCCTGACCTCGTGATCCACCTGCCTTGGCCTCCCAAAGTGCTGGGATTACAGGCGTGAGCCACTGCTCCCGGCCAGATTTTGATTCTTAAATATCTCATAATTAAATTTTCTCTACTTCCTCTGCTAATGATTTAGTTCAGGTCTTCAGTATCTCTCACCTTGACTATTTTAGTAACATTATAACTCATCTTTCTGGGTTTTGTCTCTTCCACAACTACTAATGCACCTTTCTTCAACCTCCAAAACAGTCTTCCTAAAATGCAAATTTGATTACATCCTTTTGTCTCCTGCCATTTACTCTATTTGCTTTTTCTTTTTTTTTTTGAGATAGAGTCTCGCCCTGTCGCCCATGCTGGAATGCAGTAGCGCTATCTTGGCTCACTGCAACCTCCACCTCCCAGGTTCAAGCGATTCTCCTCCCTCAGCCTCCTGAGTAGCTGGGACTACAGGCATGCAGCACCACGCATGGCTAATTTTTGTATTTTTAGGAGAGATGGGGTTTCACCATGTTGGCCAAGCTGGTGTCAAACTCCTTATCTCAAGTGATCTGCCCGCCTCAGCCTCCCAAAGTGCTGGGATTACAGGCGTGAGCCACTGCGCCTGGCCCTGCCATTTACTCTCTTACATCTTCCTGAATGCACCTCATTTTCCCATGTCTTCATGCTTTTGCTCTTTCCTCTGATTTGATATTTTCCTGTTCTTTTGTCATGGGTCACTTCCCTACTCACTCCCTTTTTCCCAACAGAAATACTGTATTCTACATTACTTCTGTATTTTGTATATTCTTCTATTACTTTAACATACCTCATTTATTGATCTTTCTCCTATTAGATTCCAAGTTCCTTTAAGACAGAAACTGTCCTGTAATCATCTTTATATTCTGGTTTTTAGCTTACTGTATCCTCAGCAATTGCTTGTTGAATGGAATTTGAATTTCTTTAGTCTATAAAGGAGTTTCAAAGATTTGGCTACTGTGTAGGCCGGGCGCGATGGCTCACGCCTGTAATCCCAGCACTTTGGGAGGCCAAGGCGGGTGGATCACAAGGTCAGAAGATCGAGACCATCCTGGCTAACACGGTGAAACCCCGTCTCTACTAAAAAATACAAAAAATTAGCTGGGCGTGGTGGTGGGCACCTGTAGTCCTAGCTGCTCGGGAGGCTGAGGCAGGAGAATGGCGTGAACCCGGGAGGCGGAGCTTGCAGTGAGCCGAGATCGCGCCACTGTACTCCAGCCTGAGCGATAGAACGAGACTCCGTCTCAAAAAAAAAAAAAATGGTTTGGCTACTGTGATGGCAAATTCCGTCTTCTGAAACTGGAAAGTAATGTGTACTAAAGCATCATTCTTTACTCCTTTCCCATTTAGATATTCATCCCTGTTTTTATTCCTCATTTCCTGACTCATCTTTTACTACTTTATTCTCAACTAGAAAGTCAGTGGCTAGTCTACCCTTTGTTACTTACAAATTAAATATCTTTGGCCAAAGAAGAACACTTTCCAGTGAAGACCCCATTTTCTCCCTGCAATGAAGTTTCAGCACCCAAGCTTATTGAATTCTGATTCCCAGGTTCTCCAGATGCTGTTATGTGAAGCATAGGATCAGGAATAAGAAGGAAGAGATAGACCAAGTGCAGTGGCTCACACCTATAATCCCAGCACTTTGGGAGGCCGAGGCTGGAGAATCACTTGAGGCCATGAGTTCAAGACTAGCCTGGGCAACATAGTGAGACCCCCGTCTCTACCAAAATAATAAAAAAAGTTTAGTCGGGCATGGTGATGCACACCTGTAGCCCCAGCTACTCAGGAGGCTGAGATGGGAAGATTGTTTGAGCCCAAGAGGTCAAGGCTGCAGTGAGCCATGATTGTGCCACTGCAGTCCGGCCTGGGTAACAGAGTGAGACCCTATCTCAAACAAACAAACAAAAAAATTAAGAGGTTTTCTGAGTACTATTCTCCATGTTAAGTTAACTTCCTTCTCAATGCTAACTCCTAATTCGTCAGGGTTCACATTTTGGGTGCCAGGAGACTTCTGCTTACCATGACCTTGAGCAGTAACTCCTTGGAAAAATATTTTGATGCACTCTCCTTGTCTTGCTGGGTGATTGAGCAGGGAGGTGGGTTGTTGGTCATAATCAGTAACGTCTTATCCTGGTCATACTGTGTTACTTTTAACATGAAGCTGGTGTTTTTCCTGTTTTGAGCCAGGAATTTCTGCAGGGCAGTGGCCTTCAAAGGCTTATAGTACTGGGCCTGAACAGACAGAAAGGTTTCCAGAGAGAAAAAGAGATTAGGCCAAGAGCAGGTTAACAAATCGGTTGGCTGATACTTAGCCTCTGTGGGGTAAGAACAGAAGCTGGACAGACTTGCTGCAAAATCTGTAGGGTTTTTTGGTTTTGTTTTTGTTTTTTTTGAGACGGAGTCTCACTCTGGTGCCCAGGCTGGAGCCCAGTGGCATGATCATGACTCACTGCAACCTAGACCTCCCGGGCTCAAGTGATTCTCCCACCTTGGCCTCCTAAGTAGCTGGGATTACAGGCACATGCCACCCTGTCCAGCTGATTTTTGTGGGTTTTTCTGTTTTTGTTTTGTAGAGATGGAGTTTTGCCATGTTGCCCAGGCTGGTTTCAAACTCCTGGGCTCAAGCGATGCACCCATCTCAGCCTCCCAAAGTATGGAGATTACAGAAGTGAGTTATCACACGCAGCCCTAAAATGTGTTTATCAGAAACTGTCTGAAGCTCTCAGTCCCTCTCTTCCCTTGGGGCATTCCCCTGGAAATACACTAAGGGGCTGGCGCAATGTGATGGAAAGGTTTCCATGGTAAAAGGAGTCAGGTAACTTAATTCTTCCAATATAATGGGACAAGCAGAGAAGTTTCTACATGGCTAAACCTAATTGGCCTTGTCTCTACAACTCTCTCTAAGGTACGAGGGAAAGCTACCAGGGACCAAATCTCGCTTAAGGAATTCTTCAGAAGTTGGCACAGCCAAGTGCAACACCTTCCCATATTTACATCTTCCACGTAATGTTCCATATTTACGTCAACATTTCTCAGGCACAACCACATTGACATGCACTCACAAGCACAATGTTAAAAAAGGAAAAGCAGGCCAGGTGCGGTGGCTCACGCCTGTAATCCCAGCACTTTGGGAGGCCAAGGCAGGTGGATCACGAGGTCAGGAGATCGAGACCATCCTGGCTAACACGGTGAAACCCCGTCTCTACTAAATATACAAAAAATTAGCCAGGCGTAGTGGGGGGCGCCTATATTCCCAGCTACTCGGGAGGCTGAGGCAGGAGAATAGCATGAACCCAGGGGGCGGAGCTTGCAGTGAGCCGAGATCGCACCACTGCACTCCAGCCTGGGCAACAGAGCGAGACTCCATCTCAGAAAAAAAAAAAAAAAAGTAAAAGCAGCCACAAAAGATAGCATGTCACTTAAGGTGTGGGTGAGGAAGGGACGGTCCCACTAAATTTGCCTTTCTCTCAATAGGAGAAAGGCAGAGGGTTGGGGGGAAGGAAGTGAAAGGGAGAAAATGGATTACAAATATATTTTTTTCCTGATCATAAATATGTTTCCTCAACTTAAAAAAAATCAGCTGTGGGGACCCACTTTCTTCCCAGTTCTCATCTCCCACTTTGCCACCCCAATCCTCAGCACTGCCTCTGGCATCATAACCTAGAGGCAGCTCTGCCTGCCTGTCCTAAGAGTACGCACAGTCACAGAAGCTGGGGACACTTGGAGGCATTAGGGACACTCGCAGTGGGCATCTGCACCACTGCTGAAACTTCCCCTTAGAGATCTTGGGGGAATGCTTTCTCTACCTACCAAATTTGGATGGACTGTGTAATGCCGAAGGTTCTCTAGAACAAATTTTGATTGCCCGACTGCATCAGAAATCTAAAGAGGATAATCAAAGTTAGTGGTTTGAAGTTGCACCTATCCTAAACAGTATTCCATTCCTTACCTCACCTTAGTCTCACTGGAGAACTGGTCTCTAACTTACACTAAGTAAGTTAGAGAAGTACAGTTAGAAGTGCTTCAGATTTTGTACTCTAGGTTTCTGGAACAAGGGCCCCAGCAAGGAGACCTGGATTCTAAGACCTCCTGACCGTGACACTTGTCAGCGGAAATGGGGCCAGCCTTATGAAATGTCAGGGAAAGCCGTTAGGAGGGGAAATAGACAAGGGCAGCATCAGTTCAGATTGCGACAAATCTTTCCAAGGAGTCACTTCTTTCTTATGCCTTTTCCATAGCTATAGGAGTGAAATGAGGTGAAAATCAACATGCAGGACAAATCTTTAAGGAGAAAAGCAAGTTTCAAAAGGGCATTAACCTAAAAGTTGTGGGTGCAAGGGAGCCCTAGGGTCAACTCTGCCAATTGAGCTGGGAGCCGACCTACTCACAGAGAAAGGAAGAAGAGCAGTGCATGTTACAATTTTGAACATCTCTGCAGTATGAAATTCTTCCAGAAATGTTGCAAAAAATAATTGAATTTTGGTAACACTTGTGTCTACCACTTTGCTTTTTTATTTTTATTTTTATTTTTTTTGCTGGTGGGTAGTCCTGGATGTTAGTGGATTATTTGAGTGTCATATCTGATAGTAGAGGAGCTGAGCCTTTTCCATTCCCTTTCTGCTGACCTAGTGTTCTTGCTTCTCCTCTTGCATAGCCCTGCCTAAGGATGAATCAAGGAGATAGGAACACAAGGATATAAAAGCTCTGAATTATCTTCTTCTGGCTTGGCATAGTCAGAAATCGGAAAAAAAGAAGAGTGCATCATTATCCTGTGTTCAGATCAGCATTTCTTTTTTCTTTTCTTTTTTTCTTTTTTCTTTTAAATACAGGGTCTCACTGTGTCCCCCAGGCTGGAGGGCATTGGTGCAATCATAGGTCCCTGTAACCTTGAACTCCTGGGCTCAAGTGATCTTCCCTCCTCAGCATCCCGAGTACCTGGGTCTAAAGGCACGTGCCACCATGCCCAGCTATTATTATTATTTATTAATTTTTCTTTTTTTTTGCTACTGAGTCTCGCTCTGTTGCCCAGGCTGGAGTGCAATGGCATGATCTTGGCTCACTGCAACCTCTGCCTCCCGGGTTCAAGCAATTCTCCTGCCTCAGCCTCCTGAGTAGCTGGGATTACAGGCTCCCACCACCGCACCTGGCTAATTTTTGTATTTTTAGTAGAGATGGGGTTTCGCCATATTGGCCAGGCTGGTTTTGAACTCCTGACCTCCAGTGATCCGCCCACCTTGGCCTCCCAAAGTGCTGGGATTACAGGCGTGAGCTACCATGCCTGGCCTATTTTTTATTTTTTGTAGAGATGAGGGTCTCACTGTGTTGACTAACTCTTGGGCTCAAGTGATCCTCCCACCTTGGCCTCCCAAAGTGCTGGGATTACAGGTATGAGCCACCACGCCCAGCCTGGCTCAGCATTTCTAAAGATTGCTATACCTCCCCCATCAGGAGGCAGTATGGTAAGGTGGGTGCCTTACCCACCTTACAGAGGAAAGGGAACGTGCACTGAAAAGTTAATAAAGCAAGAGGGCTAATGGAGAAGAGGGAAGCAGTCAGAATGGGACAGAACTATGAGTTAAGAGGAGGCCCTGCTATGCTCCAGGAAGAAAAGGCCAGAAGTTGGCAATTCTTGGCAGTTGGAGAAGGAGCGGGAAGAAGCATAGCAAAGCCACTCCACAAATTCCTTTAGAGAGGGTGGGATGAACTATGAGATGGTGGGATGGATCCAAAGACTCAATCATTTAATTTTTTACCACCTTATGGAAAACTAAAGTTCATTTGTTGAAAACAGAAATATGAAAAACCTGCTTCACAACTATGAAATGTATGACATATTTAGAATCATAGAAGTTAGGAAAAACTTATTTGGGAGAAAGGTATGAAGACCTTTTCTCTTACAGGTTTTTTAAAAAAAATAATTTTAGGGGGAAATTCCCTGGTGAAAATGTTTTTACTCCTGAAGTTTTTTGAAGTATTGCATATCTGTTCCAAATTAGTCTCTAGCAGTTGACTAAACCCACAAGATTGTCCAAATTGGAATGTGTTTTTAGTTTTGTTATGTTGAATTTCACTATCTGTGGCTGATTAAATAAAAGTTGGCCTGGAAAATTCACTTGAATGTGGTAAACATGGGAAAACAACCAAGATACCCAGTGGAGTTTTGCTACAAGAGGTAGTTGTAAAGTCTGCGTAAGTTAGGGTTTGACACGCTCTTACTCCCTAAGATAGGTTTCTGCTTCCTGGGTTTTATGTCCTGATTTGTTGCTGATGTGTCCTGTTCCTTCTTTTTCTGTGCTCTATTTCTCTTCAATAACATTTGACAAGTTAACCTTGTTTTCCATATACATTTTTACTCCTTTTTGCTTTTCAATAGGGAAGTTTGTGATATCCAGCTTATTAAGTACACTAAGCAGCTCCAAAGAAAAATTAAACATTGAACACTTACTAACACTCCTTACCTCTTTGCTATTGACAACCATTCCTTTCTCACGTTTAGCTGAGCTATTTTCTGAAGTCTTTGATTTGCCATTTTGAAACCTGAAAAAGAGGCAGAACATCCGGTTGCACTTTCTGGCTCAGAGGCCTGGACTTCTGCATATTGTCAGTCTCCCTCAACAAAGTTTGGAAGCCTAACTCAGACAAGTCCAATTTAGGTGATCACATCAGTAATTGACTAAGTAGCAAAAAAATCAGACTCATTATCCAGCCTGCATGCTAGGGAAAAGCAAGACTTCAGTTTGGAGAGTTAAACAAGTGGGACCTTTGGATGACTCAGTGACATCCATTGAGTTGGTTTCTTCTAAAATAAGGATTTTAGACCATTCACAGAAGTGCTCTAACGACTGCTTAAGGAAATTATTTTGGGAAGTTAGATCCTCACAATACCCTTAAAAACCACCTACTATTTTGAATACTTACCTGCCTATTCTTCTTCCACATGGAAATTGCCCTGTTTTTGCCAGTGATTGGCCAATGATTAGCCAATGAATCTGTGAGAAGGAATATAGTTAATAGAACCTCACAACTAAGTTTCCAATTCTTGTTGACCTTGCTTGGATTACTGGCTCTCATGTCTTCCTAACCACATCTCTGAAGACTTCTCTTCTTAGAACTAGGGTAGTAAAAATAATCAACAATGGCAAATATTTCTGTACTCTACTCTGTTACCCTCACCCTAATACCAATTCTCTTTGCAGAAAATAGGGTGAAGCAGCTTCTATTCTTTGCTATTCTTTTTAAACCCATTTGCTGCCAGAACATAATGTAAAATGCTCCTCAGTAAGATTTGGTTAATGATTAAGATAAATGGCCTGCTTCTTCCTTGGAGATAGTTCCATTGGGTGGTTAAATTAGCTCAAAGTAAGAAGAATTATGCAACTATCTCAACTAGACCTCTCTCCTTTAAAAATGAGGATAGCAGAATAAGGACCAAAATAAAAGTAGAAATAGCCACGCTATGTCGTTTGTAGGTCAACTGGCTATAGCGTGCTACAAATAATCCCCAAATCCATGATTCTATCCCATTCAAGCATAGCTACCTTCCATCTGTTGCTGGCCACCAGTTGCACCATTAACTCAGGTCAGAGGTCTTAAAAACGGTCCCAACAGAGTAGGTGACCCATGATGGAGAGACCAAAATTCATCCCAACTTAACATCTTAAAGTTTGTGCCCTTTCATTAAGTTATCTAATAATTAGTAATACAGTATAATATTTATTGTAGCACTTTTCAAAATGATTCTTTGATACCTAAAAGGAAGCACAGAATCCCGGATACTCTTCTTCAGGGCCAATTTAAGGCATAGAACTATATGAAAAGCGCTTCTTTAGCCCAACAGCGTCCATCTGGAACAAGCTGGTGCTTTCTTTTTGACAAAAGCAACCATGAAATACAGACCAAGATCCGGTTTTTGATCCAGGGACAATCAGTCAATTAAAATATGTTTAATGAGAGTCTACTCTGTGACCAGCACCATTCAACGTGCTGTGGGCTATGCAATAAGTTAATATAAAGTGGTGTTTATAACTTAGTTGGGCAAACAAGACTACATACTTGGTTTGTCTCTTTTGGCTCATTGCTGTTGACTGCTAGTTGGCCAACCCAAGGCAGGTATTCACCCAAGGCCAAATTCAGGTCTCTAAATAGTCCACGTTCTGCAGGGGTTCAATTCAATCCAAATATTCTTTCCTTAGCACACAGTGTGTACTCATGCCCCATTCTTGAGCCTGTATGGGAAACAAGAAAAGACTGATAGGTGCTATTGTAGATGTAGAAAATGCACAAGACATGATGATGCTTGCTCTTAGAAGTTAAATTTATTTCACAAACGGGGGAGGTGGGAGAAAGCGATTATCCAATGTAAAACAATAGTGACAAATACATGCTAATATATTAGGTAAGTCACTTTATCTCTTGGGGTCTCAATTTCCTTATCTGCAAAATGGAAAGTATTAACTAAATGATTTAAAGGTGACATTCTAATTCCATGATAGTGATGAGATTTAACTATAAAAAGATCTGAAATAAAATTAATTCACATATGTCCGTAGAAGGCTAAAGGTGGAGAAGCAGCCATCTTCCAATTTTCTCCTCCTGTCAACAAAGCCATGCTCATTCATAGATTAGGCCTGAGAAGCTGGGAAAAGTGTGTGTATATATTGGGAATGGGAGGATTGCTATACTTTTTGATATAGACAATTAGAAATGGAAGATACAAGCTGATAAGGTAGAACCAACCATTTAGAGAAAAGAAAGGTCAGTGAGCCTTGGGATGTTTCCTAAAGGTTGTGGAGCTTGAGCAGAACCTCGCAGGATAGTGTATGAAGTAGTCTAATTGGAAGATTATTTGTCGTTGTTAAGTAGGAAGAAATAAAAGCAGGTAGGTCGAATGGAGTCACATTATAGGGGCCTTGACAATTAAGTAGAACTTTGAAAAGACCTACATCAGCCCAAATTCCTATGAAGCCCACAGGTTTAGTGGAAAGCCCATAGACAAGGGTTTATGTCTAACTTGATTGTCTAGACAAACCCTAAAGATGATTTCTAGAGTTTATGACAAGACTGAGCTAAACCCTTAAAGTTCCCTTCTAGGGAAATAGAGTAATAAGCGTTTCACCCTTTTCTCACCTTTAATTTTTCTGGAATTGTAAGTCCAATTCATGTATATGGTGAAACTAAAATAAAAATGAGCTGTCAAATTGGGCAGTATAAGTCTTGGGTTGCTAGTCTGCAGGCCAGGCTGAAAAACAAATCACACAAACACTAAAACTACATTCAAAATAAGAATGTAAAAACCTGGTGTACACTACCTTTAAGAACATCACGAAATCATAGTTTGGTGAAGAAGGCAAAGTCTTTGGCATGGGAACTTTCCATTTTGAAAATATCGTAATTATTCTTTTCTGGATTCTGGAGGAGACAGAGGGAATTTGTGATGAATAGGCAATCTAGAATGCTGAGGTGTTCTGTGTTGGAGACAGAGAATGAAAAGGCCAAAACTTAAAGGCATATTTAAACAAAATCTGCCAATCTCTTATTTTGCCAGCCTATGACTTCTCTACACACACACACACACACACACACACACACACACACACACACACACATCTTCACCATCTCTTAATCTACCTCTACCTAAGCCAATGTTTTCACTGCATTCTTCAAATACAGTGAGCATTTTTTCTTATTCCCCATACTTAAAATGCTGTCCCCAATCTCTTCAGCCATTTGAATCTTCTCCTTCTCCTTCTCCTTCTCTTTCTTCTGACGGAGCCTCACACTGTCACAAGGCTGGAGTGCAGTGGCACAGTCTCAGTTCACTGCAACCTCTGTCTCCCTGGTTCAAGTGATTTTCCTGCCTCAGCCTCCAGAGTAGCTGGGACTACAGGCGCCTGCCACCATGCCCAGCTAATTTTTGTATTTTTAGTAGAGACGGGGTTTCACCATGTTGGCCAGGATGGTCTCGATCTCTTGACCTTGTGATCCACCCACCTCAGCCTCCCAAAGTGCTGGGATTACAGGCGTGAGCCACCATGCCCAGCCCTGAATCTTCTTTCTTTATGTTACTACTCAGGTCATTCCTTTAAAGAGAAGATTTTCTAGATTAATGCAATCCCAAACTCTAGACTATAGTCACTGGGTTTTGTGCATGTCATTGTATAGTGTCTTGTAGTTCTGTTTTCACTTTTCTTATGTGCGGGTCTTGTCTGCCTCTTAAGCTGTGAGTCCCTTAAAAGTGGAAATGTAAATTTTAAACATATTTGTGCCCCCCTCCCAGTGCTTTGTATCTTATGCATTCAAAACTAGTGTTTGCTTATTTCAATATATTTGCTGAACATTTATGACATATTAGACACTCTCCTAGGTGATGAGAACAAAGCATAAATCAGATGTAATTCTTGAGCTCCTTTAGGAGCTCACAGTTTAGCCAGGAAGAGAGACAAAGAAACGGTTGATTGCAACAGAGTAGAATGCCAAATTAGATCTAAATTTAGGGTACTATGGAAGCAATGAGGAAGGGGACTTAACCCATACTGAGAAGAGACTGAGAGAGATTTGGAACTACTGCCTAAACTGAGCTGGGGAAGATGAGTGTGAATTAACCAGGTGATGAGAGGACAGACATTTGAGAAAGAGGGAGAAGCAGAGGCAAAAACATGAGAATACAACAAAGCCTGGCTTATTTAGGGGAATTGAAAATACTGTAATTGCAATATGCCAGGAACATAAGATTTAGGGGAAGGGTAGTGAGAGGTGAGACTAGAGAGGAAGACAGGATCCAAATCCTAAAATGAACTATTTGATAGGAAGTTTGTGGGTTATTCTGAGTAATGAAGCGCTAACAAGAGATTTTAAATGAGGTATAATCTCCTTATTGAACAATATATATTTTAGAAATACAAAAATAGTGGCATGTGAACTATAGATTGGAAAGACAGAAGAACTATAGATTAGAAAGATGCAAAGAGGTCCTTGAGAAGTCTATGACAGTGCTGAGGAGGGGTTGAGAAATTATAAGGGTCTATAGCCATCACCAATTAGTGCCATTCACTCCTGCATCCTAGCTCTGGATGATTGATTCAAAGGTGGCCAACCAGGTTATACTAAGAATTTGAAAGTTTGCTAATGACCCACAGAGCTGTAAGATGATTGCACCTGAGCCACCTCATGTGGTATCCCAGGCTGGAAGACTCTGAGCTCTGAGCTCTACCTGCTGAGGTCCCCGGAGCTGCCCCAGATCTAGTCCTTCCTAAAGCAAGACTACACAATTTTCTCTTCAGTTCTGTGAGCTTTCCTAATATTCTTTCAAATAAATCCTTTATTTTCTTAGGGTTCATTTCTGCAGTTTATGACCAAAAAAAAAAAAAAAAAAACCTAATATGGGCTCTGAAGCAGGGTGTCCAATCTTTTGGCTTCCCTGGGCCACGTTGGAAGAATTGTATTGGACCACACATAAAATACTCTAACGCTAACAATAGCTGATGAGCTAAAACAAATCACACAAAAAAAACTCATAATGTTTTAAGAAAGTTTTTGAATTTGTGTTGGGCTGCATTCAAAGCCATCCTGGGCCACGTGTGGCCCATGGGCCATGGGTTGGACAAGCTTGCTCTAAAGCAAGGTAGTGGCAGTGAAGAGGGTTAAAAAAGGATATATGAAAGATGTTAGGAGGGTAGAATTAATAGAACTTGGTAACTAGTTGAATACATGAGATAAGGAATATAATCACATTTTTAGCTTTGTTACCTGAGTTAATGGAGGTGCAAGTTACCAAATTAGAGAACAAAGGGAATGGAGCAAGTTTGGGGGATAAATGATGAATTTTGTTTCTGGTCAGTTGAGTATGAGGCAGAGGTGAGGATGTTGTCTAGTAAGTAGTTTAAAATATGGGACTGGAGCTCAGGAGAGACAGGTTTGGTACTATAGATTGAATGTTTATGTCCTCTGCCTCCCTAAATTCATATGTTGATACTGAGTCCCTAATTATGAGGGTATTAGGATGTGGAGCCTTTGTGGGGGCAATTAGTGCACTTATAGAAGTGGCTTCAAAAGCACATCTTTACTCCTTCTGCCATGTGAGGACACAACAAAAAGCCGGTCCTCACCAGATACTGAATGTGCCAGCACCTTGATTTTGGACTTCCCGGCCTCTGGAACTGTGAGAAATAAATTCCTGTTGTTTATAATCCACCCAGTTTATGGTATTTTGTTATAGCAGCCTGAACAGACTAAGCCATTTGGGTAGAATTATGCATTTGGAAGTCAGCCTCAAGCATTATGTGCTAATTGAAGCCATTGGACTAGATAAGATCAAGTAGGAAAAATGGTGGACTAACAAGAGACTAAAGCATAGAACCATGCCCCAGACTATGTAAACATCCAAAAAAGAGCATCATAAATGAATTTTGTAAAGAACATGGAAAAGGAGTGGCCAGAGATTGAAAGAGAACTAGGAGGAAGTGGCCACAGGTGGGATGATATCATTGGAAGGGATGCTATTATGAAAAAGGAAACAAATTTTTTAGCTTCAAGCAGCAAGTTTTGAAGGTATAGAAAAAGATTAAAACTTGCAAAAATGACCAAAAGCTTAATAAGCAATCCAATGCTGCCACTTATAAGGCAGATAAATCTAGACTGAAAAAAACCTACAAGGCTTGGGTTCATGGAAATGCCAGGATTTGCTTGAAGAAACAGAGACCATCTGGTAAAAGAGAATGTGAATCCCCATTGTTTGTCTTCTTTTTTCAGAGATACAGGGGCTGCATTGATCAAAACTCAGGGCGATCCTCCCTGCCTACTACTCCTTGGGTGTTGATCTATGACAGGGCCTAAGAACAGCTCCCCCTTATCCCTTCACCTACATAACTTTCCACATTCAGATGGAGACTTCACACCCCAGGTAACAGCTGGGCAGGGAGGACAGGGTGCTGGGGTGGCACAGTGCATTCTGAGAGATGTGACCTCAGGAGCAAAGAGCAGGAGGAAGGGCACAAGATGGGAGGAACTGTTTTTTTGAACAGTTTTGTCCTCTTTTCTCATTTCTAACTGTTTATAAAATAGAAACGGCTACCTTTATGGAAGTATTGGTATGGAAAGTAAGGAAGTGTGGAAAGAAGCATCTACCCTTCATGAAAAAAGGTAGTGGCACAGAATGCCAAGCAAGGGTAGTTTGCCCCATTTTTGTCTTCTTTCATTCTTTCTTTTTCTTTCTTTCTTTCTTCTTCTTTCTTTCTTTCTTTCTTTCTTTCTTTCTTTCTTTCTTTCCTTCTTTCTTTCTTTCTTTCTTTCTTTCTTTCTTTCCTTCTCTCTCTCTCTCTCTCTCTCTCTCTCTCTCTCTCTCTCTCTCTTTCTTTCTGTCTTTCTTTCTTGCATTTTCAGACAGGGTCTCATTCTGTTACCCAGGCTGAAGTGCAGTGGCATCATCATAGGTCACTGCAGCTTCAAACTCCTGGGCTCAGGCACCCACCCACCTCAGCCTCCTGAGTAGCTGGGACTACAGGCATGCACCACCATGCCCAGCTTTTTTTTTTTTTTTTTTAAAGAGACATGGTCTCACTGTGTTGCCCAGGCTGGTCTTGAAATCCTGGCCTCAAACAATCTTCCTCTCTCAGCCTCCCAAAGTGCTGGGATTACAGGCATGAGCTACTATACCTAGCCACTCTTCCTTCCTTCTTTCCTTTCTCTCCTTCCTTCCTTCCTTCTTTCCTTCCTTCTTTCTTTCCTTTTTTTTTTTTTTTTTTTTTTTTGATGGAGTCTTGCTGTGTCACCCAGGCTGGAGTGCAGTGGCATGATCTCGGCTCACTGCAAGCTCCACCTCCTGGGTTCACACCATTCTCCTGTCTCAGCCTCCCAAGTAGCTGGGACTACAGGCACCCACTACCACGCCTGGCTAATTTTTTGTATTTTTTTAGTAGAGGTAGGGTTTCACCGTGTTAGCCAGGATGGTCTCGATCTCCTGACCTCGTGATCTGCCCTCGGCCTCCCAAAGTCCTGGTATTATAGGCGTGAGCCACTGTGCCCGGCCCACTCTTTCTTTCTTAAACAGCCTGCTGGTGACACATGAAGCTCTTGCTTTCTTGAGGAGAGGCCTATCATTTATCAGTGGCTGGGTAAATCTTTCCAGTTCAGGGGGATGTTTTAGGAAGCCCAATGTATGTTCAGGCCCCAGCCAGTCTCCAAACCAACTTCTAGCAGAAAGCTGATATTCTGAACTTACCAGATTTTTGCATGTGTTTACTAACTGCTTCAGAACCGGTAAGGGAAAGAGATGTAATTGGCACCTCAAATATTACTTTTGCACCAACCTAAATCAACATCCTGACTACAGTGAATGCTACAACTGTTATTTTACATAGTCTACATAGACTCAGATACCAGAGAATATGTAAGTAGGAATTTGAGAAAGTTATCTCCCCAGCAAAGCAAAAAATGAAAGCCAGATAGAAACTGGGGACTGGGCAGGGAGGTTTGCCTAGCAACCTGCCCTCCATCTCTGGTAAGAAAGCAGGAGCAGAGTTTATAAATTCATTAATCTCATGTATTGACCAACACCAAGACTCAACAAAGCTAGCATTATTCAGAGATGAATGAATGGAAAATGATTTTTAGGGCTAATGCATTTTATGAGGAGTAGAATATAGCAGCAGCAATAGCTGCTCTGGCAAGAATAGGGAGCTAAGAAGCTGCCAGAAGTGGAGGAATACAGAGAAGAGCAGGAGGCTGGGAATCTGGGAATTAGGAATCAAGGCCATCCAATTTTTCTGTAGATTTGTCTATTAAAAATGTGGGGAAATCTACTTACGAAAGTGGAAGCTGTCTCTCCACTCAGTACTTACATTCAATTTAGCACTGGAGTGTCAGGAAAATGGGGACCAAAGGAGAAACAAAACTGGGTGGGGGGGAAATGAGGTTTTAAATGTACAAGATGGACAGCAAGGGATAGAAGGTGGTCTCAGGAAAAACTCTGGGACTGAAGATGCCCAACATGGCAAATTTCTGAATGTTTCCAACATGGCGGGATGATACATGAAGGAGCAGTGGATATGCATCCCCATTCAGACATTCTCTGCCGACAGCAGTGAGAAATCCCATGTCTTCTCCTCCTCTTTTTTTTTAACTTTTATTTTAAGTTCAGGGGTACATGTGCAGGATGTGCAGGCTTGTTACATAGGTAAACATGTGTCATGGAGGTTTGTTGTACAGATTATTTCATCACCCAGATATTAAGCCTAGTATCCATTAGTTATTTTTCCTGATCCTCTCCCTTCTCCCACCTTCCACCCTCTGATAGGCCCCAGTGTGTGTTGTTTCCCTCTGTGTGTCCATGTGTTTTTATCATTTAGCTCCCACTCATAAGTGAGAACATACTGTTTTTGGTTTCCTGTTTCTGTGTTAGTTTCCTAAGGATGATGGCCTCCAGCCTCATCTATTTCCCTGCAAAGGACATGATCCCATTCTTTTTCATGACTGCATAATATTCCATGGTGTATATGTACCACATTTTCTTTATCCAGTCTATCACTGATGGGCATTTAGGTGGATTCCATGTCTTTGCTATTATGAATAGTGCCACAATGAACATGTATGTGCATGTGTCTTTATAATAGAACGATTTATATTCCTTTGGGTATATACCTGGTAATGACATTGCTGGATCAAATGGTATTTCTGTCTTTAGGTCTTTGAGGACAGTGTATAAGCATTCCTTTTTCTCCACAATCTTGCCAGAATCTGTTATTTTGTGACTTTTTAGTAATAACCATTCTGACTGGTGTGAGATGATATCTCATTGTGGTTTTAATTTGCATTTATCTAATGCTAAGTGATGTTGAATTTAGTAAACAGACAACCTACAGAATGGGAGAAAATTTTTGCAAACTGAAAATTATGCATCTGACAAAGGCATAATACCCAGAATCTATAAGGAACTTAATATACAAGAAAAAACAAACAATCCCATTAGCTGGGCATGGTGGTGCGTGCCTGTAATCTCAGCTACTCGGGAGGCTGAGGCAGGAGAATCGCTTGAACCAGGGAGTCGGAAGCTGTGAGCCGAGACTGCGCCAGTGCACTCCAGCCTGGCAACAGAGCAACAGAGCGAGATTCCATCTCAAAAAAAAAAAAGGGTGGACAAAGGACATGAACAGACACTTCACAAAAGAAAACATACACATGGCCAACAATCATATGAAAAAAAAAGTAGCAAATTCTTAGCTTTTAAGTTCAAGTATCAAGGACTCAATTGTAAGACAGACTGATTTAGGAAAATAGATATGATCAATTCAGATGCCTCTGTCTAACAAAGAAGACAGTTTGTTAGTATTACAGGTTTCTACCCTGATAGGGGAGATGTAGTGTCACAACTGAGTCACAACTGAATGTCATAATTGAGTCTACCCACAAAAGGTGGACCCCAGCAACTACCACTAATTTATTGGCATCTTGAAGCTTCTCCCCAACCTCATACTTTTTCTTTAAATTTTTTATCTTTAATTCTTGTGGGTACATAGTAGGCATATGTATTTATGAAGTACATGAAATGTTTTGATACAGGCATGCAAAGCATAGTAAGTAATCACATCATGGGGAATGGGGTATCCACCCCCTCAAGCACTTATCCTTTGTGTTACAAACAATCTAATTATATTATTAGTTATTTAAAAATGTACAATTAAGTTATTAGTGACTATAGTCACCCTGTTGTGCTAGCAAACAGAAGGTCTTATTCATTCTTTCTAACGTTTTTGTACCCATCATCCTCACATTTTTAAAATTTTCTTGGTCCTTCTAGTTTTTCCAAATAACTCCAGACTCTGCATGGTGTGATAGCCAGCAATAACAATACAGGATCATACATAATCATACTACCCTGTATATCTTCCCATATATTAAAATTTCACACCAAGCTATACATTGAATTATAACACTGGCCAAAACTTTAAACACATCAATATCAGTAGAGTTAGGGTGATGGGGATTAGGGGTGAGAAGGAAGCTCTTCAGGAAGTCTCTTCTGTCTCACTCTCCCACTTTGCTTTCTCTCAAGAAGGAAATTCTTATCACTATTTGGGCTTTGGTTCTTTGGGGGAAGTCTGTATATATTAAAAGTTCATATAAATCGGTTTGGCTTGCTCCTCTATTCAGGCTCTTGCCCTCCACTCTCTTCATTCTCCTTTCTTGCATGTGTCAGCCCAATCGAGAAATTCAGGTTTGAATTCAGAGTGGAGATGGGCCCGCTGGACTCTGTACTTTTTGTGAGTAGCCTCCTCTGACAGCTATTCACCTACTGTCTCTCAGCTTTAAGCCCCCCATTCTAATCTCCACTCTGAGATGCAAACTACATTTCCTACAGCCTCTGGCCAATGCACTTCCTGTTAGGTTCTGACAAAAGGAGAGGCTAGTGGGAGATTGGAGGGTAAAAGGAATAAAAAAATCCTCCTGGTTTTCTAGTTCTTATCAGCATCTCTGTGACAAAGGCAGTTGGCCCATCTGTAGTATTCCTCAGTATTTTAATTTTAGGTATTGATAAATGGTCTTTGTTGTCAGTTTGCTTTTTTTTTTTTTTTTTTTTTTTTTTGGAGATGGAGTCTTGCTCTGTCACCCAGGCTGGAGTGCAGTGGCTTGATCTTGGCTCACTGCAGCCTCTGTCTCCTGGGTTCAAGCAATCCTCCTGCCTCAGCCTCCTGAGTAGCTGGGATTACAGATGTGTGCCACCATGCCCCACTAACTTTTGTATTTGTAGTAGAGACGGGATTTCACCATGTTAGCCAGGCTGGTCTTGAACTCCTGATCTCAGGTGATCCGCCCACCTCAGCCGCCCAGAGTGCTGGGATTACAGGCATGAGCCACCAGGCCCGGCCTATTATGTTTTATTGTTTTTAAAGCCCTTAGATTTACCCCTCATATATTTGTTTATTTATTATTCATCTCCGTCATGAGATGTACCCTCTAATGAGGCAAGGACCTTGGTTCCTTACTATACCCCCAGTGGCTGAAGCAGTAGTACTTGACACAAGGTAGACAGTCAGCAAATATCTGCTGATTGAATGAGTGATTGAAAACTCAGCTGAAAGGTTCCATGTACACTATGTGAGATTTTTGGTTTTGATTTATCAGTTCTGGTCATTGTTGGTGGTACTTGATAGCCATCCCAAATTTTCTTACTTGTTATCCTGTTCTGAAAGAAGACATACTAGATCCAAGGAAAAATCAGATTGAATCAATATCATTTATATGGTGTATCCACAGCCTCTATGAGGCATTTCCCTACCTACTCACCCTCCGCTCTGTGCTTTCAACGTGGCCCTGACATGTCCATTATTGATGACCCAATCACACTTGTTACCACGATAGCAATGTAACAAAGGCTAGTTGAAGAGAAAGAGGATTCTTCTCGAAACAAAACAAAACAAAAAAAACAGTCCCATCCCAAAGATAGAAAAATCACTTCAGGGAGCCTGCATCTGCTGTGCCTTTGCTTATGGAGTCAGGCTTGCCCAGAAACAGTGGAAGGGCTTTGATCAGCAGTCAAGGCCAACCTATCTTTCAGATGAACAGAAAACGATGACTTGAGAAGGATAGCTTTAGAGATGACAGAAAGCAGACTGGGGATATATCATCAGATGAATGAAGAGAGAATGATAATTGGGGAAGACATGAGATCAGAAACGTTAAAACTAGTCATAGAAGAGAAAAAGATGGGTGTCCCTTTAATTTAAATCTGGACCTAACTGCCTCTACATTTGGGGATGAGGCTAGAAATGGGTTGCGGACATGTTTTTAATGATAGAGGACCTGGGAAAATGCCTGGGTCCCAAGAGATTTAATGGAAGAGGAATGAAATGATATTAGGGAGCAATTTGGAATTATACCCCAAGAGGGAGCCTAGATCCAGGAAATTATTGAAAGTCGCCCTCTGATGGTGACAGATAGAAAGTCCTTAACAAGAACAATTGGGGGACATTCCTTTGATGATAGGGACAACTCCCCAAGATGGTTACAGAAAACTTAGGTTTAAGAAAAGAAGGCCAGAAACATGACTGGGGAGTACTTTAGGTATTATTTTTTCTTTTTCTTTTTCTTTCTTTCTTTTTCTTTTTTTTTTTGAGATGGAGCCTCACTCTGTCACCCAGGCTGGAGTGCAGTGGTGCAATCTCGGCTCACCTCAACCTCCGTCTCTTGGGTTCAAGTGATTCTCCTGCCTCAGCCTCCTGAGTAGCTGGGACTACAGGTGCATGCCACCCGCCTGACTAATTTTTGTATTTTTAGTAGAGACGAGGTTTCACCATGTTGGCTAGGATGGCCTCGATATCCTGACCTCGTGATCCACCCACCTCGGCCTCCCAAAGTGCTGGGATTACAGGTGTGAGCCACTGAGCCCAGCCCTAGGTATTCTCTTGTGGGTTTCAAGGTGATGTGGTTTTTGTAGGCGGGAAAGCATGACTAGCACATGCCACGAGGGGCACATTCAGGTAATGTACAAGGCTAGGTCTCTAAGGAAATGCAATACACCAACATGGGCCAGACAGAAACACAACAGAATAGGTGTAGGGCATTATAGGCAAACTCTGACCCAGGTCTCCCATTTTCACCTGAAATTAACTTTATAAAAATTGCATTTTGGGCCGGGTGTGGTGGCTCACGCCTGTAATCCCAGCACTTTGGGAGGCCGAGGTGGGTGGATCACTTGAGATCAGGAGTTCGAGACTAGCCTGGTCAACATGGAGAAACCCTGTCTCTACTAAAAATACAAAAATTAGCTGGGTGTGGTGGTGTACACCTGTGATCTCAGCTACTCGGGAGGCTGACGCAGGAAAATTGCTTGAACCTGGGAGGCGGAGATTGCAGTGAGCCGAGATGGCACCATTGCACACCAGCCTGGGCAACAAGAGCGAGACTCCATCTCAAAAAAAAAAAAAATTGCATTTTGAAATTGTAAAGGCAGTTCCTAAAAGAATGTGCAAATATATCCCACAGAAAGTCTTGCTTTCTTGCTTGTTAGTATTGTGAATGTTTTCTTGCCTTTTTTTTTTTTTTTTTTTTGACAGAGTCTTGCACCGTTTCCCAGGCTGGAGTGCAGCGGCACGATCTCACTGCAATCTCCGCCTCCCAGGTTCAAGCGATTGTCTTGACTCAGTCTCCTGAGTAGCTGGGATTACAGGCGCCCGCCACCAGGCCCAGCTAGTTTTTTTGTATTTTTGTAGAGTCGGAGTTTCACTACATTGGCCAGGCTGGTCTCAAACTCCTGATCTCATGATCCACTGCCTGGGCCTCCCAAAGTGCTGGGATTACAGGCATGAGCCACCGCGCCCAGCCTTTCTTGCTTTTAGATACTAATTTTATAGGCTGGGCATGGTGGCTTATGCCTGTATTCCCAGCACTTTAGGAGGCCAAGGTGGGTGGACTACTTAAGGCCAGGAGTTCAAGACCAGCCTGGCCAACATGGTGAAACCCTGTCTCTACTAAAAAAATAAAAACAAAAATAAAAAAATTGGCCAGGCATGGTGGTGCGCGCCTGTAGTCCCAGCTACTTGGGAGGGTGAGGCAGGAGAATTGGTCGAACCTGGGAAGTGGAGGTTGCAGTGAGCCAAGATCACGCCACTACACTCCATCCTGGGTGACATAGTGAGACTCCATCTCAAAAAACAATATGAATTTTATAGACATATATTTCTCAATACAATATTTTTCATCCACTATTTGTCTAAGAAGAGTTTATGTTCATGGCCTTAAAACTCAATACCACTTTAAAAACGTGCCTTTTAAAGATGTGCAAGTAATCATTTGATTTACGTTCCAAATACAATTAGCAGAGTGTGGAAATCATATGTAGTCATTTTATAAAGCACAAGTATTGACAAAGGGTCATATGAGTTTCAGATGTTGCTGGTATTGAGAGGCCAAAGTATTGCATCAAACCAACTGTTTGTTAACATTTATATTCATTGTTTTTCATCAGAAAGCAACTCTAAAGCATTTTCCTCTCTAACATGAAAATGTGTTAATGATATATGGACACTTAAGTTATGTTTTAGGAACTTGATTGGGGGACTTTTGTTGACATGTAACCCATTATAATAATTTCCATTTAAAATTATAGGAAGTACACCCTCACTTAGCATTTTTATATGTAACATCTGGTTTTCAGGAAAGTATTATTGACTTAAATGGGAGATGCCTGAACATTTATAATTTTCAAACAAATAGAAATGAATTTTAAAAATTGATGTAGCATAAGTTAAAAAAGAATAAGAATAAAAACAAAAACAAAAGCATGTTAAATTGAAGACACAAAATAAGATGGTAAAAATTAAACGTTCAAATAAATTAATAATCATATTAAACATAAATGGAGTAAGTTCACCTAAGAGAAAGACATTCTCAGGGTGGATTTTAAAAATATGGCCATGTACTATTTGCCTACATATATCAAAAATATAGTAACACATAATGGCTGAAAAAGGTAGTCCTAGGAGTTTTTTCTCATTCTTTATGTCCTCTTTAAAAAAATTCCTTCACCCCTATCTACTTTGCCTCCTGTGCTACCATATCTCTATGTTACAGGTGACGTCCAAGAGCCTCCTACCAAACAAGAGGGCCAATTATAGCAGGTTGGAGATGTCCAAGTAAATCTAGGAGGTATTGGGTTACTTTGGCTGGGATTAAAAAATACCAGAAACCATTCGCTTTCATCTGGCAGGGACAACAATACATCTTTACCATTTTGCGGCAAGTGTGTCAGATATTTGCCCATTATTTTTCTGTACTCTGCACTAGGACACTGTGACTAGACACTGCAAACTTCACATTCCAGAGCCCCTTGCTAGCTAGCTTCTGCCAATTGGAGGCACTTCCAAAAACCATAAAGTGGAGGAGGTAAGAAGTAGTGTCTTCCAGTTTCCAGTTCTAGTTTGCTTACTCTCCAGCTACAGCAGACAGCTATGATTTGATTCCAGCCTTCAGCTTGTTATTCCCAGCAATATTCTCACTATGCCCCATCAAGATACTAGTAGCAGCCAAGCCCATCATTCACTTTTATCCATTTGGCCATAGCCCCTTGAGTGGTGCAGCCTACACTTCCTCAGCAGTCTAAGCACTAGAAGTAAAGTATCCTCTTCTGTATGTTCTGGTAATATCACTTCTTCCATTTTGTTCCCCCAGGTCTAAGGTGGTACCTTCTAAAGAGATTAATCTGTGGGTTGCCTCAACCTCTCATTTTTGCTTGTTTGGTGTTCCAATACCTGCGTAATCAATTCCCTTTATTAACTACCCTTTGTTTGAAATATCTAGTGTGGTTTACGTTCTTATGATTAGACTCTGACTGATAGAAGAACCTTGATCCTCTCACCATTCCAAAGAAAATTATGCTGGTCCACTACAGAGAGGGCTAAGAAAGCAGGGAATATCCTAAAAGCTTTGGTAAAACTCATGAATGTCAGGAAGAAGAAAATCTGAGGGCTTTTACATTAATGCATCTTCTAGAGGGTCCAGTTTAGGAGTATACAGGTTATCTCCTCCTCAGTGGACTGGCCTGCCTTACAGTAAGAAAAATGTAAAATTTTTGGTGGCAACCAATGGCACATTTGGGTGTGTTACACTGACAAATCCAATAGGTGACTTTGAAAAACTGACAAATTTTAGTGGGACTTAAAGCAAGAAAAGTTCCTTCAGCTGGTTCAGGCTGCAAGCAAGCAGCTCTGTCACTTGGCTCTTATGATTCAGTAGATCCAATGATGCGAAAAGGTCGGGATGACGAAACCAGCCCATGTGACTCCTCAGTAGGTAGGATCACATTAGTGACCTGCAGCGTTCTGTGGAAAAAGCCACACCCTGTGGGCAACTAAATATTCTCCTTATGAACCTCATGTTATATTTTGGGGGAATATATGTCTAAAAAATAAAAATGCTGGGTCATAAGATATATTTGTTTAATATAATTTGTCTGAGAAATGTCAAATTGCTGCCTGTAATCTCAGCACTTTGGGAGGCCAAGGCTGGCAGATCACCTGAGGTCAGGAGTTGGAGACCAACCTGACCAACATGGAGTTGGAGACCAACCTGACCAACATGGCAAAACCCCATCTCTACTAAAAATACAAAAATTAGCCGGGTGTGGTGGCTCGCACCTGTAGTCCCAGCTACTCGTAAGGCTGAGGCAGGAGAATTGCTTGAACCCGGGAGGCGGAGGTTGCAGTGAACCAACAGAGTGCCACTGTACTCCAGCCTGGGCGACAGAGTGAGACTTTGTCTCAAAAAGAAAGAAAGAAAGAAATGCCAAATTGCACTCCACAATGGCTGCCTCTTTTAAATATCTGCTTTGAAGGATTGCCCTTGGGCTACTGGAGCCACTTATCCCAGAGAATAGGAAGTGTCTGGGAGATTAGGTACCCCCAGTACATCTGTAGTCAATGGACCACTGCAGTATAAGGATGAAAGCCCAGCTCCTTTGCCTTAGACTCTTTCAGGCTGAGGCATAATTTCCTCTCCAGAACTCCCTTATAGGATCAGATTAAGGCTAGGACTCTGTCTGAAATACAGTACATCTTTCTTTAGTTTCTTCTATTTTTCTGTCCTTCATCCCCAACTTCCTTACCAGTTTATGCTGGGATGACTTTCTTAATAAGTTATTTGAAAATAAATCTATGTCTCAAGATTGGCTTTTGGCGAACATGAGCTAAGTCACATTGCCCCATCCACACTTAGTATCATTCAACTTTCTAATTCTTCCCTATTTCACTGTTGTTTCAATTTGCATTTCTTTGATTATTAATGAGTTTAAACATTTCTTCATATTTATCAACTTTTGGTTCCTTATTTAAATGCTGATTCATATCTTTTGCCTATTATTTTAATGAAGTTGCTGACATTTTCTTGTGAATTTGCAAGATTTTGTTATATATTCTAGATATCAACCCATAGTCAGCTTTAAATGGTATGAATAATTTTCTTTAATTCTATTAGCTGTCCATTAATTTTTTCCCTGGATAGAAAGCTTTTGTGTGTGTGTGTGTGCCTCCACCAAGATTTTTTAAATTAACTATTTTAAATTCAGTGACATTTAGTTCATTTGCAGCATTGTGCAACCACCGCATCTATCTAGTTTTGAAACATTTTCTTCACTCTAAAGTAAAACCTTTTGCACATTAAACAGTTTCTCCTCTTTCTCTCTAACCTGCCAGTACCTGGCAGCCACCAATCTGTGTTCTATCTTTATGAATTTATCTATTCTGGATATTTCATACAAATGGAATCATACAATATGTGATCTTTGGTGTCTGGCTTCTTTCACTTAGCTAATGTTTTAGAGGTTCATCCATGTTATAGCATGTATTAGGTACGGTACTTCATCCTTTTTTTTAATCACTGAAAAATATGCTTATGAATATACTGCAATTTGTTTATCCACTCTTCCACTGATAGACATTTGGGCTGTTTCCACCTTTTGACTATTATCAATAGTGCTGTTATGAACATGTGTGTACATGTGCTTATTTGAGTGCCTGTTTTTATTATTTGCAGCATATAGTGCTAGCATTTACCTAGGAGTGTAAATGCTAGATCATATGGCTAACCATTTTACATTCCCACTAGCAATGTATGAGGTTCCAATTTCTCCACATCCTTGCAAACATTTATTTTCTGGTGGTTTTTTGTTGTTGTTGTTGTTGTTGTTGTTTTTGTTTTTGTTTTTCACTTGTAGTCATCCCAGTGGGTGTGAAGTATTACCTCGGTGTTGGAAAGCTTTTTTGATGTAAATAGGTTAATTAATGTTTTGACTTATGGTTGTGTTTTCTTTTTTTTTTTTTTTAATTTATAAACTTTATTTAAACTTTATTTTTTTTTTCTTTTATCCGTAAACTTCTTTTTTTTTTTTTTTATTATACTCTAAGTTTTAGGGTACATGTGCACATTGTGCAGGTTAGTTACATATGTATACATGTGCCATGCTGGTGCGCTGCACCCACTAATGTGTCATCTAGCATTAGGTATATCTCCCAATGCTATCCCTCCCCCCTCCCCCGACCCCACCACAGTCCCCAGAGTGTGATATTCCCCTTCCTGTGTCCATGTGATCTCATTGTTCAATTCCCAGCTATGAGTGAGAATATGCGGTGTTTGGTTTTTTGTTCTTGCGATAGTTTACTGAGAATGATGGTTTCCAATTTCATCCATGTCCCTACAAAGGATATGAACTCATCATTTTTTATGGCTGCATAGTATTCCATGGTGTATATGTGCCACATTTTCTTAATCCAGTCTATCATTGTTGGACATTTGGGTTGGTTCCAAGTCTTTGCTATTGTGAATAGTGCCGCAATAAACATACGTGTGCATGTGTCTTTATAGCAGCATGATTTATACTCATTTGGGTATATACCCAGTAATGGGATGGCTGGGTCAAATGGTATTTCTAGTTCTAGATCCCTGAGGAATCGCCACACTGACTTCCACAATGGTTGAACTAGTTTACAGTCCCACCAACAGTGTAAAAGTGTTCCTATTTCTCCGCATCCTCTCCAGCACCTGTTGTTTCCTGACTTTTTAATGATTGCCATTCTAACTGGTGTGAGATGATATCTCATAGTGGTTTTGATTTGCATTTCTCTGATGGCCAGTGATGATGAGCATTTCTTCATGTGTTTTTTGGCTGCATAAATGTCTTCTTTTGAGAAGTGTCTGTTCATGTCCTTCGCCCACTTTTTGATGGGGTTGTTTGTTTTTTTCTTGTAAATTTGTTTGAGTTCATTGTAGATTCTGGATATTAGCCCTTTGTCAGATAAGTAGGTTGCGAAAATTTTCTCCCATGTTGTAGGTTGCCTGTTCACTCTGATGGTAGTTTCTTTTGCTGTGCAGAAGCTCTTTAGTTTAATTAGATCCCATTTGTCAATTTTGTCTTTTGTTGCCATTGCTTTTGGTGTTTTGGACATGAAGTCCTTGCCCACGCCTATGTCCTGAATGGTAATGCCTACGTTTTCTTCTAGGGTTTTTATGGTTTTAGGTTTAACGTTTAAATCTTTAATCCATCTTGAATTGATTTTTGTATAAGGTGTAAGGAAGGGATCCAGTTTCAGCTTTCTACATATGGCTAGCCAGTTTTCCCAGCACCATTTATTAAATAGGGAATCCTTTCCCCATTGCTTGTTTTTCTCAGGTTTGTCAAAGATCAGATAGTTGTAGATATGCGGCATTATTTCTGAGGGCTCTGTTCTGTTCCATTGATCTATATCTCTGTTTTGGTACCAGTACCATGCTGTTTTGGTTACTGTAGGAGGGAAAACCCCATCGTCTCAGCCCAAAATCTCCTTAAGCTGATAAGCAACTTCAGCAAAGTCTCAGGATACAAAATCAATGTACAAAAATCACAAGCATTCTTATACACCAACAACAGACAAACAGAGAGCCAAATCATGGGTGAACTCCCATTCACAATTGCTTCAAAGAGAATAAAATACCTAGGAATCCAACTTACAAGGGATGTGAAGGACCTCTTCAAGGAGAACTACAAACCACTGCTCAAGGAAATAAAAGAGGACACAAACAAATGGAAGAACATTCCATGCTCATGGGTAGGAAGAATCAATATCGTGAAAATGGCCATACTGCCCAAGGTAATTTACAGATTCAATGCCATCCCCATCAAGCTACCAATGACTTTCTTCACAGAATTGGAAAAAACTACTTTAAAGTTCATTTGGAACCAAAAAAGAGCCCGCATTGCCAAGTCAATCCTATGGTTGTGTTTTCTAAGTCTTGTTTAAAAGTCTGTCTGTGCTCCTAGCATATAAAAGTTTTCTCTGTTTTTTGCTTCTATTGACATATTTTTTCACATTTAAGTCTTTAACCTGTTTAGAATCTCCCTTCGTATTTGATGTTAGTTAAGGATCTAGTTTGCATTTCTCAACAAAATGATGATATTAGGTAATAATCTGGTTACTATTGCTCCACACAGCCAATTTCATCAACACCATGTACTGAAAAAACATTTAATTTGTCAATGGATTTTTCATGCCTTCTTTAATATATGTTAAATTCTGATACATAAGTGGTTGTTTCTAAATTATTCTATTCCACTGGTCTGTTAGTTCTTGACCTCAAACCTGCTAAAATCACATGTTAATTCTGTTAATATCAGGCAGGGCAAATTTCAATATACTCTTCTTTTTTTTTAAGGTTTAATGTTTTTAAAGTTGACTTTTATTCACATTTAAGCATCAGTTTTTAGAACATGTGGAAAAAGTATTGAAAATATAAGAATATCTAATAAAAATAAAAAAACAAACAAAAAACAGTAAGTTTATCATCTTCCTTGAAAGGTCCAGCTGTAATTAATTTTGAGTTGGATTACATTAAAATTATATATTAATTTAGAAAAAATATTATTATAAAATTGTACCATACAAAAGCATAATTTTTTTCTATTTAGATCTTTTTCATATTCTTTATTAAAGTTTTCTTCAAAATAAGTTTGTACCATCAAGTTGCACCATTTAAGAGCATAAAATTTTTTTAGATATATTTTATATCCTTTATTGGAGTTTTTAATTTTTCTTCATAGACATCATATGCATTTGGGATCAAATTTATTTCTAGCTATTTTATGGTTTTTGTTGCTAATGTGAATAGTGTTTTATGTTTATTACATCTTCTACGTGGTTTTTACTGGTTTAGTTCTAACAGTTTGAACTAAAACTTGAATCTGTTGGTTTTTCTAGTTCAATGGTCATATCATCTACAGATAAAGACAGTTTTTATCTCTTCCCTTCCACTCCCTTTGGCCACTTCTATCTTTTTTCTTTTCTTATAAATTTGTCTAGGACCTTGAGTATAAACAACAGCAGAGATGGGGCCATCCTTGTCTTGCTCCTGATTTAAAGTTTTTCCATTAATTATGTTTGTCATTGGTTTTTGATATAAAACTTTATCAAGTCGAAGAATTTTCTTCTATTCTTAATTTTCTGAAAGTATTTAAAATTATAAATAAGTCTTGAAACATAATATTTTTGCTGCCTACTACTACTTACTACTAGTGTAAATTCTTTTTCTGCATTTTTTCTTTAATCAATCCATGAGGTAAATTTTGTTGATGGATTTTCCTGTATATACTTCAACATATCAGATTTTGTATTATACCTCAATATCTCAATTTCTGAGAAAAATTTTAATTGATTGTGATGTATTATTTTAAATTTCTCTATTAGATTCAAGGAGCTATTTTTAATTTTATTTAAATTTATGTTTATAAATGAAATGAGCCTATACTTTACCCACCCTTTTTAAAAAATGACCTCATAAAATTAGGTTTCATATGCAGGATGGAAATTAACTGTTCTTTGAAATTTTGGTAGAAATAAGCCATGAATAACATGTGGATTTGTGGGTTTAGGAGGAGAGGGCAAAGCATGGTCATTTTTAAGTGTGTAACATTTTTTCATCTCTTCAAGGTTTCTATTTCTTCTGCTGCTAATATTGACTTTTATATATTTCTAGGAATTAATAAATGCACAAACCATTTATAATACTTCAAAAAACTTTTATGTCTCTAGTTATTTTCCCCTTTTTTGTTCTGTATCTTTTATGTATTTTTTTTCTTTTTTTTTTTGAGACAGAGTTTCACTTTTGTTGCCCAAACTGGAGTGCAGTGGCAGCGGTCTCAGCTCACTGCAACCTCTGCCTCCCAGGTTCAAGCGATTCTTCTGCCTCAGCCTCCCAAGTAGCTGGGATTGCAGGCGTGCACCACCACACCTGGCTAATTTTTTGTATTTTTGGTAGAGATGAGGTTTCATCATGTTGGCCAGGCTGGTCTTGAACTCCTGACCTCAGGTGATCCACCCACCTCAGCCTCCCAAAGTGCTGGGATTACAGGTGTGAGCCACCGCTCCTGGCCTCTTTCACATCTTTTTATCTGCATTGTTCTTGCCGCAGATTTATGTAATTAATGCTTTCAAATAAGCAGCTTTTGGTTTTGTCCTCTAACTCATTGATTTCTGACCCTGTCTTTACTATTTTTTCCCTTCTTATTTTTTGGGTTTACTCTATCACTCTTATGTCAACTTCTTGAATTTTCTTCTTAGCTTATGTATTTTTTTTCCCTACTATCCACCTCCAAGAGAGATCACTATTCCTGACTTCAAACAGCATAGATTAGTTTTGTCTGGTTTTGTATTTTATATAAACAGTGTCATAAAGTATGTATTCTTTTGTGTCTGGTTTGTTTTGCTCAACCTTATGTTTGGGAAAATCATTCATATTTTGTATATAGTTGTATGCCCTCCATTGACATTGCTTTAGAGTATTCTATTGCGAGAATATAGCACAACCTATTTATCCATTCTACTGTTGATTAGGCATTTAGATAGTTTCTAGTCTGGAACAATTACAGAATGTGCTGCTAAGAACATTCAAGTTCTTTTTGGGAACACATGTACTCATTTCTATTGGGTACATATCCAAGAGGGGGAATTCCTGGTAATGTATATGTTAGGCTTTAGTGAATACTGCCAAACAATTTTCCTTAGTGGTTGTACCATTTATACTCTCATCATTATGGACGAGAGTTCCCGTTGCTCCACATTTTGGTGTTTTCTGCCTGTTTCATGTTAGTTATTCTGGTGAGTTTGTAGTAGCGTCTGGTTGTGTTTATTGGCATTTCCTTGATAACTAATGAAATTGACCAACTTTTTTCATTTGTTTGTTTCTTGCCCACATTGATGAAACTACTTCAGCTCACACCTGCTTCTTCTCAAGGAATTCCCAATGAACAGTTGACTAAGAAGGGGAAATTGACCCTTGTTTATAGATGGCTCTTCATAATGGCACTAGCCAGAAACAGAATGTAGTGGCATTTTAACCCCTATCAGAGATAATCGTGAAAGAAAATGGAGTAGGAAAATACTCCCATGGGGTAGGACTTGAAGCATTACGACCCATTGTCTTATTGTCTACTGTTTGTTGAAGGTGAGATGATCTGGCATAAGACTCCTTACTGATTTATGAACAGATACGTGAGGAGAGGATTCATACTGATTTATAGTTAGAGCTTAATGATTTGGCCACATAACCAGGGACTGACGAGGCATCAGATTAGAGGATAGATGACAATGAGATTTAGGAAACAGACTTTGAAAATTTCTCCTGTCTTTAAAGCCTTTTCTTGACCCCACTTCCCCTTCTAGCTGCATCCCCATTTTCTCTCCTTCCCTTTATAACAACCTTTCTTGACAGGTTTGTCTGCACTTACTATCTCCAATATTTCTCCTTCCATTTTTTAGGCCCACTTCAAGCCATCTGACATCCTTAACACTCAATTAAAACTGTTCTTACAAATGTTGCTTGCATTGCTTCTTCCAAAAGTCATTTTGGATTAAAGTCTTATTTAACTTCTACTGGTTTTACCATGTATTCCATTATCCAGAATTAGCTGGGTGAAAAGGCCTTCTGAAGACTCAGTTTTGGTGACAGCTGACTGACAACACTTGCAAGATTGCAAGATTGTAATCCTGATGAGCCGGGGATGTGGTCTGAACCAGAACTTACATATGGTGCTGTTTTTCCCAAAACCAGAATGCATGGGTCAGGATAAATGTTGGAGTGCTATTCTCAGATCACTCTTATTTAAAGCTCTTTTAAAAAAAAAAATTTAAGAGACAGGGTCTCCTTCTGTTATCCAGGCTAGAGTACAGTGGCATAATGATAACTCACTGCAGCCTCAGACACCTGGGCTCGAGCGATCCTCCCATCTCAGCCTCCCAAGTAGCTATGACTGCTACAGGTGTGCATCACCATGCCCAGCCAATTTTTAAATTTTTGGAGATATAGAGTCTCATTATGTTCCCCAGGCTGTTCTCAAACTTCTGAGCTCAAGTGATCCTCCCACCTTGGCTGCTGGGATTATGGGCATGAGCCACCATGCCCGGCCTGTTTAAAGCTCTTAATACCAAAGGAAGGAATGCCTCCACCAGGAGGTCTACAATGGTGCCATTGAACTGGAAGCTGATCCACCTCCTGGACATTTTGGACACTGCTCTGCATGCCACTAGGAAAACAGGCTAGAAAAGAGATTATGACATTGGCCGGTGCGCCTTTGATTCTTGGTAAGGTTGCTACTGTACTAACTGGGCAAGAATGTAGGGAGGGGTATGAATGTAATCCAAGGGTCTCAGGAGAGAGGAGATAAATATCTGAATGTCTAATGTAATTATCTTAGAGAAAAATCTCAACTCTTACGTATAAAATGAAATATTTTTCCTAGTGACTGCTATTGTCTGTTTTCTTTTGAAACTCCCTTTTCTAGCAATTCAATAATTTTCAGTAACTTTCAACTATTAGAATGGTCATTTTCAGTTTTTACAACTTCTTGCTGTTAATTTCACAACTTAAACCTCATATGTAATTTTTTTTTCAAGAGTCTTGCTCTGTTGCCCAGGCTGGAATGCAGTGGCATGACCTCAGCTCATTGCAAGCTCTGCCTCCTGGGTTCATGCCATTCTCCTGTCTCAGCCTCCCGAGTAGCTGGGACTACAGGTGCCCGCCACCATGTCTGGCTAATTTTTTTTATTTTTATTTTTTTAATAGAGACGAGGTTTCACCATGTCAGCCAGGACGGTCTCGATCTCATGACCTTGTGATCTGCCCACCTCAGTCTCCCAAAGTGCTGGGATTACAGGCGTAATTTTAAGGTCTCCCCCAGTAAGCCCCTTATTCACCCTAGTTTTTATTGGCTTAGAGTCTGGCTCTCACTCGTCTCCTCTGGCACATACCCTTCTGATGATGGAGTGGAGAAGAGGGATAGCAAAGGTAAAAACCTTCTTATGGGATTGCCCACGGAGAGATTAAGGTCATCTCTTTGGCTCATTGTCTATGGGCATGGTGTGGACAAATTGCTAGTTTCAACAAGCTCCGCAGTAGACTCACTCACAAGCAATTCTCCCCCTTGGCTAACTTTCACCTGGGGGCCTCATGTTCCATTTCCCTTATGTGTGTACATCTTTGCCCCACTGTGGCAGTCTCAGCAAGACTGTGGCTCCTGGACAGGCATGATGGCTCACAACTGTAATCCCAACACGTTGGAAAGCCATGGTGGAGGAATAGCTTGAGCCAGGAGTTCAAGACCAGTCTGGGCAACATAGTAAGACCCCATATCTACAAAAAAATTTAAAAATTAGCTGGGCACAGTGGTGCATGCCTATACTCCCAGCTACTTGGGAGCCTGAGGTGGGAGGATCACTAAGCCCATGAATTTGAGGCTGCAGTGAACTATGAAGGCACCCCACTGCCTGGGTGACAGACAGAGATCCTGTGGCCCCCATTGCCATTCACCCTCTGCAACTAATTCTTGGGTACCCAGGCTTTTGGAGAACCCACATACCGTTTCTCCCAGAAACCGGGAACTTGGTGAGGGAGTCATCTCGGCTGTCTGTCGTCTTTGTTAGCCTTGCCACATAATTTCTTCTCCATAATTTTCTCCTGATCTCAAAGCACAGGGGCAGGTCCCCCAGTTGTCCTTTGGCTAAGAAGACCTTCCCTTGGAGTGCCAACTGCCAGCATCCCTTACAGGGCATTGGTAGGAATCTTCAGGAAAATCACTCTGTCAGGAATTACTATATTAACAATGAGTCTTTCTCTTTTTGGTCAAGAGGCAGTCTCCCAAATTAATTGAAACCTGTTAAGTCTCAGTTTATGAGAAAATAATAAATGCAATCTCTCTTTAAAAACAGGGCTGGCCAGGCACGGTGGCTCACACCTGTAATCCCAGCACTTTGGGAGGCCGAGGCGGGTGGATCACGAGGTCAGGAGTTCGAGGCCATCCTGGCTAACACGGTGAAACCCCGCCTCTACTAAAAATACAAAAAGTAGCTGGGCGTGGTGGTGGGTGCCTGTAGTCCCAGCTACTTGGGAGGCTGAGGCAGGAGAATCGCTTGAACCCGGGAGGCGGAGGTTGCAGTGAACCGAGATTGTGCCATTGCACTCAGCCTGGCGACAGAGCGAGACTCCGTCTCAAATAAATAAATAAATAATAAAAATAAAAAATAAAAAATAAAAACAGGGCCAAATGGCCAGGTCTGGGATCATATAGGCATGTGCTCCTCCCTGATAAGCCTGAGTTGGAATCTCTTGGCTCACTGTCTACTGACACGCAGCTCAATGTCATTCTGTTATGCTTTAGCCTTGTTGCGAAGCCTTTTTCCTGTTTGGCTTTTGGAAGCATAGACAACCTGGAAATCTCAACTGTATACCTCTGGGGAACAAGCCCAACTCTGGAAAACAATCCAGGAAGGCATTTTAGCATCTGGCTTTATTTTATGCCAAGACTCAAAGTGATGTGTTATGCCTGAAAAATCATTTAACCCAATCCCAACACATTATTCTGCTTAAATCAACACCTGACAGGTAACAGAAGGGCTTCATTTCTATTCTTTCCCTAGTGATTTCACTGTAGGGACGTTGCTTATGCCCTGGCCCGAATGACTAATTTCAAACCTGTTCCCTCTATCTTCTGTACCAAGCATTTACAATTGGACACCTGGAACTGACTTCTCCAAAATGATTTACTGCATTCTAAATTAGATGGGATGCCAAGCAACAAAATCTTTGACCTGGTGTTCATGACCTGCTGCAATGCCTCCAGACACTGCCTCGCAGGTAACTTTCTGAGGTCTCTCTCTGAGCCCACTAAGGGTTACCCAATATCTTTCAGGCTAGCCTAGTTTAGAGAGTCTCATCCCCACAAATAAGAGCATGGCTGGATATTTGTCAACTGGGACCCATCAGTCTGTCTCAGGATTGCAATAAGACTCTGGGGAACTTACAAAAGTCTGTGGGTGAGTGCTCTCTTTCTGGCTAAGTCTATTTTGATCTGATGGAAGTCTCTTTTCTTTTTTTCTTTTATTTATTTATTTATTTAGACAGGGTCTTGCTATGTCGCCCGGGCTGGAGTACAGTGGGAAGTGGCACATTCATGCCTCACTGCAGCCTCAACGTCCCAGGCTCAAGCAACTGTCCCACCTCAGCCTCCCTAGTAGTTGGGACTACAGGCATGCACCACCACGCCTGGCTAGTTTTTTGTAGAGATGGGGTTTTGCCAGGTTGCCCAGGCTGGTCTTAAACTCCTGGACTCAAGTGATCTGCCTACCTCGGCCTCCCAAAGTACATGGATTATAGGCATGAGCCACCACACCCAGCCAGAAATGTTTTAATAAGGGTTCTGTTATTACTATTAATCTCTTATTCTTAATTTTGAAGATTGCCCAGTACAATTGGAGATAGTGATGGTACACAGATATTGATGTAACTTGCCTCTGTTAAAAAATTTTTTTTGGCTCTGTTAAAATTTTAAAGTTGATTACTCTCAAATGATTCAGGAATAAAAGTGTATGTTTGTGTATATAAATTATATTTGTGTTTGTGTATATACACACATACGCACACATGCTACATACAGAAAGAAAGAGATGGATAAAGCAAATATGGTAAATGCTTAAAATTTGGGAATCATTGTGAAAGGTATGTGGGAATTCTGTGTATTATTATTGCAATGTCTGTGTCAGTCTAAAATTATGTCAAAATAAAAAGTTCAAAAATATGCAAATACACAATGTATGATCAAGAAATTTTAAAAACAAATCCCTAGTATTAGCAGTGATTATTGCTAGAATATGGGTTCACATTATTTTCTCCTTTTGGTTTATCTATATTTATAAATGTTCTACAATGGAAATGTATTGCTTTTTCTCAGTACTAAGGACAAAGGAGCATAACAATTGTGTTACGATTGGTAAAAGGCAATATTTTTCAAAGTTGATCTTGTTGGCATGCTAACCACGTGATAGTTACTGCTCTTCTTGGGAATGTAACTTAGACACAGGGTTCTGTAATGTGTGGTCTAGAGCTCCAGTTTTGAGTGTATAGAAAACATTTTGTTCTGTGATCAAAACAAGTTAAAAAAAAAAAGACCACTGTCATTCCTTCACCTCCAGCCTTCCACAATTATTGATATTTTGCTGGCTGTCTTCTTATACTTCTCCAGATCCACTTACCACCTTCCTCTCCTCTTCTTCCTCAGAAGTCTGACCTAGTCAAATGCTCTCTTGTTCTCTGGCTTTCATGGGGTTTGGCCAATGGTGAACAAGTAGTAAAAGATCCATGGGAGGGAGGAGACTGAGATCTGGGTAATTTTTTTCTTGATTCCACCCTTGCAGTCTTCCTATAGTTGGCTTTATCCCTTAACTGAGGAAACTGCACCTGTCAGGCGACCCTCTCCACGCAGCTCTCTCCTTCAAGTTAAGAATGGTAATGACACTCCAAGTTACTAGCTGTAGGATACAGAACTATCCCTTGCTTAATCTCTGCTCACATCTTTGAAGATAGTGCCTTTATTAAACTCTCCTCCATTGACTCAGTTTGAGTGGGAAGGTGATTCTGGATGTGATTAACGTTTGAATTGGTAGAGTGAATAAAGCAGTTTGCCCTCTGCAACGTGGGTGGGTCTCATCCAATCAGCTGAAGGCCTGAATAGAATTAAAACGCTGACTCTCCAGCAAGTGCAAGGGAACTCCTGCAGCCTGACAGCTTTCAAGCTGGGATATCCATGTTGTTCCTGCCTTCAGACTTTGGGTTTCAAGACTGCCAGCCTTCAGACTGGTACCATACCATTGGCTCTTCTGGGTTTTCAGCTTGCAACCACAGATCTTAGGACTTGTCAGTTTCCATAATGGTAAACCAATTCCTTATGATAAATCTCTTTCTGCACACACACACACACACATGTGCCCTATTGGTTCCTATTAGTTCCTTTTTCTCTGGAGAACCAGGACTAATACACTGGCCCTGGAAGTCTCTTTCTCTGGGTTCAATACTGATTTTCCCTCCCAGACAGTGCCTGCCCTTCATACCATCAGAGTTGTGAAGTCTCATTTCATTACGTGCCATGATGTCTGTACCTTCCCTCTAGTAACCAGGATTTCATTTCCCTGCTGCCTATATTCAGCGTTAGGCCAGTAGCAAGGGTATCCAGTGAACTTCTCGTTGACCCCTCTAGCATCCAGCATTGTTCATGGTCTAAGGGTTTGCTCAGTCACACCAGCTTCCTGGCCCACTGGGTGGTGCCTCTTGTCCATACAGTGGAGACCCATCTGGCTACCTGCTTTTTGGCTTGGTTTCTTCCAGCATTCTTCTGCACATCAATCCACGTCAAAGGGGGAATTTGAGCTCTGTTTTTGTGACTCCTGCCTGTCACTGTGCCCCCTCAGATTCTGAAGCTAAGTAACCTCCAAACCTTCCTGGTAAGAGCGTTCATAACTTTCACTGTCAAAAACACCATGCCTAGTCACCTTTGGCGTGCATTGATTGGCCTAAAGAATTTTACTTTTTCCCCTTGCTTTTTTTTTTTTTTTGAGATGGAGTCTCGCTCTGTCACCCAGGTTGGAGTGCAGTGGCATGATCTCGGCTCACTACAACCTCTGCCCCTCTAGGTTCAAGCAATTCTACTACCTCAGCCTCCCAAGTAGCTGGGATTACAGGCGTCCGCCACCATGCCTGGCTAATTTTGTATTTTTAGTAGAGACGGGGTTTCACCATGGTGGCCAGGCTGGTCTCCAACTCCTGACCTCAGGTGATCCTCCCACCTTGGCTTCCCAAAGTGGTGAGAGTACAGGCATGAGCCACCACGCTGGGCCTCCCCTTACATTTTTTTTTTTTTTTTTTTTGAGATGGAGTCTCACTCTTGTTGCCCAGGCTGGAGCGCAGTGGCGCAATCTTGGCTCACTGCAACCTCCGCCTTCCTGCCGAGTTCAAGCGATTCTCCTGCCTCAGCTCCCATCCCCTTGCATTCCTTTTTTTTTTTTTTTTTTTTTTTTTTTTTTATGACAGAGTTTCGCTCTTGTTGCCCAGGCTGGAGTGCAATGGTGCGATCTCGGCTCACCGCAACCTCTGCCTCCTGGGTTCCAGTGATTCTCCTGCCTCAGACTCCTGAGTAGCTGGGATTACAGGCTCCCACCACCGCGCCCGGCTAATTTTGTATTTTTAGTAGAGACAAGGTCTCCATGTTGGTCGGGCTGGTCTCGAACTCCCAACCTCAGGTGATCTGCTCGTCTCGGACTCCCAAAGTGCTGGGATTACAGGCATGAGCCACCGTGCCGGGCCACATTCTTACAGAGAAAGTATCTTCAAGAGAAATAATGTTTCTTACAAACCTTAACGAGTCAAAGATCATCGTGTGTCAATCAGCAATTAGAAAGTAATAAATGTCAGCTCTAAGAGTCTGAAATATGGCCCCCAAAGCAGGAGGTTCTTACTAAAGGTCAAGGCAGCACTGACTGGCTGTCAGAGGCAGGGACAGCTACTTACAATTTAAGATTAGCAAGCCCCTAAAAATAAGGAAAGTATTTTCTCTTCCTTCCCATCCTCCTGTTCCTTATTTGTTTAGGAGAGTGTGGGTAGGGAAAAGATAATGTTGTCTGATATTTGTAGCAATGATTGGTATGTGCAATTTCAAAGAGAGGCCAGATGCTAATGTTTGTAATAACCAAATAGCAGGCATGTCACCTGTTTGATTTGCCAATTTTAATAAGTCCTGTGCTTTAATTTGTAAGGGTAATTTGAGTAATTATAAATATGTAAAAATAGACTCATTAAACATTCTGGGGAATCAAAGGGCTGAATCTCTGCCCCTACTTATTTATGATATATTCATATTTTTTCAATGGGTCAGTAGTTTACTATGATATATGGGAGCCTAAAGCTTGGGGGGTAGACACTCCCGTTTTCCAACTGGTAGACACTAGTCTACCCCCCAAGCTTTAAAAGTAAACAACTACTTCAGGATGGCACATGCCACTGAAAGGTCAGTAGGGTGCTATGGCAGATTCTCTCAATTTTCTACCAAAAATATATATCCTCCCTTTATTCTCTGCAAAGCAAACCTCAGTTTTCTACAGGGAGGCATCAGGATATGGACCACAATGAGATTAAGTTCATTACAACAATCCTTTAAGCATTTTCCCATACTTTCTTGCAGCTAGAGATGGTTATGTGAACCAGTACTGGCCCTTGAGAAGTGAAAGAAAATGCCACTCATCACTTGGAATGGGTAGGAACAATTCTGGAAAGCTTTTGCTTTCTGAGTAAAATGGAGAGATGCCAGTGGTTCCAGCTTACTTTCTATTTTTTTTTTTTGAGATGGGGTCTTGCTATGTTTCCCAGGCTTGTCTCAAACTCCTGGGCCCAAGTGACCCTCCCACCCCAGCTTCCCAAGTAGCTGGGATTACTTGTGCACTGTGGCTCAAATTATACCTTACCTTTCTTCCTGCTTTAAACATGAGTAAGATGCCTAGAGCTGGCCCTATTGTTCTGTGGCCACGATATGGCAGAATAAGAGATGCTGAACCTGCCAGTATAGAGTGAACTGAACAAATCACAGCAGCACTTTCCTCCAAATTTCTTGTTATATAAGAAAAATAAAACTCTATTTGTTAAGTTACTGTAGGGTTTTCTGTTGCTTCCAGCCAAAGCAATTGTATCTAATACAGGTGCTTTAGCAGAATTAAAGGATTTCAACATATGTATCTTTCTCACTAGGGAGACAGAAGCTTCTAACGTCTTCTCCCCCTAGGATCCAGATCCTACGTTGGCTCTGTGAGATGGCCAAGGATACTCTAAATACTAATAGGACCTAGACAGGGGACTACATTCTCTCTTTTATGAAGGTCAAACAGTTTTAAGTATAAAATGCTAGCATACAATAGTAATCACACTCCAGTTTCCAACTGGGAGATAAAAAGACTGGCCTCTATCCTTAGAACCCAATTTATTTTTTAATTTAATTTAATTTAATTTAATTTTTTTTTTGTTGAGACAAAGTCTTTCTCTGTCACCCAGGCTGGAGTACAGTGGTGTGATCTTGGCTCACTGCAACCTCTGCCTCCCAGGTTCAAGCGATTCTCCTGCCTCAGCCTCCTGAGTAGCTGTGACTACGGACGTGCCCTACCATGCCAAGCTAATTTTTTGTATTTTTAGTAGAGACAGGGTTTCACCATGTTGGCCAGGCTGGTCTCGAACTCCTGACCTCAGGTGATCCACCGACCTTGGCCTCCCAAAGTGCTGGGATTAGAGACATAAGCCACCATGCTTGGCCCTTAGTACCCAATTTAAATTTGCCTGGAGTTCCAAGTTGAGGACCATGGAAAATCTGTATGGGACTAAGGATGCTGGATTCTCCCTTCCCCTACAGCAACCATTCCTAGTAAAATTTGATCTGTGATCTGTGCTAAGAGTGCCCTGGGGACAGGTGCATTAGGGTGGTGCCTCTCAGAGAGGCAGTTAGTACAGCAGCATAGTCTGGGCACATACTCAATAGCTTGGTGGTCCAGAAAGAAGAGAACAACTTTTGCCCTAGGTGACCACAGTAACTGCAACCTCATCCTGCAGTTATTTGTTTAACAAAACTAAGGAAGGTAGAGAAAGTCTTCAATAAGGTTTTCTGGGCTTCTTGGAGCCAAACTGCCCAACCAATGGTACTAAATGGAACTAAGGCATGATTTTCCTTCACTCTCATATAGTATATTTTCCTAAGTATACTCAAGGGATTAAAGGGACCTGCATAAAATTAAGATGTGAGATGGAAATCTGAATGACTGAGGACTGTGAGTCCAGTATTCTGGGCAATATCAGGAGAGTTGACGTACTGCTCCCAAGTCAGTAAGTGTCTTGTACCTTGTGTCTCCGGCAAAGTATAAAGAGGAGATGCTGAGGCCCTTTAATCTTACACATCTGCACAACCCACTGTGAGGGGCTAAGGAGGTATCTCATAAATATCCCTTGGAGGCTGAGGCAGGAGGATTGCTTGAGCCCAGGAGGTTGAGGGTGCAGGAATCCGTGATTGTACCACTGCACTCCAGCCTGGGTGACAGAGCGATACTCTCTTTTCTCTCCCTGTCTCTCTCTCTCTGTCTCTCTTTCTGTCTCTCTCTCTCTATATATATTTTTTTCTATCTATCTATCTATCTATCTATCTATCTATCTATCTATCTATCTATCTAGAGATATCTGAATAGATATATATGCCTTGAGATTATCACTATGCCCTTGTGTCAATGATCTAAAACCCATTAAGCTAACTATAATCTGTGAAAAGTGTTTTGCTTTATCTATACAAATACCTGGGAAGATGGGAGGGTAGATTTTCTGGGACTTTAGAGCAAAAATCATCTTTGTACCACAGGAACTACATCAGGATAGGCCATGCTGAGAGCACAACCACAGTGGGCCTGTGACCAGGGTTGAATACACGTCCTGGGCATCCTGAGCAACGAGTCAAGGTCACCTGTGGCAGGACACTAATGTCACTGCAATGGAGTAAAAGAGCCAGCCTGTCTCAGTCACTCCAGTTATAAAGGAGATCAAAATGCTCCAATCACACTTGAAAATGGTGCCGGGAAAAGAGATCATGAGATATTAGCATTCTAAAGAGAATGGTGTATATGATCTGGAAATCAGAACTTAACACCTCAGAACTCTTGGTAGATGTTTTCTTTCTACTGTCCAACCTGGAAATTTCTCAGGAAAGATGAATGGCCCATCAAGGGTTTGAGACTAGAAATTGAGTGACTTAGGGGCCACTGTAACACACAGCAGGCCTTTATGGAGAAGAAATCTGAATCTCCCTCAAGTAAACAGAGGCATAAATAAATCATTGGAGCAAATGGAATGTTTGTTGTGTTGGGGGCAGCCAATTTATTGCTCAAAGAAATAGTACAATGTTACTTTTTTGTTTTGGCACAATTCTTGTGTTCTGTATTACCTGACATGACTTTTTACCAATAAATATAATATGTGGTTGCAATTATAGGAATAACACATGTAATGTATGAATTAATTGTGTGTTAGTGGAAGAAAAAACAAAACTGAAAAGAAGCAGTATCATTAAGGTGAAGAATGTGTCTCTTTTTGACATTGCTGGCATAAAGCAGTAACCCCACTCTCAGGAGTATACCTGGTAGGAAGAAACCCTTGAGAAATGGATAGGGATCCCTAGGAAAATCCCTCTTTGTTGTGCTTCTTACCCTTTAGGCAACTATTACCTTGTAATAATATTTTGTTTTGTTACAGTGTAATAGTTAAACAACTGAGGTAGAAATTGTATGTTTCGATTGTAAGATTCAATTAGTGATTTACTTTAAGACTATCAGTGGGTCATTCCACCATATTTCTTTTCTTTTTTTTTTTTTTTTTTGAGACAAAGTCTCGCTCTCACCCAGGCTGGAGTGCAGTAAGTAGCATGATCTTGGCTCACAGCAACCTCCACCTCCCAGGTTCAAGAGATTCTCCTGCCTCAGCCTCCTAAGTAGCTGGGATTACAGGTGCGTGCTATGATACGCAGCTTAATTTTTATATTTTTAGTAGAGATGGGGTTTCATCATGTTGGCCAGGCTGGTCTCAAACTCTTGACCTCAATGATCCACCCGCCTCAGCCTCCCAAAGTTCTGGGATTACAGGCATGAGCCACCGTGTCTGTCTTCCCCCGTATTTCTTAAAAATTTTATCTCCTGGCTTACCTTTACTCTTGCCATTACTACCCCTGCCTTAAGCTTGGTGAATGTCTCATACACATAGAAGACCCTGACATCTCAATTCTTTTTTTTTTTTTTTTTGAGATGGAGTCTTGCTCTGTTGCCCAGGCTGGAGTGCAGTGGCACAATCTCGGCCCACTGCAACCTCCGCCTCCCAGGTTCAAGTGATTTTCCTGCCTCAGCCTCCTGAGTAGCCGGGATTACAGGTGCGTGCCACCATGCCCAGCTAATTTTTTGTATTTTTAGTACAGACGGGGTTTCACCATGTTAGCCAGGATGGTCTCAATCTCCTGACTTCACAATCCGCCCACCTCGGCCTCCCAAAGTGCTGGGATTACAGGCATGAGCCACCGCGCCTGACCAACCTCTCAATTCTTGACCTCCTCTCCCACAAGGATCTTCTCCACCTCACCTTAACTATTCACTTCCATGGCCATTGCTTAGATTTTATCATTATGTATAGGTGTGACCCCTGCATAATCTCAGTGCTATGATTCCCATTGTCTGATCACTTTCTCCTATCTTTCCAGTTTACTGTCTAACCCCAACAAACCTTTGGCATCCTATACTCAAAATACATACAATATTTATTTACAAAAATTACATCAGGTAATACAGAGGGCAAATATGTGCCAAAGACAAAAAGAACATTTTTAGAGCCATAAAAAGAACATTTTAAGCCATTTCCTGAAGCAATAAACTGGCTTCCATAAAAAACACACACACCATTCCATTTGTACCAATTTATTTTCCATTATTCTTCCCCACCTTGCTGTTCTCATTCCTCTCCATATCCAGTTTAAAGACCATGGTCTCTTATTGTAAGTACTCCCATTCACATAACTTTGATTCCCTTGCCCCCTCTCACTTTTTGGTCAAACTAAAACTTTGGGTAATTCAACTTCTCCACCCAATCTATGTCTAAACCCACACAGCTGAATGAGGCTGATAAGCGTGCACAGACACAGACTGACTAATCTCACATTAAATTCACAATTGCTAGCGTCAAGTGAATTATTAATGCTGCCTGGGAATCACACATAGTTCATTACTCTCCCCCTCTCCTAAATGACTCACACATTTTCCTTTCTCCTCAAACCCCCAATTAGTTCATGTCTCATTCACAAGCTCAGTTGATGACCTTATTTTCTAATTCACTGAGAAATATTACACAATCAAGAAAGAACTTCCACAGTCTCCCATCACTGCATCCACCCACTTACCTGTGTCTTTAATCTCATATTATGCCTCTCCGACTGCTTCACAGATGGAATGTCCATGCTCCTAGCTAAAATCAATCCCTCTGCTTGTGCATTAGATCCATTGCGCTTGCTGCCTTAAGGATATTGTTCCTGCAATTCTCCCCCTCTTTCTCTTGCATTAATAATTTTTACTCCCTCTTGGATCATTTTTATTAGCAAATAAACAGGCTGCTTTCCTTCCCATCTTAAAAAAAAAGACAGAGTAAAAGCAATCATTTCTCTTGACCCTGTTTTTCCCTGCCAACTTCTACTCTATTTCTTTGCTCCCATTTGCAGGAAAATGTCTCAGAATAGTGCCCTGTACTCATGGTCTACAGTTTCTTTCCTCTTACACCTTTTTTTTTTTTTTTTTTAACAGAGTTTTGCTCTTGTCGCTCAGGCTGAAGTGCAGTGGCACGATCTCAGCTCACTGCAACCTCCACCTCCTGGGTTCAAGCGATTCTCCTGCCTCAGCCTCCCGAGTAGCTGGGATTACAGGTGCCCGCCACCACACCCAACTTTGTATTTTTAGTAGAGAAGGGGTTTTACCACGTTGGCCAGACTGGTTTTGAATTCCTGACCTCAGGTAATTCGCCCTCCTGGCCTCCCAAAGTGCTGGGATTACAGGTGTGAGCCACCGCACCTGGTCCTCTAATGGTTTCTTAAACCCACTGCAGCTGGGGTTTTAGCTCCTGCCACTCCATCACAATTACTCTGCTCAAGGCTGCTGATGACTCCCTCCTGGCTAGAGCCAACAGTCAGATTCCCAGCCTTCCTCCTACTTGACATAGCATGAGCATTTCACAAAGTGGACTACTCCATTTTTGGGTGCACTTTCTTTACTAGGCTTCGAAGACACCACACTCTCGGCTTTCCTCCTACCTCACTGGTCATGCCTTCTTCGCCTCCTTGGCTGGTTCCTCCTGCTTCCCTTGGAGTGCCCCAGGGATCAGTCTTAGCCTTTTTTCCCTTCACCCTCTACACCCTCTTGTTGATCTCATTTGGACTTACAGCTTTAAATAACATCTATATGCTGATAACTCCCAAATTTTTCTCTCTAGCCCAGACTTCTTTCCAAAACACCAGATGTATCTATTTTACTGCCTCATCAAAATTTCCAAGGGATGTCTAATTTTTATTTCAAACTCGACAGTCCAAAACAGAATGCTTTTTCTTCCACTACAAATCTGCCCCACTTCTAGCCTTCCTCATCTTAGTTGATGGAAACTCCATCCTCCCAGCTGCTCAGGCAAAAGACTTTTGAGTCACTGTGACTCTTCTCTGTCTCTCACTCCCCATGGTCAATCCTTTAGGAAAATCTATTGGCTTTTCCTTTAAAATATATCAGAATCTACCATCACTGTGGTCCAAGCCACCATCATCTCTGATCTACATTAATGAAATTACCTCCTAACAGATCTCTCTGCTAAAACCCTCAAACATAGAAGTCAGAATGATCCTTTGAAACACAAGTTATATCATCCTATGTTTCTGTTCAAGATCCTCAATGGCTTTCTAGTTTACCCATAGGAAAAGTCATTACAGTGACATATAAGGCACACATGGTCTGGCACCTTCCCCTCCTTCTGACCATAACTCTGCTCCAGTCCTGCTAGTTCCTTTACTGTTTCTTGACCTCATCACCTAGGGTTGCTTCTTTAGCTGTGCCCTCTGCCTGGAACACTTTTCCTCCAGATATCTGCTGGCTAACTTCCTCAACTCCTTCAAGTCTTTGTTCACGTCTCATTTGCACAATGAAGCCTATTCAGATCACACTGTTTATGACCTCACCTTAACCCCTACTCTCACTTAGCACTGTTGATCCCACTCAGTCTGCTCTACTTTTCATTAATTCCATGTCTTCTGCTATCTAATGCTGATTTATTTTTTATTTTCTATATTCTTTCTGCTGGAATAGAAAATCATAAGGGCAGGGATCTTTATTTTATTCACTTCAATGTCCCAAGTGCCTACAACAGTGTCTGCCATATTTTAGTGCTCAATCAATCCTTGTGGAACTGTATTTTTTAGCCCATAAAAGCCTGGTGCTTTTTGTTGTTTTTGTTTTGTTTCATTAAAGATAAAAGCCATGACTACACATGACCCCAGAAGGAAAGCCTCTAGCTAGCACCGCCTCTGGATGCACTTCAGTCCAGTCCATTGCTGACCCCTGCTGGAACTCAGCGACCAAGTTGCTGTCTGTCCCTTGACTGGATGAGTGGACCTGGAACTCCTTGGGGACCGGCAGGGTGACAAGAGGCTGCTGATATCCTCTTTGCCACCTACTTGTTCCATACCCTGTTTGTAAGAGCCGTATCTGTAGTCCTACCTCTCCCTGGGGATTTTCCTAATTCTAGGGGTCTGCAGAAGACAGATTAAAGCTTTCTTTTGTTTTATTTATACTTGGTAACTGTCTTCTCTTATAAAGACCCAGTAAGAGGGGGAAAAAAAATAAAATAAAAAATCCTGCTCTGGGTTCCACTTTCAGAATTAAGAACTTAATCTTTAACCAGACTAAAACTTGACATGAAGTAGAGAATCTGTTTTGAAAATATTAATGGGATTTCTTTTCTTATTCTCTTCCATATAATGACTCCCTTCTCAACCAGAGGCATCCTTTTTCACCAGAGAGCATTATGGTTGTTACAGCAGGAATGCAAAGGTACACGGGACTTGAATTCAGCTTTTGAAGCCCATAATTAAATAACAGTCTTGAAAGCTTTTTTGAGAAAATAAGCTCAAAATTCCAAAACCTCTTAAATATTAAGAGCAAAAAATGTAGCCTGGACATCAGGTTTTACTCTAATCTGTAGGTAGAACACACTTCGGGTATGATGGTGGGAAGTTGCCGTCTACCGAGGGAGAAAGTAAAGTGCTCTTCCAGTTGAAAGAGCCAAGGACAGGGGGCAGGTTTGAGGGGTTGAGACTAACTGATGCTTGGATCCCTGGGAAGGAACCCCTCAGTCCCTTCAGTCTTTGGGCCTTGGCCCAGAATGGGAAGATGGGCATGACATCAGGAACCCCAGATAAGTTGAAGGAGAATCTGGAACTTCTGGCCTGTCCTTCACTTGTACTCCATGTTCAGTGTGACACTGGGGCAGTATAGTGCCATTCAAGAGGTAGTTCTTACATGGTTGAGAGGTATCTAGGCAGATGGACCTGAGTTTGCACCCCAGTTCCCTGTGGCCTTGGTGTGGAATGGAGGACAACCAGCATATTTTTTATGCCTTGGAAAGAGCATGCAGGAGTGCTGAGAAAACCCAAGGTCCAGAAGTCTGCATTGGGGATGAGAAAGCTACATCCAGCAGAGACCTCCAGTAAGAGGTATAGCAGGACTCCAGACTCCAGACTCCAGACTCCAGCAGTGAGTGTCAGAAAGGCATCAAAAACAGCAGACAGGACCTGTTGCAATTCACTGGGCACAAGCACAATATTCCCAGAGACCCCTAAAATAGCCACACAGCATAGAAAATGAGTGAGGATCCAGAGAACAGCAGAGGACACAGCCATGAGACTGCTTCCCTTTCTGCTGTTCTGAGTATATGTAAGCTCCCAATATTCAGGAACCATGGCAGGAAGAAAGGGAGAGTTTGAGCTTTGAATTGACTGAATATTTATATCCAAAACACTGAATTAAATTGAATGGGAATATCTTAAACTGAAGAAGACTAACTGAAATATAACTAAATTACCTTAATTGACAAGTTTAAATTTTTCACCTGTCATTAACAGGAGTGGGAGCTTCCTAATAAGACACAAGCAGCAATAGATAATAAAAAATGCTACATTTTTTTCTTTCAAGTTGAATCGTAAATGTTTGTATGTTTTGACCATTTTGCTTTTCTTGCCCTTTACTAAACTAGAATATTTTGACAGGTGAACTAGGATTCTGGGTCAAGCTCTGGATTATCAAGAGCTATTGCGGAAAAATAAGAGACAAAGAGTATTCCGGAGTGGAGTGTGTGAGATTTTCCTTTGAGAATTCAGATTGGGCTCATTTCCTGTGTGGTTTGTGTTGACACTCCCCTAACTCTATCCCTCCAATGAGCTTAAGAAAATGGGAGTGAGTCTCTGAATTCCTAGTGAGGGATGAGGGGCAAAAGAAACTCCCTGTCCAGGTCCTAGAATAGGCATGAGAGGGCCTGAGCTGACACTCCTATACACGGGCACAAAGGTTCTTATCGATTTGGATTCTTGGTGTACTATGATTTTTCTCAATATAAAATTATCTACCTTTGCTGCACTCAAGTTTTGGGCTTGGAATTGTATTTTGACTCTGATATTAATTTTGTCACACCTTCTTGCTTTTATTAACACTTAACATTTGTTTGGTATATCATTTCCAAACCTAGGATTTTCTTTTTTCTTTCTTTCTTTTTTTTTTTTGACAGGATCTCACTCTGCTGCCCAGGGTGGAATACAGTGATGTAATCACATCTCACTGCAGCCTCAACCTCCTGGGCTCAAGCAATCCTCTCACCTCAGCCTCCTGCATAGCTGGGACTATAGGCATGCACCACCATGTCCAGCTAATTTTTTTTTTTTTTTTTTGTAGAGACAAGGGCTTGCTATGTTACCCAGGCTGGTCTTGAGCTTTTGTCTCAAGCGATTCTCTCACCTTGGCCTCCCAAATTGCTGGGACTGTAAGTGTGAGTCATTGCACCTGGCCTGCTTTTGCTTTTTTAACCAACATTATTTTGTTTCTGGCCTTTAAAATACTTTAAAAGGTCAATCTTGTTAACTTATACAAGCAATACATGAAGGTATTCTGCTTTTTAAAAAAAGTCAAAGTAGGCTGGGCGCAGAGGCTAATGCCTGTAATTCACCACTTCCGAAGGCTGAGGCAGGAGAATCGCTTGAAGCCAAGAGTTCGAGACCAGCCTAGGCAACAAAGCAAGACCCCGCCCTCATTTCTACCAAAAAAAGTAATAAAAGAAAGAATAAAAGCATTATATATAAGGCTAGAGAGCCCCTAACCAACACTTTCAATCCTTGTCTTCTCTTTAATTGCCTATTACTATACTTTGACAACTTTTTTGGTTCTTGTCTCTTGAATTTTTGATCCTTTATATATTCCAGACATTGATCTTATGCCTGATATTTTTCTCAGAATGTAGCTTGATATTTAATTGTGTTTAGGCTTTTAAAAGTAAAACATTTAAAAGTTTTGATGCAGTCAAATCTTTTTCCTTCAATTTTTATTTTTAAATTTTTTGTGTCCTAAACAAGATGATCTTCCTTATTTAATGATGATAGAGGGATTTTCCAGCATTTTTTACCAATTTTTTTATAGCTTAAACATGTTTAGGTCTTTACCATCTGTAATTTATTATTATGAAAGGTTTGAGAAAGTAATGCTGTGTATTGTTTTGTTTTCTTCATGAAGAGGCAATTGTCTCAATAGCATGTATCAAGTAGCCTATCTTTTCCCTGATTACATGAATGCCAACTCTCTTGTCCACTGGACTGTATTTACAGGTTTATTTCTGAACTCTTTATCCAATTCCACTTATCTCCTGTCTATTCCTACATTATACCACACTGCCTTAATTACTGTAACTTTGTCATATTTTGATATCTGGTAAAGCAATTTTCCCTTCCTTTCCCTTATGTTCTTCTGTAATATTTCCTTTAAAAAGCTCGATGAAAAATCATTGTGGGGTTTTGAATGGAACTGCATTACCTATACAGATTAATTTGAGGACAGAACTGACATTTTTATAGTATTGAATTTTACCATCCACAGACATTATTTTTATCCACTTAGTCCTCTTTTCTTTTCTTTCCTTTTCTTTTTTTCTTTCTTTCTCTTTCTCTCTCTCTCCCCCCCTCCCTCCCTTCCTCCCTCTTTCTCTCTCTCTCTCTTTTTTTGACGGAGTTTCGCTCTTGTTGCCCAGGCTGGAGTGCAATGGCGTGATCTCAGCTCACCACAACCTTCGCCTCCTGGGTTCAAGCGATTCTCCTGCCTCAGCCTCCTGAGTAGCTGGGATTACAGGCGTGCACCACCACACCTGGCTAATTTTGTATTTTCAGTAGAGATGGGGTTTCTCCAATTTGGTCAGGCTGGTCTCAAAAGTCCTATTTTCTTTTATGTCATTCAGTAAAAGTTTTATAGTCTTCTTCATAGATGTTCTTTATATTATTTGTTGCTACCAAATATGGAATCACTTAGTCTATTACATTTTCTGATTGATGATTACTGGCACATAAAAAAGTAATTGATTTTCTTCTTTATTAAATTAATGTAGTGAATTATGTTTATAGATATTGTTGAATTAATCTTGCATTCCTCAGATAAACTTCACACGATTATCTTGCATTATTCTTGTCATGCATTGCTGAATTTTACTTAGGATTTGTGGACCTGTCTTTATAGATAAAATTGGCGTATTTTTTTTTCTTGTCTTTTAACTTGCCTTGTTTTGGTATCAAGGTTAGCTTGACAACATAAAAGAAATTAGTTAATTTTCTATCCTTTTCTATGCTTTAGAGTGCTTTATAAAAATAGAAATTATCTTTTTCTTGAAGGCTTAGAAAATTTGCCAATGCAACTGCTGAGACCTAGTGCCTTTTGGGAGATACAAGTTTGACTACCACTTCAATTTCAGATTTTCTACATCTTCTTAAACTATTTTGAAATTTTATATTTTTCTTATAAAATTATCCATATAGTTTTCAATTCTTGATATAAAGTTGTTTGTATTATTCTAATTTAAAAAATCTGTGTTATGATTTTATGTCCTGTTTTATTCCTGATAACTTTTTGTGCCTTCTATTTTATTTTATTTTATTTTTGAGACAGGGCCTCACTCTGTTGCCCAGGCTGAAGTGCAGTGACACAATCACAGTGCAGCCTCGGCCTCCCCGGCTCAAGCAATTCTTCAGCTTCAGCCTCCTGAGTAGCTGGGACTACATGTGCATACCACGCACTCAGCTAATTTTTTTTTTTTTTTTTTTTTCTTTGGTAGAGACAGGGCTTTGCCATGCTTCTTGAACTCCTGGGCTCAAATGACCCTCCCACCTTGGCCTCCAAAGTTTTGGAATTACAGGCGTGAGCCACTGCACCCGACCCTGACTTCTCTTTTTAAGAAATTTATATTTGCCAAAGAAACCTACTGTTATTCACCTTTTAAAAGAGTTTTGCTCAAAGCTACCTATTTTTTCTTGTTTCATTAATTTCTGCTTTATTAATGATAATATTTTTCATTCTTTTTTTATTATCACCCCTCCAGAATTGGTTTCAGATTTTTTTTTCCTAATCACTCCCCGTTCCCCACATCCCTATGAAATCTTAAACCACACATATAGTGTATATCTATTTATGTAGTATGCTGTTTTGGAGGCCACAACCATTGTAATATTTAAATGTTTTCCTTTTCTTCTGGAGTTGAAAGCTTAGTTCATTCACCTTCATTCAACCTTTCTCTTTTTTGAATAAAATATTTAAGGCTATAAATTACATTTCCTCCCCTAGTGTTTTTTGCTTGCTATATAGTGCTTTTTGTTTTCATTCAGCTCCAAATTTCTGCAATTTCCCCTTCTGTCTGACTTACGTAGAGGCTTCCTTTTACGGATTTCTCAATTTATGGATTTTTAATGATATTTTTGTTGTATTTTTATGTGATTACCTGCCTGAAGTTTGTCTAGACTTTCTTTGTATCTTACCATGTGGCCGATAGGAATGCTTGCAATCTTTCAACATTTAAGTTTGATTTTTATAGTAGGCTTTTGGCAGATACCTTTTATCAACTTAAGAAATTATCTTTTGTTACTAGTTTACTAAGGTATTTTTAAATTAAATCACAAATCATTGTTGATTTTTAACAATGAAACTATTGAGACGGTTATGCCTTTTTGCTTCCTAATTTCTATTAATTTGATCAATAACTTTGATATATTTCATGTGTCTCATCTTCCCACACTTTCTAAAGACTTACTTCTTTCTGTACGTTCTCCAAGCAACCATCTATATTCCCACTGACAATGGTAATATCACTGAAACTAAGCTAAAAATACTTGGAAGTATTGTTTACATTTTCTGTAATCATCTACTATACCTATCTCAGTGATAGGGATGATTTCCCAGTGCTTTCTCTGCAAATTTAAACAGGTATCTCTCAATATTTTCTTGGGCCTGAGATCCTGAGTGAAGACAGACATTCATGTAAAGCTTGCGTCCATTCTTTTGTTAGATCTCTTAGGGTTCTAATCACCTCCTCTAACCTACTAATAATTAAAATGCCACTCTCCTTTATAATTCCATGTTTAAGATTGTTGGCTACTGGTCTTTCTTATTTTTCTTTTCACATCATCAATACTGTCCTCTGAAAACACAACCTTTCTTCTAAATAAATCCTTCTCTTCTTTCAGCTTAATCAAACCATCATCCTTTCTTCAGTTTTCACCCTTGTACTGCTTCTATTTTGATTTCAAGATTTAAATATATATATTTGAAACAAATATGGCTCCCATTTTATTTCCTGAATAGACCCTGATTCCTAGGGAGAGAAGGATTCAGGCAAAAGCCTTTTTAATACTTTTCCTGCCTTTGGGATTATGGTATACAATGCTTTTCTCTTCCTCAAACCCCTATATAACAAAAACTTCCATTCCTCTTTATGTATTTGTGATAAAATCCACCATTTCTCTGTGGTTGAACACACAAGAAATTCAGCTGAGGCCTTGAAATTCCACTGTCAGGGCTTATATAGTAAACACATCTGGCACCAACTTGGAATATAAATAGAAGGTGATTCTGGATATCCCATATGAATTAAAGGATTTGGAGCCTCCCATTGGCCTCTCCTTAGCCCTATTAAAGGGTGCATTTCAAATCCAGATAATGGGGAAACTGATCTGATACCACCTGATACTTCCCAGAATAATTTAAGAGCTAGAATGTCCCTAACCTGTGCTCTTACATATACATGGAACTTATGCCACTGACCTTAGAATCCTCAACTGCAATTCTGGCTGAGCATAAAGGCAGCACAAATTGATCTATTGAATAGCGCCTTCCCTTTCTGCAGTGATCCTGTCTCAGTTACATCTATGTGAATCAAAATCAGCCACAGTGTTCTGTACAGCTCACTTTTGCCAAAGTCTATGCTCAGTGACTCTAATAAATTAGTGGCTTGTGTGAGGACACTTGCGATCATAGGCTGCTAAGATTTGAAATGACTAAAGAACTGAAAGGCTGAAGATCATTAAAGCATTAAAGCCCTGTACTCTGGCATTACAGACATCCAATCTCCACACATCTTATTTTGATTCCCTAATTCCAGGTGAAGTGCCTATTTCTCAAGATTTAACAGGCAAGGCACATCTCAATGTGGTGGGGCTTAAGGGAGAAAATTAATTCTACCTCTTTCCCCTCTATGTTATCAGCCAAATGAATAATAAATACAAGAATCAGACTAATGAGGGTCAAAATATCAGTACAGTCATCCCTCAGTATACACTGGGGATTGGTTCCAGGATCCCTGTGTATACCAAAATCCACGCATACCCAGGCCCAACTGGCCCTGTGAAACCCATGTATATGAAGAGTTTCATACTCTATTCGCATGTGACTTTTTGTATATGTGTAGAGAACAGCATATGAGCAGGCTCTGCATCCCACAAATACTCTATTTTTGAACTGTGTTTGGTTGAAAAAAATCTGCACATAAGTGGACTTGTGCAGTTCAAACTCATGTTGCTCAAGGGTCAACTGTTACTTTGCTGATTAAGCTGTATCATGGTCAAAACTGAGCTTTCTAATACACTGTCTCCCCTACTCCTCCTAATTCCTGGTCTTGGATCTGGACTACCCAAAGAAAAACATACAGTGGAAATACTTACCTGGATAGCAGCAAGGAACAGAGCTGCCCCAAAAGTAGAAAGAGAGAGAGGTGTTCTTCAAACCTGCCTCTAGAAGGCAGGTCTGGGGCTCAGCAGGTGTGTTTACCCTATGGAAGCAGGATCTGAGTGAAGTGCATGCACACTGCAGGCAGGGAGGTGCAAAAGAGAGAACTTAAGAGTGTGCGTGTACAATGACCCCCCCCCCCCATGTCTCCATCAGAGAATACAATCATTTCTCCTTTGGGGAGAAGTGTGTAGAGGTAGAGATGGGGGTCAAAAATGATATTCCAGAATGGTTCCCTGCTTGGAGAAGAACAGGGAAATAGGGACAAATGACATATTCTTGCCTCCATGGGTGGGGACAAAGCCTGTATTCTTCACATCCTCCCAGCAGAAGCAGGGGATTCAACTCCCTCACAACCAAGGTCTGATCTAGAACTCATTCCCAGCCTCCAACCCATATTTCAGGAAGAGGTGTATGAATAGTTTCTGCTACTAGGTCATTCCTACATCCGAACTGTGGATGGCAGGGATGGGGCAATGGCTCAGAGGTTCAGTCTGACCCCAACCAACCCCCATATGTACTCACTCATTGAGTGAGTACATCTGATTAACAAAAAGAAACCAAAGAAACACCAATAAAATTAGGAAGCCTTTTTCATGGCATTTCACTAACTACTCCTTGAGAACTCTCTGGTTGCTGGAGTGAAAAAGGTAACAACAATACTCAGACTAAGAAAGACCTACCTAAAAACCTTTATCTGGCTACTCCCATGTATGTGCTGAGTATCTCCTTCCCCACCACCTCAAGACCTGGGAGGAGTCAGTTTTACCAATGAAAGACATGTCACATTGAGATTGTCAGAGGCCATCTCCAGATAAAAGTCCCTAGTGTACAAGAACCCAAATAAGGACACTATTTGGGAGCTTGAGAATCAAAAGTTATTTATCAACAGGTGATTGGAAAAGCCAAGCTTTCTTGAAACCAATTTCAGAATGGTTAGTGGAAATTCCTGTTGGCTTCCTTGGTCCACTTACCCAATGGCAGATCTTCAACTGAAAAGGACAAAGAGGAAACAGTAGTCTTCAATAGGACCCCCAATGCCCTAGCTATCCAGCCCTAGCTGAAGAGACAAACAGAGCAAAGAGAAGACTCCTTCCACTACCAAAAATCACTTTCACAGTGGGGGGCCTTCTCCTCCCACATGTAACTCAACAGCCCCACCTTCCCTGCTTAGCCTTCATTAGGAAATACTGAACCTCTTCAGGGTCATAGGCCATACTCTTTTGGTCCTTTCTAAGGACCCCTCCCTCACTTAGTGTAGGAGCACTTAGTACAGTCCCAATGTCATGTTTGTATCATTCACTCTCTTGAGGATGCTGGAATGCCCAGGACCAGAAAAAGAAGGGAATTCACACTGAAAATTAACCTAGCAGGTCCAAAGAGAAAGTCTCTCCTAGGATGCCAAAAAGTCATTCTCACTTTATGTCCACATGGTGTGAAGGGAGGGAACGTAACCAGTTAAGAAAAGGGCTTTTGGGTCAAACACAATAGGCAAAGGGTTCAATCAACATGTGAAGGTACACAGAAGCAATACAGAATAGGGAGCGAGGGAGGGACTAAGATCCCAGAGAGGAGGAAGAGATGGGGGTAATCAAGTGTGAGGGAAAGAGTCACTTAGCAGGCCAGACACCTAAGTTCTAGTCATGGCTCTTCCCAGCAACCTAGCATATGACTTTGAGCTTATCTAGTCTTCAGTATCCTCATCTGCAAAATAGGGGAAAGCAATTTGTTTAACCAGATGCCCGTTAGGGTCCTATGAGATTACAGCATCTTCCCCAAGTGTCAGTGATGGACTATTGCAAAATATTCAGGAGGGGGCCAGAGGGGATCTCCCAGGGCAGGAAATGCCTTTCAGCCTCATCTCTAAAGAAAGGGTCACATATATACACATTCATACATACACAAGCAGAGTGGTCAGTGATTTCATCCACAGCAGCAGAGACACATATAGAAAAAACAAATACTGTTGATGTCTGATTCCTTCTTATCGGGAAAGGGGCCCTGAGGATATAACTTGGAGGGACTATATGGTCAGAGGAGAAAGTTCCTCCTATTTCATAATAGCTATCACCTTGCTACTCCTTCCTCAAATCCAAGGCAGCCAGCTCCTTGGAAGAAACCAGTCTGTTACCCTTCCCTCTCCCACCCACCAACTCACCTGTTTCAGAAACGAAAATCTGCAGACTCTGAGGGAAATAACCCCCTAGTTAGCCATTAGGAAATTAACAGAATCTACCACTCCTGAGATTACATAAGGTGGGGCAGCTGTGTCCACACGCCTCTATTTCCCTGAAAGTTATCAATGGTTATGAGCGGTCTTGTTTCGGGCCCCGCCCAAACTTAAGGTCGCTTGAGTTTTCTCTCTGAGTGAAGGGGGAACTAGTCTGGACCACCCTTTTCTTGCTGGTGCCTTTACGGTAGTTTTCAAATTGTTTAACCAATCTCAGCGTGAGAGTGAGCCAGGAAGTTACCATCCTCAAGTAGGAATCCAAATGGGGAGAAGGGCTACGACGCAAGCGCAGGGTTCCAAATCATGCAACAGGACCTGCAAACAGACTCACACCCCAGACATCAAGAAGTATCTCCCAGCCACACATCTACATGGAGCTTATGTGGCCTCTCCTAGCAGAGGTAGCTGGGGCAATTGGGGGATTGGAGGGCATAAGCCTCCCATCAACCTGGGATCCCTATTTAAAAGATGCTAAAAATAAATTAGTAAACATTGCTGTTTACAGAAATAGAAATCATTTCTGTTTCCAAAGGCCTCTCACCATCCCAGTCCTGGACATTTCCAAGACTGCCACCCCTGACACCCTCTCCAAGGTCCGCCCTGGTGGATGGGTGAGACACCAGAGTCCTTTGAGACTGGGAGCTCCTCAGGCATCTGAGAATTCCAGTTTCACATCCCTGGTTCCAGGGAGGGGAGAATCTTCAGTACTCTGGAGAGTACGGGAGTTCATCCCTTCTTATCAGTTCCTGGGGGCTGTCTTGAGGCAACCCCCACTTTTAGGATGATATACACGTTGCAAGAATTCCCGCTATTTTCCGGCCCCCAGTACCTCCCCAGAGTCCACATGTCTGCCTGGACCCACCCTCAGAGCAGAGGAACCAGTCTGTGCCTTGGTGTAATGACTCTGGGAAAGAAGGATGGGCAGAGAGAAAGCAGGGACAACGGCCTGGGGGATCATCCTTGAGGGTAAGACTGACAGCAATGACTGTCCTACAGGCAGGTGGTGAAGCTGGGCGCCGGGCCGGGACCGGAGCCGGAGGCGGAGCTTTCCACCTCGCTGGTGAGTGGCGGGTCGATGCGGGGAGTTCGACGACGTCCCCGGTACTCGATCATATCTGGATGATAGGTTGGGTGGCGGCGAGCATGCTTGGTCAGGTGGTCGCTCCGGGAGAACTGCTTGGGGCAGAGGGGGCAGGAGAAGCGCTTCTCGCCCGTGTGCGTCCTGTAGTGGCGGGCCAGCTCGTCGGAACGCGTAAACTTCTTGTCGCAGTCGAGCCAGTCGCAGGAGAAAGGGCGCTCACCCGTGTGGGTGCGCTGGTGGGACTTGAGGTGCGACGACTTGTAATAGGCTTTGGTGCAGCCCGGGAAGGGGCATTGGTGGCGCTTGGCAGCAGGTGTGACAGACCTCCTCCGGGGCGCCTGATCCGCGGCGGGGGCGGGGCCTGCCCCTAGGGCCCCTCCAGAGAACCCACCAGAGGCTGCTGGTGCGCCCGGGGCAGCAGGCGCGCTTGGGACGGCGGGCGCATCGGAGGAGCTCTCGGGAGCGCAGACCGCCGCGGCGCCGGAGGCGGGAGCCAGCTCGGAGCACGGGGTCTGGACGGAGCACGGGATCGGGTCGGAGAAGCCGGACGAGGCGCGTGGAGCTTCCCCCGAGTTCTCCCAGGAGCCCTCGCCAGAGCTGCCGCGCAAGTCCGCCCAGACGCTTGCAGCCAGCAGGTGGGGCGCGGCGCCGCCCGCGCCGGGGCTGGGGGCGGGGACCTGCGGGAGCTGGGGGACCGACGCGGGCCCCGGTGGCCCCGGACCCGGCAGAGCGGACTCCGGCGGCGCCGCACCCACCTCCGAGCCAGCGGCTCCACCCGCGCCCTCGGGGTCCGGCGGGCGGCGGTGAACCACGGCGCCCGCGGACATGGACACCAGGCACTCGGCGGCGAAGTAGTCCAGGCACGCCACGGCGGCCGACATGCTGGGACCGCCCGGCCGCCGGCGAGCGCCGTCCGAACGCGGCCGGCCGCGGGCGACGGAGTTCCCGGGAGCGTCCGTCCCGCAGCCTCGGAGCGAGAAGCAGGAGGCCGGGTGCTCGCCGCCTGCCGCCTGCTGCCGCCGCCGCCGCCGCAGCCGCCGCTGCCGCCGCCGCCCGCGCGGAGCCCGCCCCGCCTGACGCGCCCCTGACGCACCGGAGCCCGCGGGGGCGGCAGAGACCCGCCCCGGCCCGCAGGACACCCCCTCGGAACGCGCGGCCCCCGGCTAAGTCATGTTTAACAGCCTCAGAAATTATCTTGTCTCCGCGTTCTTTCTTCTGCCGGCGAGCCAGGTAATGGTAACAGAGCGAAACTCCCCAGTCGGAACTTCTGGGTTGCAGCAGCCTCGCCCCCCCTCCCCGCAGCCCGCCGCCCGCTGGTCCGTCGCCAGCTGGGTGTCCCGCGGAGTCCCAGAAAGTTTTTTTTTTTTTTAAGGAAAAAAATTGCTAATACCTGACATGTCTTTCGGTTCATAATTGCGATTGTTAGCGAAGTGGTCTCGAATTCCATTTCACTCCCCGTTCGCCGCTCTCAGACTAAATTGCAAATATCCCCAAGTCTGTAGCAAAAAAAGTTTTCTCATTGAGCAGGTCAACTGTGAACCCGGGGCCGGGAGCAGTTCCCTAAATAGATCCGCTACGTAGCCATTAATTAATAGCATCTCGAACCAGAAACAGTTTTAACCTTGGAAAAGCAAAGAATCCTCTCCCGGTTGAAATTGAAACTTAAAATCCTTTGAGTAACGATTTAACTATTCAGCCAACGAAAGAAAAATGCATGTTTAAACTGCATTAACCTGTCACTGGCATCCAAACAAATTTAAACGCTGAGATATAAATTATAGTCTAGCGGCGAGATAAACACATTAAAATGGACTCCCACCATTTTAATAATAGAAAGTCACGTTTCCAATTAGGCATTATCTTGTAATTTGCTTTTGACGAAAGTTAAATGTAAGGAAATGCAGCACATGATATAGAATGCTCATATGGTGTTTTGTGATTGTGGAGGTTTGCCTTTTTTATAATCAAATGCATGTACGGTTTCTTTTACGTGTCTTCATTGCTCTCATTTTTTCCCTCGTTTTTCTTTTTAAAAATGTAAAACTACATAGAAAAACAAACAGGATAATTTCTAAAAATAGTCATATCTTAGTTTTTGATGTATACAAGCTTTTATATGAGTGAATTGTGTGCATTTTATTTGTAGTTCTTCAGTACTTTTTCTTTTGAAAATTAATACGTATGTATCAAGAATAACATACGTTCATGTATTTACTGCCTAGGGTAATCAAATGTGAAATTTTTGTTATAGTTGTTTCATGTTTTTATTTATATTAAACATTACAGATAGAGTTGAATGTCACTTTGTTTCCCTCCCCAGTTCCATTCACCTTTCTCCCTCTTCACTTTTCTAGGTAATTAGTATTATAAAGTGGCTATTTAATCTGCATTTGTTTTGATACCCGTATTACCTAATTATACATGTAAATATATGTATATCTCCATGCTTATTTATTAAAATTTTTAAGTAAATGGTTCACTAGTATACATATCATTTTGCAACTTCTTTCCCTCAATATGATTTTGACAGCTATCCAGGTTGACACCTATAGAATCTACTTTATTCATTTCAGCAGTTTTTAAATAATATTGTCAGTGTTATTATTTTTAAGGCGATTCCATTGCAAAACAGTTAATTTTTCTGAAGTTCCTCTAGACGATTAACTCTTCGTTAATCTACACATTAAAATCTATCAGATAGAATAATTTACTAGCTGTTTTAATTTTATTATTTAGAAAAAATGTGAAGATATTTAAAATGCAGAGAGAACATTACAAGCACCCATATACCTGTCTCATATAATGAATATGTTAACATTTTGTTATATCTCCCTCAGATCTATTAAGTATTCAACATTTCTGATAAAATTGAAGGTCCCCTTGTACTGCCCCCAATACCATTCTCCACCCTTTTCCCCAAAGGCAAACACTAACATGAATTTGGTATGTAACTTTCCAGTCTGGGTTTTACAATTTAACTGGATGTGAACCTATAAAATGCAGAATATTGGTTTATATGATTTTTTTAAATGTACAAACATGGTATTAGGCTGTGCATATTATTCTTGGACTTATTTTTTTCATTCATGGTATGTTTTTATTTTTTCTCTTCGTGTTGATAAATATAGATCCAATTCATTCATTTTAATTGCTATAGTGTGGATCCATGCATACAAATGTGTCCTGTTTATTCATTCCCCTATTGATGAATATTAAACTGCTGCCAATATTTTGGTACTACTTGTACATGTTTCCTTTGCACATATGTGAGAATTTCTCTATGTATCTACCTAGATGGGGAATTGCCGGGCTCCACACACATTTTCAGTTTTGCGAGAGACTGCCAAATGCTTCAATTTGCACACCCATCAGAAGTGTGTGACAGTTCACGTTTCCCTCACATGATCTTCAACACTTTCTAGATTAAGATTTTTATTATTCCTGCCAATTTGATTATTTTAAAAAACAGTATCTTGTTGTCTTATTTGAATTTCCCTCACTGCTAGCAAAGTTAAGCATTTTTTCCCCATATGTTTGTTGGTTATTGAGGTTTCCAAGTCTGTGATTTGTTTTTTCACAGTCTTCATTCATTTTTTTCAGTAGATCGTGTATGTTTTATCTTTTTTCCTCCTGATTTGTAGGAATTCATGCGTGTAAACATTAAATATATTGTCTCAGTCTGTGGCTTGTCTTTTAACTGCTTTTGATGTCTTTTGTACTATAGACAATTTAAAATGTACTCATATTCATTGATCTCTTTCTTTATAGTGTCATTTGTGGATTATTAAAGAAACCTCTCCATACCTGATGCATAAAGGTAGCCTCTTATGTCTTCTTCCTTAATGTTTTAAAGTTTTGCTTTCCACACGAGATTGATCTATCTGGGACTTATTTTTTTTGAATGGTGTAAAGTAGGAATTCAATAATTTTACTCCTCCCTTTCCCCCAACCCCCATATGGAAGGCGTGTGGTAACCCGATTTACTGAACAGTCCTTCGTGTCCCTATTAATATGTAATGCCACCATGATTGTAAATTAAATTTCTATGTATTCATGGATGTGTTTCTAGTTTGTCCTTTTCCACTAATCAAACCAAATTTGAGCCAATACCACAGTCTTAATTACCATGGCTTTGTAAATCTTGATGTGCAGAAGGACATATCCTCTCTTTGTTCATTTAAAAAATTGTTAGGTAATGTACACATCATTTTGCAACTTGCTTTTCTCCCTCCATGTGATTTTGAGAGCTACTCATGTTGATACCTGTAGAATCTGCTTTATTAATTTCATGAATGTATAGGCTATTTTTGGACTTCTATTCTTCTATACTAACTTTAGCATTAGTTTGTCAAGTTGCATTGAAAAACTCTTTTGGTATTTTGCTTAGTTAAATTTATAGGTTAAAATTGGGGAGCTATGACAACTTCATAAAATTGAGCCAACTAGTACATTAATATTCTGATTTTTAAATGTCTTTCAATAACATTTTATAATTTGTTTATAAAAGTATTGTACCTCTTTGTTAGACTTACTCCTATTGTACCTTACAGCTTTTGCTGCTATTATAAGTGAGATCTCTTTTCTATTAAATGTTTAAATTGGTCATTGCTGCTACTGTCATTGGTAGAGATCCTGTAGATTTTGGAATAACCTGAAAACTGTGTTAGATAATGCTGGCAAACATGCTGAACTTATTAGTTAAATAGTTTATTTGTAGATTCTCTTGTGTTTTCATGTAAATGATAATATTATCTATAAATAACACCCCTAATACATTTTCCCCTTTCTTATCTCTTTGCATGGGCTGGGACCTTCAATATAACATCAGATAGTTAAGGGTGAGTGCAAGCATTGTTTTCCTATTTTTATCTGATTGAAAATGTTTCTCATGTGTCATAATTATGATATTTGTTGTAAGTCTTTGGTGGAAACCCTTTATCAGTTTCCTTTTATCCCATTTATGCTTAAAGTAGGAATATTGTTAAACCATGAAATGAATATTGAAATGTTATTAAATGCTTTTTCTAAAAACATTGAGATGATTACAGGTTTTATCTTTGCTGTGTTAAAGTGACAGGTCACATTGATAGATATTTCTAATGTGAACCTACCCTTGCATTCCTGAGTTAAACCCTGCTTTGCCTTGATGTACTGTTAGTTATTAATACAGTGCTTCATGTATTTTATTTTAGCATCGATGTTCATAAGTGACATTGGTTTAAAACTTTCCTTTCTTGCACTTTGTGCAAGAAGGAAAATGCATTTGGAAATTTCCTTCTTTTTCTATATTCTGTGACGGTTTGGATGAGATAGGTATGATTTGTTCCTTGACTATTTGGTAAGTCTCGTCTGTGAAACTATCATATTTTGAAAATTCAATTTAATTTCTTTAATGATTGTTGGTTTCTTTGGGGTTTCTATTTCTTCAGTCAATTTTGATCATTCACTTTTTTCTGCCTAAAAAATTAGATACTACATTTAAACCTTTAAAATGTTGGTATATGGTTCATGGTATTCTCTTTAAACATTCTTTACGGTGTCTGTAGTTATACCCTATTTTTCATTATTTGTATCATATATTTGTGAATTCTCTATTTTTTCTTTTTTGTCTTAACAAAGATTTGTCTGTATATTTAGACAAACTTACAGAGGTTTGTCTGTAGTCTTTACAAATAGGCAGCTTTTGTTGATCATATATCTGTTTCTTTTAAAATGTATATATTTGTTTAATTTCTATATTTATTTTTATTAATCCCTCACTTACATTTTCATTGAGTTTAATGTATTATTCCTTAGCACCTTAAGTGCTTTTCAAGTTAAATACCTATCAATTCATTAGCAGTGTTTCTTATTTTCTAATATATAATTAAGGGCTATAAATTTCCCTTAAAGAGAAATTTCCCTTGCTTTATCTGTATCCCGCAAGTTTTTAAAATAGTGCTTTTATTGCCATTCAGTGCTAAATACTTTATAATTCCACTGTGATTTCTTAAATATGAAATTTTTGGAAGGGTGCTGTCCCCGGATTTCCCTGGCATTGTATCACTTGAACTATTCTATAACCAGTGCTCCTTGTGTAACCTCTCAGGAACTGGGTCTGGAAGTATAATTGGGGATTATTTGAAAAGGAAACTAGAATAAGGGTAATTTTTTAATGCAGCGTATACTGTGGCCTTGAAGTAAATGTTACCAAAATGTTATCTCTCCCAAGCCCATTCAGAAGCTTGCAGGAACAACATCAAAGAGATGTTCCTGAAGGCCTTGAACAGCTGACTGGTCCATTCTTTTGGTCACAAGTAGTTCAGGGCATGTACATAGTAGGTGTTACATAAATATGGTAGAATAAATGAATAGGAATATACAAGCTGACAGATTAGTATTACTATTCATTTATGATTATTAATCCCAAACAGACATTAAACATTCCTAGAAATACTGCACACCAGTTTGCATCTGTTGCCAGTCTCCTTCCTGCCTTTTGGCAAAAGCTAGTCTGTTCTAGTTCTAGCTCCATTATCTCTTGCTTTCTCAAGATTCACAATCTATAACATACCTTCTCTCTCTCCAACATCATCTGTTTTTTCTTCTGTACAGAATAATTTGAATCAACATTCAATAATGGATTAATACCTTCAGTTAAAAAATATCCCTCTCTCTCTCTCGACTCTCCTTTGTCTTCTAGCTACTGCCACATAGTTAGGTTGCCCATGAAAGCCAAATTTCTGAAGTGCCGAGTATATTCTGTCACCAATTCCTTACCCCCATGGATTATTAAGTTTGCTTCAATATCGAGCCCTCACTTTGCTACAGAAATTCTTGTCAGGATCAACATTGATGCACCACACAATGTAAATGTCCTTAACACTACTGAACTGTACATTTAAAAATAGTTGAAGTGAGAAATTTTATATTATACATACTTTAATTTTCAAAGCTTTCTTTTCTCAAAAGGAGAAAAAAATTAACATCGACCCCCTTGTTGCTAAATTCAATCCTCAAATAACTAGAACTCTCAGAGCAGTTGAGCAATCCTTGAAATATTCTCATCTTTTGGCTTCTGTGATATTACATTCTTTTGGGCTTTCTTCATCTTTCTAACTGTTCCTTAACAGTTTAAGTCTTAATTACTCATTCCACCTCTTTACCTAATCTCTAAAATTTAAAATTCTGCAGAACTCTATCCTAGGTCTCCTTCTCTCAATTCTACCCACTCTCTCTAGGTAATTTTAAACATTTTCCATGGTTTAAGTACACCTGTATCCCAAGAACTTATAAATTTTATACTCTTTAGCCCAGATCTCTTTTCCAGAGATGTCAGAGAGTCTTAACTACTTGACAGCTCCCCAGCCTTCCTGGAATGTCTCATTGATATTTCAAACAATAGATTAAAAAGTCAAATTCTACCCCAAATCTACTCTTACTGTATTCTTCCCTGTCTCAGTACACAGCACTTTCATCCATTCCTGCTCCTTAAAGCAGGAAACTGGGGTCATTCTTGACACTTCCCTCTCCATCCGCCCCAACATTTAATTAACCTTCAAGTTTGGTTGTTCTGCTTTCAAAATATGTCTTGACCATCTCTTTTCTCATTTTTCCTGCCAGTACCGTAATCCAAATCAACGTCAGCTTTTGATCAAACTATCATAATACTGGGTTCCCTTAACTAGTTCCTCTACTTCACTCTTGCTCCATTCCAGTGTCTTCCCCGTATAGTTGCTACATGGTGAAGTCATCAAAACCTTCCTGTCACAGTTAAGACAAATTCAGAACAGCAGACAATGATCTGGCTCCTATTTACCTTTCTACCTGACCTCTTACTCACTCACTGTATTCCAGCTTACATTGGCCTTTGAAAACGCTAATTCCTCGAATGCTCAAACTGTAAAATCTTCGCATATGCTGCTCCTTAAACCTAAACTGCTCTTGCCTTCACTTTTTGCCTGAATAATTCCTATGTATCATTCATCCATTTTCTCTTCCTCTGAGAATCCTGACACCCACAATCTAAACTGTATCCTTTCTTTTACACAGGCATTCATTGATTTAACAAATATTTAGTGGATATTCTACTAAATATTACTAAATATTTACTGTTCTTCACCTCTCATAGTTTTAGGCACTGGTGATAGAGCAGTGAACAAAGCAGTTTCTGCCCTCATGGAGCTTACATCCTAATGAGAGAGCCTGATAACAAGCAAGTAAGTAAATTCATAGTATTTCAGATATTCAGTGACAGATGCTGTGGAGAACAGTAAAACAGGGGCAGTGAGATAGCATGTTCTGAAAGGGGATATTTTGTGTACAGGGGTTAGGCAAGACCGTTCTGATGAGGTGAACTGAAGGGAGTAGTCTTACAGAAATCTAAGAGAAAAATAGGAAGTGTGAAAGTTTTGAAGCAGAAGCATGTGGGGTGCTGGGCAGCTTAGAGGCTTGCACTGGTTTTCTACAGCTGCTGTAACAAATTACCATAAACTTAGTGGCCTAAAACACAAAAATTCCATTTCTCACAGTTCTTTAGTTCAGAAGTATCCAAAATCAGTCTCACTGACTAAAATCAAGAGATCACCAGGACTGCATTCTTTGCAGATCCTGGGTGAGAATTCGTTTCCTTGCCCTTTTCTAGCTTCTAGAAGCAGCTGTCTGCCTTCCTCCCTCTGTAAAGGCAGCAATGATGGGTGGAGTTGTTCTCTGATTTGCATAAATCCGATCTACTCTTCACCTTCTTATTTCTGCTTATAAGAACCCTTCTGATTGCATTGGTCCCACTTGAATCCAGTATAATCTCCCCATCTCAAGATCAGCTAATTAGTAACTTCTATTCCATCTGAGTTCTGGGTATTAGGATCTGGACATCTGTGGGGAACTATTATTCTGCCTAGCACAGGGTTGAAGCAGACTAAAGGAAGGGAAGAATGAGTTCAGGGACTGGGCTGAGTGGGAGGCAGGTCATGTAGGGCCTTGTAAACAATGTGGACAGGGAGATAGGAAGTCTTAAGGAGGATTGATTCACCTTGGTTGCTGTGTGGCTAGTAGACTCAATGGCAAACAAGAGTGGAAGCAGGAGAGCAGTTAATATGCCACTGCAGAATTCCAAGACAAAGATGATGGTGGTTTAGACCAGTGAAGGTGGTGAGGTGCGGTCAGATCCGGGATGTTGTTTGGAGCTAGAGTGAGGGATATCTGCTAAGGTGTTGGACGTAGGGTATAAGAGAATGTGAGGATTCACGAATGACTGCAAGGATTTCAGCCCAGTAACTGGAAGAGTATACTTTCTATTTTGAGATGGGGATGGCTTTAGAAGAAGCAGGATATAGGAGGTGGAAATTGGGAGTTTGCTTTTGGACACTTGGAGATAGGGAAGCTGAGTTGGCTCTTGGATCTGAGTCAGATGCTTTTTTTTTTTTTTTTTTTTTTTTGAGACAGAGTCTCACCATGTTGCCCAGGCTGGTCTTCAGCTCCTGGGCTCAAGCAATCCTCCTGCCTCAGCCTCCTGAGTAGCCAGGATAGTCTGATGTTTTTATAGTTCAATGAAGTCCAGCTACATCCCTGACTGGGCAACAGGATAAAAGGGATTTTTTAAAGCTATGTGTTTTTATACGTATGTTTCTGGAGAACAGGAATTCTAACTCTTAGTAGAGTTTTTCAAAATGCCATGTATAATTATTTGTTTAATAGTTTTTTATTATAATGATCACAAGATGTTATCTAAATATACTTAAAACCGATTGTTTTGTGTCAAACTATAAAAACAAAGATTTATATTTTAGGAAATCTAATCATTTAATATCTAATTTTTTTAAGTTCAATTTCCATTCTTGATAAAACCTCTATGTTCTTAGCTGTCAGGCTTCTGTTAGATCCGCTGAACTTCTTTCCTGTGACATTCACGCTCATGTTAATTTACAAGTCTAAATGAACTATATGTGACCTTATGAAAAACAGATGAGCTTTTCTTTGGTGAATTTCAAACACTTTTTCAGTGCCTGTAGTGTTGTGGGCACATAGAAGGTAAAGGCACATAGCAAATAATTGGAAAATATTTTTATATAATGAGACTGAGAGCAAAGGTCCAACTGAGATGTTTATATGAGACAGAAAAAAAAGTGGGTGGTGTTAAGATTCTGCAGTATGATAGCTCAATAGTTCAGCAGTATGTGTGGTGACTTTGGAGTCTAACAAGCCAGATTCAAATCTCAGCATGAGACATAGGACCCTCTCCTTTCCCATGAAGGGAATAGAAATTGGCGCAACAGTTTCATGATAACCTGTCAAGATGATGGTGTTCATACATACCCTGTAACTTAGAACTTTTATACCTTAGTTATATGCCATAGAGAAATTTTTGTACTTGACCCTAGGAGACTTCTACAAATACGTTCAGAGCACCATTTGCTGCAAATTTTTGAAGTAACTTATTCATTAAAATGTAAGGCAATACTACACAGTAGTAAAAATAAGCAGTGAGGCGACATATCAAAGGCCTGTCTCTTAAAAAAATAAAAATAAATATCATAGCCAGGTGTGGCAGCCTGAGCCTGTAATTCCAATTACTTGGGATACTTGAGCCCAAGAGTTCGAGGTTACAGTGAGCTATGGTGGTGCCACTGCACTCCAGCCTGGCGACACGGCAAGACCTCATCTCTAAATAAATAGATAGATAGATGTATAGATTAGATTAGATTAGATAGATAGACCAAAACTAGTTAGATCATGGATAATGCTTTCTGCTTAGTAAATAGAATGAAAAAAATCTAAGATTTTAGAAGACTGTGTCAAATATGATATCTTTTACACAACGTAAATACATGATCATAATTACTATATCAACACGTTATAATTGTTAATAGTACAGACTCTGCAGCCAGACTGCCACATTCGGCTTCCATCACTCACCAACTACATGACCTTGATTGAGTTACTTTGCTTCATTCATAAAAGGGAATGAGAATAGCACCTACTTTATTTGGGTTGTACTAATTAGTTAATACATGTAATATGATTAGACCACACGTAGGCGTGTAGTAAGCACTGTATTCATTATTATGTATTGTTATCCACATATTATTCATATATGTCCATAATACACCCATACATTAAAAGTAGAATACATTAGCAGGTGTGATAAATACCAAATTTAGAGCAGTAAGTGTCTCTGGTACGGGAGGAAAGGGAATGGAGTTTCAACAGATTCTTTTGTTATTTGTTTATTTTTTAAAAAATCTGAAGCAAATTAGGTAAATGAGATTTGTCAATATGAGCCTAGGTACAGTGCTGTTTGCCATATTATTCTCTGTACTTTTCTGTGTGTGTGAAATTTTTTTTTTTAAATCGCAGAACAGAGCCAGAATATTAGACACACAAAACATACCTGCCAAATAAGTGAGTGGACTGGGGATGCAGCCCTTGGAATGTCTGGCTGGACTCCCCCTTTATTCTGCCTTCCAGAATAAAGGCGAGCAGGGGGCATCTTGGCCATTAGGAGGGACACTCCTCTCCAGCCATGTGGATGCAGTGGAGCCAGGCTTTCAAGGTTCTGAGGGAAAATTATTTTGAACTTAGAATTCTATACCCAGGTGAACCCATCATTCAGTGTGAGAGCAAAATGAAAACACTTTCAGAAGTTTTCAGGTTCAGGAAATATACCACTCAAGCACCCTCTCCGGAACAATAACTAAACATCATATTCTGGAAAGAAAAAATGAATCAAAGAGGAAGGCACAAGGGACAGGGAACCTAGTGACAAAACACAGCATAATTTAAAATAATCATTGATTGGGGGTAGAGGGGAGAGAGAGAGGGAGGGAGGGAAAGAGAGAAATAACAACCATCTGACATTCTGGAATTAAAATCCCTAATGGTCTTTACATGGGAGGTAGCAAGAGGGCAAAGGAAAAAACTAGAGGCGTGAAAAGGTTCCTGACTTGTTCAGAGAGAAGCTAGTCATGTTGAGTAATTGAAGATGTTGATTTTATCAAATAATTTTAAATATGTGCTACAAAATGAAAGAGTAACCACTGGAAAAATTGAAATAAGATACCTAATTTCCTAGCCATTAAAAGAAAACATTAAATAAGGAAAATGTCATCAGTTCAAGAAAAGCAAGAGGAGAAAAGGAGAAACAATAACAAATTATGGTAAATAGAAAACACAAAATAAGATGCAGGAGTTAGTCCAAAGTGTCAGTAATCACAAAGTGAATTAACCAACCAAATGAAAAGATACAGCCCCTCAGACTGAGTTTAAAAAATAGAGAAGGGAGGGTAGAAAATTCAAAACCCTAAAAAGCTATATGCTGTTTATCTAAAACAAATGACCCAGGAATTTAAAATTGAACAACAAAAGCAGATGTATTATGAAAATGTTAACAAAGCAAACCAAATTAACATTTCAAGTAGAAAAAAAATAAGGATAAAGAAGATTCTAATAACATTATGAGAAACTTTATATACTCAGTTTAAATGTACGTGGAATATTTACAAAGAAAATTTCAATAGATTCTATAAAGTAGAAATTATACAACCTACACAGTGACCACATGCATAAAATTATTATTTAACAACAAGAAGACAGTAAAAAACAACAAACAGAAAAAGCACTATCCTCTTGAAAATGAGAAGGCACACTTCTAATTAACTTGGATTACAAAAGAATTAAAATTGAAATTACAAACTACTTAGAAATGAACAAATGAGCACACTACATTCCAAGATTTGTGCGTACTGCCAAAGTGGTACAAATGGAAAGATTTGCAGCCTTGAGTGCTTGTAGAAAACAGAAATTGTGAAAATAAACAAGCTAAGCTTATGACTCAAGAGTTAAAGAACAGGAAAAATAAGCCCAAAGAAATAAAAGTAGAAATAAATTGGCCGGGCATGGTGGCTCATGCCTGTAATCCCAGCACTTTGGGAGGCTGAGGGAGGAGGATCACCTGAGGTCAGGAGTTTGAGACCAGCTTGGCCAACATGGTGAAACCCTGTCTCTACTAAAAATACAAAAATTAGCGAGGTGTGGTGGCAGGCGCCTGTAATCCCTGCTAGGGAGGCTGAGGCAGGAGAATCGCTTAAACCTGGGAGGCAGAGATTGCAGTGAGCCAAGACCATGTCATTGCACTCCAGCCTGGGCAACAAGTGCGAAATTCCATCTCAAAAAAACAAAATAAGAATAGTAGAAATAAATGAAATTTTAAAAACCCCAAGTGGGCTTCATTAATAAAACCATTTTCTATTTATTTGGCAAGACCAATAAAATAGATGAATGCTTGGTGAATCAGATTAAGAAAAAAAAGAAGATATGCTTAATATAAGGATCAAGAAATGTGGAAAAAGCCAAATATTACTATGTACAACTTTAAATAAATATAATTAAAATCAAGATAAAATGTTTGATCCATAAATGCACAAATTACCAAAGTTGGTTCAGTAAGGAGCAAAGCTCCATGGACCATTACATAAAAATAAATGGAAAAATAATTAAAGGTATACTTAAAACAAAACAAAACACCAGATCCAAGTAGTTTCGCCAACTGGAGCTACCAAAGCTAAAAACAGGTATTTCCCATGTTATATAGTGGTCATAGTCCATAAAACAGATTGAACAATTTTTCAATTCGTAAGAGGTTTTTTTTTAATACCCTAGTTCTGAAATCAGATAAAGATAGGATCCAAAAAAAAGAGACTAATTCTCACAAACATAGTACAAAATTTCTAAATCTAGAAGTGTATTTTAAAAATAGTGCATCATGCCCAAGTTGAGTTTTTTCCAGGAGAAGAAGGGTATTTGGATGGTGAAAGTGTATTAATAGAATTCATTGTATTCTCTGAAGAGAAAATATATAATAGGCACCCCAAAAAGCAGTTGATAAGATCTAGCACACATTCCTCGTTTTAAAAAATGATCTTAGTAAAGAAGTCATAGAAGAAAGCATCTTATATTTGAAAAGGGGTTTCCAGTGGAAATCTACAACAAACATAATGCTTAACCATGAAATACTTGAAACATTCCCATTAAAATTAGGAACAATACAAGGGTAGCCTTTACTAGTACCACTTAGCATTAAAGTAGACATCCCATTCAGTACAACAATGGGGAAAAAGCCAAGAAAGAAGGTGAATACATATTGGAAAGTAATATACAAAACTGTAACTTTTTGCAGATGCACATTTCCATGTACCTAGAAAAATCCAAGGAAAATGTCAGAAAAACTTGAGAGCTAGTAAGATTTTGGTAGGGTGACTCTATAAAGATCTTGGTGAAGAAAAGTATACAGCTGAATTAAAGTTCTCATATAAAGATCTGAATACATGGAGAAACACACTGTTTCTTAACAGAAAAACTCAATGCTATAAAAGACAATTATTACAAAACATTTATAAATTTAAGACTGTTTCATTCAACATAGCAGCAGGTTTCTGTATAAAATTTGGCAAAATAATTCATCCGGATGAGAAAAAAATAGGAGGAGTAACATTTTTCTAGCAGGTATTAAAGCATATCATAAAGCTTTAGTAATTGATTCAGTGTGGTATTGTCATAGAAATAGACCAGTAAATTGATGGAAGAAAGAGGTGATTTAGAAACAGCCATTTATATGTGAGAGTTCAGTATATGATAAAGGTGACATTTCAAAAGAGTGGGGGAAATGATAGACAATTTATTAAAGAGTGTTCAACAGTTACTTAATCATTTTGGGGAAAATAAAAATCACTCCCACAGCCGGGCATGGTGGCTTACGCCTGTAATCCCAGGACTTTGAGAGGCCGAGGCGGGTGGATCACGAGGTCAGGAGATTGAAACCATCCTAGCTAACACAGTGAAACCCCGTCTCTACTAAAAATACAAAAAAATTAGCCGGGCGTGGTGGCGGGTGCCTGTAGTCCCAGCTACTCAGGAGGCTGAGGCAGGAGAATGGTGTGAACCCGGGAGGTGGAGCTTGCAGTGAGCCAAGATTGTGCCACTGCACTCCAGCCTGGGCGGCAGAGCAAGACTCCGTCTCAAAACAAAAATTAAAAAAAAAAAAAAAAAAAAACCACTCTCAAGTATAAAAAATAAACTCTAGGTGGATTAGGGAGGTAAGCATAAAAATCAAATTTAAAGCACTGGAATAATCTCAATAGATGTAGAGTAAATATTTAACAAAATTAAAGATTCCTTCATGATTAAAAAACTCTTAGAAAATTAGGAGTAGAAAGGAATGTCCTTAATTTTATAAATGACATCTACAGAAAAACCTACATTGTACTTAACAGTGAAAAATGGGATGATTTTCACCTAAGATTGGAAATAAGCTAAGGATGTTCACTCTCTCACTTCAATTCTCAGATATTATTGTCTATTAAGAAAATCCCAAGGCATCTATCCAAAAGTTCATAGAACTAAGAAGTCATTTTAGTAAGTTTTCAAAATACAAGGTCTGTATACTAACAATGAATACATAAAAATCAAAATTAAAAAACAGCATTATTTCCCACACACACCAGTTCCATTTAGCACCAAAAAGATAAATATTTAATATATAGTTAACAAAATTTTCGTTATCTGTGTACTTAAAACTACAAAAGACCAATGAAAGACAGCATATACCTAAATAAATGGCAAGTCTTCCATGGATTGGAAGACTCAGTACTGTGTAGATGTCATTTCTCCCCAAATTGACATATAGATTCGAATGGCCGTAATCAAAATCCAAGTAGGAGTGTGACTTTTGTAGATATTATATTTTAAATTGACATGGAAAGACAAACTAAAATAATCAAAACAATTTTGGAAAAAAACTTTTGAAAATAGGTTGTTAGGAAATGCATACTATTTGATTTTAAGAGCTATTATAAAACTACAGTGATTAGGACAGTGTGGTACTGGTGGGAAAATGGACACAAATATTAACGGAGCAGAGGGAGGATTTCAGAAATAGATCAAACTAGCCAACTGATTTTTGACAAAGGTGCAAACACAGTTCAACGGAGAAAGAATAGTCTTTTCAGCAGATTGTTCTTGAACAGTTGGATATTTGTTCATAAAACCTGAATTTCAATTCATACCTTCCATCTTCTACAAAATTATAATCAAAATGGATTTTAGACCTAAATATAAAAATCCAAAACTATAAAACTTCCATGGAAAAAAAAAGAAGAAAGATTTGTGTTCTAGAGTTAGGCCAAGATTTCTTAGATTTTGATATCAAAAGCATAAGCTATAACAGAAAAAAAGAAATTGGACTTCATCAAAATTAAAAGTTTCTCTGCAAGACACCTAAGATAGTTAGAAGACAAGCAACAGACTGGAAGAAATATTTGCAAATTATGTACCTGAAAAAGAATTTGTATTGAAAAAATATAAAGAACTTTCAAAGTTCAACATTAAACAATAAATAACTCAATTTTTAAAATGGACAAAAGATTTGAACACTTTACTCAAGAAGATGTGGGGCTGGCAAATAAGTATACAAAAAGATGCTCACTATTAACAGTTAGGGAAATGCAGATTGAAACCACAGTGAGGCACCGCTATACACCTTTTAGGTTTTTTGTTTTGTTTTGTTTTTTTGAGACAGTGTCGCTCCGTCGCCTAGGCTGGAGTGCAGTGGCATGATTTCAGCTCACTGTAGCCTCCGCCTCCTGGGTTCAAGCAATTCTTCTGCCTCAGCTTCCCGAGTAGCTGGGACTACAGTCATGCACCACCACACCCGGCTAATTTTTGTATTTTTAGTAGAGACGGGGGTCTCACCATATTGGCCAGGCTGGTCTCGAACTCCTGACCTTGTGATCTGCCCGCCTCAGCCTCCCAAAGTGCTGGGATTACCAGCGTGAGCCACCGCACCCGGCCCTTTTAGAATTTTTTAAATGTTCTTTTTAAACCAGACAATACAGAGCATCTGGAACTCTCAAACTCTGGAGCCCTAAAGCCCAGTGTGCTAGACGGGAGAGATGCCTCCAAGGTCTTATCTCTAGCCACTGGCTTCCGCCATTTGTATGTGGTGTTCTATTTCTAATGTGTAGGCCAGCTTATAAAGTTAAACACACATTTACCACATGATCCAGTAATCCCTCTCCTAGGTAGTTAGCCAAGAGAGCTGAAAACTTATATTCACCCAGAAACCTTTATGTGACTGTTCATGATGGTTTTATTCATAATTGCCCAAAATCAAAAACCAGAAACAACCCAGATGTTGTTCTGCTGGTGAACGGACCAACGCACTGGCACTTCATGCAATGGAATGATAATCAGCAATGAAAAGGGGCAGACTGTGAGACACACAGCAGTGTGGATGGACTTCATCTGCATTATGCCAGGAGAAAAAGTCAGATAAAGGCTACCTACTTTATGGTTCCATTTGTATGAGGAATCCCTTAAAAACAGATCCGTCGTTGCCACAGGCTGGCTGTGGGAGGAAGGGCAGGAATGATTTTGGAGGGTTACAGAACTGTTCAGTATCTTGTTTGAGGGGGTGCTTACATGACTGTATAAATTTGTTAAAAACTCATAGAGTGGTACACAAAGAGAGAATTTTGCTGTTTATGAATTTCAAAATGTGAATTTAAAAATTACTGTGAAAAAATGTAGACTATCTTGGTAATTGCACAGTAGGATAGGAAGGTGTGAAAACTCAGACGCTGTGAAGGAAAAGACTTACAGATCTGATGACTACAAAATATTAAACTTTTATAGGACAAAAGTCACCCTAAACAAAAAATTAGGCCATCGGCTTGTGAATATATATATTCAGCAAATATTACAGACAAAGGACTAACATCCATAATGCAAAGGGTGCCTACAAATTAACATGTAAAAAGGTAAATACTATAAAAGACAAGTGGGCAAAGTACATGAGGTACAGGGTAAGTATAGGGAGTTCACAGAAACCAAAGAGTCAGTAGCTCGGAAGAGATTCACAACCTCACTTTCCATCAGTGAGCTGTGAATGAAAGCAATGATACAATATCATTTTCAACCATCAGATAGGCAAAGCTTTTAAAGATTGTTAAAACCCAACACCAGGAAGGGTGTGAGGCAACAGTCCCGTAGAGTTTTTGGGAGTGTATACATCTGTACAACTTTTTGAAAGATAATTTGGTAGTAGCTATCAAAAACCCAAACGTGCATACTTTTTGACTCAGCAATTTCACTTCTAGGTATTAATACTATAAAATACTCACATAGGTGCACAAATATATATATAAAAGATTTTTTATTAGAACATCATAGTAGTCAAAAATAGGGACCAAATTAAACATCTATCAGCAGAGGAATGGTTACATAAATGAAGTGAGTCCGTAGGGTGGGCTGCTGTGACAGGATGGATGACACATATGTGAGTACTGATAGAGTACTGTGTAAATTTATTTATAATGAAATGCATTATTAAGTGAAAAAAGCAAATAAGAAAACATGCATATTGTCCTATTTAAAAAAAATTACAAATCTACATGCACACACACATACACACACATAGAAGGTCTGGGTAGATACACATCAAAGCTCAGGCAGTGGTTCTTAAAGTAGGGGATCATGAAGGAAAGGTACACATTTAACTCAACAAAATTTGGTCTTACTGGAACTTTAAAAATGCAAATGTGTTTATGTTTTGTTTTATTTTGCTTAACAAATATCTTGGTATTTTACTAAGCTTTTAAGTTAGTGAAATAAAGAGGCATAATTCAAACATATTTATACACTTTAAATTAACTAAGCCCAAGTAGAAAACAAAAAGGTATATAATTCCCAAATCATGAATGAGAAGAAAGAATAAATTTGATTACTACAGTAAAAAAAGAAATAAGAAACAGGAAGTATTACAAATAGAAACCATAAAATAAAGTGACAGAACAAACACCAAGTATAACTTTTGTCATGACAGATGTGGCTTAAAAATATCTTTCAAAACACAAAAGACTCAGATTGAGTAAAAAAAATACAATTTAGTCGTAAGCTGTTTACAAAAGGAGAAACTGCAAAATGAAATTGACAGAGAAGGTAGAAAAGTAATGAGATGGGCAAGAATATCAGAGGCAAATGCAACCCAAAGAACCCATCCATGCATGCTAATATTAAAATCACATGAAATAGAATTCAGGATGAGAATATCAAATGGAACAAATATAATTATTTTTATATGAATAAGTGATATAATGTACTATGAAGGCAATACAGTCAATATAAATGCTTCCAAATAGGGAACTGGTGAATTATATTATGATACCTATTTATTTACAGTGAACCTCTACACAGCCAGGAAATTGCTAATGTAGAAAACATATAATGACCTGCAAATGTTACAAACTATAAAGCAAAAACAAGGTTGTATACTGTAAGTATGACATGATCTCAATTTCGTTTTAACATTTTATTAAAAAGAAAAACGACTGGAAGGCTCACAGTATCAGGGTGCCATGCGGAGGGAGGACAGACATAGCGAAGCAGTCCTGAAACAACACTCGGTCACGTGTGAGGACATAATAATGGGTGTTCAGCCTGGTGGCTGGACAGCTCTGCCTTCAGACCAGCTTTAGCTGCTATGTCTTTTCCCCTTTGTTTTCCAGCCTTCTCACTTCCTATATCTCTTGGCTCCGTAACAGGACTGCCTGGTAATAGCTCATAATCCTTTTTCCTGAGTCTAGTGTGTACCATTGTGAGCTATCACTCTTCCCGTAAGGTTTATGTGATTTCTGTATTTGGTTCCATTATTGATGTTGTGGGATATCCCATGGGAGGTGTCGAGACATTAGGAGGCCATAGATTGTGTTGGAAGCATTTAGGTGATCAGGGGAAGGTGCTGTGTGTTGCAAGGTGGCCAAATCCAATGAGAACAAGATGATCCCCTGGGGACAGATATCTGCATTGATCCTGGAGCTCCTATTGAAGGCTTTCTGTCTCCCCTGATAACATCTTCATAGCATCTCATGGGGATTGGGTTGTTGTGGTGCTGAGAAGGGAATAAATTAAGAGAAAATTGAGAAAATACTGCTATGGAAGAAGGGGGTCTTGATTTATATAAGCCGTGGTCAACATGTTCTCCCTGCAGCTAAGCTTGAGGTAGTACATTGCCTCTTCTCTGATGCTGGGTGCCATCACGAGGCCAGAAAATGTTCCTAGGTTTGGTGAGCCACATTAATCTCTGTCCTTCTCTGAATTACCTTGGAACACTGGAATTTAAAATGTATCCTAGACTGGTACCAGTAGGGACAGGGGAATTTAAGTTACTGACAAGAGTAGTTGAGGAATAGATTGGACACTGACAATAACATCTCAGGGGAAATAATTGGGGGAAGACTAGTGCCAAAACTACAGTAGGAATCTGTTACTCTGGGACACAGATGCAGGGTTAATTGGAATGAAATGTTACTACTTAGTGTGTAAAGGGAGGAAACTTTACTAAATTTCAGTAGATTTCTATGAGACAGAAAGGATATGCAGACTGGAAATCTTCTCTTGCCCTTTACTATCTGTGACTTAGGGCAAACCCCCTAGAACGGTGGTTCTTAAAGCTGAGCCTGCACCAGAAGCATCTATAGGGCGTGTTAAAATCCTGATGGCTTGTCTCCCTGCCAATCTCCCACCCCAGATTTCTGACCGGGTAGGTCTGGGGTGGGACCTTAGAGTTAGCTTTTTCTTTTCTTTTCTTTCCTTTTTTTTTTTTTTTTTTTTTTTTGGAGATGGAGTCTTGTCCTGTTGCCCAGGCTGAAGTACAGTGGGACGATCTTGACTCACTACAATCTCTGTCTCCAAGGTTCAAGCAATTCTTGTGCCTCAGCCTCCTGAGTAGCTGGAATTATAAGCACCCACCACCACGCCTGGCTAATTTTTGTATTTTTAGTAGAGATGGGGTTTCACCATGTTGGCCGGGCTGGTCTTGAACTTCTGACCTCAGGTGATGCCCCAACCTCGGCCTCCCAAAGTGCTGGGATTACGGGGATGAGCCACCGCACCCGGCCAGTATTAGCATTTTTGACATGGTCCCAGCTTGATGTTGTTGTTGCGGGTCTGGAGACCACACTTGAGAACTACCTGCTTAGAATCCCTATGGACAGGTAAAGAAAGTTAAGTTAGTGAATGAAGGATCTCAAAAGATCCTCACTGTATTGAAGAACTTCCCCATTCAAGGGTTGTTAGACAACTGTTAACATTTAAATGGGAATGGCTGTCTGGCTGCTCAGGCAATGACCTCAGAGGTGCTGTCCCTCTTTCAATACATTGGGTCTGGTCCTTCATCTTACAGATTCAGTAAAGCCACAGATTGAGGAATGGGGTAAAGGAAATAATATAGAATCGAGATTTTAGATAAAATTTGTTCAAGCCCCTTCCAGCATCCTGGGAAAATTCCAGTGACTCCCTAGGATGTATGCGACCTTCAAGGGACTCATTTCTCAGCATTACCTTGGGTTCTGAGTCCCTGTCTCACTGACCTCTCACCTTCTATGCCTGTTCCCTTCTTTCTACTGCACATGCCCAGAAAGTGGAATTTGGCCCTTTCCTTATTCCCCCAATGCCACTCACAAGGGATGTGGCAGACATCGTTTTGCCTGTCCAATAGCCCCCCACTTCCTGGTCATAGAACCCCAGTCAGCTTTGGGAAGCTGCCCCTCCCCAGTGGAAGTGGATCCAGGGGGCTGGTAAGGTGTCCTGTCAACTCTAGGGCAAGGACCTGGGAAGTTGCACTCTGAGTCTGGAGTGGGCAGCTGCCCACTGACCTCAAGAGCTGCAGACCAGCTGGGTCGCCAGCACCACATTTCTGATCCTTGCTTTTCAATAGTTCCTTTAATTCTTTGATTTGCTGCATATTTTCCAATAAATCCTGCCGTTCTGAAGTTAGCTCCAGTAGCCTTGCTTGTAAAGAAAAAGAAAAAGCCACAGACTAGAGGTTTGGGATCGAGAAGGGGTTTGTATTTCAGCAGTGCAGATAACTTCAAAGGCAATGTTCGACAGTCTCATTGATTTTACTTAAAAAGTCTTTGGCCGCTCTGCCACAGGACTGTGCTTCTTTTCACCTTCCCTCATGGGCCTCAGTCACCTCATATGTGGTCCCCCCCATTTCCCCTCCATTCCCACCTACGAATTTCCCCAACTTTCCTCTGCTCATGGATGAGTCCTGCAGAGCAGCGTGACTCTCTCTCTGTACTGTCTCCTTTCCAGCCATGCCATGGGGTGTCACCCTCCATATTCAAAGCAGTCTATCTAGGTCTTCTCAAGACAATTCTCTCTTGAAGAGTAACCAAGAGCAACAGCAAGCCTGCTGTTCAAAAAGTACATCTCACTCTGCAACAAATCAGTGCCTACTATGTACCAGTTCTTACAAAGTGACACGTCATCTGATGGAGCAGGTCATTGTATCTTGTGAATGCTGAATAAACCAACAGAACACTGATTTATAAACCATAACAACTTATTATTTAGAGTCAGGGTCTTATTCTGTTGCCACAGCTGGAGTGCAGTGGTGCCATCATAGCTCACTGCAGCCTCAAACACCTGGGCTCAAGGGATCTTCCTGCCTCAGCCTCCCAGAGTGCTGAGATTACAGGCATGAGCCACCTCACCTGGCCTCAACAATTTATTAATTTTAATGTAATCAACAAACAAATGGATTAGAATGGGGGTTGTCAAACTGTGGTCTGCAGGCTGTTTTTGTACAGCCCATGAGCTAAGAACATTTTTAAAGCAGTTTTAATGGGTTGCAAAACAAAAAGAAGAATCTACAACAGAAAACCCATATGGCTTGAAATCTTGAAATATTTATTCTTTGGCGCCTTACAGAAAACATTGGCTAACCCCTGGAACAGAATACTCTTGTAACAAGGTCCTTGAGACTGGGATGGATACCCAGACCTTAGGAAATTGATCAAAGTTGGGCTATTTTATTTGGGGATTGCCTATTTAGGCCAGGAAGCCCTTTCTTCCTGTCATTATAGGAGGTGGCTAATTCTATGGTTGAAAAGGAAAGAGGGAGGGATGTTCTGTGATTGCTGGGCCCAACTTGGAGGTATGAGGAGGCCAAAGAGGTTCTGGGGTAGGAAGAGCTGCTCTTGTCCTGTGGAGGGCCTGGAAGTTGGGCCCCACTGGCCTCTGTGGTCTTTGTCAGAGGGAGTGGTAGCAGAGGAGGCTGGGGCTGTGGATTTGCAGGATTGCATGTGAGAGAGGCAGTCCTGGCAGTGGTGGAGTAGCCCTGGATGCCCCTTAGTTCAGCAGGAGGGGAGGTATGGGGTGAACAAACAGTTGTGGGGATTGACCTGGATTGGGGAACATTTGAAGCTGGCTCTCCCAACTTGTTATAGCAGATGAGCCACGGAGTTAACTGGCTCTCAAACAAATGGATGCCACCCTTATCTCCTGATATCCCTGGCTTCTCTACCTAAGATTGCATCACCCTTACCCCTTTCTTCTTATAGATCCTTTCACTTGTTGCTTTCTCTTCTTGCTACTTAGTACTCTCTAGCTCTGATATTATTTAACCCACCCCTTATTTCTCATTTGTCTCCTTCACTAGAATGCTAGCCCTATGAAAGCAGGGATCTGTTTTGTTCACTGCTTTAACTATAATGCTTTGAACGGTGTCAGGCACACAGCAAGTGCTTAATAAATATTTGTTGATTTAATTGAATGAACTTTATTTCCTTCATAATATTCGTGGGAAAAGAATCACTGGAAAGTCTTAATTCCTACTAATTTGGTCAGGAAGGGGCTTAAAGTCCCTCCAAATTGAACGTTAATGGAAATGTGATCGTATTTTCTATCCTTAACTAATAAAGACTGCCATATTGGTGATATTAGTATCAGTTTGCCAGTACATTTCTTCTTAGCAAAATGCTTACATAGGATGCTAACTTACTAACAAAAGGTTATTTACTGAATCTGGAATCAGAATAAAGGTTGTTGCAGGCATAATCATAGTAGCTGGTGTTAGGAAGCTGTGGGATAGCCTGATGACCATGCACGTGGGATGGGAATACATCTTTCAAGGGGATCAAGAAACTTAGGGAGTATCCGGGGCCCTTCTCTCTCCCATATAATAATAACAGGCCACACTCATAGTGCCTATTCTGTGCCAGGCACTGTTTGTTAAAGTCTTTCTGTGTAATTGGTTGAATGAGTTTATGAGTAATAGTGAATATTTTGAGCATTTACCACATACAGGTACTATTCTGAGAACTTTTCACGTTATTTCATTTACTCCTCGTGAGAGTCTGATGCAGTAGGTTCTGATTGTCCTCCCCATTTTGCACCGGGGCATCAGACACATTGACAGGTTGAGTAAGTTGTTTGAGCTCACACAAATTAGTAGGTAATGGAACTGGGATTTGAGCTCTGGTAGCCACCAGGCCCCTGGTGGACAGTGCTGGAGACCTACTAACTACTGTTGCCACTGGTCTTTTACTTCTCTTCTCTTTTCTTTTCTTTTTTGAGACGGAGTCTCGCTCTGTCACCCAGGCTGGAGTGCAATGGCGTGATCTCGGCTCACAGCAACCTCCACCTCTGTGGTTCAAGCGATTCTCCTGCCTGAGCCTCCTGAGTAGCTGGGGTTACAGGCGTGCACCACCATGCCCAGCTAGTTTTTTTTTTTTTTTTTTTTTTTTTGTATTTTTAGTGGAGATGGGGTTTTACCATGTTGGTCAGGCTGGTCTCAAACTCCTGACCCTGTGATCTGCCTGCCTCGGCCTCCCGGAGTGCTGGGATTATAGGCATGAGCCACTGCGCCTGGCCTGGTCTTTTTTTTTTTTTCTAAACTATACGTGTATTCCAGCCCTTACAACACAGAGCTCTGCAAGTAACAGATGCCCCCAACTTAAAAAAAAAAAAAATGAAGCAAATCCCAGTTCCACGTTCTTCTGGAGATACCTCTTCCCCTTAATTTGACGTGTCTGGCTCCCAAGTCTCATCAGGAATAGGCTGTTATTCTCTAAATCGTAACTATCCCTTGTAAAAGTAGCTACCACTTTAATTCGAAAACCAGGCTAATATTTTAAGTGTATCAAGAGAGGCTTTTTATTGTCACTATCTGTTGAAACCTTCAATAAATCTGAGAGTATTCTTAGAATCAACACATAACTTTTGTGTTTTGTAAGTTTGGAACGTTGCCTGTTGGATTTTCTTAGTGTGGCACATGATTGAAGGGAGCATGTTAACCTTTTAACTAAAATAAAGTGTTTTTGCACAAATTTAGTGATTATACCTGAGCTGGTTAATGTGAGAGAAATGATCTTAAACATGAGCTTACTCTCTTGTTGTGGAGGTAAGACAGACACAGGCTACAATTTGATAACCAATAAAATTGCTTTTGATTAGTGCCAAAATGTATGGAGCAGATATTGAGTCCAGTATTTGGATAAGATAAAATATCTTGGAATATTTTGGGACTAATTTTAGGATAGACATATCATTTTTAGGAATGTTTATAACAGTCCCCATCAGGAGATAATCCCTTCTAGAAGGTTTCTTAGATTTGAACAGTCTTGTTTAAAAAGATAAAAGCTCCTAGAGGGAGCTCACTAAAGGGAATGTGGTTCCCTCTAGTGGTGGTAGAAGAAGTTGTGAATTTTCTTATTTATTTCTTTTTTTCATATTTATTCATTGCATCCTGATACATAGTAGTTCCTGTATTAGAGATACAGAAATAAAAGACACAGTTTTATTTATCAAACTCTTACAAAGTTGGAATAGAGAAGAGCAAATAATTATGATACTGTATCTGAAAATAGTAAAAAGCCTCCTAGTCCAGATCTGGAGGGATGGGGTTAGACAAGGAAAGACTTCCTGAAGAATTAGATGTTATCTGAGTTTTTATAAAAGGAGCACCTATTATTTCTTCCTCTATACAATAGTAATGTATTATACGGGTATATTTGACGTTTATTTTGGAAAATTTGGGAAACAGATGAGTTTTTAAAAAGTCCATTATTTTCTTCACCAAAAGATAACCACTTACAACATTTTGCTATATCTGCTACAAGCCACTTTTTATGGATAATTTATGTTTTAACAGAATTTATGCCCATGACATTTTGTAATGTACTTTAAACAAGTTAATATATTTTGAAAATTTTCTTGTATTACTACATTCACTAGTATAACATTATTCGTTCTCAAAATAGTTTTCCCCTTTTTCCCACTGTTACTTTTTCAGGTGAACTTTAGAAAAATTTTGTTCATTTTTAAAATTCCATCGATATTTATTTATTTATTTATTTATTTATTTATTTATTTGAGACAGAGTCTCACTCTGTCTCCCAGGCTGAAGTAAAGTGGTGCGATCTCTGCTCGCTGCAACCTCTGCCTCCTGAGTTTTAAGAGATTCTCCTGGCTCAGCCTCCCAAGTAGCTGGGATTACAGGCACCCACCACCATGGCTGGCTAATTTTTTTTTTTTTTTTTTTTTGAGATGGAGTTTTGCTCTTGTCACCCAGGCTGGAGTGCAGTGGCGCGATCTCAGCTCACTGCAACCTCCGCCTCACGGGTCCAAGTGATTCTCCTGCCTCAGCCTCCCGAGCTGGGATTACAGGCGTGTGCTACCATGCCTGGCTAATTTTTGTATTTTTAGTAGAGGCTGGGTTTCACCATGTTGGCCAGGTTGGTCTCGAACTCCTGACCTCAGGTGATCTGCCCGCCTTGGCCTCCCAAAGTGCTAGGAGATTTTTTTTTTTTTTTTTTTTGAGACGGAGTCTAGCTTTGTTGCCCAGGCTGGAGTGCAGTGGCGTGATCTCGGCTCACTGCAAGCTCCGCCTCCTGGGTTCATGCCCTTCTCCTGCCTCAGCCTCCTGAGTAGCTGGGACTACAGGCTCCTGCCACTACGCCTGGCTAATTTTTTTTGTGTATTTTTAGTAGAGACGGGGTTTCACCATGTTAGCCAGGATGGTCTCTATCTCCTGACCTCATGATCCGCCTGCCTTGGCCTCCCAAAGTGCTGGGATTACAGGTGTGAGCCATCGCGCCCGGCTGTGCTGGGAGATTATAGGCGTGAGCCACTGTGCCCGGCTTAAAATTCCATTGATATTTAGATTGTGAGAAATATAGAAATTTATTTGGGGAGAGTTTATATCTTTATAATATTAAATTAAGTCTTGTATCTAGACATGTAGTAGGTCTCACCATCCATTTGAACCTTCATTTTTGTTCTCCCTATCAAATGTTACAGTTTTCATCATTGGGTACAGCACTTTAATTTAAAGGTTTTTTTCTAGGTGTTTTATGTTTTTGTTTTTATTTATTTATTTGAGACAGAGTTTCGTTCTTGTTGCCCAGGCAGGAGTGCAATGGCGTGATCTCAGCTCACTGCAACCTCCCCATCCCGAGTTCAAGCGATTCTAGTGCCTCGGCCTCCTGAGTAGCTGGGATTACAGGCAGCCCCCACCACACCTGGCTAATATTTTGTATTTTTAGTAGAGACGGGATTTCACAGTGTTGGCCAGGCTGGTCTCAAAATCCTGACCTCAGGCGATCCACCTGCCTTGGCCTCACAAAGTGCTGGGATTACAGGCGTGAGCCCCCACACCCGGCATGTATTTTTATTGAATTGGCTATTGGATCTTCCTTGACTCTTTTTTTTTTAAACTAATTATTATGGATATAGGCATAGTAACACAACTGATTTTTAAATGTTTTGAGACCTTACTGATGCCAGAATTTTAATCTTTTTAGTTTTTTGTTGTTGTTGTTGTTGGTTTTTCATGTAGATAATCGCCAGCACCTAAAATAATCACCATTAATCCTTTTATTTTTTCTTATCTTAATGCATTGGGAGGAATAGCCATAACTACATTAAATAATATAGGAACTTTTGTCTTGCTTTTTACTTTATTCTTGTTTTACCTTAAAGTGTAGGATTGTCTGATTTTTTTTTTGACATAGATATTTTTCACATTATGCCTTATTTACTAAGTTCTCTTTTTAATTTGGAATAAGTACTAAATTTGTCAGATGTCTTCTTGGTATTTATATTAGTTTCCTAGGGATGCCTAAAAAAATCACCACAAATGTAGTGGCTTAAAACAACAGAATTTACTCTCTCACAGTTCTGATGGCCAGAAGTCCAAAATGAAGGTCTTGCAGAGTTGACATCTTCTGGAGACTCTGAGGGGGAATCCCTTCCACGGTCCCCTTCCGGCCTCTGATGGCTGTCAGCGATCCTTGGTACTCTTTGACTTACAGCTCTGCCTTCATCTTTACATCTTCTTCTCCTCTGTCTGTGTCTTCTCTTCTCGGGACACTTGTCATTGGATTTAGAGCCTACCTGGATAATTCACAATGATCTCATCTTGAGAGTCTTAATTATGTCTACAAAGACTCTTTTTCTAAATAAGGTCACGTACACAGATTCCTGGTAGACATATTTTTGTGTGTGTGTGTATGGGCCACAACACAAACTACTACAGCATCTATTAAGAAAGGTATCTTTTTTACTAGACAGGCAGTTTAACCAACTAAGACGCAGTGCCGCCCAAGAAAGATATCTTTTGGCTGGACGTGGGGGCTCAGAACTGTAATCCCAGCACTTTGGGAGGCTGAGGTGGGAGGATCACTTGAAGCCAGGAGTTCAAGACCAGCCTGGCCAACATAGTGAAACCCCATCTTTACTAAAAATACAAAAAAATTAGCCGGTTGTGGTGGCACACGCCTGTATTCTCAGCTGCTCGGAGACTGAGGCAGGAGAATCACTTGAACCTGGGAGGCAGAGGTTTCAGTGAGCCGAGATGGCACCACTGCACTCCAGCCTGGGCGACAGAGTGAGACACTGTATCAAACAAAACAAAACAAACAAAAAACCTGAAAGGTATCTTTTAACTTGTTCTATAGATAAGTCTCTCCTCCCCCCTTCTCTCCTCTCATTTCTCTTTCTTCCAGAAAAAAAAAAATCCCTTTCTCTAACCCCATTCTTTCTAACACTGTTTTTCAGATCTCAGCTTAAAGGTTACTACGTGAAAAGCTGTTTTTGATTCAGTAGACTTGGCTAAATACTCCTCCTGTGTATAGTATGTGCTCTTTGTCGCCCCTGAACTTCTATTATCATATTACATCATATCTTCTTTGGCCATTTTTGTGACCCTGTAACTTGGAATCATGGATATATCGCTCCCTATTTTATTCCCAGAGATTGATGCATCAACCAACATATAAAAAGATTTATACATATTTTGGTATAAAAACTTAATATGATGCATTAAACTAATAGATTGTCTTCTGTTGAACTGTTCTGTTCTTGTAACAAATGGCAGTTAGTCATACTGTGTTATTCTTTTACTATAGTGTTTGAATTTGCATATTAGACATTTTATTAGATTTTTTGCATCTATATTCAAAAGCAAGTATGGTCTTTTGCTATTCATTACTTTGGTTTAGGGAGCAGAGATAAGCTAGATAAATAAGTTGTCTGTCTTCTGGAAGTGTTAAGTAGCATGGGAGGTATGTGATACTTGAGTGCCTAAAAGAGCTTCATCATATAGCCATCTAGGCCCACTAACCTATTTCAAGTCTGGCTAAACATCTCCCAACTTTTCATCATTATTGGTTTTTGTACTTCTGTCTTTTGAGTTTTTCTACTTCTTTCTTGAAGAAAGGTAGCTCGTTCATCATATTTCGATTTTCAAAAATTTGATATGAGTTGTATATTGAAATCTCTTACAATTTAAAAATCTATTTCATAGTTCCAATGATGTCTTCTTTCTCATTACTAATGGTGTCTTTGTTGTTTCATCTTTTTCAAGTTTAATTTTCTGCAGATTTTTTTCATTAGATTTTTAAAAATTAGGTAATTAATTTAAAAAACTTATTGAGGTATATGTGACATACCATAACATTTATCCATTTCAAGTTAACAATACAATAATTTTCAATAACGCTACCCTGTGGTTCAGCCATCAGCATAAATCAGTTTTAGAATGTTTTCATGAGCCCATAGAAAGATCCCTCATGTCCATTAAAAGTTAATTCCCATTCCCGTCCCCAGCTCTAGGCAACCAATAATCTACTTGCTCTCTCTATAAGTTTGCCTTTTCTGGACATTTCATATAAGTGAAGTTATAAAATATGTGATCTATTGCATCTGGATTATTTCGCTGAGCATAATATTTTTGTGAGTCATCCATGACAAGCATGTGTCAAGAGTTTGTTCCTTTTCATTCCTGCGTAGAATTTCATCATATGAATATACTGCATTTTGTCTATTCATTCACCAGTTGAACCAATCAGTTAGGTTGTTTCTAGTTTTTTGTATTATAAACAGTGCTTCTGTGAACATTTGTGTGCATGTGTTTGTTTGGACACATGTTTTTATTTATCTTGGGTAGGACCTAGGAGTAGAATTGCTGGGTTATGTATTAGTTTTATGACTTACTTTTAAAGAAACTGTCAAACTATTTTCCAAAGAAAAGAAAAAGACTTTTCCACATTCCAAAGAAAAAACTTTATCTCCATACTTTTATTCAAGAATGGATTAATTATTTCCAGGTCTATTTTTATGTTTTTGAGGACCCTCCATACTGTTTCCATAATGGCATACTAATTTCCATCCTCACCAACAGTGTGCAATGCTTGCCTTTTTTCCACATCCTTGCCCATTCTTATTATGTTCTGTCTTTGATAATAACCATTCTAACAAGTGCCAAGTGATATTTCACTGTGGTTTTTATTTACATTTTCCTGATGATTAGTAATGTTGAGTTTTTTTTTTTTAATATATATACCTATTAGCCCTTTGTGTGCCTTCTTTTGAGAAATGTCTTTTCAGGTCCTTTGCCCATTTTCTAATTGGGTTGTTTTCTGGCTGTTGAGTTATGGGAATTTTCTTATATATTTTGGATGTTCATCCCTTATCAGATGGTTTACTAACATTTTTTCTTTTTCCATACATTGTCTCTTTACCCTGCTAATTGTTTCCTTTGCTGTGCAGAAGCTTTTGAAGTTGATGTACTGTCGTCTATTTTTGCTTTTGTTGCCTGTGCTTTTGGGGTCATATTTTAAAATTCATTTCCCAGACCAATGTCAAGAAGCTCTTCCTTTATGTTTTCTTCTAGTAGTTTTATAGTTTCAGGTCTTATATTTAAGTCTTAATCCATTTTGGGTTTTTTATATATAGTATGAAATTAGGGTCTAATTATATTTTTCTACATATGGATATCCAGTTTTCCCAACACTATTTATTGCAAATACTGTCTTTTCCCCATTGTATGTTATTGGCATCTTTGTTGAAAGTCAATTGAATGTAAATACATGGACTTACTTCTGCATTCTCTATTCTGTTTCACTGGTCTATGTGTGTGTATTTATGCCAGTACGGTGCTATATATATATATATATGCACACACACACATATATATATATATACACACACACAAACACATTTATATATACTTTAAATTCTGGGTTACATGTGCAGAACATGCAGTTTTGTTACGTAGGTATACACATGCCCTGGTGGTTTGCTGCACCCATCAACCCGTCACCTACATTAGGTATTTCACCTAATGTTATCCCTTCCCTAGTCCCCCACCCCTGACAGGCCCCAGTGTGTGATGTTCCCCTCCCTGTGTCCATGTGTTCCCATTGTTCAACTCCCACTTATGAGTGAGAACGTGCGGTGTTTGGTTTTCTAATCTTGTGATAGTTTGCTGAGAATGATGGTTCCCAGCTTCATCCGTGTTCCTGCAAAGGACATGAACTCATCCTTTTTTATGGCTGCATAGTATTCCATGGTGTATATGTGCCACATTTTCTTAATCCAGTCTATCATTGATGGACATTTGGGTTGGTTCCAAGTCTTTGCTATTGTGAATAGTGCTGCAGTAAACATGTGTGCCTGTGTCTTTATCGTAGAATGATTTATAATCCTTTGGGTATATGCCCAGTAATGGGATTGCTGGGTCAAATGGTATTTCTAGTTCTAGATCCTTGAGGACTCGCCACACTGTTTTCCACAATGGTTGAACTAATTTACACTCCCACCGACAGTGTAAAAGCGTTCCTATTTCTCCACATCCTCTCCAGCACCTGTTGTTTCCTGACTTTTTAATGATTGCCATTCTAACTGGTGTGAAATGGTTTCTCACTGTGGTTTTGATTTGCATTTCTCTAATGGCCAGTGATGATGAGCATTTTTTCATATGTCTGTTGGCTGCATAAATGTCTTCTTTTCATAAGTATCTGTTCATATCCTTTGCCCATTTTTTGATGGGGTTGTTTTTTCCTGGTAAATTTGGTTAAGTTCTTTGTAGATTCTGGATATTAGCCCTTTGTCAGATGGATAGATTGCACAAATTTTCTCCCATCCTGTAGGTTGTCTGTTCACTCTGATGATAGGTTCCTTTGCTATGCAGAAGCTCTTTAGTTTAATTAGATCCTGTTTGTCAATTTTGTCTTTTGTTGCCATTGCTTTTGGTGTTTTGGACGTTAAGTCTTTGCCCATGCCTATGTCCTGATGGTATTGCCCAGGTTTTCTTCTAAGATTGTTATGGTCCTGGGTCTTATGTCTAAGTCTTTGATCCATCTTGAGTTGATTTTTGTAGAAGGGGTAAGGGCATTTCCGTTTTCTGCATATGGCTAGCCAGTTTTCCCAACACCATTTGTTAAATAGGAAATCTTTTTCCCCATTGCTTGTGTGTGTCAGGTTTGTCAAAGATCAGATGGTTGTAGCTGTGTGGCATTGTTTCTGAGGCCTCCGTTCTGTTCTGTTGGTCTATATATCTGTTTTAGTACCAGTACCATGCTGTTTTGGTTACTATGGCCTTGTAGTATAGTTTGAAGTCAGGTAGTGTGATGCCTTGAGCTTTGTTCTTCTTCCCCAATATTGTCTTGGCTATGTGGGCTCCTGTTTGGTTCCATATGAAGTTTAAAGTAGTTTTTTTTTCAATTCTGTGAAGAAATTCAGTGGTAGCTTGATGGGGATAGCATTGAATCTATAAATTACTTTGGGCAGTATGGCCATTTTCACAATACTGATTCTGCCTCTCCATGAGCGTGGAATGTTTATCTATTTGTTTGTGTCCTCTTTTATTTCCTTGAGCAGTGGTTTGTAGTTATCCTTGAAGAGTTCCTTCACACCCGTTGTAAGTTGGATTCCAAGGTATTTTATTCTCTTAGTAGCAATTGTGGATGCGAGTTCACTCATGATTTGGCTCTCTGTTATTGGTGTATAGGAATGTTTGTGATTTTTGCACAGTGGTTTTGTATCCTGAGACTTTGCTGAAGTTGCTTATCATCTTAAGGAGATTTTGGCTGAGACGATGGGGTTTTCTAAGTATACAATCATGTCATCTGCAAACAGACAATTTGATTTCCTATTTTCCTAATTGAATACCCTTTATTTCTTTCTCTTGCCTGATTGTCCTGGCCAGAACTTCCAACACCATGTTGAATAGGAGTGGTGAGAGAGGCATCCTTGTCTTGTGCCAGTTTTCAAAGGGAGTGCTTCCAGGTTTTGCCCATTCAGTATGATTTGGCTGTGGGTTTGTCATAAATAACTCCTATTATTTTGAGATATGTTCCATCAATACCTAGTCTGAGAATTTTTAGCATGAAGGGCTGCTGAATTTTGGCAAAGGCCTTTTCTGCGTCTATTGAGATAATCGTGTTTTTTGTCATTGGTTCTGTTTATGTGATGGATTACATTTATTGATTTGCATATGTTGAACCAGCCTTGCATCCCAGGGATGAAGCCAAGTTGATCGTGGTGGATAAGCATTTTGATGTGCTGCTGGATTCAGTTTACCAGTATTTTATTGAGGATTTTTGCGTTGATATTCATAAGGGATATTGGCCTAAAGTTCTCTTTTTTTGTTGTGTCTCTGCCGTGCTTTGGTATCAGGATGATCCTGGCCTCATGAAATGAGTTAGGGAGATTCCCTCTTTTTCTATTGACTGGAATCGTTTCAGAAGGAATGGAAGCATCTCCTCTTTGTACCTCTGGTAGAATTCAGCTGTGAATCTGTCTGGTCCTGGACTTTTTTTGGTTGGTAGGTTAGTAATTATTGCCTCAATTTCAGAACCTGTTATTGGTCTGTTCAGAGATTCAGCTTCTTCCTGGTTTAGTCTTGGGAGGGTGTATGTGTCCTGTTATTTATCCGTTTCTTCTATATTTTCTAGTTTATTTGCATAGAGGTGAGCTTTATTTATTTAGGTGCTCCAATGTTGGGTGCATATATATTTACAATCATTATATCTTCTTGATTAATTGGCCTTGTAATCATTATATAATGACCTTCTTTGTTTCACTTTATAGTGTCAACTTAAAGTCTGTTTTATCTGATACGAGGTTAGTTACCTCTGTTCTCTTTTGGTTTCCATTTTCATGGATTATCTTTCTCAATATTTTCACTTTCAATCAATGTATGTCCTTAAAAGTGAAGTGAGGCCAGGCATACTGGCTCATGCTTGTAATCGCAGCACTTTGGGAGGCTGAGGTGAGCAGATAACTTGAGGTCAGGAGTTCCAGACCAGCCTGGGCAACATAGTGAAACCCTGTCTCTACTAACAAAAAACCAAAAAAAAAAAAAAATTAGCTGGGCATGGTGGTGTGCGCCTGTAATCCCAGCGACTCAGGAAGATGAGGCAGGAGAATTGCTTGAACCAGGGAGGCGGAGGTTGCAGTGAGCCAAGATCGCACCACTGCACTCCAGCCTGGGCGACAGAGTGAGACTCCATGTCAAAAAAAAAAAAAAGAAATGAGTCTGGTAGGCCCCATATATTTATTTGGAGCTCGTTTTTTTTATCCATTAAGCCACTCTATGTCTTTTGTTGGGAAAATTTAATCCATTTACATTCAAGGTAATTATTGATAGGTAATCAATAATTATTGATTTAATAACTGATTATTGATCATAATAATTATTTTGGACATTTTGTTCATTGTTTTCTGCTTGCTTTGTAGTTCTTTTTTCCCCTTCTTCCTCTCTTGCTGTATTTCTTTGTGATTAGATGATTTTCAGTAGTGGTGTGCTTTGAAGACTTTTATCTCTTGTGTAGCTACTATATGTTTTTGCTTTGTAACTAGCATGAGGCTTACAGAAAACCAGCTCAGGCATCGGGCCACCCTGCTCAAAAACTCCAGCATTATGCCTGCCTGTGGATTAATGCTAGATGGCTTGCCCAGAATCTCTGGACAGGCTTACTGGTGAAGATAGTTTGTCATCACTGGAATATGTGCCTACTTACTCAAATGCACAGAAACCAGTGCATAGCCACAAGGATCACAAACAATCAGGGAAACATAACACTACCAAAGGAACAAATTAAAGCACCAGTAACCAAGTTTAAAGAAATGGAGATCTAATGAACTGTCTGACAAAGAATTCAAAATAATCAAAGAAGCTTAGTGAGCTACAAGAGAACACATATAGACAACTAAATAAAATCAGGGCAACAATACACAAACAAAATTAGAAGTTCTACGATGAGATAAAAACCATAAGAAAGAACCAAACAGAAAATCTGGAGCTAAACTGGCTCCAGTTTTAGCCAGCTCCACTGGCTAAACTGAAAAATTCTGTAAAGAGGTCAATCACACACAAGAAAGAATCACTGAGGTCAAAGATCATTTGAAATTACCTGGTGAGAACAAAAACAAGAAAAACAATAATGATGAAACGGTGAAAAATGTATATGGGAATTACAAGACTTCTTCAAGTGAACCAATGTTGACATTATGGGAATTTAAGGAGGAGCAGAGAAAGAGAAAGGATTAGAAAGCATATTTAAATAAATAATGATGAAAAAAACCCTTCCAAATCTGGAAAGGGAAATGACCATCCATATCCTGAATCCCAAAGAACCCTAAATAGATTAAATATAAAATTATCTTCACTGAGACACATTGTAATCAAACTCTCAAAAGTTAAAGACAAAAAGTTTGAAAGCAGAAAGAGAATAGAACCTTGTTTCATACAAGGGGACCCCCATAAGACCATCAGCAGATTTCTCAAAAGAAACTTTGTAGGCCAGGAGAGAGTAGAATGATTTATTCAAAGTACCGAAAGAAAAAAAAATCCTGCCATATAGAGCAAGGCTGTTCTTTCAGAAATGATAGAGACTTTAGAACATTCCCAGATTAAAAAAAAAAAAAACTGAGGGAGTTTATCATCACTAGATCTGCTTTAAACAAAAATGCTGGCCTGTAATCCCACCACTTTGGGAGGCTGAGACAGGAGGATCGCTTGAGGCCAGGAGTTCAAGACCAGCCTAGGCAACATAGCAAGACCCCATTTCCATTTTTTAAATGCTAAAGGTAGTTCTTTAAACAGAAAAGTAACATGGAAACATATGAAATTATGAAACTCATTAGTAAAAGTAAGTACATAGTCAAATCCAGAATATTCTAATATGATAATGGCAGTGTATAAATCACTTATATCTCTAGTATGAAGACTAAAAGGGAAAACTCTAAAATAATAGTTATAAAAGTTTGTTAAGGGATACACAATCTAAAAAGATGTAAATGGTGACTTCAAAAACATAAAATGTGTGTGGGGTGCTAAAGTGTGTAGTTTTTTTACATAACTGAAGTTAAGTGAGCAGCTTAAAATAGGCTCTTGTAAGTATAAGATGTTTTATATAAACCTCACTGCTTCATTAAAATCTTTTATTTATAATTTTAATTGACTTAAAAATTTAATAGACTATTTTTTAGAGCAATTTTAGGTTTACAGAAAAATTGATTAGATAATACAGAGAGTTTCTAAATAACCCTTCTTTCCCGGCACGCAGTTTTTCTATTATTAACATCTTTCACTGGTAAGGTACATTTTTTACAATTGATGAAATTGTATTGATACATTATAATTCATTAAAGTCCACAATTTACATTAGGGTTCACTCTTTGTGTTGTACAGTTCTATGGCTTTTGACATAGTGTCATGTATCTATCTCTACATTATCATATAGAATAGTTTCACCACTCCAAAAATCCCCTGTACTCCATCTATTCAACTTTTCTTCCCTTGCCCCTAGCAAAGACTGATTTTTTTACTGTCTCTTACAGTTTGCCTTTTCCAGAATGTTCTATGATTGGAATCATATAGAATGTGCTTTTTTTAGACTGCTTTTTTTTACTTACCAATATGTATTTAAAGTTCTTTCATGTCTTTTTATGGTTTAATAGCTCATTTTCTTTTATCACTGAATAATAGTCCATTGTATGGATATACAACAGTTTGTTTATCCATCCACTTATTTAAGGGAATCTTGGTTGCTTCCAGTTTCTGGAAAGTATGAATAAAGCTGCTATAAACGTTCATTTACAGGTTTCTGTGTGCACATAAGTTTTCAACTTAATTGGGTAAATACCTAGGAGCACAGATGCTGTATTGTAATGTAAAACTATATTTACGTTTGTATGAAATTGCCAAACTGTCTTCCAAAGTGGCTGTAACAGTTTGCATTCCCGTCAGCAATGACTGGGAGTTCCTGTTGCTCCACATCTTGCTCCACATCCTCATCATCATTTGATATTTTCAGAATTTTGGATTTTAGCCATTTTAATAGTGTAGCAGTATCTCATTGTTATCCTAATTTGCAATTACCTAATGACAATTTATTTTGTTTTCATATGCTTATTTGTTGCCATATATTCTCTGGTGAGACATCTGTTCTGATCTTTTGCCTGTTTTAAAATTAGATTGTTTGTTTACTTATTACTGAGTTTTGTTTTGTTTTGAGACAGAATCTCGTTCTGTCACCCAGGCTGGAGTGCAGTGTTGCAGTCTTGGCTCACTGCGAGCTCCGCCTCCCGGGTTCACGCCATTCTCCTGCCTCAGCCTCCGGAGTAGCTAGGACTACAGGCGCCCACCACCATGCCTGGCTAATTTTTTTGTATTTTTAGTAGAGAACGGGTTTCACTGTGTTAGCCAGGATGGTCTCGATCTCCTGACCTTGTGATTTGCCTGCCTCGGCCTCCCAAAGTGCTGGGATTACAGGCGTGAGCCACTGTGCCCGGCCACGTATTACTGAGTTTTAAGAATTATTTGTCTATTTTGGATATGTGTTCTATCAAATGTGTGTTTCACAAATATTTTCTTCCAGTGTGTGGCTTGCCTTTGCATTCTCTTAACAATGTATGTCACAGAGCAAAAAGCTTTAATTTTAATGAAGTTCAAGCTGTCAATTTTTTATTTCATGAATTGCGGTTTTGGTGTTCTATCTAAAAACTCATTGCCAAACCCAGGGTCATCTACATTTTCCACTATGTTAAATATTTCAGGCAGTTTTATAGCTTTCTGTTTTACATAGAGCTATGATCCATTTTGAGTTAATTTTTATGAAAGATGTAAGGTCTGTATCTAGATTCTTTCTTTCTTTCATTTTTTTTTTCCTGCATGTGGATGCCCACTTGCTTCAGCACCATTCGGTGAAAACACCATTCTTTTTCCATTGAATTGCCTTAACTCATTTGTCAGACATCAGTTGACTATATTTGTATGGGTCTATCTCTGAGCTCTCCATCTGTTCTACTGATCTATTTGTCTATTCTTTGCTTTTGTTTTGTTTTTTGAGACTGGGTCTCTGTTGCCCAGTGGTGTGATCCCAGCTCACTGCAAACTTGACCTCCCCAGACTGAGGTGGTTTCCCCACCTCAGCCTCCTGAGTAGCTGGGACCACAGGCATGTGCCACCAAACCTGGCTAATTTTTGTATTTTTTGTAGATATGAGGGATGGGGTCTCACCATGTTGCCAGACTGGTCTTGAACTCCTGGGCTCAAGTGATCCACCCACCTTGGCCTTCCAAAATGCAGGGATTATGGGCATGAGCCACCACACCTGTCCTATTTGTCTTTTCCTTCACTAATACCCCATTATCTTGATTACTGTAAGCTTTATAGTAGGTCGTGGGGTCAGGTTGTGTCAGTCCTTTGATTTTGTTCTTCTTTAGTATTTTCTGAGTATTTTGGATCTTTTGCCTTTCATATAAACTTTAGAATCAGTTTATCAATGTACACAAAATAACTGGCTTGGATTTTGATCAAGATTGCATTGAATCTATATATTAAGTTGAGAAGAACTGGCATCTTAAAAATATTGTCTTCTTATCCATAAACATAGACTCTCTCTCCATTTATTTAGATCTTCTTTAATTTCTTTCACCACAGTTTTGTAATTTGTCTCACAAAGATCTTGTAAAAATTTTGTTAAATTTATACCTATGTGTTTCATTGCTTTTTGGTACTAATGTAAATGATATTATGTTTTAAATTTTTAACTCTAATAGTTCATATTGACATATGATGATATGTCATATACATAGAATTGAGAGATTTCTATGTACTGCCTCTGTTTGTTACATAATTAAATCCTCATAAAAATTCCATAAGGTAGGTTCTTTTAGTATCCACATGATATGGTTTGCCTGTGTCCCCACCCAAATCTCATCTTGAATTGTAGCTCCCACAATTCCCACATGTCGTGGGAGGAACCTGGTGGGAGTTGATTGAATTATGGGGATGGGTCATTCCTGCGCTGTTCTTGTCATAGTGAATGAGTCTCACGAGATCTGATGGTTTTGAAAAAATGGAAGTTTCCCTGCACAAGCTCTCTCTTTGCTTGCTGCCATCCATGTAAGATGTGACTTGCTCCCCCTTGCCTTGTGCTATGATTGTGAGGCTTCCGCAGCCACATGGAACTGTAAGTCCAATTAAACCTCTTTCTTTTGTAAATTGTGCAGTTTTTTCAGCAGCTTGAAAATGGACTAATACACCACATTTTGGAGATAAGAAAAATTAAGACAAAGTTTAAACGACTTGCTCCATTTCCATAGTGACTAGGTGACAGAGCTAGTATTCAAATCCACATAGCCTATATTTACCTCTGCTGATATAATGTACTTATTCTTTTTTTATTTAGAAAAAGCATTTAAGAGTTTGATTTATTGTTGTTTGGTGTATAACATTCCATATCTATCACATCTGCTGTGAGGATTATACCCTTTATTGGTATAAAAATTTCCTTTTTTAAATTTAATGTATATTGACTCACTTTACATATCAAAATATTTAATTTTGTCTTATTTGTATTTGTCAATATATCTTTGAACATTGTTTAATTTACAACCTTATAAAGAGCACACAGTTGGAGTTTATTTCTTATACTGACTGTGTCTTCTGTTGTTATGCTTAATGCTTTTTTCCCCTTTCCCTCATTTCCTTTGTTATTTCTTTTTATGCATGGACTACATTGTTCTTTACTTTTACCTCCTTCAGGTATTTGAAGGTTTTAGATAGTTTTAAAAATTCTATCTGTGGTACCCTTTAAACTTTTTTTTGTTACAAAAGTAATATATAATCACTGACAATAATTCCAACACTTCAGAAATATATAAACCAAAAAAGTGAAAACCCATCCTTCATTTTTCACCTTCTCCCAGTAAAATACATTTTTTTCCTCAGCAGAGTAACCTATTTAACAGTTTGGTTCAACTATATGGATAGGCTTTATTTTAACAGCTACATAGTCTTCCATAGTAAGACTCTATTTACCCTTTCTCTAAGTGTTGAAACTTCAAGTTGTCTTAATCTATTTGTATATTTTTTAATGATGCAGTATTTTCCTTATAGATCTGTGAATATTTTTCTATCTGGTACATTTCTAAAGTGGCATTGCTGATCCAAGTATATGTGTATTTTTATTTATAAAAGATACTTTCAAATGGCTATAAATTGTACCAACTTGTTTTCCCAATGGTAATGTATGAGAGAGTGCTCATTTCATCACACTCCTACAAACACTAAATGGTATTAGTAGTTGGCCAAGCTGATGAGGAGGGAAGGAATTCCAACATCATTTAAATGCAAATGGTGGCAGATTTATCTGTTCTCTTTAAACATTTTTTTCTAGTACTTTACCTTTTAATTATTTTGCTTACATTATTGTATTGGCTGGACCAATCTAGACTGATGCTGAGAATCTTCTGTCAAGACCTGGGCCTTAAACCTGGCCATGAAGAATTAGAGACCCCTGTTAATTCAGGATCTCACATGGCAGTAAAACATCTCACCCAGCAGCTTACACCACACCTCCCTGTTACATCTTTTATTCTTAGCATATGTAATAACAGATTCTTGTTAGGAGTAGGCACTGAATTTTATCAAGATATTTTTAGGGGCATCTATTAAAGGGATCATATAGTTTTCTTCTTTACTTTTGGGAAGTTGTGATTAATACAACTACCTTGTTTATTATATTAATAGATATTCTAATGCTGAGACATTGTTGCCTTTCAGATTAAGATTTTATTGGTGGTAATCCCTCCCCGATCTCCATCCCTTTTCTCCTCCTCCTCCTCTTTTTCTTGTTGTTGTTCTTCCTCCTCCTCCACTTCTTTTTCTTGTTGTTGTTTTTCTTCCTCCTCCTCCTACCCTTCTTCCCCTTCCCCTCCTCCTCCTCTTCCTCCTCCTCATCCTCCTTCAACAACTCCTCCTTCTCCTCCTTCTCCTTTCTTTCTTGGCTGAGCACAGTGGTTCACGGCTATAATCCCAGCACTTTGGAGACCAAGGCAGGAGGATTGCTTCAGGCCAGGGGTTCAAGACCAGCCTGGGCAACATAGGGAGACCACATCTCTATAAAAAAAAATTTTTAAAGTAGCCAGGCATGGTGGTATGCACCTGTGGTCCTGACTACATGGGAGGCTGAGGTGGGAGGATTGCTTGAGCCTGGGAGGTCAAGTCTGCAGTGAGCTGTGATTACACTACCATATTCCAGCCTGAGCAACAGAGCAAGACCCCCATTTCTAATAAATAAATTATTTAGGTGGCAAATTTAGAATTCCAGTCCAAAATGTACTTTTTGTAAAACTTTTTCTTTGGAAATAAAGATTCACAGAAAGTTGCAAAAATAGTGTACAGAGATCTGATGTACCCCTCAACCAGTTTTGTTCAATAGTTAGATCTTATCTAACTACAGTATAATAGCAAAGCCAGGAAATTGACATTGTTACAATGTGTGTATATAGTTTTATGCCATTTGTCACAAGAGTAGCTTCCTTTAACCACTGCTGCAATCAAGGTGCAGAGCTATCCCCCTCACCACAAAGACCTCCCTCATGCTACTTTTCTGTGTCACATCCACTCCACTCCCTACCGTCTTTTAGCCTTGACAACCACTAATTTGTTCTCCAACCCTATGATTTTTGTCATTTTCAGAATTTTACATAAGTGGAATCATACAGTATGTGACCTTTTGAGGCTGCCTTTTAAAAAAGACTCAATATAATGCCCTGAAACCCCATTTAAATTGTAAATGAACAAAAGTTCATTTACTTTTTATTGCTGAGAAGTATTCCAAGGTATGATGTACTAAAGTTTGTTTAACTATTCACCTATTGAAGTACATTTTTGTTTTTTTCTAGGTTTTCACTAGTACAAATAAAGTTTTTATGAACAATCATGGAAATCATGCACAGGTTTTTGTGTGAAGTTAAGTTTTCATTTCTTTGGGATAAATGCCTGGGAATGTGATTGCTGGGTCATATGGTAAATGTACATACAGTTGGCCCTCCATATCCGTGGGTTCTACATCAATGAATTCAGCCAACCATGGATCAAAAATATTTTGGGAAAAAACATAAAAATAACAATACAACAATAGGAAATAATATAAATTTTAGAAAATACAGTATGTCAACTATTGAAATAGCATTTGCATTGTATTAGGTATTGTAAATAATCTAGAGATGATTTAAAGTATGAGAGGATATATGTAAGTTATATGCAAATACTCCACCATTTTATTTTCTATTCTAACCAGGCCCAACCCTGATTCTAAGATCAGATAAGATGCGCCATTTTATATAAGGGACTTGAGCATCCATGGATTTTGATATCTGCAGGGGGACCTGAAACCAATCCCTTAAGGATAATAAGGGTCAACTGTATAGTTTTTGAAGAAACTGCTGAATTGTTTTCTAGAGTTGCTCTACCATTTTGCATTCCCACCAGCAATGTATGAGAAATCCAGTCTCTCTGCATCTTTGTCACCATTTGATGTTATTACTATTTCTTTTTATTTTGCTGTATTAATAGGTACATGGTGATATCTCGTAATGGTATTTATTTTTAATTCTCCAATGAATAGTGATGTTGGACATCTCTTAATATGCTTTTTGCATCCATGTGCTCTCTTCAGTAAAATATCTCTTCATGTCATTTGTCCATTTTCTAATTGGGTGCCTTCTTTACTGTTGAATTTTGAGAATGCTTTAACTATTTTAAGCATGAGTCTTTCATCAGATATGTGGTTTGCAAATAACTTCTTTTAGTTTTCAGTTTGTCTCTTTATTATCTGAACAGTGTCTTTCACAGAGCAAAAGTTATTATTTTTGATGGCATCCAGTTTATCAATTTTTTTCTTTTATGGATCATGCTTTTGGTGCCATGTCTAAGAATTCTTCCCCGAGTCCTAAGTACTGCAGATTTTTTCCCATTCTTTTTTTCTAAAAGGTATATAGTTTTATATTTAATATTTAATTTATTATCAGTTTTGAATTAACTTTTGTATAAGCTGTGAGGTTTTGGTTGAGGTTATCTTTTTGCATATGGAGATCCAATTGCCCCCACATTATTTGATGAAAAGAGTATCCTTTCATCACTAAATTGCTTTTGTATCCTCAAAAGTTAGTTGTTAGTGGGTTCTGTATTCTCTTTCATTGATCTATGTGTCTATCTCTCTGCCAGTAACACACATCTGGATTACTTTATCTGTATAATGTCTTAAATGGAGTAGAGTACTTTCCTTCAATTTATTCTTGTTTTTCACAGTTATTTTAGCCATTCTACTTCTTTGACTTTCCATATAAATTTTGGAATAACTTACAAAAAATATTTCTGGGATATTTATAGGAATTGTATTAAACCTGTATATCCATCTGAGAAGAGGTGACATCTTTACTATATTGAGTCTTTCATTCTGTGAACATGGTGTGTCTCTCAATTTATATTTACTTTGATTTCTTTTATTAGTGTTTTATAGTTTTTAGCATACAATTTAATGCTATGTTTTATAAAAGCAATGCTGTATTTTGTTAGTTCGCATGTACCTCCCTTTTTTGTGGAATTGTAAATGGTATTGTATTTCTAATTTTGGTTTCCATGTGGTCATTGCTAGTATGTAGAAATACAATTAATTTCTTTTGCAGACAAGTATTCTTTATGAATATTGATGTTTAAGTCCTCAAATATATACTAGCAAACCATATATGGCAGCATATTAAAAGGTTTATACACTATTACCAAGTGAGATTTATTCCTGAAATTCAAAGATGGTTAAATATATGAAAACCAATGTATATAATATATTTGTGTGTGTTGAATCAACTTTGCATCCCAGGAATAAGCCTATTTGATTGTGGCAGATTAGCTTTTCAATGAGCTGCTGGATTCGATTTGCTAGTATTTTGTGGAGGATTTTTGCATCTATGCTCATCAGGGATATTGGCCTGGAGTTTCTTTTTGTTGTTGTTGTGTCTCTGCCAGATTTTGGTATCGGAATGATGCTAACTTCATAGAACAAGTTAGGGAGGAGTCTTTCCTCCTCAATTCCTGGCAATAGTTTCAGTGGGATTGGTACCAGCTCTTCTTTATACATCTGGTAGAATTTAGCTGTGAATCCATTAGGTCCAGGGCTTTTTCTGGTTTGTAGACTTTTTATTACTGATTCAATTTTAGAACTCATTATTGGTCTATTCAGAATTTCAGTTTCTTCCTAGTTCAATCTTGGGAGGTTGTATGTTTCTAGGAATTCATCCATTTCTTCTAGGTTTTTGAGTTTGTGTGCATAGAGGTGTTTGTAATAATCTCTGAGGGTTTTTGTATTTCTGTGTGGTCAGTGGTAATTTTTTTTGTTTCTGATTTTTTTTGGATCTTCTCTCTTTTTTTTATTAGTCTAGGTAGTGGCCTATCAATCTTATTTATTCTTTCAAAAAACAAACTTTTGATTTTGTTCATCTTTTGGATGGTTTTTTGCATCTCAGTTTCATTCAGTTTAGCTCTGATTTTGGTTATTTTTTTCCTTCTGCTAGCTTTGGGGGTGATTTGCTCTGGTTTTTCTAGTTCCTTTAGCTGTGATGTTAGGTTGTTAATTTGAGACCTTTCTAACTTTTTGATATAGGCAGTTAACACTATAAACTTTCCTCTATGTCCCAAAGATTCTGATATATTGTATGTTTGTTTTCATTAGTTTCAAAGAATTTCTTGATTTCTGTCTTCATTTCATTATTTACCCAAAAGTCATTCAGAAGCAGATTGTTTAATTTCCATGAAATTATATAGTTTTGAGAGATCATCTTAGTATTGATTTCTATTTTTTTTTTTTTTCCTGAGACACAGTCTCACTCTCTTGCCCAGGCTGGAGTGCAGTGGCATGATCTTGGCTCACTGTAACCTCTGTCTCCTGGGTTCAAGCAATTGTCCTGCCTCAGCCTCCTGAGTAGCTGGGATTACAGGCGTGCACCACCATGCCTGGCTAATTTTTGTATTTTTAGTAGAGACAGGGTTTCAGCATGTTGGCCAGGCTGGTCTTGAACTCCTGGCCTCAAGGGATCTGCCTGCCTTGGCCCCACAATGTGCTGGGATTACAGGCATGAGCCACTGCGCCTGGCCGTGATTTCTATTTTTATTTTGCTGTGGTCTGAGAGTCTGGTTGGTATGATTTTGGTTTTTTTTGAATTTGTTGAGAGTTGTTTTATGGCTGAGTGTGTGGTCAGTTTTAGAGTATGTGCCATATGCAGTTAAGAAGAACATATATTTGTTGTTGGGTGGAGTGTTCTGTAGATATCTGTTAGGTCCATTTGGTCAAGTGTTGAGTTTAGGTCCCAAATACCTTTGTTAGTTTTCTGCCTCGATGGTCTATTACTGTCAGTGGGATGTTGAAGTTTCCCACTATTATTATGTGGTTATCTGAGTCTTGTTGTAGGTCTCTAAGAACTTGTTTTATGAGTCTGGGTGGTACAATATTGGGTACATATATATTTAGGATACTTAAGTCTTCTTGTTGAATTGAATCCTTTGTCATATGTAATGCCCTTTTTGTCTCTTTTGATCATTGTTTGTTTGAAGTCTGTATTGTCTGAAATAGGAATAGAAACCCCTACTCTTTTTTGTTTTCTGCTTGCTTGGTAGATTTTTCTCCATTTTTTAACTTTTGAGCCTGTGGGTGTCATTGCATGTAAAATGGGCCTCTTGACAACGGCATACAGTTGGGGCTTGCTTCTTTATCCAACTTGCCACTGTGTGCCTTTTAAGTGGGGCATTTAGCCTGTTTATGTTCAAAGTTAATATTGATATGTGTGGATTTGGTCCTGTCATGTTGTTGTTAGCTGGTTGTTATGCAGACTTGATTGTGTATTTGCTTTATAGTGTCAATGGTTTATGTATTTAAGTATGTTTTTGTAGTGTCTGGTAATGGCCTTTTGTTTCCATATATAGCAGTCCCTAAAGGACCTGTAAGACAGGTCTGATGGTAATGAATTCCCTTGGCATTTGCTTGTCTGAAAAGGATTTTATTTCTCCTTTAGTTATGAAGCTTAGTTTGGCTGGATATGAAATTCTTGGTTGGAATTTTTCTTTAAGAATGCTAATTATAGGCTGGGCACAGTGGCTCACACCTGTAATCCCAGCACTTTGGGAGGCTGAGACGGGTGGATTACGAGGTCAGGAGATCGAGACCATCCTGGCCAACATGGTGAAACTCCGTCTCTACTAAAAATACAAAAATTAGCTGGGTGTGGTGGCGTGTGCCTACAATCCCAGCTGCTCAGGAGGCTGAGGCAGGAGAATCACTTGAACCAGGGAGTCGGAGGTTGCAATGAGCCGAGATGGTGCCACTGCACTGCACTCCAGCCTGGCGACAGAGCAAGACTCCGTCTCAAAAAAAAAAAAAAAAAAGAAAAAAAAAAGCTAATGATAGGCCCCCAATTTTTTCTGGCTTGTAGGGTTTCTGCTGAAAGGTCTGCTGTTAGCCTGATGGGGTTCCCTTGGTAGGTGACCTGCCCCTTCTCTGTAATTCTCCTGTGGTTAGGTGGGATCTGCTGGAGAAGAAGCTATGGCAGCAGCTGCCAGGAAATACCTTGGTTGGGCATCCAAGGTTGTGCTGCAAGCAGGTGTGGCCAGGCAGGGACTCCGGGAGAGGCCAGCAGACAAGGAGGTGCTCAGACCAGACTGTCCCCATCCCGTGGGCAAGAATGCTCTTCTCTGTCCAATTCTGACAGTCAACAAAGGCCAAAGCCACCTAGAAGAGCATGGCAAGCCTTGGAGGATGGGTGTTTCTGGTTGTGCTCCGCTGCAACCATTCCTGTGCCAAACCCTCTGGGCTCCACACAGGCTGGAGTCCTGTCCCTGCCTCCTCTCCAAGCAGCTCTCCCTGTCAGCTCAAATGTCTGTGGAGGTGATGGAGTCTTCTGCAGCTAGGATTCTGGAGGTCTGTGGTGAGAGTGGGCCAATCCTCACCTATTTAACCCACCCTTTCCCCAGGAGCTTCTGGGTGCCAGCAGTGAGTCCTGGTGCTTGGAAACCCCATGCAGGGCTCCCAGCCTCCTTTGCCTTCAGCCCAGGGTCTGTGCTCTCCCTCTGTCCACTCTCAATGCCTTCTCTCTGAAGATCGGCTCAGAGTGTGTCCGTTTTCTTGATGGTCTGGTCTCTCAGTGGGAAATGCTCTTCCTGGCTGTGTCTAGTCAGCCATCTTGACTCTTTTCTACAATTGATTTTTGTATATAACTCTTGTAACTGCATCCTTGCTGAACTTACTTATTAGTTCTAGGAGGGTTTTTTTAATAGATTACTTGGAATTTTCTGTACAGATCATTATATTATCTGCAAGCAGGGATAGTTTAATTTCTTTCTGTCCAATATGTATTGTTTTTATTTCTTTTTCTGGCTTATTGCGCTGACTACGACTTCCAGTACGATGCTGAATAATGGTGGTGAAAGTGGACATTTTTCGCTTGTTCTTGACCTTAGGGAGAATTCATTCAGTTTTGTGCTATTAAGTATGATGTTATTTGTAGCGTCTTTGTATATGAACTTTATCAAGTCAAGGAACTTTCCTTGTATTTCTAGCTTCCTGAGAGTTTTTAGCATGGATGAATGTTAAAGTTTGTCAGATACTTTTTGGCATTGATTGATATGATTATTCAACTTTTCTTCTTTAATCTGTGTAATGGGAACAACACAGTAAAAGTTGCTGGCCTATGCCACATCCAGATGGCTGAAGCCCGTGGCTGCAGATAAGAACTTGGAGACATCTCTCTCATCTAGCAGATTGGGCTCCCTGGTTTTCCCACTACTTCCTTTAAAAGGACCATTTGGGAATTTGTCTATGAACTTAAAGTGACCCATATACCCCATTTCATTGTATTTACTGCTAGTTGCCATTCTCTCTCTTTCTTTGTTTCTCTCTCTGACCAACTCTTCATTTCTGCTTTGCCTTGTGTGCTTGTGTGATGCAGGAATGTAGGAGTGCCCTCCCTGGGAATGTAGGATTGCCCTCCTTACTCATTGCACCCTCCCTGCCCAGAATCTTTAAGTAATAAATATCTGAAGATATTTCCTATTGTGGTAGTGCACTAAATTTGCATCTTACTCTGAAGAACCAGGGGCTCCCCTGGGCCAGGTTCTCTCTGGGATGCTAGAGAAAACAGGGTTGGGTTCCCAGTGCCAGAGCAGTAGTCAAGCAGGCATAAACAGAACACAGGTCAGATATGAGCCACAAGGACCCCTGCTAATATAAACAAGTTTCCCATGTGAGGGACACCCTGGTCATAGGTCAAACAGCTAGATATTGGGTTATCTGCCAGGTAAAAGAAGTATTCTGTGAAAGACACACAGTAAATACCCATGTCAGGCTCCTCCCCATTTCTCATCAGTGCAGGGTCTCTAGCTGCTCTGCTACTGGAATCCCAGTTTAGCTGGAGTCTCTCGGAACAGTCCGTTAATATGGTTGATTGCATTGGTTGATTTTCAGCTATTGAACCATCATTGTATACTTGGAAAAAATCCTACCTAGTCATGGCGCATACTTATTTTTACATATTACTAAACTGTATTTGCTAATATTTTGTTTAAAATTTTGCGTCTGTATTCGTGACAGATCTTCCTCCCTCCCTCCCTCCCTCCCTCCTTTCCTCTTTGTATTTTCTTGGTCAAGTTTTGATAATAGTGAAACTGACCTCATAATTTGAGTTGGTCCTGTAGAATTAGTGTTAATGATTCTTTAAACATTTGGTAGGACCCTGTGTCTTCAAATTTGTTGATTCTTTCCACTGTCCTCTCCATTTTGGTATTGAGCCTATATCCATTGAGTTTTCAAATTTTGGTTATTTTTTTTTCTCTTTCTTTTTTTTTGTTTTTGAGACAGAGTCTTGCTCTGTTGCCCAGGCTGGAGTACAGTGGCAGTCTCAGCTCACTGCAACCTCCACCTCTCGGGTTCAAGCTATTCTCCTGCTTCAGCATCCCAAGTAGCTGGTATTACAGGCATGCGCCACCATGCCTGCAGGCTAAGTTTCGCATTTTTAATAGAGACAGGGTTTCCCCATATTGGCCAGGCTGGTCTCAAAACTCCTGACCTCAGGTGATCTGTCCACCTCCGCCTCCTAAAGTGCTGGGATTACAGGCGTGAGCCACTGTGCCTAGCCTGGTTATTGTGTTTTTCTGTTCTAAATTGCCATTTGGTTTTTCTTTATATATTTTGTTTATTTATTTTGCTGATACTATTTTTCATTTCCTCTAGGTGTATTCATAATTGCTCATTGAAGCAGTTTTATGATGGGTAAGTTGATCTTTGTGTTTGGTGTGAAGTAGGAATATAATTTTATTTTTTATACAGATTTTATATACAAGTACCCAAATTTCCCAGCACCTTTTATTGAAGAGTCCATCTTTTCCCTCTATTTTACAGTGCCAACTTAGCCGTTAATCAAGTATCCTTACATTAATTGTTCCCCACCTCCACCTTTAGACTATATTCTGTTCCATTGATCAATTTGCTTATTCTTGTGGCAATACCATATTCCTTATTACCATACTTTTATAATACATCTTTGTGTGGTAGAACAAATTCTCTACCTTTGTTGTTCTTCAAGTGTTTTCATGATACTTGGTTCCTTGTATTTTCATATAAAATTTAAAACCTGTTTGTCAAGTTACTTTTTAAAAGTTTTGAGATTGCATGGACTCTAGACAATTTAGAAAGAATTGATGTCATCAAATTGAATCTTCAGAGTACAACAACATTTATTTTTCATTTCTTCTTTTTAAACTTTTTATTTTGAAATAATTATAGATTCACAAAAAGTTCCAAAAATAATGGTACAGGAGACTGTACCCACTTCACTTAGCCTCTGCCAGTGGTAATATCTTATATACCTATAGTACATTATCAAAACTGGGACATCAACATTGGTAAAATCCACAGAATTTGTTCAGATTTCACCAGGTTATATACACTTGCTGTGTGTATTTTTTTTGTAATTGTATCATATGTAGATTTTCTAATCAGCATCACAATTGAGAGAGAGAACTGTTCCATTACCAAAAAGATCCCTACTGCTACTCTTCAGTCACATTTTACGCTTCTTTGATTTTTTTTTAATAAAAAACTTAATTTCTCCACTTGACAGTATATCCTGGAGATTCACCCATGTTAGTGTATACCTAATTCTGCTTAAATGCTGAACAGTTCTTTATAAAATATATTTAAGCATCTTCCTATTGATGGAATTTTAAATTATTTCCAAGCTTTTACTATTTTAGACCCTGCTGCAGTGAACATCCTAATATATGCATCCTTGTGCACATGTATAAATGCTTCTGTAGGATAGAAACAAAAGAGTATAACTATTGAATTGTAGGTCAAGCCCATCTTCTATCTTCTATTTCAGTACACGAGGCTCTCTCTTCAATGGCTATAAAATTTATAATCCCACCAGCATTTAGGAAAGGATCAGCACATTAATGAGAATGAATAAAAGATGTCCAGAATACAGAAAGAGAGTGAAATTTTAAATAAGACTGTCAAGACGAGTCTTACTGAGAAGATGGAACTGGAGCGAAGACTAAGAGAAGGTGAAATATGTGGCTGTCTGAGGGAAAGCATTCCAGGAGGAAGGAACAGCTAGTACAAAGGCTCTGAGGTGGCAGTGTGCTGGCTGCTGGGGAGGAGGCCACAGTGGCTGAAGTAGGGCGAATGGTGATACTTATGGTGGGAGATGAGTTCAGAAGGTAATGGGGGAAGGTGTAGAACATGAAGGGCCTTATAGGCCAGAGCAAGAACTTTGGTTTTCATGCAGCATGAAAGGAAGATCTTGGCAGGGTTTCGAGGCATGATGTTATCTGACATTTTTAAAAAATAAAATCAATTTGTTGAGAGAGAATTTATATTTAATAAAGGCACCCGTTGTAACTGCGCGGTTTGATTAGTTTTGACCAAGGCATATTCCTATGCACTGCCACCCTTCCATCATCCCCAAAGTCCCCCCTGCCTCTTTGCAGTCACTTTGTGGTTAATTCCTATCTTATCCCCATCTGAGGCCACCATTTTTTTTCTTATTTTTTTCACCATAGATTCATTTTGTCTACTCTAGAGCATCATAAAAATGAAATTATACAGTGTGTGTTCTTTTCTGTTGGGCTTCTTTTGCTCAACTTAATATCTGTGAGGTCATCAACGCTGCTGCTTCATCAGCAGTTCATTCATTTTTAATGATGATGCGTATATTCCCTGGTTCATGAATATACCACCATGTGTTTATCCATTTATCCACCTGTTGATGGACCTTTGGGTTGTTTCAGTTCTGAGCTATGAGGAATAAAGCCACTAATAAGCAGTCATATACAAGTCATTGTGTAGGCACATGTTTTTCCATTCTTTTGGGTAAATAAATACCTAGGAGTGGAATTGCAAGTCCATGGGTAAGGGTATGTTTAACTTTATAATAAACCGCCAAACTCTTTTCCAGAGTGGTTGAATCATTGTACATTCCCACCAACAGTGTGTGAGAATTCGCATTGCCCAACATTTTTGCCAGCAATTGTTATTGTCGATCTTTTAAACTTTTACTAATGCTGCTGAGTATGTCATGGTATTTCATTGTGATTTTAATGTGTATTTTACACGATGACTGACAATATTAAGCATCTTTTTCTGTGCATATTGGCCATTTGTATATCTTCTTTTTTGAAGTGTCTCAAGTCTTGCCCATTAAAAAAATTGAGTTGTTTATTTTTTTAATTTTTGATTTATAATTCTTTATGTATTCTAGGTATAAGACCTTTTCCAGATATATTTATAATAAATATTTTCTTCCAGTCTAGGGCTCGTCTTTTTATTTTCTTCTTGGTGTCTTTGGAGAACAAAAGTTTTTCTTAGTTTGGCTACAGGCTCGTCAATTTTGCTTATCTTTTCAAAAAAAACAGCTCCTAGTTTTATTGCTCTTTTCTACAGTTTTTCTTGTTTCTATTTCATTTATTTCTGTTCTAATCTTTATTATTTCCTTTCTTCTACTAACTTTGGGCTTCATTTGTCCTTCTTTTGCTCCTTGAGATGTAGAATTAGATTGTTTTTGGGGGGATGTTTCTTCATATTCGACGTAGCTATTTATTGCCATAAACTTCTCTGATAGAACTGCTTTTACTGCATCCCGTGAGTTTTGGTATGTTGCGTTTCCATTTCCATTTGTCTCAAGAGATACATTTTTTGATGCAGAGTCTTGCTCTGTCACCCAGGCTGGAGTGCAGTGGCATGACCATGGCTCACTGCCTTGATGTCCTGGGTTCAAGTGATCTTCCTGCCTCAGCCTCCTGAGTAGCTGGGACTACAGAATTTCTGCTTGATTTTTAAAAAATAATTTCAATCTCACTGTTAAATTTTTCACTTGGTAGTTGATTATTTTTTTATTTCATTGAATTGTTTCTCTGTATTTTCTTGAAATTTACTGAGCTTCCTTGAAACTATTATTCTGAATTCTTTGTCAGGCAGTTTGTATATCTACATTTCTTTGGGGTTGGTTACTAGGAAATCATTGTCTTCTTTTGGTGGTATTATGTCTCCATTGTTTTTCATGTTTCTTGTTGTCTTTGTACATATCTGTGCATTTGATGGAGCAGTCACCTCTTCCAGACTTTACAGGCTAGTTTTGCTGTGGAAAGACCTTCCCCTGTAGGGGAGTATGAAAGTGCTTGCTTGGTGGTGTTCAGGGATTCTGATACCAGTGACAGTGCAGCTGTGTAGTCTGTGTGTGGCACTGTAAGCCGAGGTCAGTGTTAACAAAGATTGCAGAGATCCTCAGTGGCCAATATTGTGGATGTCTATAGTGGCAGTAAGGATTGTTAGGATCTTCAGTGGCAATGGCTGCTAAGTCCTCCTGATCTCTTTTTTCCTCTCTGGAGATGTTGGTGCTGAGGGGATCCCTCTTGGCACTGGGTCTGGCTTGTAGGCCCACTCCTGGTGGCGGTGGCACTGGTGTCTGATGCATGGCACCTGTGGAGCAACCACAGTGCTGAGGCCTGAGGCACAGGCATGTGTAGAGGGACTGCAGTTGTGGGATCCAGGGTGGTAATGCCACTGGTGCCCAGGGTGAAGGCACCCCTGTTGCTGAGTTGGTGAAGATATGCAAGTTGCAGATGTTTGTGGATTAGCTGGGGAGCTGAGAATGGGAACACAGGTGTGTGCAGAGTTAGAGTGGCTCTGGGGTCCAGGTGGGGCCTAGCTCTCTATGGTAGCTGAGCTGGTGCCCAGAGAGCAAGCATAGACAGTGAAGGTTTGGCTCCTAGGCCTGGCGTGTGAACTAGCTCACTTTGGTGATGACTCCAGTGTCAGGCCCAGTACAGCCACAGAGTCCAGGTGCTATAGTTTGAATATTTGATCCTCCAAACCTCATGTTGAAATTTGATCCCTAATGTTGGAAGTGGGGCCTATTGGGAGGTGTTTGGGTCATGAGGATCCCTTATGAATGGCTTGGTGCTATCCTTGTGGTAGTGAATGAGTTCCCTATTAGTTTCCCCAAGAGCTTGTTGTCCAAAAGAGCCTGGCACCTTCTCTCTCTCCCTTGTTTCTGCTGTCACCATATGATCTCTGCATGCTAGTTGCCTTTCACCTTCCATCATGAGTGGAAGCAGCATGAGACCCTCATAGGAAGCTGAGCAGACCAGCACCATGCTTCTTGTACAGCCTGCAGGACTATAAGCCAAATAAACCTCTTTTCCTTATAAATTACCAGACTCAGGTATTCCTTTAGAGCAACACAAATGGACTAAGATGCCATCATCGGAGTGCGGGCACTCGCAGTGCAGTGTAGCTCCAGGATCAAAGAACACGTGGGCTTGGGAGAGGTAGTGGCTCCTTTCTTGAATTGGCTCAACAGTCTATCAAATTCATGGATGGGGACGGGGTGTTCAGGCATCTCTCTGTCTCTGGGGTTCTCTGGTGAGAAGGGCTGTTGGTTAGCTCAGTAGCAAGAGATGCCAGTGTCCTTTGTGGAGCAGGCCCCTGGGAATGCTGGTGGTTCACATCATGTAACTGATACCGATAGTCTTTGACTTTCTTCTTTTTAGCTACTAGTCATCTCCTGGCATCTTAGCTATGCCAGTCTCACCAGCGATATTTTTTATGTGAATATTCCCTGGATTTTTATGCTCTGCTGTATTCCTGCAGATTCTTTAATGAACCATTGAGCTCCCTCTGGACTATTTTGTTTTGTGCATAGCTGTTTATATTTGTTTTTTTGTGTGTGGTAGATAAGGGCTGGTATTTCCTACTCTGTTATCTTGGCGATGTTGCCTCTTGTATATTCTGGAGGAAAAAAGGTTTTACTTCTGATGCTCAATGTAATAAGTTTTTTTTTTTTTTTTTTTGAGACAGAGTTTCACTCTTGTTGCCCAGGCTGGAGTGCAATGGCACGATCTTGGCTCACTGCAACTGCTGCCTTCCGGGTTCAAGCGATTCTCCTGCCTCAGCCTCCCAAGTAGCTGGGATTACAGGCATGCGCCACTATGCCTGGCTAATTTTATATTTTTAGTAGAGCCGAGGTTTCTCCATGTTGGTCAGGCTGGTCTCAAACTCCTGATCTCAGGTGATCCACCCACCTCGGCCTCCCAAAGTGCTGGGATTATAGGCGTGAGCCACCGCACCCAGCCAATTTAATAAGTTTTTAAGGTTAAAGATACTGACTGGTGTCCTCTCTAAAAACTATTCACCTAACTCGAAGTTGCAAAGATTTTTCTTTCATGTTTTCTTCTATTGTTGAAAGAATGGTTTTAGCTTACAAGTTTAGGCCTATAACCTATTTAAGATTGATGTTTGTATGTGATATAAGGTATGGATTGAGACTTATTTTTAAAATATAAGTATTCAATGGTTCCAGCACTGTTTATTGAAAAGATCATCCTTTTAACACTAAACCACAGAAGCCTCTTAATTGTAAAACAATTGCTTATATATGTGAGGCTGTATTCTGAAACCTCTGTTATAGTCACCTCTTCTTATGCCAGAATCACCTTGGCTTAGTCCCTCTCAGAGCCTGATCATTTGCTCCTCACTCTTGCCTTGTTTCTGAATCTTTCCAGCTTTTGTGTGGCTGGACTGTTTCCAGCTTCTGTTCTTGAAGCTCTTTTCTTGTCTTTGATAGCAGGATTCAGCTTTTCAGTGACACATTTACAGAATCCATGCTTACTTGGGGTCATCTTAATGTTTAGTCGGAAAACCATCTATAGTAAGAGAGCTGTTAGCCTGAGCTTGTGCAGACTGTGCCTCTTCCATGCCTCCATTAGTCTCAGGAATGCTGGGAGACAAGGCTTGAGTTGGGGAATGTGAAATAAAACGCAGTATCCTATGAAGTTCTTCCCTGGTGTATTGCCACGGTTACTTTTTTGCTTTTTTGAGATGGAGTCTCGGTTTGTAGCCTGGCAGAGTGCAGTGGCACAACCTTGGCTCACTACAACCTCCACCTCCTGGGTTCAAGCGATTCTCCTGCGTCAGCCTCCCAAGTAGCTGGGATTACAGGTGCGCACCATCACACCCAGCTAATTTTTGTATTTTTAGTAGAGATGGGGTTTCACCATGTTGGCCAGGATGGTCTTGATCTCTTGATCTCATGATCTGCCTGCCTCGGCCTCCCAAAGTGCTGAGATTACAGGTGTGAGCCACCATGCCTGGCTCTTTACTATTTTTTTTTTTAAAAGGAACACAGTTAAATATTTCAAAGACATCCCAAATGAGTTATTGGTGGGGTCACAGAGGCTTCCTTTTTTTGCCACCACAGTGAAAAATCAAGAATTTTGAAAGTTAAAGCTGATTGATTATTTCTTCGGATACATAAAGAAAGATGTTAAAGCGTATTACAAAGTGCAAAAAAGGAGACATTCAGCAGAGCAAAAACAAACTCTTAGAAGAGCCCGAAGCAGCAGGCTGATTGTCTTGATGAGAGGGTGGAGAAATGAACGTGCTTCCTAGTTTTGTGGTTTTCCTGCAGTTTCTGGACACAGATCTCTGCTCCCACACCAAGATCTCTGCGTCTTTGGGGTCTGGTTTCTCTTCTCTAGTGACCAGTCCCCAGTGTATGTGATTCTAGGAAGTTAAATGTCACACAGTTCCTTATGCTGTATCCCTCTTGTGTCCCATGACACCCTGTCTCAAGCAGAGAGTTTGGAAATCATAAATCAGGGGAAGGGAGGCTAGCTAAGGGCTTTACATCCACCACCTGTTATGAGAGAATTATTTAATCCATTTTGGAGATGTGAAAACCAACTCTCAGCAGTCAAGTGATTTGCCCAGATTCAAACATTGAGGACATGGCAGGATTAGCATTTGAGCCTAGGCCCATCTACTGTCAGAGCCCATGCTCTTTCTTCGGTGCCCTCATAGGCTGGCTGTAAAGTCCAGACCCAAGACTGTGGTTTCCTGTGACAATACACTAGGAGGGATGGAGACTGGGAATGGAAGGCTCCTGAGGCTTCAAGGAGAAAACTACAGAGAGGCCATGAGAGGCAACAGGTGGCCAGCACTCTCCTATCCCCACCATATGTGGTGGCACCTGGGGACAAGGCCATTTGCTTACTCCAATCCTACAGACACCCATTTGGTTTCTCTCTTCCTCTTGTTCTTCAGCACAATCTTAGGAGGAAAAGAAATGTCATCTGCTTTCTAATTTAATTCCCTTTTTTCTACTCTTTATTATTTTTCCTTATTATAGAAGAAATGGTTTTCCATTAATACAAAATTCAGACATCATCAAAACTATAATAAACATTTGCTGTGATCCTACCTGCTAAAGATAACCATCATTAAGTTCAATGCATAGTCTTCCTTTTTCATATTTATACATATGCTAACATATATTAGAATTATTCATTTACTTTTACAAGAAGAAGGTCAGGCTGGGGACATGGAGGGCTCCTACCTGCGTAAGCAGAGGTCTTGCACCTGCATAAGCAGGGCCATGATCATGCCTGTAATCCCAGTGCTTTGAGAGGCCACGGCAGGGAGTCTCTTGAGTCCAGGAGTTCTAGACCAGCCTGCACAACAGGGTGAAACCCCATGTCTACAAAAAATTTAAACTTAGCTGAGTTTAATGGTATGTGCCTGTGGTCCTAGCTACTTAGGAGGCTGAGGCAGGGGGACACCTTGGGCCTAGGAGGTCAAGGCTACAGTGAGCCATGATCATGCTACTGTACTCCAGCCTGGGTGACAGAGCAAGACCATGTCAAAAAAAAAAAAAAGTCACAAATAATGTTGCAATTTTTCTACCACTTTTAAAATCCTTTGAAACATTTCTTGTGTTGGTATATGTAGATCTTATCTGACTGTATTCTTGTAAATAGATATATAACATAACATTGGGTGCACCACAGACTATTTATTTATTTATCTGGTGGAAATCTTATTCCTCCCCCTCATGTTGCATGAGGGAACTTACATTCCCAGGGTATAACACTATTAGTGATTCCAGACTTCATTCTCTCCCCTAGGTGGGAATGATTTATCTTACTGTTGAAACTAGGAGAAGAAACTAGGCATAAGCGGCCCTGCCCTCTTTGAGCTTTTAGTCCCAGTGGCTGGCCGTCAAAGATGCCAGGAGTACAGTGACTGGGGGACCTCTGCTTCTGCAGGTGGGAGACTGAATCCTGGGTGGGCGTATTAGTCTGTTCTCACGCTGCTATAAAGAACTGCCTGAGACTGGGTAACTTATGAAAGAAAGAGGTTTAATTGACTCACAGTTCCACATGGTTGGGGAGGCCTCAGGAAACTTACAATCATGGCAGAAGGGGAAGCAAACACATCCCTCTTCACATGATGGCAGGACGGAGAAGTGCCAAGCAAAGGGGAAAAAGGCCCTTATAAAACCATCAGATCTCATGAGATCTCATTCACTATCACAGAACAGCAAGGGAGTAACTGCTCCCATGATTCAATTACCTCCCACTGGATCCCTCCCATGACACATGGGGATTACAGGAACTACAATTCAAGATGAGATTTGGGGACACAGCCAAATATCAATGGGCCATCTTGGAGAGTGGAGGAAGGAAATAGAAAGCTCACCTGTGGCCTCATATTTTGCTTACATTCTCCAGTGAAGTTTAGTGTGGATTTTGAATTTCATCTGTCCTAAGCTTATGGCTTTTCAAAAAAAAAAAAAAAATCCCCTCTCTTTCTCAAAAGAGAGAGCAGTATTATTTTTTTGGCCTCTTCAAATCCCAGCATTCTCGTTCCCCACTGATGGACAGACATTTGTGTTTTGTTACAACAAATATCGCCTTTGTCACAGCAAGTATTGCCTTTGTCCAACGTTTACATTTTGTGTCTATGCCAACAGGGTTGACAATAGGAATGATGTCTTTGAAAGAAGCTCTTTTTTTGGAGAAATCTCTGAATCTGGGCCTAGGGTCAGTACTCAGGGAGAACCCAATCAAAAGCAACTACAGTAGGATGGACTGAAGAGTCTCTTGAGGCATGGTAAGAAAGCTGTATTGCAGGAGGTTTTGTTCATTTGCCTATTCATTCAGTAAGCACTGACGGGTCACTTCCAATGTTCCAGGCACAAAGTCAGCTTTTATGGAACCTGCAATGCACAAAGAAACAAGCAATAAACAAGGAAATGTCAGAAAATAATAACTGCTATACAGTCTTAAAAGAGTAATGAGTTTCAGTAAAAGCAATTTCCGAGTACATCTTGAAGCTGTCATAAGAGAATGCTTTCTGGTGTAAAAGTTGAAACGTATTCATAGGCTTTCTTTCAGAAATTTCTAGTTCTTGAGCCTCTGTTACAATATTTTGGTAAGTGATTTGTTTTCCATGGTACTTTCCATTTCATCGGGATTTCAGAAAAACTGTGTTGCCCTCAACCCTCTCCCCACAGACCTCTGCACATACATCTTTTCAAGGCAGGCACTTTAGAAAAATACAGATAACTAAATATGGATGTGTATATGTGTTTATTTTCAGCATAAATTTGCTTAAAGTGCTATTTTCCAAAATATTTTGTCTTCCAAAAGAAAGACTAATTTTCTGAAATAGTTTGTCAGTGTCTCTAGGGCATCCTTCAGTTGGGTGGCACTAGAGTTTCAGTATATTTAAAAAATATTTTCTTATTGTTGTATTTCCTATGTGTGGTGAGATACTATTTTAAAACCCAGAGAGGCCTTGGAGACACAGTAAAGGAGGCCAGTTTGGGGTAATGGCTTGACACCAGCTGGGACCATGGAAAACCTATTCTAAGCCTGCGTGCTTTTGGTGTAAGCATGTGGGCACTTGAGGCCTTCTAATATGAAGCCCAATAGCCTTCTGTTCTGGGAAATTGTTCCCTGTTTTATTTGTTTGTTTGGTGGTGCTTAATGACTTCCTTCCTTCCATTTTCTCTGCACTGTCTTTTTCAAATACTCTTGTCAGATTGGACCTTCCTAACTCGCTTCAACGACCCTTGCTTGTTTTCCTCTCATAATATTCCAGCCCAGATTTCGTTTTCTTTTTTTTGCATAAAACTCATATCCTCCATAATGTTTAGAATTTCTTTTTTTCTTTCTTTTCTTCTCTTTTTTTTTTTTTTTTTTGAGATGGAGTCTCGCTCTGTTGCCCAGGCTGGAGTGCAGTGGCACGGTCTTGGCTCACCACAATCTCCACCTCCTGGGTTAAAGTGATTCTCCTGCCTCAGCCTTCCGAGTAGCTGGGATTACAGGTGCACCCCACCACACCTGGCTAATTTTTGTATTTTTTGTAGAGATGGGGTTTCACCATGATGGCCAGGGTGATCTTGAATTCCTGACTTCAGGTGATCTGCCCGCCTCGGCCTCCCAAAGTGCTGGGATCACAGGTGTGAGCCACCACACCTGCCTGTTTAGAATTTCTTGACTGCATTTTTCAGGTCTTATACTAATTTTTTTTTTCCATGTGGACAATCCCATTTTTGTTGATTGTTGTTGTTCTCTTTGTTGTTCTGTGATGTTTCTTTTTTATGGGATCCCGTTTTTGTTTTGTGGATTAAATATTCCCTAAATCTCCCTGAAGATGCTGCATGTTCTTTTCCAGTTCTAAACTGTTCACTTAATTATTTGTTTCCTCTGGAGACATTTTTTCTGTTAATTCTGGTCTTTTTCTTCCATGTTGTGTATTTGCTTCCAAGCTGGTGATCCTTGCCTGGTTTTCCATTTTGTCCTGAAAATTTCCTTTCCAGCAGTCTTTTTCTAAAAGTAAAAGCTCTTAACATCTATCTGCATTGATACCTGAGAACATCTGTATGAGTTGTTCACCCTTAAAGTACACTGTTCTTTCACTACTGATGATGACGTATTGAATAACTCTGGAATCCTCTCACCAAAGGAGGACCTTCTTTAGCTCTTGTAAATAACCTTAGATGATACATCTGCACATCTGAGCATAGCCTGTGTTCTGCTGCAGTTTTCCGTATGGGAGAGGAGTGGTTTATCTCACACTAATGGTCAATATTTAAAGGCTCTCTTTGGGTCCATCTGGTGGAGGGACCTGCCCTGCAGCAGCATCCATCCAGACCCTGCCATCCTGCTCTTTTTGGTAGTTTCTGGTTGTTCTGTTAGTTTCTGAAAAGCACACATGGCCTATTTGTATCCTGGACAATAGTTCCTTCCTTCTGCTCCAAATAGGTTGATTCGTTAGGAGTTCAGGTAAGATGACCTTTATGGGCTAAAGATAAGATATGTGTAAATCCAAAGTTCCATTGAGGGACAGTTCTACCCAGGGTGACAGGAGCTATAACATAGTGACGTTGCAACCCTGTCTTAATGGTGACATGAGTTGTTCTGTAGCCCATCCTACATCTCTGTATTCTAATCTCCTTTAAGATCAGCGATTATATTTTTAGTAGAGCTTGGTTTAGGGGGAAGAAAGATGAAAGAAAACAGAGGGTGAATAAAAGCCCTTTGTGAGAGACACCAGCACAATTATACTGTTACCGGTGGAGGGCGTCCAGGCTCTTGGCGTCTTGAACAAAGAATTGGACAAAACGCACAAACAAAGCAAGGAAGGAATGAAGAGATTTATTGAAAATGAAAGTACACTCCACAGTGTGGGAGCGGGCCCGAGCCTAGGGGCTCAAGGGCCCTGGTACAGAAGTTTGGGGAGTTTAAATACCCTCTGGAGGATTCTGTTGGTTACATTAGGTATGTAGTATGTAAATAGAGGATGAAGTAAAGTTACAAAGTTATTTATTTGGTGTACTCCCTATGGAGAGGATATTTCCTGTCATAGCTGAAGTGTGAATCCGCCTTACATTCCCTGCCTCCAGACCCTATTTTCCTGCCTCAGTGCTAGCAGTTTACACTTGGCTAATTGGTATTTCTTTATCATGGGTAATTGTAAATTTCAATTCCCCTTACCTGGATTATTAGATTCAGACAAATGTGTTTGTAGCTTAAAGGCTTAGGAAGCATGAGCCTTCAATTTCTCTGTAACAGAATGCATTATTTACAATAAAAATGTAGAGGAGCTCATAATCCTGGTTTCAGCTTTAAAACAGAAAAAGGTCTAAAATCATTAAGAATCCTAATTTGGCAAATGAAAGTGGATGAATGCCATGGTTTTAGATTTGGGAGGCTGAGAGTTTAGTTGAGAAACTCTCCAGGCTTTCATGATGCAAATCTCCCTGTTGGAGTAAAAAGATAAAGAAAATTCTAAGTCGTGGTATTAACACTTGTATAACCAGTTACGATGTAGGTGTATGCATCTGTTTTGTAACGATTGTGTTGTTCAGACTTATTCCTAAAGGGCTTTAAAACAGTTACAAGAATCTGACATATTGGACATGTAAAAAATTTAAGCTACTATCCATGTTTTAAATGTCTGGGAAACTCTCATTTTTTAATATCCATTTATTTTTTATTTACTGCTAAGTAAATACATATGTAGATAAATTTAAAATGTTTACAGCATAACGCATTGGACCGTGCAGGATACTAACATGGATATTAGATAAAGTGCTAATAATGAAGTGTGTTCCTCAGATAGAAACATCTCGCCCTCCCCTGGTAACTGCATATTCTGCTTTCAAAGTTCTCTCTGATTACAAAAATCTTTCAAATTCTTTTGATCTAAGAAAAAGAGGAAACCCCATAGAGGGGGAACAAGCCCAGTGCCAGGGTGATCAATTTTGCCTCATTTTTATATAATCCTTTTTGTGGTCATATTTCTCTCCCACCTTAAATCCATTATTCTTCTCCCCATCCCCTCAGATGGCCATTTCTTCAGTATGGTTGGAACACTCCCTAGAATAGCAGAATGGAGAGTGTCCAAAACAACTTTTACTATTTGTGCTAGACCTTCACCAAACAGTAATATGAATTTACTCTTAATAAATTTGTTGCCTCTTTATATTATCTCTCTTTATAAAAGTTAAAACAACAAAATAACAAAACCAAAAACCCAAACATTCTAGGTAGGAAAAAAAAAGAGATGAGAAATTAAGTTCTATTTTGAACTCAGAAAGGTCCTGTGTTCTCAAAGTGAGATAAAATTTGGATGAAAGAGGACATGTGGACTTCCACATTAGTAATAATAATGAAAATTATGATGAATGTGTTTGGATGTTTGCTCTGTGCAAGCTGTATTTTGGATCTTAGTCTAGCCAGGTGGGGACCATTATGGTTCACATTTTGCAGATTGGGAAACAAACTTACAGAGGAGATTTGTGGTTGCTCATACTTACCCAGACATAGACCCACTGGTCAGGTATACAGAAAGTAATCTATTATTATTATTATTATTATTATAATACTTTAAGTTCTGGGGTACATGTGCAGAACGTGCAGGTTTGTTACATAGGTATACCCGTGCCATGGTAGTTTGCTGCACCCATCAACCCATCATCTACATTAGATATTTCTCCTAATGCTATCCTTCCCCTAGTCCCCCACCCCCCAACAGGCCCTGATGTGTTATGTTCTCCTCCTTGTGTCCATGGGTTCTCATTGTTCAGCTCCCACTTATGAGTGAGAATATGTGGTGTTTGGTTTTCTGTTCTTGTGTTAGTTTGCTGAGAATGGTGGTTTCCACCTTCATCCATATCCCTGCAAAGGACATGAACTCATCCTTTTTTATGGCTGTATAATATTCCATGGTATATATGTGCTACATTTTCTTTATCCAGTCTATCACTGATGGGCATTCGGGTTGGTTCCAAGTCTTTGCTATTGTGAATAATGCCGCAGTAAACATACATGTGCATGTATATTTATAGTAGAATAATTTATAATCCTTTGGATATATACCTAGTAATAGGATTGCTGGGTCAAATAGTATTTCTGGTTCTAGATCCTTGAGGAATTGCCACACTGTCTTCCACAATGGTTGAATGAATTTACACTCCTACCAACAGTGTAAAAACATTTCTATTTCTCCACATCCTCTCCAGCATCTGTTGTTTCCTGACTTTTTAATGATCGCCATTCTTACTGGTGTGAGATGGTATCTCATTGTGGTTTTGATTTGCATTTCTCTAATGACCAGTGATGATGAGCTTTTTTTCATATGTTTGTTGGCTACATAAATGTCTTCTTTTGATAAGTGTCTGTTCATATCCTTTGCCCACTTTTTGATGGGGTTGTTTTTTCCTTGTAAACTTGTTTAAGTTCTTTGTAGATTCTGGATATTAGCCCTTTGTCAGATGGATAGATTGCAAAAATTTTCTCCCATTCTGTAGGTTGCCTCTTCACTCTGATGATAAGTTTCTTTTGCTGTGCAGAAGCTCTTTAGTTTAATTAGATCCCATTTGTCTATTTTGGCTTTTGTTGCCATTGCTTTTGGTGTTTTAGTCATGAAGTCTTTGCCTATGAATGGTATTGTCCTGAATTGTATTTCCTAGGTTTTCTTTTAGGGTTTTTTATGGTTTTAGGTCTTACGTTTAAGTCTTAAATCCATCTTGAGTTAATTTTTGTACAAGGTGTAATGAAGGGGTCCAGTCTCAGTTTTCTGCATATGGCTAGCCAGTTTTCCCAACACCATTTATTAAATAGGGAATCCTTTCCCCATTGCTTGTTTTTGTCAGGTTTGTCAAAGATCAGATGGTTGTAGATGTGTGGTGTTATTTCTGAGGCCTCTGTTCTGTTCCATTGGTCTATATGTCTGTTTTGGTACCAGTACCATGCTGTTTTGGTTACTGTGGTCTTGTAGTATAGTTTGAAGTGAGGTAGCATGATGCCTCCAGTGTTGTTCTTTTTGCTTAGGAGTGTCTTGGCTATGTGGACTCCTTTTTGGTTCCATATGAAATTTAAAGTAGTTTTTTCCAATTCTGTGAAGAAAGTCAGTGGTATCTTGATGGGGATAGCATTGAAGTTATAAATTACTGTGGGCAGTACGGCCATTTTCATGATATTGATTCTTCCTATCCATGAGCATGGAATGTTTATCCATTTATTTGTGTCTTCTCTTATTTCCTTGAGCAGTGGTTTGTAGTTCTCCTTGAAGAGGTCCTTCCCATCCCTTGTAAGTTGGATTCCTAGGTATTTAATGCTCTTTGTAGCAATTGTGAATGGGAGTTCACTCATGATTTGGCTGTCTGTTATTGATGTATAGGAATGCTTGTGATTTTTGCACATTGATTTTGTATCCTCAGACTTTGCTGAAGTTGCTTATCATCTTAAGGAGGTTTTGGGCTGAGACTGTGGGGTTTTCTAAATATACGGTCATGTCATCTGCAAAGAGAGACAATTACTCTTAATAAATTTGAGAGTAATTGAATACCGTTTTTTTCTATTTGAATACCCTTTATTGATTTCTGTTGCCTGAATGTCCTGGCCAGAACTTCCAATACTATGTTGAATAGGAGTGGTGAGAGAGGGCATCCTTGTCTTATGCCAGTTTTCAAAGGGAATGCTTCCCATTTTTGCCCATTCAGTATGATATTGGCTGTGGGTTTGTCATAAATCGCTGTTATTATTTTGAGGTACATTCCATCAATACCTAGTTTATTGAGAGTTTTTAGCATGAAGAGTGTTGAATTTTGTTGAAGGCCTTTTCTGCATCTATTGAGATAATCGTGGTTTTTGTCATTGGTTCTGTTTATGTGATGGATTAACGTTTATTGATTTGGGTATGTTGACCCAGCCTTGCATCCCAGGGATGAAGCCAACTTGATCGTGGTGGATAAGCTTTTTGATGTGCTGCTAGATTCAGTTTGCCAATATTTCATTGAGGATATTCACATCGATATTTATCAGGGATGTTGGCGTGAAATTTTCTTTTTGTGTTGCATCTCTGCCAGGTTTTGATATCAGGATGATGCTGGCCTCATAAAATGAGTTAGGGAGGAGTCCCTCTTTTTCTATTGTTTGGAATAGTGCCAGAAGGAATGGAAGCAGCTCCTCTTTGTACCTGTGGTAGAATTTGGCTGTGAATCCATCTGGTCCTGGACTTTTTTTGGTTTGTAGGCTATTAATTACTGCCTCAGTTTCAGAACTTGTTATTGGTCTGTTCAGGGATTCAACTTCTTCCTGGTTTAGACTTGGGAGGGTGTGTGTGTCCAGGAATGTATCCATTTCTTCTAGATTTTCTACTTTATTTGCGTAGACGTGTTTGTAGTATTCTGTTATGGTAGTTTGTATTTCTGTGGGATCAGTGGTGATATCCCCTGTATCATTTTTTATTACGTCTATTTGATTCTTCACTCTTTTCTTGTTTATTAGTCTGGCTAGTGGTCTATTTTGTTGATCTTTTCAGAAAACTAGCTCATGGATTCATTGATTTTTTTTAACTGTTTTTTGTATCTCTATCTCCTTCAGTTCTGCTCTGATCTTAGTTATTTCTTGTCTTCTGCTAGCTTTTGAATTTTTTTGCTCTTGCTTCTCTAGTTCTTTTAATATTGATACTAGGGTGTCGATTTTAGATCTTGCCTGCTTTGTCTTGTGGGCATTTAGCGTAATAAATTTCCCTCTAAACACTGCTTTAAATGTGTCCTAGAGATTCTGGTATGTTGTGTCTTTGTTCTCATTGGTTTCAAAGAACTTATTTATTTCTGCCTTAATTTCGTTGTTTACCCAGTAGTCATTCAGGAGCAGGTTGTTCAGTTTTCATGTAGTTGTGCGGTTTTGAGTGAATTTCTTAATCCTGCATTCTAATTTGATTGCACTGTGGTCTGAGAGACAGTTTGTTGTGATTTCTGTTCTTTTGCATTTGCTGAGGAGTGTTTTACTTCCAATTATGTGATTACTTTTAGAATAAGTGCGATGTGGTGCTGAGAAGAATGTACATTCTGTTGATTTGGGGTGGAGAGTTCTGTAGATGTCTGTTAGGTCCGCTTGGTCCAGAACTGAGTTCAAGTTCAGAATATCCTTGTTAATTTTCTGTCTTGTTGATCTAATATTGGCAGTGGGGTGTTAAAGTCTCCCATTGTTATTGTGTGGGAGTCTAAGTCTCTTTGTAGGTATCTGAGAACTTGCTTTATGAATCTGGGTGCTCCTGTATTGGGTGCATATATATTTAGGATAGTTAGCTCTTCTTGCTGCATTGATCCCTTTAGCATTATGTAATGCCCTTCTTTGTCTCTTTTGATCTTTGGTGGTTTAAAATCTGTTTTACCAGAGACCAGGATTGCAACCCCTGCTTTTTTTTGCCTTCTATTTGCTTGGTAAATATTCCTCCATCCCTTTATTTTGAGCCTATGTGTGTCTTTGCACATGAGATGGGTCTCCTGAATACAGCACACCGATGGGTGTTGACTCTATCCAATTTACCAGTCTGTGTCTTTTAATTGGGGCATTTAGCCTTTTTACACTTAAGGTTAATATTGTTATGTGTGAATTTGATTCTGTCATTATTATGCTAGCTGGTTATCTTGCCCGTTAGTTGATGCAGTTTCTTCATAGTCTCGATAATCTTTACCATTTAGTATGCTTTTGCAGTTGCTGGTACAGGTTGTTCCTTTCCAGGTTTAGTGCTTCCTTCAGGAGTCCTTGTAAGGCAGGTCTGGTGCTGACAAAATCTCTCAGCATTTGCTTGTCTGTAAAGGATTTTATTTCCTTTTCACTTATGAAGGTTAGTTTGGCTGAATATGAAATTCTGGGTCGAAAATGTTTTCTTTGGCCAGGCGCGGTGGCTCACGCCTGTAATCCCAGCATTTTGGGAGGCTGAGGCAGGCGGATCACCTGAGTTCAGGAGTTCGAGACCAGTCAGGCCAACATGGTGAAACCCCGTCTCTATAAAAATACAAAAAATTAGCTGGGCATGATGGTGCGTGCCTGTAATCCCAGCTACTTGGGAGGCTGAGGCGTCTCAAAAAAGAAAAGAAAATTGTTTTCTTTAAGAATGTTGAATATTGGTTCCCACTCTCTTCTGGCTTGTAGGGTTTCTGCAGAGAGATCAGCTGTTAGTCTGATGGGCTTCCTTGTGTGGGTAACCTGACCTTTCTCTCTGGCTGCCCTTAACATTTTTCCTTCATTTCAACTTTAGTGAATCTGATGATTATGTGTCTTGGAGTTGGTCTTCTTGAGGAGAATCTCTGGTCTCTGTATTTCCTGAATTTGAATGTTGGCCTCTCTTGCTAGGCTGGGGAAGTTCTCCTGGATAATATCCTGAAGTGTTTTCCAACTTGTTTCCATTCTCCCTGTCACTTTCAGGTACACCAATCAAATGTAGATTTGGTCTTTTCACATAGTACCATATTTCTTCGAGACTTTGTTCGTTCCTTTTTCATTCCTTTTTCTCTAATCTCGTCTTCTCGCTTTATTTCATTGAGATGATCTTCAATCTCTGATATCCTGTCTTCTGCTTCATTGATTCAGCTGTTGATACTTGTGTACGCTTCACAAAGTTCTTGTGCTGTGTTTTCAGCTCCATCAGGTCATTTATGTTCTTCTCTAAACTGGTTATGCTAGTTAGCAATTCCTCTAACTTTTTTTCAAGATCGTTAGCTTCCTTGAATTGGGTTAGAACATGCTCCTTTAGCTTGGAGGAGTTTGTTTTTAGCCACCCTCTGAAGCCTACTTCTGTCAGTTCATCAAACTCATTCTCCATCCACTTTTGTTCCCTTGCTGGCAAGGAGTTGTGATCCTTTGAAGGAGAAGAGGCGTTCTGGTTTTTGGAATTTTCAGCCTTTTTGCACTGGTTTCTCCCCATCTTCGTGGATTTATCCACCTTTGGTCTTTGATGTTGGTGACCTTCGGATGGGGTTTCTAAGTGGACATCCTTTTTGTTGATGTTGTTGCTATTCCTTTCTGTTAGTTTTCCTTCTAACAGTCAGGACCCTCTGCTGCAGGTCTGCTGGAATTTGCTGGAGGTCCACTCCAGACCCTGTTTGCCTGGTATCACCAGCAGAGGCTGCAGAACAGCAAAGATTGCTGCCTGTTCCTTCCTCTGAAAGCTTCGTCCCAGAGGGGCACTCACCAGATGCCAGCTGGAGCTGTCCTGTATGATGTGTCTGTCAGCCCCTACTGGGAGGTGTCTCCCAGTCAGGAGACATGGGGGTCAGAGACCCACTCGAGGAGGCAGTCTGACCCTTAGCAGAGCTCGAACTCTGTGCTGGGAGATCTGCTGCTGTCTTCAGAGCCCTCAGGCAGGGACATTTAAGTCTGCTGAAGTTGCGCCCACAGCTGCCCCTTCCCCTAGGTGCTCTGTTCCAGGGAGATGAGGGTTTATCCATAAGCCCCTGATTGGGGCTGCTGCCTTTTTTTCAGAGATGCCCTGCCCAGAGAGGAGAAATCTAGAGAGGTAGTCTGGCCACAGTGGTCTTGCTGAGCTGCGGTGTGCTCCACCCTGTCAAACTTCCCGTGGCTTTGTTTACACTTTGAGGGTAAAACTGCCTACTCAAGCCTCAGCAATGGTGGACGTCCCTCCCCCTACCAAACTCTAGCGTCCCAGGTCCACCTCAGACTGCTGTGCTGGCAACGAGTATTTCAAGCCAATGGATCTTAGCTTGCTGGGCCCTGTGGGGGTGGGACACACTGAGCCAGATCAGTTGGCTCCCTGTGAATGGTTCTGTCTCGATGGTGTTCCAGGTGCCACTGGGGTATGAAAAAAAAACAAAAAAAAAAACAAAAAAAACCTCCTGCAGTTAGCTTGGTGTCTGCCCAAATGGCCGCCCAGTTTTGTGCTTGAAACCCAGGGCCCTGGTGGTGTTGGCACTGGAGGGAATCTCCTGTTCTGGGGGTTGCGAAGACCATGGGAAAAGTGCAGTATCTTGTCTGGAGTGCACTGTTCCTCACAGCACAGTTTCTCAGGGCGTCCCTTGGCTAGGGGAGGGAGGTCCCCGACCCCTTGCGCTTCCTGGGTGAGGCAATGCCCCACCCTGCTTCAGCTCGCCCTCCGTGGGCTGCACCCACTGTCTAACCAGTCCCAATAAGATGACCAGGTACCTCAGTTGGAAATTCAGAAATCACCCACCCTCTGTGTCGATGTCGCTGGGAGCTGCAAACCGGAGCTGTTCCTATTTGGCCATCTTGCCAGCAATTAGAAAGTAATTTCTTATTTAAACTTCTGTTTGCTCTCTGAACCTGGCAATTCAGTATAATATATGGGCTAAATGCGAGAAGGAAAATGTTAAATAGAAATTTCATTATCAGGTGGCTCCATAGCTCACACAGACACTAAATTATTTTAATATAATGGCATAAATAAAATGTCACTAAAGAGTTAAATGAGTTTTTCGATTCAGGCTCAATTTTATTTAGGAAATAATGGCCTTTGTAACCTGGGGCAAAAACATCTGGCATTCTGCTAAGAACTTGTCATAGTTTCAAGTATTAGGGGAAAACTATGGTTAGGCTAATGTAGGGCATTGGCTTGTGGCCACAGTTCATGTGTCTTCTGAACAGAGAAAGTGGTGGAGGGGGGCTGAATTGTTCTTCCTGTCCTTGAGTGTAAGTAGGGTGTGAGGTAAACGGATGGTATTAAAGAAAAAGTACATATTATTAAAATGTGTGAGAATCTGGACCTCAGACAGCAGGAGCTGGGAGAGACCTTGCCAAGCCGCAAGGAGCACTTACAGAGACCAGAGAAGCAAGACCAACTCTGGCAAAATAGAAGGTGGGCCTGAGAACAGCAGGAGGAGGAGGATGCTGGCTCACGGGGAAATGTCTAGGGATTGGCTAAGCTCTACCCCTGGACAGGCTGGGGGTGAGGCAGTGTGTTTGAAGAGACCGCCTCTTCCTGAGGTGGACAGTTGGAAGGCCTGGGCCACAGTGATACTAATGGCCCCAGGTAGAGGTGTCTCACCTACCTCAGTGCAGGTACTAACTGTACATGCAACATGGAAACTTCCAGTATTATCAGCCCCAGAAAAAGAGTTTATTTCAGTAGTAAAGTCCACAGGAATCGTAGAGACAAGGGGTGTCCCCAGCAAATCCTAGACAACCAAAAAATATGTTACAGGTCCCAGGGAGAAGCCTGCATGCCTAGTGGGCCTCTGTATTTTCACAGATAATAAAGTCTTAGCCTGGGCGACAGAGGTGACACTCAGTGTCAAGGAAGGAAGGAAGGAAAAGCCTCCAGCTCTCCCTATTCCAGCCCTTCATCTGCAAAGCAACTGCTGTTATTATTCATTTGTTCATTTATATAAAAGTACTTACTGAGCACCTATGATGTGCTGGGCACTGTTTGGGTTGCTGGGAATACAGTGGTGAGCAAGACATGTCAAGTCTCTGCCTCATGGTACTGGCACTTTAGTGGACAAGGCAGACAATAAACACAAATCCATAAAGTAAAATGAGGCAGTGGTGAGCTGTGAATGAAATGCAGCATGAAAGAAGAAAGTGGTGGGAGGGAGTGCTGTTCTGGGCTCTGACCTGACGTGAGGGAGTGAGACTATGACTATCTGGGGGAGAGAGGGCAGCCAGGGCAAAAGCCAGGGCCAGAATTTCTTCGGACATGTATGATCTTGGTTTTATGTGTCTTTCAAAGTGTTATTGTTTAAAAAATGAAAAAAATGAAGCACATCTGCTGAAGAGCTGTCCGTTTTCATTACTGACTCTGTAAAATACACTGTTCTTTGTGTACTGTGTGTTATTTTGCCAGCTGCTGCATTAGCCTTCAAAAGTATTTGGAAACTTAAGATGAACTACAATTTTTTGCAAAGTACATTCCTTTCTGTGGTATTTTTTCCTGCAATGGAAGCATAGTAATTATTTTATGGAAATGTTAGCAATTCTATACCAACTTTGAATAAAATGAAAAATTTATTAAAATTAAAAAAAAAATAAAGTCCTATTCCTAGCTTTTGTCAGTTTCCATGGTGTCAATACTCCCACTGTGGCAGATTTCAAACTATCCATGTGAAGCCACTAAATATGGAGTGGGGAGGAGAGGCACAGAATCCACTCTCAAGGCCAGTGTAAGCCAGCAGCAGCAAGCCACTGGTCTGCCCTGCAGGTAGAGGTCTTCTTGTTGGTCCCTATCTATAAAGTAGAGACAGTTGTAGAAAGGCGACTTTGTGTTCCTCTCCTATACTGATTATACATGTACTACGGAACCCAAAATCAGAGCTTTAGAAATTTGGATGGTCACACAAAACTTTTTATAAATGTTGCTAAATTATTTGGTTGTTTTATGCTAATAAAACCCTCTGGGCAGGGATTCAAATGTGTCTGAAAATTACTTGTAAAGCTGTTAAGAGGATAACAAAGTGTCATTTAAATATAATTTTCCTACTAAAACGTGTTAATTAAAATATGCTAATATATTTTATGAGTTGTTCTTGTGGGATATAAACAATATTTTAAAGCTGTTTAGCTACATAAATTGTTCCAATGCCATTTCTGGATCAAAAGTTCTAAAAGTCTCTGATAATTATGGTTATTAATTTGGTCATAGTTGCTGACATCACTAGGGTTAATACAACATTGAAACAGTACATATTTATTTAAAGACCTTTTAAAAATTGGAGTTCAACGTTAAAGCTGCCTATCATAAAAGAGAAATGATGCATGTACCTGTTCCCAAAAAAGTAGAGTTAAATGAGAGTCAAAGCCTCTAAGTCCTATTTGTCAGTAATCCTTGTTACTCTCTAGTACTCCACCCCTCCCAGTTAGTCTCATTCTTCTCTGCTTGGCTCCATACCCTGGGGGTTAGACCCGTGTGGGTTATATCACCCGGGCTCCCTTGCCATTAGCTCCTGGTTGAGTTTGGCAGGTGGAAGGCAGGAGATTGGAGGTCAGGAGAGATAAGTCACAATATACCTAACATCCTAGCTTCATGCTTTGGAGTTCTGTCTTGGGCAGTAACTGGATCCCTCCATGAAGACAACTCCCACTGGGCCACCTTCTTTGCCGGTGACACTATTTTCTTCCCTTGTCGCTTCCATCCAAGGATGCTGGTGACTCCGCGCTGTCGCCGGTCTCTGGGTCCCTGTGTCTACTTTGTTTGCTTCCTTCATCTTTCCCACACCTCTAAAATCTTCCCTTCACTAAGGTCTCTTTATTTGAATCATCTGGAGTGAATTCTTTCTACTGGGTCCTTCCCTGATACCTTCATAATTGTATATTTCATTTGTATTCTTTATTAACCATAATTAAATTCTAAGACAGTAGTTGCTCCATGTGTTTGTATTTTCTACCATCCCCTGTTGGGGAGATACATTTAAAGCTTTATATGGCATGGGTACCAGCCAGTCATATGAGATGCTGGCTTGTGAGTTGTTCTAGTGCATTGTGGGTGACTGTTCTTTTTGATACAATAAAGCCTAATTCCAAGATACTGGGATTGGAAGAAAAGAAATAAATAACGGATGCGGTCTAAAAATAAAATGCATTAGCTGCTTCTGCAGCCAAGACATTGGCCTTCAGTCCTTTATTTTTTCTATTTCCTCTGTTTGAAATGTTTTTTAGTTGAAAATGACTTTCCAACTTTTTTCTTTTTAAGTATGGCAGATTCACAATAGCAGGCCTCAGATTCAGAACAAAAAATCACAGTGCAGTGGTACCAAACTTGAGTGTGCATCAGGGTCACCTGGAGAACTTGTTAGGACAGGGACTGCTGGGCCCCATCCTCAGTTTCTGATGTAGTTGGTCTGAAGAAGGACATGAGAATTTCCATCTCTAACCAGTTTGCAGGTGATGCTGAGGCTGCTGGACCAGGGACCACATTTCAGAACCACTGTGGTGCATAATCTAGATCCTGTGCCGTATGGCTGCATGGTGGCCCTTCAGACCATTCTTCTCCATTTTACATTTTATAATGATGTTTTTTGCTGCTTTTGAGAAAAGAAGAGATTATAAATCAGCTGGGAAACATTTATTTGCCCTAAATATGAAACACATTTCTCAAGACTTATGATCTCTCATGTCTTATTTTGTATTCAACTATAAAGAATCTTGGGAAGACAGTTGTGAAAATGTCTTGGATCCTTTCCTCAAATTTCTAGTGGATTTTATTCAGTTTCCTAAAGTAATGACTGTATATATTTTCTAAATACATAGCTTCAAATTCTTATAAAAGAGTGAATTAATTTCCAGTTACAAAGACATATTTGAATGATTTAATTTCTTATTGGATGTGACATTTCTATTGTCAGAGAAAATGGATCAGGCAATAAATCAAATATATATTTTAATGTTTATATTTCCTTACCACCCTCAAAATGCAGGAGGAACCAAGGAAAGGCAAAGAAAAAAGTGACTAAGCTCTGTGGCAACATGGACAGATGTAAGTCAAAGCAAGACATCCATAAATCTGGAGGGTTCTTTTTGTAGGGGAAAGAATCTACCATTCTGATATGACTGGGTTTAACTCTACATTGTAGTTATTCTTAAACGTACAAGCAAATCTTAAGAAAGCAAGCTGAGGCAAAGAAATAACTCATAAATTTTAGCCAAAATAATATGTTTTCAATTCTAAGTCAGTTCACAGCCAAAGGAATTAGGAAGGGAAACAAGTTCTTAACTTGATGCAGACCACCGCCATCTTGGAAAATGGATTGAGTAGCTAGATCTGGACCCATGACCCCAACCTAGCTGGATCAGGACATGCTTCTTGGTGGTGTTCTAGGCATAATACCTGAGACTGGATTTATTTCAGTTACTTAGAAAATGTTGCTTTAAATTGTCATCTCCTCCTAAACAACTCATGGTGCTATTGTCAGGAGGAAATGAAGTCCGAGAGTTGAAGTCTCGTATTATTAATATAAGCACAACAGTGGTACACATGACAGCCGGGTGTGGGAAGCAGCCTTGGTTTCAGTGGATCTTGGATTACTCCAGAGCAGATAACTAGGATACTTTTAACTGGAAACAGTGTTCTTCCAAATGTTATCACCCATAACTGGAGATAATGAGATTTTATCCCTAGCTAGCAAGAGCCCTCATGACTTCAGTGCAGCCACTGTGCTCACACTCTTGTCAGGACATATCTACCCCATTTTCCTCCTTGATATAATTATTAGGTCCCTTTCTGTACATATAAAAACATCTCCTTGCATGTTTAAAACAAAACTCACTCTGGTAGTGTTAACTTTCCATGCAGAGCAGAACATTTATAAATGTGTGTCTGCAGAAACAAACAAACAAAAACTTCTCGCTGTAAATAGAACAAAAAGAGGAAAAATGTTGTGGAAATTTTACTGCTGCCCGCTATTCTGTTTATATTCAGGCAAGGCAATTTTATGAAATGCGTAGAGTCAGATTCAGGGTTGAGTTTGAATTGACGTGATCTAAATGCTGGCATGGTATCCAAAAGCCAAATCTGTATCATCTAGTTTTGATATCTGGAAATGTTCGCATGATCTTTTTGACACTTAAAGGACATTAATATTACATTGCTGATGTCAGTATTCAGAAAAAATAGGATTACCTAGGCCTTTGGAATCTTCTCACTAAAGGAAGGTATTTTCCAGCTCTTTTAAGTGAATTCTAAATAATATATCTGCAAATCTGAGGACAGTCTGCCTTCCGTTACAGTGCCAGGCCAAGTCTTCTAAAATCCTTAGATTCTGTGGTTAAGGAGAAATTCTCTCCATGACACATTTTAGTTGGCAATATCAAGATAAAAAGATGCCATTTTGTGTACACGGGCCTGTCTGGTAGAAGGACTTACCAGCTGCAAGGTTTATTTGAACTACAGGATGTCTTTTTTTTTTTTTAAAGTCATGTGCTTGTTTTTGTTTTTGTTTGAGATGGAATTTTGCTCTGTCGCCCAGGCTGGAGTGCAGTGGGTGCGATCTCGGCTCACTGCAACCTCCGCCTCCCAAGTTCAAGTGATTCTTCTCTCTCAGCCTCCCAAGTAGCTGGGATTACAGGTGCTTGCCATCACGCCCGGCTATTATTTGTATTTTTAGTAGAGATGGGGTTTTACCATGTTGGCCAGGCTGGTCTCGAACTTCTGACCTCAGGTGATCCACCTGCCTCATCCTCCCAAAGTGTTAGGATTACAGGTGTGAGCCACCATGCTTGGCTATGTACTTCAAGTAGATTGGTACTTGAACTTCAAGTGGATTGGTAGATTCTAGTACCTTCTAGAAAGCATGCTTATTTTATCTGAGTACCGGATAAGGAACTTATTAAAATGGTACACTACAAGTGCCACATAAGTATTAGAAATTATTTATTTCCAGAAACTACTTTGTGCCACTTTAATGTGTAGCTGTGGCTTTAAGAGATCACTCTTAAGGAGTTATTTAATAATTACCACACGATGTACTCTTAACGTAGTTTTAAAAGTGACCTATCTAAGGACTGAGATTAGAGACAGAAATGCAGGGTCTTTTTCATATTTGATGTCTTCAGCATCTCGCACAATGACAAATACTTTGCTGAGATTGGATGTATATTTGCTGATCAAAGAGGTGGATAAATGAGCCAATAAGAACTTTCTGTTTAAGAAGACTGCTTTCTCTCCTAAATAAAATACATCTTTAGTTAATCTTGAAAACACCTATTACTTTAAACCATAATGTGTAGGGAAAGTAGCTGAGTGCTGAGCCAATTAAAGTGGAGGACTGTTGAGTGAGGTTGTTCTCTGTGATGGCCTCCCACAGAGCCAGTGGGGCATTGAGTTGTGTAAGTAACTGACACACAGAACAAGCTCATGACAGTTTTTTTGAAATCACAAAATGGAGGTGTGTTGTCTAGCTTCAGGGACTTCCTGATGACTGCTTAGCACCAAGTGTCTAAGGAGGTGAGGATGAAAAAGGAAATAAGTGGGCCTATCACATCAGCAAGAATCAGTGTGTCGGGGTAGAGGAGACCTGTAGATTGAAGTGTCAACCCTGTCTGTCTGTCTGTCTGTCTGTCTGTCTGTCTCTGTCTCTGTCTGTCTCTGTCTCTACCCCAACCCCTCCCCGCCCTCTGTCATTCTCTCTCATATCAGTATGTGTATAATGGATATCCCAGAAAAGAGATAGAAAAATAAGAGGGTAAATAAATATTTGAAGAAATAGTGGCAACATTTTCCCAAATTTGGGAAGCTTAACAAACTCCAGGTAGGATAAACATAAGATATTAACAACTAAACATGTCATAGTCAAGCCAAGACAGTGAGAAAATCATGAAAACAGCAAGAGAAAAATAACTGTACAAATGTACAGGGGAAGCAGTAATGTGATTAGCAACTGACTCCTCATTATGAACAGTGGAAATTAGCAGGCAGTGAATGACATATTCAAAGTGCTAACAGAAAAATCTGGCAAGCAAGGGTTCCAAAAACTATCCTTCAACAATGAAAATAAAATAAAGTGATAAACAGATAAACAGGGCCTGAGAGAACTGATATCAAACCTGCTTTCCAAGAACAGACAGGAATGCAAATCCACAGGAAGGATTAAAGAACATCAAAAATGGTAAATTTGTGGATAAATATATACATTTTTCTTTTCTTCTCTTATTTAAAAGACATAGATTGTTTAAAGCAATAATTATAACACTTTATTGTTGGTTTTATAATGTACATAGATGTAATAGCACATATATATGCCATATCTGCATATGTCAAATTATATCAATATATAAAACATAAGTATATTCAATATAAATATATAAATAGCATCTAAAAATATAAGTAGGGAGAAGAAAATAGAGCTATGGTGCAGTAAAGTTTCTGTGTTTTACCAGAATTATGAGCATTAGCATAAAGTAGATTGAGATAAATTAAGATGCCTATTGTAATCCCTAGAGAACCCACTAAGAAGACAATTCAAAAAGTGCAATTAAATATTTTCTTCATTTGTTTTGATTGTTTATTTGGGTGTGAGTGGTCATGACTGCTAAGTTATCAATGTGGAATGGCATGTTTGCCTCATTTAATGTCCTTTGTCTTCAGTTTCCCATTGCCTGATATTAAAGTCTCTGCATTCTCTTTATTTAATTTGCCATGTATGAATCACCCTGTCCTCTTATTTTTCAAGTTTATGAGTAACTTTGTTTTAGGTGTGTTCTTTATAAATGATTTTACTTTCTGATCCAATGTGAGTATTGTTTTCTTATAATGGCACAGTTATCTCACATATTTTGGTTATTGACATAATACACTAAGTCATTTTTTACCTTATAATTGGATTTATATTGAATTCCCACTTTGAAAAATGAGGAAATAAGTATAATTCGACACCTCACCTCCCTATCCTTCCTTCACACCTAGGTTTGGCTACCCAATATTATTGTCATATCTTTAAATAATAGGCTAATATTTCTCATATTGATTTATCAGCTTTGAACTATGTCAACTCTTTATTATAGAAGATGAGGAAACTGGCATATTTACACTCACTACCTCCTACCTTTGCTAAGGTAATTAATAAGTATATCTAATAGAGATATATAAAATTCCACACCTGAAAGCCAAGCATACATCTTGTTTTTAAGTGCCCATGATTAGTTTCCAAAATTGATTAGCTACTAAGCTACAAGTAAAATGTCAATCCATAGTAAAAAAAAAATTGCAGTATCACAGCTTCTGCTCATAATACAATAAAGCTGGACATGAGAGTATCAGATCTAGAAAATTCATAGTCCTAAATACTAATGTAGATGAACAACAAAGAATAAAAATAAGTTCATGGCAGCATTTTTCATAACAGTCAAAAGGTGGGAAAAACCCATATGTCCATTAACTAATGAATGGATAAACAAAATGTAGTATAATCATACAATGAAATATTATTCAGCCATAAGGAGGAATGAAGTATTTATACACGCTACAACATGGATTACACTAAATGAAAAAAGCCAGATATATAAGGCTACTTATTATATGATTTCCTTTATATGAAAGCTCCTGAATTAACTATTTATGACTTTTCCATAAATCTATAATCCATAAATCCATAGAGATGGAAAGTAGATTAGTGGTTGCCAGTGCATGGGAGAGAGGGATAAATGGGAAGTTACTATTAATGGGTACAGAGTTTCTTTTGGGAGTGATGAAAATATTTTGAAACTAGATTGTGGTGGTAATTGCACAATTTGGTGAACATACTAAAAATCAGCAAATTATACACTTTAAAATTCACAGACTTTGTCTGTGAATTATCAGTCAGTATAAAAAGTGATATACTTCTTCCATATTCTCTTGGTCCACTCTTGATACAGTTACCCAAAGGTAAATACCAGAAGGCAGGAAGCATTTGAGGACTGTTTTGGAGGCTGGCTACCACATATATCTTTAAAAATGTATGTCCTGTTGGCCAGGCGCCATGGCTCACGCCTGTAATCCCAGCACTTTGGGAGGCTGAGGTGGGTGGATCACAAGGTCAGGAGTTCGAGACCAGCCTGGCCAATATGGTGAAACCCCATCTCTACTAAAAATAACAAAAATTAGCTGGGCGTGCTGGCGGGAGCCTGTAGTCCCAGCTACTTGGGAGGCTGAGGCAGGAGAATCTCTTGAACCCGGGAGGCAGAGCTTGCAGTGAGCCGAGATCTGCCATGCACTCCAGCCTGGATGACAGAGCGAGACTCTGTCTCAAAAAAAACAAAACAAAACAAAAAAACTATGTCCTATTATACCCTACACTTCTCCCATGTCAAATAGCTTCAACTGGATGCAGCTACTAACATCTGTATACTTAGCTCCATTCATTGGACAATCCAAGGCCACATTTCATAGCTAATTTTCTTTTTTTTTCTATTTCAAGTCTCATGTTTTACATGACTTTTCTTTTGTTGCTACCTAGTATTTATATATATATATATATATATATATATATATATATATATATATATATATATATATATATATATACTTTAAGATCTGGGATACATGTGCAGAACGCGCAGGTGTGTTACATAGGTATACATGTGCCATGGGGGTTTGCTGCACCCATCAACCCATCGTATACATTAGGTATTTCTTCTAGTGCTATCTCCTCCCCAGCGCCCCACTCCACAACAGGCCCCAGTGTGTGATGATCCCCTCCCTGTGTCTATGTGTTCTCATTGTTCAACTCCCACTTATGAGTGAGAACATGTGGTGTTTGATTTTCTGTTCCTGTGTTAGTTTGCTGCAAATGATGGTTTCCAGCTTCATCCGTGTCCCTGCAAAGGACATGAACTGATCCTTTTTTATGGCTGCATAGTATTCTATGGTGTATATGTGTCACATTTTCTTAATCTAGTCTATCATTGATGGGCATTTGGGTTGGTTCCAAGTCTTTGTTATTGGGAACAGTGCTGCAATAAACGTACGTGTGCATGTGTCTTTATAGTAGCATGATTTATAATCCTTTGGGTATACCCAGTAATGGGATTGCTGTGTCAAATGGTATTTCTGGTTCTAGATCCTTGAGGTATCGCCACACTGTTTTCCACAATGGTTGAACTAATTTACACTCCCACCAACAGTGTAAAAGCGTTCCTGTTTCTCCACACCCTCTCCAGCATCTGTTGTTTCCTGACTTTTTAATGATCGCCATTCTAACTGGTGTGAGATGGTATCTCACTGTGGTTTTGTTTTGCATTTCTCTAATAACCAGTGGTGATGAGCTTTTTTTCATATGTTTGTTGGCCACATAAATGTCTTCTTTTGAGAAGTTTCTGTTCATATCCTTTGCCCACTTTTTGGTGGGGTTGTTTGTTTTTTTCTTGTACATTTGTTTAAGTTCTTTGTAGCTTCTGGATATTAGCCCTTTGTCACATGGATAGATTGCAAAAATTTTCTCCCATTCTGTAGGTTGCCTGTTCACTCTGGTGATAGTTTCTTTTGCTTCACAGCTAATTTTCTATCCTAAATGGTGTCCTGTTTAATGAAGGTCAGTGTGATTGGAAAATTATTTTCTAACACATCATTATTTCTTACTGAGCTTTCCACTCACAAGTAGAAATTTCCATTTCTAAATGTCTCAAATACATTAAACATAGCTGTATTATCTCCAGTTGTAACAGAAATCCTGTAAGGTAGAGGTGCATATTATTGGTGGGGAAAATGAGGCTTGGAAAAGTTATATAATTTCCCTAAGGTTTCCTGGCTAGTAAGTGTCAGAGCAAGGATTCTAAGCCGTATAATAACAACCACCACAATAGTTCACATATACTGAATATTCACTGTGTGACACATTATTCTACATGATCTCCACATATTATCTCATTGAATAATCACAACAGCCTGATGAAGTAGGTACCATTAATGTTTTGCAAATGAGAAACTGAGGCTTAGAAAGGTTAACTAACATACCCAAGGTCACAAAGGTAGTGAGTGGTGGAGCAGAGACCAGAACCCAGGTCTGCTTGAGTCTTGTTTGTGCACTTAGCATTGTATCACACTGCCTCCAGAGTGGAGTAGAGCTGAGTGGAACTGAGGAAGCTTTCAGATTTTTATATATGTATGAATTTATTAATTTATGTACATATCATATATATATATATATTTGAGATGGAGTCTTACTCTATCACTTAGGCTGCAGTGCAGTGGTGTGATCTCGGCTTACTGCAACCTCCACCACCTGGGTTCAAGCAGTTCTCCCATCTCAGCCTCCCGAGTAGCTGGGATTACAGGTGCATGCCACCACGTCTGGCTAGTTTTTGTATTTTTAGTAGAGATGGGGTTTTGCCATGTTGACTAGGCTGGTCTTGAACTCCTGGCCTCAGGTGATCTGCCCACGTCGGCCTCCCAGAGGGCTGGGGTTATAGGCGTGAGCCACCACGCCTGGCCATATCCCTTATATCTTGCTCCAGAAAGGATTTGAGGTGGCCAGAGGGTCTAAATTTTCTTTCCACGAGGATATAATCAACTTATTCTCGCAAAAATAACTGACTCCAGTGTCCCATGCAAGTATTTCGCAGAAAGACTGAATTTTTCCAGATGCTATCCTTATATCCCTCTCTATATGCCTTTGAAGTTTCCGTTTAGTTGTTTCTCCTTTTTAATTCTCATTGTAATGGGAGATATTGAACAAAATCTTTGAGATCCAACTCCACCAAAATTCTATTTTGGATAAATGAAAACCTATTTTGGATATTGGATAAATGGAAACCTTATATCAAGAAAGGTTTTCATTTCCCAAAGAGGGCGCTGTGGTTCAAATTAGTGCATTTGCTAGCACTGAGTTCCTATTTGGGCTTTCTTCCTTTTGCATCCTCTGAATGAAGAATTGCAGTATAATTTAGGATTTGGAAAGTGTTTGAAGGCCTGTTCATTAATCTTGTGTAGGAACTGGACAGCTCCCTCATCAAACACAAATCAAACACAAAAGTCTGATTTTTTTTTTGGAAGAAAAGGAAACAGCTGAGGTTTCTGCATAATTAGAACAAGAGTAGCAGGCTCTCAAGAAGTGTCCACACAAAAGAATTAGAGACAGAAACAGATTTAATGAAAACTAATCTTCAGGACCACACACTTGCACAGGCCCTTTCCAAGTTCCCAGGAAGAGTTCCAGCAATGTGTTCAAATGGCCATGTGTTTCTGTAAAATTTGCCTAAGTACAGTATTTTATATTTATTTATTTATTTATTTATTTATTTTTGAGACGGAGTTTCACTCTTGTTGCCCAGGCTGGAGTGCAATGGTGCGATCTTGGCTCACTGCAACCTCTGCCTCCTGGGTTCAAGCAATTCTCCTGCCTCAGCCTCCTGAGTAGCTAGGATTATAAGCATGCACCACCATGCCCGGCTAATTTTGTATTTTTAGTAGAGATGGGGTTTTTCCATGTTGGTCAGGCTGGTCTCGAACCCCCGACCTCAGGCGATCCGGCTGCCTCGGTCTCCCAAAGTGCTGGGATTACAGGCGTGAGCCACTGTGCCCGGCCCAAAAGTACAATGTTTATTTTAACCACTGTCAGTTAGGGTTGCTCTTCCTTCTTCAACTTTTCCTTGGTCACATGCTTCCTCAGGTTGACTGCTACTGGATGGCCTTGGGCATTACTTAGATCTGACTAAGGTGAAATCAGGCTGGGGATACATTTATTTTAGGGCTTACAGAATATATTTATGTGATTTGCTGTCATTTCCATAGAGTTATGTTACTGCTAGGTGTCCTGGTGCAGAGAGGGCTTCCAGGAGTACTGCTGTTACCCAGGGAGCCAATTCATTTAGCGTCGTGACATAAAAGTGTGGGCTGACGATCTTGTTGCAATAAGGGTGTGTGTCTAGCACCAGAATTATGTGGTGCTGGTAGAACAAGGTTTGGAATGTATGGAAATAGATGCTGATCCACAGAGAATTCTTGCAGCTGTTAAACATGTAAAATTACAAGCTCAGGATTTGGTTCTCATATATGCCTAGCCAGAATAAAAGTACTCTTTTATGAGGAATATGTTCAATGAGGCAGTATATCCAGCTACAAATATACCATACATTTTTTATGGGAATCACATGAAAGACTATTTCCAGGGCATGAAACTGTAGCACAACCACAAACAACAGTTTCTGCAGATGAAGTTGCACCTTTTACACATCCCAATAACCAACCATAAAAAAATTACATCAACCGTGCTAGGAGTGTAAATTATCTTTCGCTTATCTCTATGAAAATGATATTACAAAATCATTGTCATATAAATGGATGTTCAAATCGTATGAAGCCAAAAATGTAGGGGAAAATATCACAGAGGATGGTCAGGCAATAAATGAATAAAAATACTGGATTTGTGATGTTTGTGGTATTGTCAGATTCTAAAAATTTTGTAATTTCCTTTGGTTACGTTATCATTTTAAATAAATATTCTCATTCATGCCTAATTTGTATTTGTAAATTTTTGTTCTCTTAATCCCAGTGGGCCTTCAAAATTACAGACATTTCAGACCCCACAAAACCTGAATCTTTTCCTGATTAGAGATACTTTCTCTGATAACTACAGCAGAATGGTAGAAATAAAATATACTTAAAACTTTATTTAATAATTGGAAATTTTATTTCTGAATGTCAAGTTCCATGAATTTCCTTTTTAACTCAGTTTTAGTGAGGTATAGTTTACATACAGTAATATGCAGAGATTTTAAGTATACATTTCAATGACTTTGACAAATGTGTAAACGTATGAAACTAACATCCAAATAATGATACAGAACCTTTTCATCATCCCCCCAAATTCCCTTGTACTACTTTCCAGTAACTCCACCCCCAGCTCCCCAGGCAACTGATACTCTGATTTTTTTTTTTTTTTTTTTTTGAGATGGAGTCTTGCTCTGTCGCCCAGGCTGGAGTGCAGTGGCACAATCTTGGCTCACTGTAACCTCTGCCTCCTGAGTTCAAGTGATTCTTCTGCCTCAGTCGCCCGAGTAGCTGGGACTACAGGCATGCGCCACCACACCTGGCTAATTTTTATATTTTTAGTAGAGACGGGGTTTCACTGTGTAGGCCAGTCTGGTCTCGAATGATATTCTGATTTTTATCACTAGAGATCAGTTGCCTGTTTGTGAAGTTGATAGGAATGGAATCACACAGTGCACTCCTTTGTGTCTGACTTCTTCACTCACCATATGTGCGATGGTTAATCTTATGTCAACTTGACTGGGCTAAGGGATGCCCAGATAGCTGGTAAGACATTATTTCTGGGCATGTCCATGAGGGTATCTCCAGAAGAGATGATCATTTGAGTTGGTAGACTGAGTAAGGAAGACTGCCCTTGTCAGTGTAGTTGGGCATCATCCTGTCCATTGAAAGCCCAGATAGAGCAAAATGGCAGAGAAAGGACAGATTCTCTCTTGTCTTGAGCAAGGACATCCATATTCTTCTGCCTTTGGACGTGAAGCTCCTGGTTCTCAGGCCTTCAGACTCAGACTGAATTAGACCACTAGCTTTCCTAGGTGTTTGCAGATGGCAGATGGTCGCCAAGAAATCTTTCTTGGGCTCCATAATCAAGTGAGATAATTCCGGTAGTAATAAATCTCTGTCTCTGTCTCTCTTTCTGTTGTTTCTCCGGAGAACTCTAATACAATATGTTTTTGTTTTGTTTCTTAATTTTTAAGTTTATGGGTGTATAGTAGGTGTATGTATTTATGGGGTACATGAGATATTTTTATACAGGCATACAATGCACTATAATCACGTCAGGGTAAATGGAGTATCCATCTCCCCAATATACAACGTTTTTTTGAGATATGCCCATGCTGTTGTGTAGATCAGTAATCTGTTGCTTTTTGGTGATAAGCACTAAATCATGATTTCTCTATTCTCCTGTTAAACATTTGGGTTATTTTCAGGTTTTGCTATTAAGAATAAATCTGCTATAAATATTTTTGTACAGGTCATTTTGTGAAGACTGATTTTCATTTCTCTTGGAGATATACTTAGAAACGGAATTGCTGGGTTCTGTGATAGGTGGGTATTTACTTTATAAGGAAATGCCAAAACTTTTTCCAGTGAGGTTGTACCATAAATCACTTCCGTCAGTGATTAATGAGAATTCCACTTGTTTCATATGCTCATCAGTATGCTAAGAGTTGTGAAGTGGTGTCTCATTGTGGCTTTAATTTACATTTCTCTATTAATAATAATGTTGAGTGCCTTTTCATATGTTTACTGACCATTCCTGTATCTTCTTTTATTAAGTATTCTAAATAATTTACCCATTTTTATTTGGATGGTTTGACTTATTATTGAGTTGTAGTAGTTCTTTATAAACTCTGAATGTAAGTTCTTTATAAAGTTTGGAGAGATCTATTTATCTACACATACATTATCTATCTGTCTATCTATCTATCTATCTATCTATCTGTCTATCTTGTCTGTCTACCTATCTATCTATGAATGAATCATCCATCTATCTGAAGAGAATATTTTCTCCCAGTCTGTGGTCTGTCTTCAGTGTCTTTTTTTTTTTTCCTAAAAAAAACAACCTTTTATTTTGGAATACTTTTGGAGTTACAAAAGAGTTGCAAAAATAACAGAGACAGTTCCTGTAAACCCTCCACCTGGCTTCCTCTAAAATTAATATTTTATTTTTTCCACAGATTTGGTGATTATCTGCTCATCTTATTACTGATTTCTAATTTGATTCTGTTGTGGTCAGAGAACACATTCTGTACAATTTCAGTCTTTTGAAATTTATTATGACATGCTTTGTAATCCAGCACATAATTTATCTTGTTTTCATGCATACATGAACAGAAATGTATTTTTTTGCAGTTGTTAGATGTAGTATTTAAAAAACATAAATTAGATCAAGTTGGTTAATAGTATTGCTCAAATCTTTTATATCTTAATGGATTTTTGTCTGCTTGTTATATCAAATAGAGTGTTGAAATCACTAACTATAACTGTGGAATTGTCTAATTCTTCTTTTCAATTCTGTTGGTTTTGCTGCATATTTTTGAAGTTCTGTTTCTAGATGCATACACATTTAGAATTGTTATATCTTCTTGATGAAATGACTATTTTTTCATTATGAAATGTCCATCTTTATCACTGGTAATGCTCCTCGTTTTGTTTTCTTTTGTTGGAACAGAGTTTTGCTCTTGTCACCCAGGCTGGAGTGCGGTGGCATGATATCGGCTCACTGCAACCTCCGCCTCCTGGGTTCAAGTGATTCTCCTGCCTCAGCCTCCTGAGTAGCTGGGGTTACAGGTGCGTGCCACCACACCTGGCTAATTTTTGTATTTTTTAGTAGAGACGGGGTTTCACCATGTTGGCCAGGCTGGTCTCAAACTCCTGACATTAGGTGATCTGCCTGCCTCGGCCTCCCAAAGTGCTGGGATTACAGGTGTGAACCACTGTGCCTGGCCTTACTCCTGGTTTTGAGTCTACTTTGTCTACTTTGTCTGATATTACTATAATCACTCTAGCTTTTTTTTTTTTTTTGAGACGGAATCTCGGTCTGTCGCCCAGACTAGAGTGCAGTGGCGCGATCTCAGCTCACTGCCAGCTCCGCCTCCCAGGTTCATGCCATTCTCCTGCCTCAGCCTCCCGTGTAGCTTGGACTACAGGCGCCCGCCACCACGCCTGGCTAATTTTTTTTGTATTTTTAGTGGAGACGGGGTTTCACCATGTTAGCCAGGATGGTCTCGATCTCCTGACCTCGTGATCCGCCCACCTCGGCCTCCCAAAGTGCTGGGATTACAGGTGTGAGCTACCGTGCCCGGCCCACTCTAGCTTTTTTATGATTAGTATTTACATATTTTTGCACCTCTTTACTTTCAGTGTATCTATGTCTTTATATTCAAAGTTCATCTTTGTAGGCAGAATATAGTCGAGTCTTATTTTCTATCCAGTCTGACAATCTTCGCTTTTAGTCAGAAAGCTTCTTATTGACATGGTTGAGTTTCAGCCTATCATCTTACTATCTTCTTTCGTCTATCCCAGCTGCTCTTTTTCCCTTTGTTCTTTCTTCCTGCGTTATTTCAGATTAATCAGTTTTTTTTAGCATTCCACTGTATCCCCCTTTCTCATTTTTAGCTATGCCCCTTTTAAGTGGTTACTCTAGGGTTATGGTACAGATATCCAACTCATCATAGTCTCCTGTGAGTTAATATAGTATCTCTTAACCTATAATTTGAGAACATTATAATGTTGTATTTCTTTTTTTCTTTTTTCTTTTTTTTTCTGGAGATGAAGTCTCGCTGTGTCGTCCAGGCTGGAGTGCAGTGGTGTGATCTCGGCTTACTGCAACCTCCGCCTCCCGGGTTCAAGCAATTCCCCCGTCTCAGCCTCCCGAGTAGCTAGGACTACAGGTGCGCATGCCACCATGCCTGGCTAATTTTTGTATTTTTAGTAGAGACGGGGTTTCACCATATTGGTCAGGCTGGTCTTGAACTCCTGACCTCAGGTGATCCACCCACCTCGGCCTCCCAAACTGCTGGGATTACAGGTGTGAGCCACCGCGCCCAGCCATAATGTTATATTTCTTTCTTTCTTTCTTTTTTTTTGAGGCAGAGTCTTGCTCTGTCTCCCAGGCTGGAGTGCAGTGGCCCAATCTTGGCTCACTACAACCTCCGCCTCCTGGGTTCAAGTGATTCTCCTGCCTCAGCCTCCTGAGTAGCTGGGACTACTGGTGTCTACCACCACACCCTGCTAATTTTTGTATTTTTAGTAGAGACAGGGTTTCACCATATTGGCCAGGCTGGTCTGGAACTCCTGACCTTGTGATCTGCCTCGGCCCCACAAAGTGCTGGGATTACAGGTGTGAGCCACTGCGCCCGGCCCATAATGTTATATTTCTAATAACCTCCATCCTGTTTTTATTTTTTTGCTATTGTTAAGTACAACATATCTGTATGTAAACTTTCCATATCTTGTAAACCACACAATGTATTCTTATTTTTATTTTAGTCAGTTTTCCTTTAAAGAAGTTAAGTAAACAAGTAAATTTTAAACAATGTGTTTACTGTTTTTGGTACTCTTAATTTCTTCCTATAGATCTGTTACTAATTGGTATTGCATTTCCTTTATCCTGAAGTACTTCCTTTTACATTTCTTGTAGTGCAGGTCTACTGGCAACAAATTCTATCAGATTTTACTTATTTGTAAATATTTTTATTTTTATTTTCTTCTTGAAGGGATATGTTTTCTAAAATTCTAGTTGACTTTTTTTTTCTTCAGCATTTTAAAGATTTCCCATTGCTTTTTGGCTTCCATTGTTTCTTTCTTTTCTTTTCTTTTTTTTTTTTTTTTGAGACAGAGTCTCGCTCCGTCCCCCGGGCTGGAGTGCAGTGGCACAATCTCAGCTCACTGCAAGCTCTGCCTCCCAGGTTCATGCCATTCTCCTGCCTCAGCCTCCCGAGTAGCTGGGACTATAGGTGCCCGCCACCACGCCTGGCTAATTTTTTGTATTTTGTAGTAGAGACGGGGTTTCACCATGTTAGCCAGGATGGTCGCGATCTCCTGCCCTCGTGATCTGCCCGCCTTGGCCTCCCAAAGTGCTGGGATTACAAGCATGAGCCACCATGCCCAGCTTTCTTGTTTTTTTTTCCAGCTCTGTCACCCAGGCTGGAGAGCAGTGGCACGATCTTGGCTCACTGCAACCTCCACCTCCCAGGTTCAAGCCATTCTCATGCCTCAGCCTCCTGAGTAGCTGGGATTACAGGCACATGCCACCGTGGCCAGCTAATTTTTTTATTTTTAGTAGAGACGGGTTTTTGCCATGTTGGCCAGACTGATCTTGAACTCCTGACCTCAAGTGATTCACCCACCTCAGCCTCCCCAAGTATTGGGATTACAGACATGAGCCACTGTGCCCAGCCTGCTTCCATTGTTTCTAGTAAGATGTCAGCCATAGTTCTTATTGTTGTATGTACTGTGATATATCCCTCTCTGCCTTCCCCCTTCCCCCAGCCGCTTTTGAGATTTTCTCTTTATTTTTGGTTCTCTGCAGTTTGACATTTATGTATGTGCCTCAGCATAGTTTTCTTTTTGTTCATCTTGCTCAGGGTTTCCTTAGCTTAGTGGTGCTTTGGGTTTGTTCACCTTCAAATTGGGAAGATGTTGGTCATTATTTTTTAAAGTATTTTTTCTTCTCCATTCTCTCTCTCCTATTCTTCCGGGACTTGAATTATATATATTAGATCACTTCAAATTGTCCCACAGATCAGTGATTCTTTATACATTTTTATTTCAATCTTTCTCTCTTTTTTTCTTTCAGTTGAAACATACAACTTTTTTGATGATACACAAATGAAGCTTTTGGTGGATAAATTGAAGTCAAAACAAATAACAAAACAGTATGTCATTTATAATAGACAGGTTCACTGTCAATTCAGAGGAACCAGTAAAAAATATTTCAATCCAAGCAGCATGATTAAAATCACAAATATGTTTTCAGCACAAGAGGACTATTTATTTGATATTCATAAGATGGTTCAGCTTGAAGCAGGTGACTGTCACAGATAACATCACTCTGGGTGAGACATTATTCAAAACTAGCAGCTGAAAGGATCCCTTTATTATATGACTAAGTGGAAAAGCAGTAACTTTCAATTTTCAATGCCTCCAGCTGCAAAACCAAGAAATTTCTTGAAGTCTTTTGAGAGCACATAACCAATTAGAATTTGTTCACTAGTTTTATAACTTTCACTTTCACCGAGAGGTCATCTGATTTGCTAAGGCTCTAATTTTCTTAACACACACTCCAAATGCAATGCATACGTTTGAAAAGGGAAGCTTTATTGAATTCTCTATAGCTGAACACTTCTACTCTGAGATTGTCATAGATGATCTCAAATATAGTAAGGGCATCAATAAAAATTTCTTATTCCACATAAGAATTGTAGAGATAATTAAATATGTAGACACTTGGGTACTGAGAAGTTTTTTCTTTTTTTAGCATATCTGATTTTCAGCAAAATTCAAAATTATTTTCAAAATCTCAACCTTGATTCTTAGCCACCAAAGCCATAAAGGGTGCACCCCTGCCACTTAAACACATAGACTACGCCCATGGCTGTTACATCTTGCACTTGGCATGCTTGGTGTGACATCATCCTGGATCACATTCTCCAGAAACACCTTCAAAACCTCCTGGATCTCCTCATAGATGAGGCCAGAAATGCTCTTGACACCATCACACCAAGCAAGATGCCAGATAGGAGGCTTGCAGATAGATGCCTTGCAGGCTGTCATACGTAGGACCTTGCAGTGACACTTAGTTCCTTCCTTACCCAGTCCTTTTCCACCTTTGCCTCAGCCAGACATGACAAAACAGATGCTTTTTCTTTTTGTGGTTCAGTTTGCAAAAATTTTATGACCTGTGTTCAAATTTCACTGATCTTTTTTTCTGTGGTGCCCAATATGATGTTAAGGGTACACAATGAATTTTTCATTTCATATATTGTATTTCCCATGTCTTCACCTATTCCTTCTTTCTTTCCTTGTAAATTCCTAACTATATTTATAGTAGTTGTTTTAAAGTCATAAGTCTGCTAATTCCTCTGTCTAGGTCATCTTGTGGGTCTCCTATTGATGATTTCTTTCTCTTATGTATCAGATTTTTTTTGCATCTTCCCATGTCTCAATATTTTACCGTAAGGCAAAAATTGTGTATAAATGATAGTGGATACTGCTGTATAATATTTTGTGTTTTGTTTTCACAGAACTTTCAAATCCTTCCTTCCATTCAGGTTTATGGGATAATGGGTTGTTTGTCCAGTGCCAACTAAGATGTGAAGACTGGAATTGGGCTACAGTATTAACCCCAGCTTCCTGCATTGTTGCCACTAAGTGGTTCATCCCTTTGATACTGTCAGAATTTAACTGGAAGGAGATTAGTTGCCACATGAGTTGGTTTGGATGACTTTTGGATTCAACTACAATTAGGCTTTAGAATCAGAACACTCAAGACTGCACAAACTTTCTCTAGTTTCTAGCCTCATGCCCACTGATACTTCAGGATACCCCTTTGTCACTTTTGCAGCAAATTCTTAGAGTGGAGAGGGAATTGTTGGACTAAATAATTTATGTTTGCATTAGAGCTCTTCCAAATTCCAATTCGTCTTGCCAGCCCATGCTATTATTAAGTATTCAATGGATTTTTTTTTTTGTTCTTTGAAAAATTTCTCTATCTATAGCTAGGCCACTTCTCTACTCACCTATGCCCAGAGTAGACATTGGCCTCTATATATAAAAATGTCCACAACTCTTTACTCATATGTAAAGGGCTTGCTATACTCTGCTGTTTAGTTTATTATGCCTATTTGTATCTACTTCTCGATGGCTTTGGGGATAAGTGTGAGAGTTTTTTTGTTTTATCTGTTTTTTTTTTTCTTGTTACTCTGGAAGCAGTAGTTTCCACATTTTATTATATTTTTATTAGGTGGGATGTTCTGTAAATGTCTACTAGGTCTAGATGGTTTGTATTGCTGTTGAAGTCATCTTCTCCTTTTGTAAAAAATTTTCTGCCTAGTTGTCCTATCCATTATTGAAAGTGGGGCACTGAGGTTTCCATACATTATTGTTGGATGATCTGTCTCATCCTTCAATCCGATTTTCTTCTTTTAACTCATGTTATATGCCATCTACTGCCTCCATTGTTTCCGATTAGTCAGGTATTAATCTTATTGGGGTTCTTTGGTAAGTAATTATTTTTTTCTTGTCACTTTCAGATGGTTCTCTTTATCTTCAGATCTCAGTATTTGTGGTTTTTTTCAATAAATACATAAATTAATTATCTTTTATTTTAAATTCTGCTGTGGGGGAAAGTAAAGGATTAATTTACTCTTACCTCTTATTTTCCCCTACAGCATAATTGACAAATAAAAATTATATGTGTTTGTAGTATACAATTTGATGGTTGTACATATAAAAACTTATTGTGAAATGATTACCTCCAGTTTTAGATGGAGGATGGATACCTCCAGTTTTGTCCTTGCTCAAGATTGCTTTGACTGTTCAGGGTGTTTTGTGGTTTCATGCAAATACTAGGATTTTTTTTCTGTTTCTATAAAAAATGCTATAAAACTTTGAAAGCATTGAATCTGTAGATTGTTTTGAATAGTATAGACATTTTAACATTATCATTTCTTCCAATTCATGAATATCTTTTCATTTATTTGTGTCTTCACAAATTTCTTTCATCAATGTTTTACTCAATGGTTTACATCAATGTTTATAGTGTTTAATGTACAGGTCTTTCACATCCTTGGTTAAATTCATTCCTAAGTATTTTATTTTGATCTATTGTAAATGGGATTCTTTTCTGAATTTCTTTTTTGGATAGTTTGTTTCTCTACAGAAATGATACTTATTTTTGTATATTTAATTTGTATCCTACAGCTTTGCTAAATTCATTCATTCTGTTTTTTTGGTGGAGTTTTTAGGGTTTTCTACATATAACATCATGTTATCTGCAAAGAGACAATTTTAATTCTTCCTTTTCAATTTGGATGCCTTTTCTTTTTCTTGCCTGATTGCTCTGGCTAGGACTTCCAGTACTTAATAGAAGTGGCAAGAATGAGCATCCTTGTCTTATTTTTTATTTTAGAGAAGTTTTCACCAGTGAGTATGATATTAGCAATGGGCTTGTCTTATGTGGCCTTTATTGTGTTGAGGTATATTCCTTCTATACCTAATTTGTTGAGAATTTTTATTATTACAGGATATTGAATTTTGTCAATGGCTTTTTTTCTGCATCTATTGAGATGATCATATGATCTTTGCCTTTCATTCTGTTAATGTGGTATATCACATTTATTGATTTGCCTATGTTGAACCATCCTTGCATTCCAGGGATAAAACCCACTTGATCATGGCATATAATCTTTTTAATGTGCTGTTGGATTCAACTTGCTATTATTTTGTTGAGGAGTTTTGCATTTATGTTCATCAGGGATATTGGCCTGCAGTTTTCTTTTCTGTTAGTGTCCTTATATGGCTTTGGTATCAGGGTAATACTGGCCTTGTTTCCATTTTTAAGAAGAGTTTTGAAAGGACTGGTTAATTTTTCTTTAAATGTTTGGAAGAATTCAGTCATGAAGCCATCAGGTCCTGGGCTTTTTTTTTTTTTTTTTTTTTTTTTGATGTGAGACATTTCATTAGTTATTCAGTATCTTTATTTATTATTTGTCTTTTCAGATTTTCTCTTCATGATTCATGGTTGATAGGTTATATATTCATAGTAGTTTATTTTTTTCTAGGTTGTCCAATTTGTTGACATTTAACTGTTTATAGTTGTCTCTTATGATCCTTTGTTTTTCTGTGGTATCAATTGTAATGTCTTCTATTTATAACTTTGAATTTTTCTTTTTTTTGGTTAATTTAGCTAAAGTTTATCAATTTTTTTATATTTTTTAAACTATTTCTTTGATATTTTTTGTCATTTTTCTAGTGTCTATTTCATTTATTTCTCCTTTGATTTTTATTATTTCTTTCATTCTGCTAACTGTGGGCTTAGTTTGCTCTTCTTTTTCTAGTTCTTTGCACTGTAAAGTTAGGTTGTTTATTTGACATGTTTTTTATTCATGTAGGTGCTATCACTATAAACTCTCTTACTAAAACTGCTTTTGTTACATCCCCTACATTTTAGTATGTTGTATTTTCATTTTAATTTGTTTCAAGATTTAAAAAATTTCCTTTTTGATTTATTATTTGACCCATTGTTTAGGAGTGTGTTATTTAATTTCCACGTATTTGTAGAATTTCATTTTTCTTGTATTATTGGTTTCTAGCTTCACATCATTGTGGTTGGAAAAGATGCTTGCTATGATTTCAGTCTTCCTAAATTTGTGAAGACTTGTTTTGTGGCCTACGATATGATCTATCCTGGAGTATGTTCCTTGTGAGCTTGAAAAGAATGTGTATTCTGCTGCTGTTGAATAGATATTCTGTATATGTCTATCATGCCCATTTGGTTTATACTTGTTATTCAAGTATACTGTTTCATTATTGGTTTTTTGTCTGGACGATCTATCCATTGTTGAATGTGGGATATTGAAGTACCCTACTATTATTATATTGCTATCTATTTCTCCCTATAATTCTGTTTATATTTGTTTTATATATTTAGGTGTTCCAACGTTGGGTGCAAATATATTTATAATTATTACATCCTTTTGACGAATGTTTCTGTTTATCATTATGTAGTGACTTTCTTTGTCTCGCGTGACAATTTTTGACTTAAAATCTATCTTGTCTGATATAGGTATAACCACCACTGCTGCTCTTATTTGGTTACCACTTTGCATGGAATATGTTTTTCCATTCCTTTACTTTCAATCTGTATGTGTCCTTAAAGCTAAAGTGAGTCTCTTGTAGGCAGCATATTGTTGGGTCGCTTTTGCTTTTTGTTTTTAAATCTAGGAAGCCATTATATTTTTGATTGGAGTCCATTTATATTTAAAGTAATCACTGATAGATAAGGACTTACTATTGCTGTTTTATTAATTATTTGCTATTTTGTAGTTCCTTCATTCCTTTCTTTCTTACTATCTTCCTTTATCATTTGATAATTTTTTGTAGTGGCATGAGATGTGATTTAATTACTTTCTCTTTGTCTTTTGTGTATCTGCTACAGGTATTTTCTCTGTGGTTCCTTTGAGGCTTATATAAGATATTTTATAGTTTTATCAGTGTATTTTAATCTGATAATGACTTCAGTTCAACCACATTCAAGAACTCTACACTTTAAAATTTCCTTCCCCCCATTTTGTTACTGATGTCGCAGTTTACATCTTTTATATATTGTGTTTCATTATGTATTCATTAATATATTATTGAAACTATAGTTATTTGTAATACTTTTGTTTCTAAATGTATATACTAGAGTTAAAAGTGACTTACATACCACCATTACAGTATTAGAATATTCTGAATTTGACTATATTCTTACTTTTACAGTGAGTTTTATACTTTCATATGTTCTCACGTCATTATTTTAGCATCCTTTCATCTCAACTTGAAGAGCTACATTTAGTATTTCTTATACTGCAGGTCTAGGTTGATGAACAACCCCAGCTTTTGTTTGTCTGGCAAAGTCTTAATCTCTCCTTCATTTGTAAAGGACAGCTTTGCTGGGTATAGTCTTTTTGGTTGAAGGGGCTTTTCCTCCCTTTAGCACTTTGAATATATTATCCCACTCTCTCGGCCTGCAAGGCTTCTGTTGAGAAGTCTGCTGTTAATCTTATGGTGGCTCCTTTGTATGTGATGAGTTGCTTTTCTGTTGCTTTCCAAGTTTTGTTTTTCACTTGACAATTTGACTATAATTTGTCTTGGTGAAGATCTCTTTATATTTCATCTATTTGAGGTTCTTTGAGCTTCATGGATCTTGATGTTCATATACCTCTCCAGATTTGGGAGTTTTCTGTCATTATTTATTTAAAGTCTTCTTATCTTAAATTATTATATATACATACTAGTTGTACATATTTATGGGGTATATGTGATATTTTGATATAAGCATACAATGTAGAATGATTAAGTCAGAATAATTGGGGTATCCATCACCTCAAGCATTTATCATTTCTTTGTTTAAGGAACATTCCAATTCTACTCTTTTAGTTACTTTGAAACATACAATAAATTATTGTTAACTATTGTCACTCTACTGTGCTACCAAACATTAGATCTTATTCATTCTATTTAACTGTGTTTTTATGCCCATAAAATGATTTATAAACCATTCCCTGCTTATCCCCCTCTTTCCCACTACCCTTCCCAGCCTCCATTGGATACCCCAATTATTCTGATTGTAGATCTCCATTTCTTTAGGGTCATTACTAGTGCTTAATTTTGTCCCTTTGGTGGTGTCATGTGCCCCTGATTATTTGTGATTCTTGTGGCCTGAGTTAGTGTTTGCACATTTGAAGAAGTAGGCATCTCTTTGAGTCTTTACAGACTGGCTTCAGCAGGTAAAGCACTTTAACATTCAGCCCACCAAGAGATTCTGGGCAGATCTTATAGCGGGGTCTGTGGGTGGGCTTGCTGCTGGAGCCCTTAGTAGAGCTTTCATGATGCCTGGACCAGTGGGTGGGTGAGCCTGGTACCTCAGTCCACTGAGGCACACCTACGTATTAGATCTGCATGGGCAGGCCTGGTGCCTGAGTTTGCAGGAGGAGGTCTGGAGCCAGGGTCTATGTGTACAGGCCTGGATCCTGGGTCTGCAAGGGCAGGCCTGTTGCCTGTGTGGGGGCTGGCTTGAGACCTGGTTCCACTGGGGCCCAGCCTGGCATTGAGGTAGGCTTTGAGCCTGAGACTGTGGGTGTCAGCAAGTAGAGAGTGGGGTTGAAGCCTGGGTCCAGTGAGTCTGATCTGGAGTGTGGGGTCATGGGGGTTGGTCTGGCGCTAGGGAAAGTGCTCACCTGCAGTGCAGGGTCATGGGCTCCAGCCTATCACGAGGGTAGGCCTGGAGCTGGGACCATAGGGACTGGTCTGCCACCAGTGCTCACTGGGATGGTCCTGGTGCTAGGGTCTGCAGCAAATATGGGTGCTCATTTCCCTGTTTTTCCTCCACATCAAGGGTATCTCTTTCTAGACTGCACTGCCTGTGCTTGGGGAAGGCTGTCATGGGTAATGTAACACTGTCCTGCCCTGTTCAGTGTATCTTTTCTTAGATCTGTGCTCCACGCAGGTACTCTAATCCTTCATCTGAATTCCTAGCTGTTGTGAAGTTATTTTTATGCATGGATAGTTATTACAAATTGATGTTTCTGTGAGGGAACAAGTACTGGAAACCCCTATCCCTCCATCTTGTTGCTGTCAATCTAGGTCTCCAACATTTGTGTTTATTTTACTTAAAGTTTACTGAGCTTCTTGGATGTATTGATTAATGTTTTTCACCAAACTTGGGAAGTTTTCAGCCATTATTTCTCCTCCTTTCTCTCTCTCCTCTCCTTCTCATGCATATGTTGATGTGATTAATGATGTCTCACATTTCCACGAGGCTCTGTTTATTTTTCTTCATTTTTTTTCTCTCTGTTCTTCAGTCTACATAATCTTTATAAATATAACTACAAAATTGTTGACTCTTTCTTTTGCCTGCTGAGAGCTAATGTGTCCTCACACTCCAAAGAGAGAGCAAGCAAGCTCTTTAGTGTCTCTTCTTGTAAGAGCGCTAATTCTATCATGAAAGTTCCACCCTTGTGACCTCATCTAAACCTAATTACTTCTGAAAGATTCCATCTGTAAATACCATCGCGCTGGGGGTTAGGGCTTCAACATATGAATATTGCGGGGACACAGACATTCAATCCATAATAGCAAGTTTCAGTGGATTTCAGAAGCCCCTAAGGCAGAAAAGCAAAAGCACCTTATTTTTTGTCCACTTGACCTGTGTCTTATGTTGGACTGAAATGTAGGTCTCCTAATTTTAGTGTAGTTTTGTATATTTCTCCCTATATATCTTTAACTTTCTGATATATAAAGGTAGGTGCTGTGTTATTTGTGTCATATATATTCATAACTGATATGTGATCTTTGTGAATTGTGGCTCTTGGTATTATCAAATATTTTGTTGTCTCACTTTTTGTCCAAATTCAACATTTTCTGGTATCATTAGCACAGTCTCTGTTTTCTTACTATTTTGTTTGTCTGCCCTATACTTTTACATCTCTTGACTTTTACCAGCCATTCTGAATCACTTTGGTTTAGGTATATCTCCTAAATGCAGCATAGAGTTGGGTTTTGCTTTGTGGGTCAACCTGCAGGTCTTTTCCTTGTAATACATGGGTTTCTATTTACATGTATTGAAATGAGTGACAGGTTTGGTTCAATAGCTATTTTAATGTTATATTTACTTTGTTTTGTTTTACTTAATATGTCTCTTTAGTCTGTTTTCGTTGCTCTTTAAACATTTTGTTTTGATGTTTAGAAACATTTGAACATGTGTTCTTGCAGTCACCTTCCAGTCTTCACATGTCATTCTCACTGTGTGCATGTCTGTGTCCAGGTTTCCCCAAAGGACATTAGTCATATTGGATTAGGGACCACTCTAGCCCAGTATGGTCTCGTCTCAACTAACTATATCTGCATGACCTTATTTCCAAGTAAGGTCACATCCTGAGGTGCTGCAGGTTGGGACTTCAGCATATGAATGTTGGGGGGACACCATTCAACACGTAACTGCCTCCATCTTTATATCCATCATGGTTGCCTCAAACCCTGTCTTTTGATTCCTTAAGCTTCTAAGGCTGTGGGTTTCTACCCAAGATTTAGTAAACTCTCTGAGGAGAACTGTGGGCTGCCTGCGCTCAGGCTAAAAGCCATTAACATGGAAAGTTTACACAGTGCTATTCTTATCTTCTGCCAAGTGCCAATCCTCTCTCCCTTTCTGCTTCCTTTTGGTTGTTCTCCAGGGCCATCAAGTAGTTCGTTTTTATATTTGGAATGGAATGATGGTCATTATTTGCAAGAGAATTGGCCCAAAGCAGCTCTTCCACTATTACTGCAAGACTCTCATTTTATTTCTTCCTGGGGTTTTGTTTGCTGTTTTTTTTTTGTTTTGTTTTGTCTGTTCCTGTTCTGGGTTTTTTAATGTATCATTCTAGGTGTTTCTTTCAGATCTGCAAATGGTAAAAAATGTTACATTCAGGTTGGTAGCGTCCATCAGTTTCTTCTTCATTTTGTGAAAGGGAATTTTTATTAGTTGAGGTGTTTGATTTTTATTTTACATTCCCTTTATACAGAGACTTCATTTGGATGTTGTCTACCCTTTCCCATTCATCTGGAAATGTCCCATCTTTTTCCTGGACCAGCAATATCTGGCAAGGGTAAAGATTTTAGTTGGCAGACTATATTTCACAGTTCAAGGGCACCCTCTGCTGTTGACTTAAGAGAATTGCAGTTTCATTAATGTTACAGTTTTGGTGGGGTATTTTTTTTTTTAATTTTGTTCTAGTGGAACTTTTAATTTTCAAAAATATATTTATCTTCCTCAGATGTGAATCATGTTTTTTGTTTCTTGATCTCTGCGGTTTTTTCAAGTACGCGTATTCATTTTGTGAAAATTCAATGAGCTCTACACTTTATATGTGCGTATTATATTTCAATAAAAAGCTAAAAATAAACTTGTCAGTAATTAATGCCTAATGAATGAAACACAGAATTATATTTGATAAAATTATCTTCTACCCTCCGACTTTGTTATGCCCTACCTGTTATTTTTGTACATTTGTTACTCTAAAAATTATATTTTGTACACATGCCCAAAAGGTATGTTTTGTAAGTACACTTAAAGGTATCTTAAAATTACTTGTTTTTGAATCATTTGATACTTACCACCAGTCTTTTCAAAGTGTTTTTATCATTCATGAATTCTTTATCTTGATTCTTCTTACAGGTAGCTGAAATACAACATCATAATTTTTACTGGAAAATAGCCACAATGAAGGAACACCACAATTTCACCATGAAAACCAGCACAACCTTACACAGATGACAAACATTTCCCCTCAAAACTTGTTAAACTGTATTTGGGCTGACCAAATTAACCAGAGTTATTCTATTTATGGGGGAGCAGGAAGTAACTTGATAAAATGCTTTGAGTTTATATATCATGTCAAATAAATAGCATAATTTTAAAGGAAAAAAACTTGTTAGGCAATGTTCTCTTATTTTCTGACATCACATATTGTGACAGAATGTAAGGCCAACCTGGTTTTTACAAATTCCGTGGTCTAATTTTTTTGTTGTTGTTAGTGTATAAAAATAGCATTGACTTAAAATTTTTTAAATTTCTTTTATTTAGTTAATTAATTTATTTTGAGACAGAGTCTCGCTCTGTCACCCAGGCTGGAGTACAGTGGCACAATCTCGACGGACTGCAATCTCCGCTTCCTGGATTCAAGCGATTCTCCTTCCTCAGCCTCCCGAGTAGCTGGGACTATAGGCGTGTGCTACCACGCCTGGCTAATTTTTGTATTTTTAGTAGAGAGGGGATTTCACCATTTTGGTCAGGCTGGTCTCAAACTCCTGACCACAGGTGATCTGGCTGCCTCATCCTCCCAAAGTGCTGGGATTACAGGCCTGAGCCACCGCACTCAGCTGAGTTTTTTTTTAATGAATGTACTCCTGGTTGTTTTTTTGTTGTTGTTGAGACAGAGTCTCGCTTTGTCGCCCAGGCTGGAGTGCAGTGGCGCGATCTCGGCTCACTGCAAGCTCCGCCTCCCAGGTTTACGCCATTCTCCTGCCTCAGCCTCCTGAGTAGCTGGGACTACAGGTGCCCGCCACCACGCCCAGCTCATTTTTTGTATTTTTAGTAGAGACGGGGTTTCACCGTGTTAACCAGGGTGGTCTCGATCTCCTGACCTCGTGATCCGCCCGCCTTGGCCTCCCAAAGTGCTGAGATTACAGGCATGAGCCACTGCGCCCAGCTCCTGGTTGTTTTTTTACTCTTCTCTTGACATACTTCTCACACACTGCAGTCTGTTGCATAAAAGGAATTACATGGTTTTGAATTACAGATAAAGATGGACATTGTCTATGTGGTAAATACGTGGTAGTTTCTGGGTGTCTTTTTATATGCTTCATATGAAAAATGATCGTACGTAAAACTGTCTCTTTCAGAAGGAACATAATCTGGACCATTCAGATACACCGAAATTCAGCTGTTTTCTACATCATCTGTGTGGGTGTAGCTAAAATATGAGCTTTTAAGCTTAAAAACAACTTCTGCATGTTATTTGGAAATATTTTTTACTGAATTTCTCAACCACCCCAAAACTTAAAGGGCAAATTTAAAATATGCATTTAATGCCTTAGTATTTTAGAGTATAGCCTTCAACAAAGTCCTTTGAGCCTCACTGTAAAAAATATTGACTTTTTATTATAAGTCTTGTGTCCCATGTCCTTGCTAATTCATTATTTCTAATCGTCCATCTGTTGATTCTTTTTAATTTTCTGCTTATACAATTGTATCATTTTTGAATTATGAAACAGATATTTCCTAAATTCCATCTGCTGTTTCTGTTGGACCCCTGTTCCGTTGCTTTGCTGTGAAATAGCAAGTGCCTTCAAGGAAAAAGGCAGTAAACATGAGGTTGGCCTCACTGGTCTCAGGTATCACAGTTCCTCAAATCCTGTCTTAGTTACATGCTCTCCAAAAATTTAAAACAGTTTTTTAATGTATATGGTATATCTTTTACAGTTGTTTTCTGTAGGACATTTATAATCTTGATATAAACTATTCCATCATGGCTGGACCAAAATGCAGCCTGACTTTTTCCTTTGTTTGTAAACTTTATTTTCTGTTTACATGCTGATAGAATTTATTCTTTGCTCTTAAAATTTAATATTAACCAAGAAACATATAGGGCCTTCCATTATTTGCTTCATGGGCATCCTTTCAATATGCAGTTTCAGGTCTTTATTCAGTTTTTATTTAATATTCATCAAATATTATTCCATTTATTTTGTTCATAACTCAGTAAAAATAGCCACAATTAAAGAGCAATCCTTTGTAGTTTCATCAGTAAGACCAACATCTGCCTGCCTTTGCCATCCTTGGTTGAAGGATCTCTCCTCTGGATCAGACCCATTTCTTCCCTTGTGAATTAATCTATTAATCTCCTTTGTCTTCAGTTCACTCCTGCCTACTCAACAGCATCAGCAAATAAACACACCCAAGTATCTCCCATCTTAAGAGAAGAAAAATCTGCCCTTCCCACAGGACTCCGCCCAGGCTCCATCTCACTTTTTGTTCCCTATCAGAGTAAAACTTATGGAAATTCTCTTTCTTTCTTTTTTCTTTCTTTCTCTCTCTCTCTCTTCTTTTCTTTTCTTTTTTCTTCATTCTCCTCCATTCTCTCTTCAACTTCCTCAATCTGGCTTTCCCCTCCCTAACTCCATTAAAGCTTTTCTGGTCAAAGCTACTGATAGCCTCCATGTTAAAATACTGTCAATACTCACGTCTCACTCGACCTCTCAAAAGCACTCAAAATATGTTTTTCCTTTGGCTCTAGTGACCACACGTTTGTCTGTCTTTTCACCTATTTCCACATCTTTTTTTCTATTTAAATTCCCTGTCTAGACCGGGTGTGGTGGCTCATGCCTGTAATCCCAGCACTTTGGGAGGCCGAGGCGGGTGGATCACCTGAGGTCAGGAGTTTGAGACCAGCCTGGCCAACATGGCAAAACCCCGTTTCTACTAAAAATACAAAAATTAGCTGGGTGTGGTGGCGCATGCCTGTAGTCCCAGCTACTTGGGAGGCTGAGGCAGGAGAATCATTTAAACCTGGGAGGCAGCGGTTGCAGTGAGCCAAGATCGCGCCACTGCACTCCAGCCTGGGTGACAGAGCGAAACTCCCTCTCAAGAAAAATAAATAAATAAATAAATAAATAAATAAATTCCCTCTCTAGATGATCTAATCTGGTCCCTCGACTTAAATATCACTTATATGCTAGTGACTCCCAAATGTAGACATTTTTAGCTCTGGGCATTCCCTTGAGAAATGGGGTTGCCTCTCTAGTAGTTCATCTAACATATGCACGTGGATGTCAAATGGATTTGAAAGCTAAGACAGCAAAAATTAACTTCCTTCCCTCTCTGCAAGCCTGTTCTCATTTGCCCCCATTTCAGTAAACAGCCTCATCAAATAGTAGCTCAACTGAGAGACATAAGGGTCACCTGTGATCCCTCAATTGCCTTCTGCCAGGTGCACCTGCAAAACACATTCCCCAAATTTTACTTATTTTTTGCCTGCTACCACTGAAGTTCAAGGCACCATCATCTCTCACCAGTACCCGCTTTCTAAGTGGGCTCCATGGTTCCATGCTTGGCCTCCCCAACACATCCTCCAAGCAAGAATTACCCACCTTTAAAATGTGATCTGTATCACATCATCCTCTGAACTGAACCCACCAGTGGCTGCCTAGGAGTAAACTCCAGATTCTTCACCACAGTCTACAGTGTGTACTTGCTGTGGTCCCTGCCAACCTCTCTGATCACATGTTTTATTTTTCTCTTCTTTTCTTACTACTCTCTTCACTGGCATTCTTTTTGTCCCTCAAAATTCATTCCCACTGCAGGGTCTTAGTATTCAGCAGTTTCTTCTGTCGGAAATACTCTTTCTTCAACTCTTCCCGTGATTAACTCCTTTTTTCTTTAACCAAGTCTCATCTTAAATGTTGCCTGCCTTCCCTGAACCCACCTCTTCCTGACATTCTCCTTATCATCAGGAAAGGCAGGGTAATGCTGTGGTAACAGATTGCAGTGGCTTAAAACAACAAAGGTTTACTTCTTGCTCACTGTACATTGCAGGTTGCAGGTTGGCTGAGGACCCCAATCCATGCTGTCCTCACTGTGGGCTGAGGGAACAGCTGCTATCTGGAACAATGCCAGTCACCATGTCAGGGGAAAAGAAGGCTCTGGAGGGCGCAGCAAAGGCAACCAAATGCTTGGCTTGGAAATGACATGCATCATTTCTTTTCTTTTCTTTCTTTTTTTTTTTTGTCTCTGTCGCCCAGGCTGGAGTGCAGTGGTGCGATCTCGGCTCACTGCAACCTCCTCCTGGGCTCAAGCGATTCTCCTGCCTCAGCCTCCTGTGTAACTGGGATTATTGGTGCCCGCCACCACACCTGGCTAATTTTTGTATTTTTAGTAGAGAGGGGGTTTTGCCTTGTTGGCCAGACTGGTCTCCAACTCTTAGCCTCAAATGATCCACCTGCCTTGGCCTCCCAAAGTGCTGGGATTATAGGCATGAGCCACCGTGCCCAGCTAACACACATCACCTCTGATCGCAAGTTATTGGCCAGACTAGTTACATGGCCCTACCCAGCCACAGAGGGCCACAAGAAATAATCATATAGCTGCCCAGAAGATAACCAGCTCTAATGGCTATCACAGATTTTACACTTAAAAAAAAATTTTTTTTTGAGAAAGGGTCTCACTCTGTTGCCCAGACTGGGGTGCAGTGGCGTGATCTCGGCTCACTGCAGCTTGGAACTCCTGGGTTCAAGCAATTCTCATGTCTCAGCCTCCCAGGTAGCTGGGACTACAGGCGCATGCCACCACACCCAGCTAATTTTTGTATTTTCTGTAGAGACAGGGTTTTGCCATGGTGGTCAGGCTGGTCTTGAACTCCTGGGCTCAAGTGATCCGCCCACCTTGGCTTCCCAAAGTGTTGGGATTACAGGCGTGAACCACTGCTCTGGGGCCTCCATCACACTTCTTATATTATTCTGTTTATACAATGTTTTTCTACATGAGAGATAAATTCTATGTAACCATCATCCAGGTTAATAAATAAAATAATTCCAAGGTCTTAGAAGCCTCTCCTTAATGTGCCCTTCCCTCTGTCAAGGAGCTCACCACCATCCTAACTTTGGGGTTAATAAGAGCAATGCTTTTAGTTACAGTTTTACCACCAAAGCATGTATTTTTTTGTTCAGTTTGAGCTATTTTGGACTTATATAAGTGTCAGTATTTTAATTTGTTTCTTTGAATGAATGCAGTGTTTATAAGGTTTATCTATATAGATGAATGTAGCTATTTTTTAATGTATCTATTTTGCCAGGCATGCACCTGTAATCCCAGCTACTCAGGAGACTGAGGCGGGAGGATTGCTTGAGCCCAGGAGTTCAAGACCAGCCTAGGCAATATAGTGAGACCCACTCAATCAAGTAATCAGTCAGTTATTTTTGATAAATAATACATGTATCAATGTTAATGTTAAGGTATATTTGTGTTGTTTTCAGTTTTAGGCTTTTGGAAACAATGCTTCTGTAAATATCCTAGTACCTGTCTCATGGGTGTGAAGTTGCTGAATCGTAGGATGCATGCATGTTCGTCTCTGCTAGATCATGTGACATTGTTTTCAAAAATGATTTAAAATGCGCTCCCAACACTGTGAGTTCCAGCTGCTCCATATGTTTACCAGTGCTTGGTATTGTTGTACATTTTTTTTTTGTTTTGAGACGGAGTCTTGCTCTGTCGCCCAGGCTGGAGTGTAGTGGCGCGATCTCAGCTCACTGCAAGCTCCACCTCCCGGGTTCACGCCATTCTCCTGCCTCAACCTCCCGAGTAGCTGGGACTACAGGCATCTGCCAACTCGCCCAGCTAATTTTTTTTTTTTTGTATTTTTAGTAGAGACAGGGTTTCACCGTGTTAGCCAGGATGGTCTCAATCTCCTGACCTCGTGATCTGCCCACCTCGGCCTCCCAAAATGCTGGGATTACAGGCGTGAGCCACTGCGCCCGGCCTGTTGTACTTTTTAATTTTTGCCAATCTGGTGGGTGTATGATGGTCTCATTTTGTTGTTGCTTTGATAACTAATGAAGTTGACCACCTTTACATATGTTTTTTGTTTATTTCTTTAGTTAGGGTATTCAGTTTATACTTACTGCCCCAGCATAATTATTAAAATGGTCCCCCTTTCATTCTCTAACATGTCTTGGTTTGGACAACACATTGTACGGCACCCTAACCTTAGTGGGGTCCCTCCGCTAACATGGAAATTTCCTTCTTGCTCGTTAGTGTTTAGGATGATGTGGTCTGGCATCTCTGAGGAAAGAAAAAAAAATGGGATAAATACAGAAGATTGAGTAAAAACCAGATGAGAGGGAAACCAAACTCATTAACTGGGATTACTCAGTCTGACTCAGGATGACCATTTCCAAAATAATGTGTGATGGAGCTTTCAAATGGGTACAAAGCAGATGAGTTTGAGCAACATAATCCAGCAGTAAAAGTGAAAGAATTTGTTTACCCATTTCTCAGAAATGACTCAAGGCACGATCATTATTTGAAAGCTGGTCACAGTGTCTGCTGCAACCACTCACTCCCCTTTCAGTCTGTAACAAATCTCTTAAAAGCTGACATGTGAAACCAATAGTATGTTTCTTACCTTGAGATCATCTTGTGAAGTTTCTTACTCTATTTTTTAAAATGTGTTTGTTAGATTTTATTTTCTAAGTAATATTGATTAAAAATATTTATACACCTACTTTTAAGTCCACAGTTTAGCACTCTTATTTGTATGGCTTTAAAAGTTATAGCACAGGGTCTTTACATTAAGGACTGGGGGAAAAGATTCCATTCAAAACAAAGCCTGATAATTATAGACATGTTTTTCTCTGTACTTTATTTTAAATACATTAATTTTTAAACAATGCTCATCTTTTTTTTTATCTGGTGGTAAAATACTAGTGCAACTTTTCATCAAAAGAAAGTTGACCACAGATGTAAATGAATTTTCCCAATTGAAAATTGCCCTTCAGCTGCCACTAAATAAAATTTCTCAACCTAACTTAAGTGAAAAGAACTGGTGGTTGTCATTATAAGTAAAAATATAAAGTATCATAGCATTGTCTACATTGCTCCTTACAATACAAACTTTGAAAGAACCAGAGATGCTTTATAGGAGTTTAGTCGGTTTTGAAAAGGCACGTGTGTGTGTGTGTTTTAATATTCTAAAAATTTTCCCACCACCACTCTTTGTGTTGCAGAGACAGCATCGGTGACTACAGGGCTAGACAAGAACATTTGTTCAGACTAAAGAAAGCCAGAAGCCAAAATTCAGCTGCACAGTAACAATGTACTTTTCATCATGCAGCCTTGTGTTTCCTATATATTTGATTTTCTACTATGCATTAGAATACATAAACTTGTATTCTAATGATTTAAGTTTGATTTCACAATATGGAAAAAATTTGAGGAAGAACATGACCTGGGAAAGAGAAAAGGGAGAACTTTTACCACAATGAACATAGATACATTCGTACCCCACTATATGATAAGAATATAATCCATTTAAGTTACAGAAAAGATCTCTTCAGTTATGGGAAAGATCCCTCTGCTGTGGCATTAAGTTTGGGGAGGGGAATTGACTTGTTCCAACAGAAACAGAAACAACAGGAAATAGCTTAACTTTGGTCCACTTGTCTGTTAGCTGAACGACAGTCATACTGCCTATAATCGGTTCAGAAACCCAACAATTATATTTTAAAATATATTCATGTGTAATTTCATTCTAAAACTGGCATAGCTGTTCTGCCCTCATTCTCTGCCTTTTCAGCTTCAGAATGTGCTGTCAGCACGGTCTCTAATCCTCAGCATCTTCGTGATCTTCCCTGGCAGCCTCAGCATCTGCTTGGCTAGGCTCTGTCTTCTCTTGGGTCATGATTTCTGGGGTCATGTGGACGAAGCCTGCTTCTGGAAGTTCACTTTGTACTTCCACTGGCATCTGATTTTCCCGTTCCACATGCGGCTCCTCTCCGTGTACTTCAGTACCTTCTTCAGGCTGAATTCAGCCCACTGCTAGGTAACTCACTTGGACCTGCTCTGGAAGCTCACTCCTGTGTGTCGGGCACCTGGCTATCCCTGCGTGGTTCTGGGTGGACGTGTTCCACGATCGCTTGTGCTGAATCCACCTGGACCTGAAACAGTGGGAGCACGTGTACCTCCCAGCTTGTTCTATAATATCATTGATGTCACAGGTTCAGCTTGTACCTGTGTTTCTGCTGAAAGAACTTCTCCCATTACTAGACGCTTTGATATATTGTATCACTGAGATGCCTCCTTAATTCATTTCCTTGCATAAACCACAAGTCACATAAAGTACAATGGTTGGGTTTACCTCTAGTATGTATTACTGAGTGATATTTGAACTGGTTCTAGCTGTTAAACACACTGTTGCAGACCTGGCACTCATGAGCTTCTTTCTTCCTTTTTTTGCCCCTACTCATTTGGCATGCAGTGAGGTGACATTTGAGGGGGCTATTTCTAGCAAATTGTTCATGACAATTTGGATATTCAAAAGGTTTTTCACCTGTTCTTTAAAATGTCCAGAATGGTCACACTGTTTCTCACAGTACTGACATACATGAATTTTTCCACCAGTTCTTTGCTTTTTTTTTTTTTTTTTTGAGACGGAGTATCGCTCTGTCGCCCAGGCTGGAGTGCAGTGGCGTGATCTCGGCTCACTGCAAGCTCCGCCTCCCGGGTTCACGCCATTCTCCTGCCTCCGCCTCCCGAGTAGCTGGGACTACAGGCGCCCGCCACCACGCCTGGCTAATTTTTTGTGTTTTTAGTAGAGACGGGGTTTCACCGTGTTAGCCAGGATGGTCTCGATCTCCTGACCTCGTGATCCGCCCGTCTCAGCCTCCCAAAGTGCTGGGATTACAGGCGTGAGCCACCGCGCCCGGCCTCTTTGCTTCTTACTGCCTCCACCTTCTTCAAGGTGGTAACAATTCAGGTGCTGTTTCCATGCGCTCTCCTGAAGATACCTTTTGTTGCATATTTCACAGTTGAAACTCAGTGAAGTGTGATTTCATGTGTTCCTGTTTGCTTGTGGGGTCAGATTGCACAGCTGTCTTCCTCTTTAATCTGCCCTTTTCTGTCACCTTGGTGGTACTGAAACAGGAAAAGCTCCCTTATCCCCCTCACAGGGTGTGTGATGGGGGCGTGGCTAGCTTCTTCGGTGCTGCTGCTCAAACATCTAGGGGGGCAGGTTGTGGTCGTGGGCTCCAACCCCACGGCAGTGTCTTGGGGGAAATGTTTCCAGCTCCTGAAGCCCCAGTGGGCGTGTGTTACAGGTGCTCTTTTAATTTTGCTGTCTGTAGGCGGCTTGTGTCAATCAGCTCACTTAGACCCTCTGCCTTATCACAAGGACAGAGGGCTTTCTGTATCCCAGGGTTCTTGCCCTAGTGTGCCGGAAAAATCGGATCACATGTGGGCTTGGGGAATGAGTGCAGGGTTTTATTGAATGGTGGAAGTAGCTCTCAGCAGATGGATGGGGAGCCAAAAGAGGGATAGAGTGGGAAGGGGGTTTTCCCTTGGAGTCGGGCTGTTCAGTGGCCAGACTGTCCTCCTACCACCCCTGCCAAATTCCCCTGGGCATCCGCGTTGTTCTGCCAGTTGATGGCCTGCCAGCGTGTGCAGGTGCCTGTTCCTGTGCTCTTCCATTCCCCTGCTCCTCTCGATGCCTAGCCGCCTGTGTGCCCTTCTGCCGCTGTGTTCCTCTAGACATCCCACTGCTTGTGTCTATGCCGCTAGGGTCGGGGGGTTTTTATAGGCCCAGGATGGGGGGTGTGGTGGGCCAGGGTGGTCTTGGAAAATGCAACATTTGGGCGCGAAAACAGGAGTGCCTGTCCTCACGTAGGCCCGTGAGCACGGGCCCAAGGGGGGAGCCCTCACCAGGGACCCCGCCTTTCTCTATCCAGCATTTCCCTGCCCCACTCTGGTATCAGTACTTGCTGGTGATATCTGGCAACAGTGCTGGAGCAGAATCATCAGAGGAACCTGTGCTCTGTATGTACTTTATGGACTGCTGGGCAGAAGCCCTTCCTCGAATGTTTCCATGCCTTCATCTTCTGCTTCAGTCGTGTCTTCGGCATTCTCTACCTCAGTTTCAACAGAGTCTGACTCTGCAGATAGCAGTGACTCAGCGATAACGTGAAGTTTCTGCAATTTTACTTTTTTTGGCCTCACTTTTTCCTGTGGTATTTTCCTTTAATGAAGTTGAGTTTTGTTTTGTTTTGAGATGGAGTCTTGCTTTGTTGCCCAGACTGGAGTGCAGTGGTGCGATCTTGGCTCATTGCAACCTCCGCCTCCTGCATTCAAGCAATTCTCCTGCCTCAGCCTCCTGAGTAGCTGGGACTACAGGTGCCCCACGCCCGGCTAAATTTTGTATTTTTTAGTAGAGACAGGGTTTCGCCACGTTGGCCAGGCCGGTCTTGAACTCCTGACCTCCGGTGATCCGCCCGCCTCGGCCTCCCAGAGTGCTGGAATTACAGGCGTGAGCCACTGCACCTGGCCTGAAGTTGAGTTTTCTTTGTTCCTAACTTCAAGGGCTTTGATGGCTTCTAGCATTTGTAGATGTTCTGCTGCTTTCCATACATCGCTGGCTGCTTCTCCTTGTATCATTAATTTTGCTGTACATGTGAACTCAATTGAATGGCAAAAGGCCATTTTACTAATACCTTCTATCTCCACCAAAGGTTCTTGGGTAAACTCTGGAAAGAATTTGTAGAAGGCGGCCGGGCCCAGTGGCTCACCCCTGTAATCCCTTTGGGAAGGATTACAGTAATCTCTGTAAGCGTTTTGGGTGGCTGAGGCAGGCGGATCACCTGAGATCAGGAGTTTGGGACCAGCCTCGCCAACTTGGCAAAACCCTGTCTCCACTAAAAATACAAAAATTAGCCAGATGTGATGGCGGGTGCCTGTAGTCCCAGCTACTTGGGAGGCTGAGGCAGGAGAATCGCTTGAACCCGGGAGGTGGAGGTTGCAGTGAGCCAGGATCGGGTCACTGCACTTCAGCCTGGGTGACAAAGTGTGACTTCATCTCAAAAAAAAAAAAAAAAAAAAGAATTGTGGAACTTACTGCAAGCAGCCAAAACGGCCTTGTGAGCCTTCAGATGGTGTCCGTCCACAATCAGGGTGATGTCAGTAAAGCGGTCCTGCCCTCACTGTTCATTCAGTTGGTCGAGGATCTTGTTATGACGTTCACGGAACTCCTGTAGGTGTTGCATCGTCTCTTCAGCCTCCATGGCTGTTGGGTTGCTCTGCCTCATGCTCTGCCCTCCTTCCTCTTTGTCCCTCAGAGCCTCTGGTTTTGTGCTTTCTCCTCCCAGGGCATAATGTGCCCCACAGCTTTCCCTATCTCTAAACCGTGGCTCTCCCTCCATTTCCCCCACAAGAGCCGGGTGCTGCCTCTGCTCGGGCCCCGCTGGTGCACGTGCGCTCGGTTGGACACACAGGCGGTCTCGGCCTCTTTCTCTACTTTGAAGACTCGGCTGTAATTGTGCTATTAAACTTCTTCCATATTATACTCAAAAGCAATGCTTCATTTCCCCCCAAAAGAAGAAATCAAGTAAGTAAAAACATGTTATAATTTATATAGAAGGGTACTTTGCATTTGTTAAAATGCTTTATAATGGTTCTAATCTTCTTCCTTAAAGAAACCCTGAGAAAGCCTTTCTTTCTCAGCTGTACAGATGGAACAGGTGAGGGGAGGGGACGCAGAGGTGTTGCCCAGAGCTTCTGAGTCCGTGGCTGAGCCCAAATCTCCCAAGGCAAATATGACAAATGTTATTTTCTCCTATTTATAAAGCTCCCTTACAGCTGGAGGGATTTTCTTCTAAATCTACTAAACATTGAAGTACCTAAAAACAATAGTCCCACATTTGGAAACAGACCAAGGGTGTGAAGTTTTAGCTCTTGTTTCTAAGGTTATAACTGACGACCAGACTGGGGTTAATTATGCACCCAAATGATAGTGTTTCCTGCCAAGGACATTCTGATTCACTGCTTACCAGATCAGGTAATGCTGGTGGCTAAGCTCCTCCACCAGGCTTTTAGGGTCTCCTAAAGACCCTAAAAAAAAGGAGGTGTCTTCATTCTCACTGGCTCCAGCCAACCCTTTAGATTGCTAATAATTCAAATGTGGAGCATTCAGTAGCAAGAGGATTGTGCGCTCATTTATTCATAGCACTCCTTCCCCAAACTACGTTGGGAGACACATCAATCAGTGTGTTAGGAAGACCTGATGGCTGTGCTGTTCAATATGGCAGCCACCAGCCACATGTGGCCATTTAAATTCTAATTAAAATCAAGTAAAATGTAAAAGCCAGTTGCTCAGTTGCACTAGCAATGTTTTGAGTGCTCAGTAGTGACATATGCCTGGAGGCTACCGTATTGGGTAGTGCAGATATAAAATATTTCCATCACTCCGGAAGGTTCTATTGGACAATACTGCTTCTTAGTGTGTTATGGTGAGTAAGACTTCCCAAATGGTCTTGGTATCTTCTGCCATGCGGGCTGCTGGGCTGCCTCATATCCTTTTTTTTTGGTTTATTTGTTCATTTGTTTTTTTAAGAGACAGGGTCTGGCTCTGTCACCCGTGCTGGAGTGCAGTGGTGCAATCATAGCTCACTGCAGTCTGAAGTTCTGGAGCTCAAGTGATCTTCCCACCTCATCCTCCCAGTTAGCTGGGACTACAGGTGGGTGCCACCATGCCTAATTTTAAAAAAATTTTTGTAGAGGTGGGGTCTCATTTTATTGCCAAGGCTGGTCTTGAACTCCTGGGCTCAAGTGATTTTCCCGCTTCAGCTTCCCAAAGTGCTGGGATTACAGGCATGCACCACGGCACCCGGCCACACGTCATCTCTCACTGTTTCAAAGCCCAGCCCCTTGTTGGCACCATCCCAGGCAATGAGTCTTCCCCAGGGCCACCCTGCCCTTCGTTTTTCTCTAAATTCCCTCACCTTCATGGGAAGCCTCTTCAAAATTAGAAATTTGCAAGTATGTGTAGTTCTGTTAGCTGGGTGAAGCTCTTGATCCCTTGGGTCCCACAGCTGTCTTCTGTCAGCGAGGCTCACACGTCTGTGTCCCTGGTCACAGGTGCGAGTGGGGCACATTCCTCATCCTCTCCACCCCCGCATGCCCTGCCCTCCAGGGGCTCTGTGCCCATGGGCGTTCCCCAGGCTTGCCCACTGCTCTCATCTGTTTCTCACATCTCTGTTTCTCCTCCTGGCCAAACCCTCTACATCTACAGCCGATTGTTTGCTGATTAGAAGCTGTTTATGTACTTAGCAGAAAGAAAACTTGCCATTTCTGAAGGAAGAAATGAGGCAGCAAATGTGCAGGGGAGAACAAGATTAGGCAGGATCAAAAGGCAAAGGCAGGATGCTCACAACAAAGCTGAAAATTATAACCCTGATGGTTCATTCTCGTGGAATTCACTGGCTGCCAGCACACTATGGGTGTAACCGTAAGGCCTGTGGATGATCTCTCTGCCTTCTCCCTGGCTCTCATCTGGTAACATCCTCTCGCAGTGCTCGAGGTCATCGTTAAAACATGAGAGAGAACAACACGACGATGAACTAGTTTGCTTGGATGCAAGTATTTGACCAGTTCTTTCATCCACAAATCTGGAAATAAGTAAATGTATTTTATATTTGAAAAGTATGAGAAATATGGTCTGAAAAATTTCTCTCTCATGCTTTTAAAATATATTAAAATATTTTAAAATATTTTAAATAAAACAAGCAAGAGCACAGAGTTAGGTATATGAAACATCAGTCCTTAGTCACTGTGTTGGGGTTCTCCTGAGAAACAGAATCGGACATACATAATTATATGTGTATATATATATATATATATTTATACACATATATATGTGTACGTGTGTATATAGATATACCTATGTGTATACATGCATGTATGCAGATAGGTATGTGTATAAATATATACATATGTGTGTGTATATATAGAAATATATATATACACATATATAGAGAGATTTATTTTAAGGAACTGGCTCTTGATTGTGGGGGTTGGTAGGTTGGGGCTGGCTAGCGGGCTAGAAATTCTGGGAGGAGTTGATATTGTAGTCGAGTCTGAAGGCAGAGTTCCTTCTTCTTCAGGGACCTCAGTCATTTTTCTTAAGACCTTCAACCGACTAGATGAGACCCATCCACATTATGAAGGGAAATCTGTTTTACTCAAAGTCTACTGATTTAAATATTTCAGTATTAATCACACCTAAAATATATCTTTATAGCAACATCTAGACTGGTGTTTAACCAAAACTGAGCATCACAGCCTAGCTAAGTTGACACATCAAATTAACCCTCACTGTCACCAAACATCTAATTAACAGGATGGCTGAGTGTGTTCATTGGCTCAGGCTGCCATAACACAGTACCACAGGCTGGGTGGCTTCAACCACGGAGATTCGGAGATCAAGATGTGGCCAGGGATCGTGTCTTCCGAGCCTCTCTCCTTGGCTTGTAGATGGCCGTCTTCTCTGTGTGTTTTTAGTTGGTCTTCCTTCTGTGTGTGTCTGTGTCCTAATCTCTTTTTATAAGGACACTGATCATGTTGGATAAGGGCCTACCCTCATGATCTCACTTTAATTTACTTCCTACTTAAAGACTCCATCTCCAAGTACAGTCACATTCTGAGATTCTGAGGTTTAAAATGTCAACGTTTGAAGTGTTGGTGGTGCGGAGGACACAGTTTAGCTCATGACAGTGGGAAAACAGACAATTCCAAGGTGGTAGTGGGTATGCATTGTGCTGAGAAGGGCCGAGTTCAGTGCAGTCACTTGCAAGTTATCTTGATCTGAAAACAGATGATCAGTTTGCGTTGATAAATGGATAACTTTCCCTGTGTGCCTTAAAATTGCCTTCACATTTAAAGAATGAGTATGTATGCGCAACTGTTAGGCTGAAAAAAAAAGTTGTACTATTAAGTAGACAAACAGTTTGCTACCTTGAAATGCAGAGATAGGTATGACTCCACATGGTGTCACTGTAGATATCAGCATCCTCCTTCTCCAAAAATAATAAAGCGAAGCTGCTGGATGGGGCTGTTGGCTACTCTCTTTGGTGGAGAGGTTCACTACCTGTTGTTTTTACATTTATATTTTATTCTTTTTTTTTTGCCACAGGGTTTTGCTTTGTCACCCAGGCTGGAGTGCAGTGGTGCGATCATGGCTCACTGCAGCCTCCAACTCCTGGGCTGAAGGGATCCTCCCACCTCAGCCTCTGAGTAGCTAGGACTACAGGTACATGTCACTGCATCCAGCCATCTTATTTTTCGGGGGTGAGGGGAGCACTTTTTGGAGGTGGGTGGGAACATTCTTTCTGGCGTTTAAAATTTTTTCTTTGTGGAGACAGGTCTCACTACATTGTCTAACCCGGTCTCAAACTCCTGGCCTCATGCAGTCCTCCTGCCTTGGCCTCCAAAAGTGCTGGGATTATAGGCATGAGCCACCACGCCAGGCCTTGCTACCTGTTTTTTATTTTTTATTTTAGATTCAGGGGTGCATGGGCAGGTTTGCTACAAGGGTATCTTGTGTGATCCTGAGGTTTTGGCTTCTATAGATCCTGTCAAGCAGACAGTGAACATAGTACCCGACAGGAAGGATTTTCAGCCCTTGCCCCCCTCCCTCCCTCCCTCCTTTTGGAGTCCTCAGTGTCTATTGTTCCCATCTTTATGTCCATGTGTACCCAGGGTTTAGCTCCCATTTATAAGTGAGAATGTGCTATATTGTGTTTTTCTGTTTCTGTGTTAATTCGCTTAGCTACCTGTTTTTAATACTTAGACTGATGTAGTCCTCTTCTAGATGAGTTGTAAGATTATTGATTTGTTTTCTAATTAGAAAAAGTAATACTGTGGCTCATTGCAGAAATTTGAAAAATGTGTAAAAGTATGAAGAAATAAAATATCAGAGCAATTTCACTATATATTTGAAAAATCGCTTGATCCATTAGTATCTTTCTTTCTAATCTCTTTTTCTAGGCATATGTATACTTTTTCAGTAAAATTGGGATTACACTAAATATAGTGTAATATTCTGCTTTCACTATAATAAGCATTTCCCTGTTGATTATTTTTGTAAAGATGTAAATGGTTATATGATGCATTTATCCATATCCATGAAGGTATCCATTCATTTCACACATTTTTTTTTAGCACCTTCAATGTGCTCTGCCTTGTGGTAAGTCCTAGGAATGCACTGATAAAACAGACGGGGATCCTGCTTTCATAAAGCTTTCCCCACTTTCTGGATGTATGTATTTATTTAACCATGTCTTTATTTCTGCTCAGAGAGACTGACTTAGCCGAGAGGAAGGCATTTTTGTCCTTTCCCCCTTCCTGCTGCATGCCTGGAATGGGAAATGCTGGCTCGTACTTCTACAGCCATCTTGGAACACAAAGTAACACTGAGGATGGAAGCTAAATATTGAATATAGGACATATAGGAATCTGGTCCCTGTACAAACCATGGAGAGAGTTCATGGGCCCCAGATTATCCACACCAGGACTTCTCCTGTGAAACAAAAACTTCTAACTTGTTTAAATCACTGTTGATATGGGTATTTCTGTTAAATGCAGCAAACTCATTTCCTAATTGATACAATGCTGTTTGTACAGAAGCTTCAAATTTGTTTTTTTGTTTGTTTGTTTGTTTTTTTTTTTTTTTTTGAGACTAAGTCTCTCTCTGTTGCCCAGGTTGGAGTGCAGTGGCATGATCTTGGTTCACTGCAACCTCCACCTCCTGGGTTCAAGCAATTCTCCTGCCTCAGCCTCCCAAGTAGCTAGGATTAGAGCACCCACCACCACACCCAAATTTTTTATTTTTTATTTTTATTTTTGCTAAGTTTTGTATTTTTAGTAGAGACACGGTTTCACCATGTTGGCCAGGCTGGTCTCAAACTCCTGACCTCAAGTGATCCACCCACCTTGGCCTCCCAAAGTGCTGGGATTATAGGCATGAGCCACCGTGCCTGGCCAGAAGCTCCAGATTTCTGTGTCATCAAATATATAACATTTTATCAACCCTGAGACACATCTTTTCTTACAATGCAGTCTCTCTAGAATCAGTATCATTTAATATGTCATAGTTAAATAACTTTTTTTATTGAGGTAAAATTTATATAACATAAAATTCATCATTTTAGCCATTTAAAAGCATACAATTCATGACTTTTGGTACATTCACAATATTGTGTAACCACCATCACTACCTAATTCCAGAACAGGAAATTCTGTACCAGTTAAGTAGTCACTCCCCATCCCCTGTCCTCCCAGCCCCTGACAACCATTAATCTGCTTTTTGGCTGTCTCGATTTGCCTATTCTGGATATTTCATATAAACTAATGAATACAACATGTGATCTTTTGTTACTGGCTTCTTTCACTTGGAATAAGGTTTTCAAAGTCCACCCATGTTGTAGCATGAATCAGTCCTTCATTCCTTTAATGGCTGAATAATATTCTGTTGTACATTATTCAGCCCTAACGATGGTTGTATAATGCATTCGAATGTTACACCACATTTCATTGATTCATTCAATTCACGCACATTCAGATTGCTTCCACATTTTGGCTGTAAAGAATAATGCTGCTATTAATATTCATGTACAGACAGTCCCTGACTTATGATGGCTTAACTTATGATTTTTCAACTTTATAGTGGTGTAAAAATGATATGCATTCAGTAGAAACCATACTTCGAGTACCCATATGACCATTCTGCTTTTCACTTTCAGAACAATAGTCAATAAATTACATGAGATATTCAATACTTTACTATAAAATAGGCTTTGTCTTAGACCAGGGGTGTCTAATCTTCTGGCTTCCCTGGGCCACATTGGAAGAAGAAGAATTGTCTTGGGCCACATATAAAATACACTAACACTAATGATGGCTGATGAGCTAAAAAAAAAATCACAAAAAAGTCTCATAATGTTTTAACAAAATTTACAACTTTGTGTTGAGCTGCATTCAAAGCTGTTCCTGGGCTGCATGCAGCCCTCAGGCCATGGGTTGGACAAGCTTGTGTTAGATGATTTTGCCTAACAGTAGGCTAATATAAGTGTTCTGAGCATGTTTAAGTTATGTTAGGTTAAGCTATGATGTTTGGTAGGTTAGGTGTATTATGCATTTTCAACTTATGAGATTTTCAGCTTACAATGGGTTTATCATCAGGTTGTAACCTCATCATAAGTTGAGGAACATGTGTACAGAGTTTTTTTGACTATGCATATTTCTCTTAAGTTACACTAAGGGGTGAAATTTCTGGGTCATATGGTTGCTTTATGTCTAACTTTTTGAGGAACCGTCAGAGTATTTTCCAGAGTGGCTGTACTATTGTTCATTTCCAACAGTAATGTAGCAGCGTTCCAATATTTCCACATCCTCAACACTTGTTATATTTTCATTCTTCCCAACCTAGTAGTTGTGAACCACATTTTCTTTATCCATTCCCCAGCAGTTGAGGGACATTTGGGTTGTTCCCACCTTTTTACTATTATAAACAACACTACAAATAATACCATGAACAACTGTGTACAACACAGGTGTGTGTTCAAACAAACACTTTGTTTGAACATATGCTCTTCAATCTCTTGGGTATATGACTAAGAATGGAATGGGTGGGTCATATGGTAATTCTATGTTGATTTTTTGAGGAACCACAAAACTAGCTTTTACAGTGGCTGCATCATTTTACGTCTCTACCAGCAGTGGGATTCCTGCAGACTCTCATCAACAGGCAATGAAAAGTGATGAGCAAATTTTCTTTGACTCTCATTTCATTTTGCCTCTTTTATTTTGAAATTTAAATAATAGACAAAGAGGAGAGTAAGCATTTTATATTTACCACCCAGAAATGAACAACATTAGTGCATTGTTTTGGCTTCAAATATTTTTAAGTAAATAGAACATAACAGATTAAAAAACCTAAGCCCCCTTTTCCCCTTTACCACACCTATTACGTGGCCCCTCTCCAGAGATAATGATTATCACAAGTTGGTATCTGTCCTTCTAGACTATATCTTATTAGTATTACAAATATTACATGTCTCAACATGTTCTTTAAACTTTAGGTATGTGCTATCATACTGTTTTCATCCTGCAACTTGCCTTTTTTCTAAAAAGAGCTTTATTGAGGTATATAACTGGCACACAATAAACTGCACATATTTAATGCATACAGTTGGATGAGTTTGGACATATGCCTACATCCATGGAGCCATCACCACAGTCAAGTTAACAGACATAACTATAAGCTCCAAAAGTTTCCTTGTGTCCCTTTATTTTGGGATATGTGCATGTATGGTGAAAACATTTAACACAAACTCTCATCTTTAATAAATTTTAAAGTGTATAATACAGCACTGTTGACTGTGTATTAATACGATGCTATGTAGATCTCTTCAACTAATTCATCTTGCATCACTGAAACTTTCCTCTCCCCTGAAACATGTCTTTAACTGTTTTTTTGAAGTCTGTCCAGTGACGTGCTAGTAAATGTTTAACAACCAGCTTTTGTGGGGAGGGAATGATATGTAGCTTTTGCTAATTTCCATGTTGTAAATACTCTTAACATAGCTTATACCAAGCTATAGAAGTAACATCAGCCAGCTCACAAAACTGAAATGTTAGCATTTAGTTCTCATGAGCTAGCTTCAGCATGCTACTAAATCCGTCCCTGTTGATGTGGAGATCTGAGTTTTGCTTTTTAGTTTTTATATGTTAAGACTGTATCACAATGTTTTTATCCATCACCCTATTGATGGACGTCTAGACTATGTCTAGGGCTTCACTGCTACAAGATGGTGCTACAGTAAACATTCTTGTGCATAGCCCTTGTGCACATGTGCAAGGATTTCTGGAGCAGAAGGTATGTTTACTAGATGTGGAAACACTGTCCTCTGAAGTAGTTGCCCAGTCCACCCACTTCACAAGCAGTATGTGAGAGATCTTATTTCCCCACAACCTTGGCAATACTTGGTCTCATCAGACTTGGTTTTTGCCCATCTAAAGGTTATAATTCCATTGATTTTATACATAGTTGTCCCTCACTGTGAGATCCAGTAACTATTCATAATTACCTATACGCTTATAATTTCTTTTTTTCCCCCATTTAACTCCAGTATTTGTCTGTCTCTAGTTGATTGTAATGAATGCAAGAGGCTGTTGTGGAGTGTCAATGCCAGACCCCAAATAAGGGCAACACGGCTACTTAGCTTCTTTCTGAATTTAAAAGAAATGTATAGCTTTAATTTGGGAATTTAGAAACAGAAGCTAAGGTGTCTGTAAGCCTGTATTAGTTATTGTAGCCTTTACCTGCAAGCATCAAAGAACCATAGCAGCAGTGACTTAAACAATTGTGATGGGCATTTATTTCAAGCAATAAGAAGTCTGAAGCTAGTAAAGGAGGCAGTGGTGCCATCCTGGACCCAGGCTCCTGCCATTCTTCTCTGCCACCCTTAGCTGTAGGCTGTAATTCTCACGCTCCTCATCTCACGGTTGCAAGATGGCTGCCGCAGCTCTAGGCTTCACATCAGCGCTCAAGGCGGAAGGAGCAGTGCTTGAGTAGAAACACAAGAGCTTTCACATAAATACCTAGAAGCCTTTTGTCAGCATCACTAACCAGACCTGTGTCACAGGCCACTCAGTGTGTTAGGCAAGTATTTAATGGGATATATTTTCCGTCGTCCTCTGAACAAAATTGTATTCTGTTAGGATGGGAAAAGGGAAGAAGGGAATTATCTGCAACAAGAGTTATTTGGAATGTGGATTTTAGAGACATAATTTTTTCATAGTAGCATCAAATTGGGTGAATACTGGGAAATTATTCAGAGATATATACCATCCAGAACAAGAACCACCACCACAGAACACACAGTCGCCACATTCCATTGATTTATAGGCTGCTGTTTTGTTATTTTCCACTATCTATTAGGTATCTAAATTTCACTTCTCTTTGTTCCTTTTTGCCAATTCAAAAGAATTTAAAATGTTAGAATGAACAAATACTAATGAGGCGCATGTTACCTAAGGATGAGTTTTCAGGCATTCCTTGTGCCACAAATATGAAGAAAACGGAATCATTATAGGCTCTAGGGTGCGGTAGAGAAGCACATGGGACTAAAACAACTTGGATTTGTCATTTACTGTTTTGTTTGTAGGACAAGTCTCTTTTAGTGTCTCATATTATTGACATAACTCATGAATGCTTTTTTCCAGAGTTGATCACACTTAACAATATGTGCAGGCAGGACCGAAAAAAGGTGTGGTGCCTTCCAGCCCATAAATCAAAGGTGAGTCATGAGAATGCTGTCCATTAAACAGGAAGGAGGAGATTTGGATATGGAAGTAGGACATGCATTAGATTCCACAGCAATTAGGCTTTTCCATAAAAGAAGCATCTGCTTTTGGAACTTGAAAATAGAATAAAAGAGGAGCATTTAAAGGAGTTCTTGAAGAAGGCACACCAAGGTACTCGACTAATTGTAATTAGCTAATGAATACCTCCTGTAATAAAGCCTGAACTGTGGAAGGGAATCATTGATCGGCTTCCCAGGAACACCCTGTCACTGTACTGTACCTGCAGTGTATCAGCATTCGGACACAGACAGTGGGTGTGCAGATGTGTGTCTGTGTCATTTGGTTTTATTCATTTATTGCAGTTTCCATTTTATATATTATTCTAGTATAGGTCAGAGAAGCAAAGAGTCATCTACTCTCAGGGGCTTGTTTAACATTTTACATACCCAGTGGAAGGATTTCCCTTCTAACTTTGCTAGATTCTAAGCCTGAAATTAGAGGGAAAAAAAACTTGAACTATCTATTTAAATTCCATATCCAAGTCTGATCTATTCCACAGGAGTTCTTATCCTGAAGGAGCATGGCAGCAAATCAAGGAACAAAACTTAAAGCTGACTGTCCCTTTTTTTCCCACTGCTCTCTACCTTGTAGGGTGACAGAGAAACTTTGATGGGATGTTCAACTTCAGTAATTTTGACTCCTTTTATTTTTATTAGGAAATAATATTTTCCTTACAATATATAACAAGTATTTTCTCCATTGTGATTTTCCTTATGTCTGAGGACCCAGAGATCCTTGGAAGTCAGGCAGAGATGAGTTCAAATCCTGACTCTGCCACTTAGTAGTTGTGCAACCCTGACTGTATTACTCAGCCTCGGCAAATCTCCATATCTTAACCTGAAAAATGGGGATAATAATATATGTGTTTTGCAGAGTTTGTTGTGAAGATTGAGTGAGATTAGGTAAAGTGCTTAGCACCATGCCTGGAATTACTGAGTGCTTAAATGCAAACTGCAGATTAGTAGGATTTCATCTGTGACTTAACTTCATGTACTTCTTTAGGAAAGCATGTATTTTGTCACATGGGGCAAGTACTTGATTATTAACAAGAATGGTCTTCCTCAACTTCGTGGAAGCAGTGCACACCTCAACACTGTGCATTGCCTCCACGTTTGTGTACATGTACTTAGGAAAGGGAGCTAGACATTCTCACCTTCATTGAGTTGCTGTGAGGGTAAAATGAGAGTTTGCATTTCATACCTGACACACGGGGGACTCAGCAGATGTTAGCTCCCTTCCACTATGTCCCCCACTTTCTGAATCAGTCTGTACTTCCATAAATGTATCTTTTCTCTTAGAAGGGCCATCGAGAGGTGGAGGCAGAGAAATGATTCTGGGGCCAGGGGTCTTCCTCCAGGGCCCTTGTAGTCAGATTCTTTCCTTGTCTTGGACGATCACTCAGATATTTGGATTAACACAGCTAAGAGATACAGTGGCTCTCTCCATTTCACAGATTAGCAGGACCAGAAAGTCAATATGAAGAAAGCATTTACTGAGTGTCATCACCAAGATGGCAAAATAGAAGGCAACCTGCTCATATCCCCCAACTACAATATGGGTACAAGAATTTTTGTACCCATCTACAGTCAAAAGTCTGTCAGTGGGAGCCTCAGGATTCAGATAGGAGTTTGTGAAACCCTGAGAGGGCGCAAGACCTAGGAGGGTTGTTTTGAAAGTACAGACCAACACCCAGGTCAGTTGATCTGGTGAGCTTGCTTCCAGGTTCATGCCTGGAAATGGCCAAGAAAGTTTCTGCATGGATAGGATCATTCCCCAGCTACAGCAGGAGGGGCCAGAGCTGAGACTGGGACCCCTTGGGGTCTGCCGTTGGCTACAGCCCTGTTTGGCCTTGAGCTTGCAACCGAAACTATCTGCCAAGGAGTCTAGAAGGAATTGCGCATACTAGAGCCTTGGCAGAAAGACTCGTCTGTCCACTGACATCAGTCTCAGCAGTGAACCTGGAAGTGGCCCTGTGGCTCTGCTCCAGCCTTTCTCAGCTGATGTCTCAGTTCAGAGGTGCTCATACAAGGACCCAGAAGGAGACTTGCCCATATCTCACAACCCAGAAGTCTGAATGTCCCCAACACACTTGCCAACCTCTGTCTCATAGCAGATCCCAAGTGGACTCAGTCTCAGCTGCACCCTGCCCTCTGCAGCAACCAGGGAACTATCCTATTTGTGCTGAGACCTGCTGGGAGATGTGTACTTGTCTGGCCCAACAAGACAGACTCTTTAGCTTCCATCCCACAACAGATCCCAAGGACACCCAGACTCAGCTCCAGCCCCTCCTGCTGTAGACAAGAAACTAGCTTATTTGTGCAGAAACTTGCTGGGTGATATAAACCCCTCTGAGCTGAGACTGGGCTCTCCAGTCTCTCATAGCACATTCCATGGGGCCCAGTCTCAGCTCTAGCCCCTACTGCTTCAGTCTAGGAACTACCCCACTCATACAGGGACCAGCTGGGTGATGCATGTTCATCTGAGACAATGAGATAGGCCCACCAGCTCCTTCTCACAGCTGATCCTGAAGTGGTCCAGTCTCAACTCCATCTCCTCTTGCTGCAGTTGAGAAATGCAGAGATCTGCTGGGAGACACACTTGTCTGGGCCACAAGGACAGTTTTCTGGACTCAGGTCCCTCAGTCCAGTATCTGCCTGGGGTCTTCTCTAGGTCCATCTGGGCTGGAAAGCCATGTCAACCTCAGAGTCCTCATGAAACTCACGGCAAGCCTGGGCTTGGAGTGTCCTCTAGTGCTGAGATATCTGGCTGCAGTGGTCACAGGCTCAGGGAACACAACAGTCAGTCAGCTTAGAATCCGAAAGGCCCTCTGAAGGACAGGCACAAACAAAGCCAGAATGCAAAGACTAAAATAAATACCTAATTCCTAAATATGTAGACATTGTTGTACTTCTACAGGCATCAAAAACATTCAGGGAAATATGACCTCACAAATGAGGTAAAACAAGGTGCCAGCGACCAACCCTACAGTGATAGAGATGTGTGATCTCTCATACAAATAATTCAAAATAGCTGCTTTAAGGAGACTCAATGAAATTCCAGAAAACAGAAAATCAATTCAGAAATGTATCAGAAAAATTTAATAGAGACATTGAAAAAATTTTAAAAATCAAAAAATCCTGGAGCTGAAAAATACAATGAATGAAATGAAAAATGCAATATAGAGCATCAATGGCAGAAGTAATCAGTGACAGATTATTTGGATATACACAGAGGAAAAAAAAAGGAATAAAAATAATGAAAAAAGCTTACAATATGTATGAGACAACATCAAAAAAGAAAATATTCATTATTGGAGTTAAAGAGGGAACTGAGAAAGACAAAGGGGTAGAAAGCTTCTTCAGAGAAATAATAGAAAGCTTTCCAACCCTGGAGAAAGATACAAATACCAAAGCCAGGAAGATCAAAGATCACCAATCAGATTCAACCCAAATAAGAATATCCCAAGACATATTACATCGAACTTGCAAAAATGAAAGACAAAGAGAGGATTCTAAAAGCAGCAAGAGAAAAGAGGCAAATAACATATAAGGGAGATCCAATACTCCTGGCATCAGACTTCTCAGCAGAAACTTTTCAGGCCAGGAGGGAGATGATAATATTCAGAGTGTTGTAGGAAAAAAATGGCCAACCAAGAATACTGTATCAAAAAAAGTTCTTCAGAAATGGAGAGATAAAGACTATCCCAGACGGACTTTATATTTATAGCAACCAGAACTGTCCCACAAAAAATGCTAAAGGAAATTCTTCAAACTGAAAGAAAAGGACTCTAACGTAATTATTATAGTAATATTGTAATTGTGATAAACCACTTATATCTTTGGCCAAAAGACTGAAAGTCAAAACTATTAAAATAATTTTGAAAATAATTTGTTAAGAGACAGGCAATAAAAAAGGGTAATTGGTGACATCAAAAACTGTAAATGTGGAGGAAGAAGGGAGTTAACCTGTTTGGGTTGTTTCTTTGCTTTTTTATGATCAAAATTAAGTTGGCATCAGTTTTAAATACCTGTTATAACTGTAGGATTTGTTTTGTAAGCTTAACGGTAACTACAAAGCTAAAACCTATAACAGATAGACTAAAAATAAAAAGTAACAAAACATACTACCAGAGAAAAATCACTTAACCACAAAGAAAGACAAAGAAAGGAAGAGAGGAGTTACCTACAGCTAGTAAACAAGTAACAGTATGGCAGTAAGGCCTTATCTATCAATAGTAACATTGAATGTAAATGGACTGAATTCTCCAATTAAAAAAACAAAGAGTAGCTGCATGGATTAAAAAACAAGACCCAACAATATGCTGTCTACAAGAAACTCAATTCACCTGTAAAGATACACATAGACTGAAAGTGAAGGGATAGAAAGATGATATCCCATGCAATGGAAACCAAAAAAGAGCAGGAGTAACTATATGAGCTAAAATAGACTTTAAATTAAAAACTGTAAAAAGAGATAAATAGGGTTATTATATAATGATTAAGAGGTCAATTCAGCTAGAGGATATAACAATAGTAAATATATACACACCCAACACCAGAGTACCCAAATATACAAAGCAAATATTAATAGATCTGAAGGGAGAGATAGACTGCAATGCAGCAGTAAGAGGGGATTTCAGCATCCTACTTTTGACAATGGAAAGATCATTCAGGCAGAAAATCAACAAAGAAACATCAGAGTGAAACTGTACACCAAATGGACCTAACAGACATTTACAGAATATTTCACCCAACTGCTACAGAATACGCATTCTTCATCAGCACATGGAACATTCTCCAGGACAGACTATATGTTGGACCATGAAACAAGTCTCAACAAATACAAAAAAGTGGAAATTATATCAAGTATCTTTTCTGACCACAATAGAGTAAAACTATAAGTCAATAAAATGAGGAATGTTAAAAACTGTACAAATACATGGAAATTAAACAACATGTTTCCAGACAACCGGTTGGTCAGTGAAGAAATTAAGAAGGAAATTTAGAAATTTCTTGAAAAAAATAAAAATGGAAACAAAACATACAAGAATCTATAGGATACAGAAAAAGTAGTACTAACATGGAATTTTATAGCAGTAAATATCCACATTTTTAAAAAATAGAGACTCCAAATAAACAATCTAACTATGCACATCAAGCAACTAGAAGAGAACAAACCAAACCCAAAATTAGTAAAAGGAAAGAAATAATAAAGATCAGAGCAGAAATAAATGAAATGAGACTAAAAAAATAAAAAAGATCAACAAAACAAAAAGTTGGTTTCTTGAAAAGACAAAATTGGTAAACCTTTAGCTAGACTAAGATAAAAATAAAGAAGACCCAAACAAATAAAATCAGAGACAAAAAAGGAAACATTACAACTAATACCACAGAAATAGAATCATTAGACTATCATGAACAACTATACACAAACAAACTGAAATATCTAGAAGAAATGGATAAACTCCTGAACACATACTCTACCATGATTGAACCATGAAGAAACAGAAAACCTAAACAAACCAATAACAAGTCATGAGATCAAGCTACAATAAAAAGTCTCCCTTCAAAACTTGGGACCTGCCAGGTTCACTTCTGAATTCTAGCAAACACTTAAGGAAGACCTAATACCAATTCTACTCAAATTATTTCAAATAAGTGAAGAGGAGAGAAACTCATTTTACCAGGCCAGCATTATCCTGATACCAAAACCAGACAAACACACTACCAAAAACAAAAAATAAAAGAAAAAATCAACTGTGGGCCAATATCACTGATGAACATAGATGTAAAAATCCTCCACAAAATACTAGCAAACAGAATTCAAAAACATTAAAAAGATCTTTCACTAGAATCAAGTGGATTCATCCCAGGGATGCAAGGATGGTTCAACATAGGCAAATCAACAAACATGATACATCACATCAACAGAATGAAGGACAAAAAACATGTGATTATTTCAATGGATGTTGAAAAAACATTCAGTTAAATTCAATGTCCTTCATGAAAAAAATCCTCAACAAACTGGGTATAGAATGAACATACCTCAGGCCAGGCATGGTGGCTCAGGCCTGTAATCCCAACACCTTGGGAGGGTGAGGCAGGTGGATCACTTAAAGTCAGGAGTTCGAGACCACCTTGGCCAGTGTGGTGAAATTGTGATATGGTTTGGCTGTGTAACCCACCTAAATCTCAACTTGAATTGTATCTCCCAGAATTCCCACATGTTGTGAGAGGGACCCAGTGAGAGGTAACTGAGTCATGGGAGTGGCCTTTCCTGTGCTGTTCTCATGATAGTAAATAAGTCTCATGAGATCTGATGGGTTTATCAGGGGTTTCTGCTTTTGCTTCTTTTTTTTCTCTTGCCACCACACTGTAAGAAGTGCCTTTCACCTCCCACCATGATTCTGAGGCCTCCCCAGCCATGTGGAACTGTAAGTCCAATTAAACCTCTGTTTGTTACCAGTTTTGGGTATGTCTTTATCAGCAGCATGAAAACGAACTAATACAGTAAATTGGTACCAGTAGAGTGGGGTGTTGCTGAAAAGATACCTGAAAATGTGGAAGCAACTTTGGAACTGGGTAACAAGCAGAGGTTAGAACAGTTTGGAGAACTCAGAAGAAGACAGGAAAATGTGGAAAAGTTTGGAGCCTCCTAGAAGCTTTGACAAAAATGCTGATAGTGATATGAACAATAAGGTCCAAGCTGAGGTGGTCTCAGATGGAGATGAGGAACTTGTTGGGAACTGGAGCAAAGGTGACTCTTGTTATGTTTTAGCAAAGAGACTGGTGGCATTTTGCCCCTGTCCTAGAGATTTGTGGAAATTTTGAACTTGAGAGAGATGATTTAGGTTATCTGGTGGAAGAAATTTCTAAGCAGCAAAGCATTCAAAAAGGTGACTTGGGTGCTGTTAAAAAGCATTCCATCTTAAAAGGGAAACAGAGCACAAAAGTTCAGAAAATTTGCAGCCTGATGATGCAGTAGAAAAGAAAAAACAATTTTTTTGAGGAGAAATTCAAGCTGGCTGCAGAAATTTGCATAAATAGCAAGGAGCCTAATATGAATCCCCAAGACCATGGGGAAAATGTCTCTCTAGGCCATGTCAGAGACCTTCACAGCAGTCCCTCCCATCACAGGCCTGGAGGCCCAGGAGGAAAAAGTGGTTTTATGGGCCGGGCCCAGGGGAGTACCCATGCTGGTGCCCTGTGTCCCAGCTGCTCCAGCCATGGCTGAAAGGGGCCAACACAGAGCATAGGCTGTGGCTTCAGAGGGTTGAAGCCCCAAGCCTTGGCAGCTTCTATGTGGTGTTGAGCCTGTGGGTACACAGAAGAATTGAGGTTTGGGAACCTCGGCCTAGATTTCAGAAGATGAATGGAAATGGCTGGATGCCCAGGAAAAAGTTTGCTGTAGCGGTGGGGTCCTCATGGAGAACCTCTGCTAGGATGTTGTGGAAGGGAAATGTGGGGTCAGAGCCCCCACATAGAATCCCTACTAGGGCACTGCCTAATGGAGCTATGAGAAGAGGGCCACTGTACTCCAGACCTCAGAATGGTAGATCGACCAACAGCTTGCACCATGCACCTGGAAAAGCTGCAGACACTCAATGTCAGCCCATGAAAGCAGCCAGGAGGGAGGTTGTACCCTGCAAATCCACAGGGGTGGAGCTGCCCAAGACCATGGAAACCCACCTCTTGCATCAGCGTGACCTGGATATGAGACCTGGAGTTAAAGGAGATCATTTTGAAGCTTTAGAATTTGACTGCCCCACTGCATTTTGGACTTGCATGGGCCCTGTAATCCTTTGTTTTGGCCAATTTCTCCCAATTGGAATGGCTGTATTTACCCAATACCTGTACCCACATTGTATCTAGGAAGTAACTAGCTTGTTTTTGATTTTACAGGCTCACAGTCAGGAGGGACTAGCCTTGTTTTAGATGAGACTTTGGACTGTGGACTTTTGGGTTAATGCTGAAATGAGTTAAGACTTTGGGGGACTGTTGGGAAGGCATGATTGGTTTTGAAACGTGAGGACATGAGATTTGGAGGAGCCAGAGGCAGAATGATGTGGTTTGGCTGTGTCCCCACCCAAATCTCAACTTGAATTGTATCTCCCAGAATTCTCATATGTTGTGGGAGGGACCCAGTGGGAGGTAACTGAATCATGGGGGCTGGTCTTTCCCATGCTATTCTTGTGATAGTGAATAAGTCTCATGAGATCTGATGGGTTTATCAGGGGTTTCTATTTTTGCTTCTTCCTCAGTTTTCTCTTGTCACTGCCGTGTAAGAAGTGCCTTTTGCCTCCTGCCATGATTCTGAGGCTTCCCCAGCCATGTGGAACTGTAAGTCCAATTAAATCTCTTTTTGTTCCCAATTTTGGGTATCTTTATCAGCAGCATGAAAACGAACTAATACAGTAAAAGAGAACCCTAATACAACTCGTCTCTGCTAAAACAATACAAAAAAAGAGCAAGGGATGGTGGTACACATCTGTAGTCCCAGATACTTGGGAGGCTGAGGCAGGAGAATTGCTTGAACCTGGGAGGTGGAGGTTGCAGTGACCTGAGATCACACCACTGCACTTCCAGCCTGGGCAGCAGAGCAAGACTCCATCTCAAAAAAAAAAAAAAAAAAAAAAGAAAGAAAGAACATACCTCAGTGTGATAAGGGCCACATGTGAGAATCCTACAGCTAATATTAAATGGGAAAAAATGGAAAGCCTTTGCATTAAGAACTAGAATAAGACAAGGATGCCCACTTTCACCACTTTTATTCAACATAGTACTAGCCAAAGCAATTAGTCAAGAGAAAGAAATAAAGGGCATGCAAATTGGAAAGGAAGAAGTTGACTTATCCTTGTTTGCAAACAACGCGATCTTATATTTAGAAAAACCTAAAGAGTCCACCAAAAAAACCTATTAGAAGTGACAGATTCAGCAAAGTTACAGGATATAAGATCAACATACAAAAATCAGTAAAATTTCTATATGCCAGCAGCCAACAATCTGAAAAAGAAACCAACAAAGCAATCTTACAACATCTACAAATAAAATGCCTAGGAATAAATTTAGGAGGTGGAAGACTTCTACAAGGAAAACTACAAAACATTGATTAAAGAAATTGAAGAGGATAAAAAGGGCAAGACATCCCATGCTCACTTTTCAGAAGAATTAATATTGTTAAAATGACAATACTACCCAAAGCAATCTACAGATTTGATGCAATTCCTATAAAAATACCAATGACAGTTCTTCACAGAAATAGAAAAAAAAAATCCTAAAATTTATATGAAAACACGAAAGACCCCAAATAGCCAAAGCAATCCTGAACAAAATGAACAAAGCTGGAAGCATCACATTATCTGACTTCAAATTATACTACAGGCCAGATGCAGTGGCTCATGCTTCTAGTCCCAGCACTTTGGGAGGCTGAGGTGGGTAGATTGTTTGAAGCCAGGAGTTCGAGACCAGTCTGGTCAACATGGCGAAACCCCGTCTCTACTGAAAATACAAAAATTAGCTGGGCATGGTCGCGGGTACCTGTAATCCCAGCTACTTGGGAGGCTGAGGCAGGAGAATCACTTGAACCTGGGAGGCGGAGGTTTCAGTGAGTCGAGATTGCATCACTGCACTCCAGCCTGGGCAGCAGAGAGAGACCCTGTCTCAGAAAACAAACAAATTAAACTACAGAGGTATAGTAGCCAAAAAAGCATAGTACTGGTATAAAAACAGACACATAGACCAATGGAACAGAATGAAGAACTCAGAAATAAGTCTTTGTACTTAGAGCCAACTCATTTTCAACAAAGGCACTAAGAACACATACTGGGGGGGAAAAGAGTCTCCTTAATAAATGGTGCTGGGAAAACTGTATATCTGTTTGCAGAAAAATAAAACCGGATCCCCATCTTTCATCATATACAAGTATCAACTCAAAATGAATTCAAGACTTAAATGTAAGACCTAAAACTATGAATCTGCTAGAACAAAACACTGAAGAAATGCTACAGGACATTGGTTTGGGCAAAGATTTTTTAGGGTAGGACCGCAAAAGAATAGGAAGTCAAAGCAAAAAATAGAAAAATGGGATTACATCAAGCTAAGAAGCTTCTAGACAGCAAAGGAAGGAACAAAGTGTAGAGACAGCCTTCAGAATGGAAGAACATATCTGCAAACTATCCATCTAACAATGAATTAATACATAGAATATGTAAGAAATGTAAACAATTCAATAGCAAAATAACAATCTGATTTTTTTTTAATGGGCAAAAGAGCTGGGTAAAAATTTCTCAAGACATACAAATGGCCACAGGTAGATTACAAAATGCTCAACATCACTAATCATCAGGGAAATGCAAATCAAAACCACAATGAGTTATCAACTCACTTCAGTTAGAAATCTATTATCAAAAAGAGAAAAAAATAACAAATGCTGGCAAGGATGCAGAGAAAGAGGAACCCTGGTATAGTGTTGGTGGGAATGTAAGTACAATAGCCACTATGAAAACAGTATGGAGGCTTCTCAATAAACTAAAAATAAAACTACCATATGATCCAGGAATCTCACTGCTGGGTGTATATCCAAAAGAAGTCAATATATCGAAGAGGTATCTGCACTCCAATGTTTACTGTAGAACTATTCACAATAGCCAAGATTATGGAATCAACCTGTGTCCATCAACAGATGAATGGATAAAGAAAATGTGGTATATATTCACAGTGAAATATTTTTTCACCACAAACATAATGAAATCCTGTCATTTGTAGCAACATGGATGGAACTACATGTTATTGAGCACCAATGTCACATATTTTCATTTATGTGTGTGAGTTTAAAAAGTGGATCTCATGGAAGTGGCCAGTAGTGGAGAGTAGAATGGTGTTTATCAGAGGAGAGGTACGGAGTGGGGGCAGGGGGAATGAAGAGAAGTTGGTTAATGGGTACAGAAATAAAATTAGAAGGAAGAAGTTCTAGTATTCAACAGTACAGTAAGAAAATCATAGTTAACAATAATTTATTGTATGTTTCAAAATAGCTAGAAGAACTGTAATGTTCCCAACACAAAAAGGTAAGTATTTAAGATGACACATATCCCAATTAACCTGATTTGATCATTACACATTGTATACATATATCAAAATATCACACATACCCCAAAAATATGTACAACTATGATACATAAATTAAAAATACAAAAAAAAAAAGGAGGGGGCAGGCATGGTGGCTTATGCCTGTAATCCCAGCACTTTGGGAGGCCAAGGCAGGGTGATTGCTTGAGCCCAGGAGTTGAGACCAGCCTGGGCAACATAGTAAGACTCCATCTCTACAAAAGTTTTAAAAAATAATTATCCAGGTGTGGTGGTGCACACCTGTAGTCCTGACTACTTGGGAGACTGAGGTGGGAGGATCATCTGAGGCTGGGAGGTCAAGGCTGCAGTGAGTCGTGGTTGCACCGCTGTACTCCAATCTGGGTGCCAGAGCAAGACTCTGTCTCTAAAAAAAAATCACCAAAAAAGAAGACATAACTTACTGCCAAAGTGAGAAAGACAATGGGATAAATTCAGATTGAGACCTATGGTTCCTAGTTCAGGCAACACTTGAAGACAGAAGGGGCCTGTCATAACATGGAGTTGGGAGTTGGTTTTTTTCCTCTGGCTAACCTAAGCATTGGCTTAGAGGTTATCAGAGTGGGGGAAGACAGAGAATACTTCTCTGAAAGACTCCCTTTGTTTTCCTCCTACAGAGAGGGTTTCCTTCAGGTTCACATTTGTTATGTCATTGGCTCTGACCATGGTGCTGAATCCTCTGAACTTGAAAATTGAACTCCTACAAAGGTAGTAGATTCAAACTCTTAGTTGTGAGATGTGCTAGAAGTGATATGGGGAAGTGCAGCACCCCCACCCCCCTTCTGTACTTCTACCAACCTTATCTGCTCCCTTGAGCTCCTTTTGAGGTATAAAATATAGCGGAAATTTCTGGCTAAAATTTATAGATTCGGATGCTCCCATTTCCTGAACGCCATCTACATAGGAGTAGTTCTTTGAATTGTCAGAAAACAACCTGGCCCCAAAGTAAACTCAAGGCAGGCCAAGCACAATATTTTTGCCATTTATGGCGAATGATAAGAGGTATGTCACAGTTCCTAAGACAACCACAAGGGCTTCTGCTCAGTGTGGGTTTTGCTGACTTCACTGGAGTCAGCAGCAGTGGGCTGCTTCATTGCTGACATTCAGCAAATGTGGGTTTATATAAAGCTCTGTCATAGGCTGATCCTCCATAATCCCACAGAATCTGCAGGGAATAGTACTTTCCATGCTAATGTGATTGAACACAGAGAGTACCTATATTATGCTAGGCATATGCTAGGAATATGGACCCTGAATCAAGAAGTTTACAGTCTATTTGGTGAGAAAAACGTGCATGTGGGTGATGCAAAGTAGAATGTACTATGTGTGTTACCAGAGATCCCATGTGTTAGACCAATAGTGACAGGACAGTGGTCTGTTCTGATCTGGAACCTGACCAGAGGCAGTCCTTAGAGTACTGAGCTCTGAGCTCGACCTTCCCCTCACCTTTCATTTCAAGTTAGGGGTGGACATATCTGAGTTGGTGGAGTCTGGTCAGCTACAAACCTGTTTTTAGAGATGAATTCTGTGCTATGAGACTCTGGTCACGAATCATGGAACTTCTGCTTTCTGAGAGCTTGTGTGGATTGTTTATTCTTCCAAGGACTGTTAACCAGTGAGAAGATAGTTAAGACAGGCTGGGGCAGACAGTGTTTAATCTGCTTCAGAGACACAAACTGCAGCTCCATCCCACCAGCATCTGCCAACACAAGGCAGAGAGATTAGTGTGTGGACGTGGCACAAACAAAGAAAGGGATGCACAGGGATTGGTTTAGGAGGGAGAAGCCACAGGATGAGCCTTTCCTCTAGGGGACCTGGGAGAGGGTCGAGCAACAGGAGTGGAGGGTCTTGCCTCTCATTCAACATCAAGAGTCCTGCATACCTCCTGGGATCCCTTTCTCAGAACTTAAGGACTTAAGAGAGAAGGTGTGGTATGTTGAGCCAGACATTAACTTTGTCTAGGAGAACAGCATGGGTTTTTAGCAGCATGGAAGGGTGGCACTTGCGATCAGTTTAGCTGCTTAAGCCAGTATCCTGAGCTGAGAAAGGCCTGAGGAGCAGAGTTCTGGGCACAGTACAGGAAAACCCCTCTCAGTGCCTAGAGAGTACCTGGAGCAGGGTAGGTGCTAAATAAATTTTTACTGAACTGAATTCTTGCTGAGCTACTAAAGGAGAGGTGAACAGCTGCTTCTAAGGGCTGATACTATGCTCCAGAAAGCAGAGGAATGTGTCACATGTCTGGTCTTTTGGACTCACAGCAGACCTCACATTCTATAGCACTGAGGGGCTCCTGCTGCTGGGACAGAGACATGAGCTCAGGATCAGCTCTCCCAGGGACCCAGAACGCAGCCCATCTTCACCAGCCATAGCACCTTCAGATAAAAAAGGCCAACACATATGTCCACAAGTCCTCTTTTTCTCTGTCACTTTCACTTCCCAGACATTTCGAGGTACTGCTATTGACCTTCGCTTCTATATTGGGAAAATGGGGCTAGTGGGTTTTTTTTTTCCATGCCCATCAGGACCCTTCCAAGGCCATTTCAAAGTAATTCGCAGGTAAGGTACCCACAAGAATCTCTTATCTGTTGCCTCTTTTCCTTTGGAACTCAGTTCATAATTTACATTTGTGCCAGCCTCTTTCCCATCCAAGTTTCTAATTTTTTGTTTTTTGACATAGAAAGCTGGTAAGTGAGCTGGATTAGAACAGGAGTCCATGTACAATCCACACTTTGTGCCTTTGTCCTTGTTCTCTTGCCTGCCTTTGACCTTCCTCTCTGGCCTGTTCAGTCACAGGAAGGAAGAGAGAGGCAGCTATCTGCAAGAGCAAAAATGCCTCTTACAAAAGCATACCCAACGGCTGTCCTTTTTTCCAAGACCAGTTCTGACAGCTAAGAAGGCTGACACCCAGCTGGCATCCTCTGGTACCTTTGTCCTGTCACCTCCTGCCACACCAAGCCTCTGGCACAGTATTGGTTACCAACTTCTGTCAGGCCTGCACCATCTTCTGCCCAACCCACAGTGGGTGGCATCCAGCATGTTCAGGGTTGATACAGATTGGTTCAGGGCCATAATTTTGTGGACTTTTTTTTTCATGAATGCAGAATTTATAGGTGATAGAAGCACCACTATGTTTCTATCCTCCTCCTCTTTGACTTCCTCCTGTGACTTTTGGTGAACAAGGTCCTCATCCACCTACAGACCCCTTTCATCTCCAGGAGGAAGGGCTGTGTGCCTCCTGCCCTTCGTCTCCACTCTGGCTGTAGAAAGTGCTAATCCTGAGACAGCAAGTCTGCACAGTTTGGCCCAAAGCTTCCTGGCCGCACCCACATACCAGGGCAGTGCCAGCTTGCTCCCTTCTAAGGCAGCATCTATTGTTTCCGTACAGTGGGCAGGGTTGGCCATTCGGTGCAAGGCCACCTGAGTGGAAAACGCCTCTTCAAAACAGGGTGGCTTCAAAACAGTTGACTACACTTTGTTCTTTGGCCCCTGAAGAGGAGAGAGAGAGTAAATGAGAGGTGTGGAGCTTCGCTAGAAGCAGACTATGGGAATTTAAAATCGATGCCAAAAATCCTTCCGTCAGCTTATTAACAAAACACAATTTCTATGGGGTTCCAAGCTCCATTCTTGGAAAAAAATCAAAGCCCACTGCAATGGGTGGCCATTATACCCAGAAGGAATGGAGGAGAGGAAACACTAGAGCTTCTTCCCATCCTCACTGACCAAGGAAAGCTGTTCTTCCTTCTGATGCCTCTGTTTTAACAGCTGTAGAATGGAGGTAAATACTAAAAATACAAAAAACTAGCTGGGCATGGTGGTGCACACCTGTAGTCCCACCCACTTGGGAGGCTGTGGTGAGAGGATCACCTGAGCCTGGGAAGTCGAGGCTGGAGTGAGCTGTGATCACACCACTGCACTCCAGCCTGGGCGATGGGAGTGAGGTGAGACCCTGTCAAAAAAAAAAAAAAAAAAGAAAAAGAAAAAAAAAAAGGTATATTAAATGAAAAAGACCTCTATTATGGCACAAACTCAGGAAATTTAAAGGACACAAAGGATAAACAGAATCTCCTCAAAACTTCCAGAGCAAAAGGGCCAGAAATCAGCATTGTATCAGACCTCTTCACAGCACTGGGGGCTAGAAAACCAAAATCTGAGCCAGTCAGGAATTCCATAACCAGTGAAATGATCAATAAAATATGGGCAAAATGAAAAACCTAAAAAAAAATGACCTTTGTCAGGAAACTGCTGAAGGATGTGTGCGTGTGCGCGCGCGCACACACACACACACTGACTGTGTGTGCGCACACACACTGACTGTGTGTGCGCACACACACACTGACTGTGTGTGGGGTCTGAAAATGCTGAGGGGAATGTTACAGTTCTGTAAGGTTTAGGAATTAAGTATATCATGAATTAAATTTAAAATGATGAAATTATTCATCTCAGAGTTTATAAGAAGTTTTAAAAGGAAATCTAAAACTATGTAGTTATGATATCAACAGTATCTATATAATTATCAATACCATTCTTGAGTTAACCGAAAACTGTGTTCTAACTAAATTGTGAAGGCGAATGGAGTAATATGTGTACAGGTGGCAGTGGAGTTAAAGCTAAATTCTCATTTCCCATAGTAGAAAAATTAAAAAAATTAAAAAAATAAAGTCAAAATGAAGACATAGAGGTATGAGCATTTTAAAATGGAAGTAACAGTCTATAGAATCTCTTATCAGAAGAAACAGATAAATGATTTGAAAGCAGCTGCCTGCGAGAGAAAACAGTAGGACAGAGAACAGCTGTTTGTTTGCTCTGGGACTCAGTGCCCTCTTACTTGTTTATGGATATATATTACACTGACAGAAATAAAAGTTTAAATTTAAAGAACGAGACAGCTCAAATGCCAGTACGAACCTGTGAGTGGATAAACAAAATGTTGTCTATCCAAATAATGGAATATTATTCAGTCATAAAAAGGAATGAAGTACTGATACACACTACAACGTGGATGAATCTTGAAAACATCATGCTAAGTGAAAGAAGCCAGTCAGAAAAGGCTGCGTACCTTTTATCATGCATCATCCCTGTTGTATGTATGTATCATGTATCATACCTATTGTATGATTCCGTTTACATGAAATGTCCAGACTATGTAAGTCTGTAGAAAGCAGATTTTGCCAGGAGCTGGGAGGAGGAATGAATGAAGAATGTCTACTTAATGGGTACAGGTTTCTTCTTGGGGTGATTAAAATGTTGTGGAGTTAGAGAGTGGTGATGGTCACACAACACTGTGAACATACTAAGGCCACTGAATTGTATGCTTTAAAATGGTTAAAATGGTAAAAACGGTAAGTTTTATGTTATGTGAATTTTTAACCTCAATAATAAAGGAAGGAACACTGTATAGTGGATTTTGTATGGCTAGTACACAGATTCTATTGTAGTTTCAGTTAAGTAAGAGTTGTTTACAAAGTCTCTGCGCTATACATTCTGCTTTAGTTAACACGAAAGAGTGAATAAATGTATGCCTTTGATGATTTATTATTTCCATAGTATCTGAGGAGCCGTCATCATTCTGAATAGCCAAGATTTTAGGCACAACAGACAGAAATGAATTATAAACTAACCTCAAAATAGAATATCTTATCATTTATAATACAGAAATTATTCATGCTGCAGTTCTTTAGTAAACAGCTTGCTTTCTTGTCGTCTGACACTTTCAAAAATGGAGAAGAAGAGAAAACTTGAATTCAGAGTTCTGGGTAGTAATGTCTTGTGAATGAGCTTACACTATGTTTCGCTTCACTTTTTTCCAATTAGATTTCAGTTCTCTCTCCTTTGGCACCCCCTCATTCTGCAACATATTTTATTGCCTATTTTTTTTATTAGTCAACTATTGAAACAGGTGAATTGGCTACAAAGAAGAGCTTAGTCACTCAGAGTCAACTAAGCAGCAAACACTGGCCACCAAGACTTGGACTCTTGTGAATCAGCTTCAGATTTGTTCTTGTTGTTGTTGTTGTTGTTGTTTAAATATTTGTTTGGGTTTTTTTGTTAGGTCACCAAGAAGAGTTTTAAAACCCTGTCTCACTAAAGGGCTTTTTAAGATCTATACAAAGCTAATTTTTTCTCATAAGTATGTGTTAGTTTCTCATAATGATTTTTCTCATTTCTATATCATATTAAAAAAATTCAGGCCGGGCGCAATGGCTCACGCCTGTAATCCCAGCACTTTGGGAGGCTGAGGCGGGCAGATCATGAGGTGAAGAGATTGAGACCATCCTGGCCAACGTGGTGAAACCCCATCTCTACTAAAAATACAAAAATTAGCTGGGCGTGGTGGTGTGTGCCTGTAGTCCCAGCTACTTGGGAGGGTGAGGCAGGAGAATTGCTTGAACCTGGGAGGCGGAGGTTGCAGTGAGCTGAGATTGCGCCACTGCACTCCAGCCTGGGCGACAGAGCGAGACTCTGTCTCAGAAAAAGAAAAAAAAAAAAGATTCAACCAGGAGGGTAGATGTAATAAGTAGGAGGGACTTTTTCTCTAGGCAGTACCACTTATTCTTTTCCTGAGGATGTTGGTTTTATATGGATTGTCTTTAAGCATCACTTGGAAACGCTACAAATAATGCAGCTAAATGTTTAAGCAATTAGGAAATAGGAATTTTTAAATACAGAATTTTGCACTGCAGAGTGTTTACAAGTATTAAAAGATTGTATTACACAACTGTTGTTAAATTCTAGTAAGATAAATTGATACTAAAGAAAACAAACCCAGAAAGATCAAGTGACTTGGATCACACAACACAGGAATTAAGAAGGAAATTAGTATTCTTTGTTGAATATTTTCCATTTGAATAGTTACAGGAAAATTATTTGCATATTTTACAAATTAATGTGTATTGACATCATAGTGGAAAATAACCATTTGTAAATCTGGAGCAGTATTTGATATACTTACTAATAACTTAAAATATATATATTATATAATATATATATGTTTTAATTAGCCATGTGTGGTGGTACATGCTGTGAACCCAGCTACTTGGGAAGCTGAGGTAGTAAGATCCCTTGAGCCAGGAGTTCAAGGCTGCAGTGAGCTATGATCACCACTGCACTCTAGCCTGGGTGACAGAGTGAGACGCCGTCTCAAAAAACCCAAAACCATCGTTTTATGAGATATGAACAATAGAGGAAACTAGGAGAGAAATATAAAGGAACTCTCTATACTATCTTTGCCTTTTTTCTGTAAATCTAAAATTATCCCCCCCAAAAAAGTTTATCTAAAAAGTTAGGAAAGTTAGATACTAAAGGCAGAATGTTTGAGGCTAGATAAGGATACTATGAGCTGTATTAGCTATCTATTGCTGCATAAGTAACCCCAAAAGTTAGTGGCATAAAACAATAAATTTATTATGTCATAGTTTCTGCAGGTCAGGATCCTGGGCATGGCTTAACTGGGTCTTCTGGCTCAGGGTCACTCACTCATAGGCTGCCATCAAGGTTTTGGCTGGCGCAGTGGTCACCTGCAAGCTCGTTGAGAGAGGACCCACGAAGGCCACTCGTGACTCTCAGCAGGCCTCAGGTCCTGGCGAGGTATTGGCTGAAGACATCAGTTCCTTGTGGAATGTGGGCCTCTCCATTGGGCAGTTCCCAGTATGGTAGCTGGCTTTCCAGAGTATGTGTACGAGAGAGAGAAGAGAGAGATAAGAGAGAGGAGAGAAGGGAGAGAAGAGAGAAAAGAGGAGAGGGAGAGAGAGAGAGCATGTCGTGAGGGTGCAAGCCTGAGGAAGAAGACAACAGAATCACAGTCTATTTGTAACCTAGTCTCAGAAGTGACATCTATCACTTTTGACATATTCCATCCATTAGAAGCAAATTACTAGGTCCAGTCCACACTCCAGGGGAGGGAATAGCACAGGGCATGAATGCCAGTAGGTGGGGATCAAGGGGACCACAGATGAGGCTGCCCAGCAAGTGAACACACCCATTTACGCCATCTCCCACACTGAAATGAGCAGTGCTGATTTAAGAGCACAGGCTCTGGAATCACAGAGATCTGGGTTTGTGCTCCTGCTTGGAAATGTCAGTTAGACGATCTTGGATTATTTAATTCTTTTGTTTCTTCATGGCAAAATGGGAATGATGATAATAACACTGACCTCAAAGGGCTGTTTTGAAAGTCAGACTAAATGAGCTAATTCATGCAAAATACTTACCAAGTATCTAACACAAAATAAGAGCTCAATGATGATGATAAGCTGCTATTATCATCATCATCACCACCGCCACCGCCACCTGATTTGTAATTCAAACTCTCATGTTGACTAGCCGTGGCATTGCAGGCAAGTTACTTGACTTTCCTGTGCATCTGTTTCCTCGTGCATAAGCTGGGGAAATACTACCCACCCTTCAGAGCTATTGGGAGAGGAGGGTGGTGATCACGTGCTTGGCCCTTGGTCGCTGTAAATGATTACTTTTAATGGGGGTTCAGTCTGCTTTGCATAAATTTACTGCCCTTTTTGGTTAAGGCACATCTGTTTTTCTGTCTTTGTTTGCTCTTCTATGAAATGAGGACAACAATCCTTAATTATTTTGCTTTTCATGGCTCTCTAGCCTATTAAACAATTCCTGTTTATGCATTTAGAAGGAAAAAAAAAACCACATGGGTAATCCATAATGGAAGATACATCAAAATCATATTTATGGTCTCAGAAATGTTCTTTGAAGCAGGGTTATTTTCTTCCATCTTATTTTGGTCATCATTGGAAGTAGTTTTTATTCCTCATGCACATGGCAGATGAAAATGGAGAGAAACTATGAAAAGTAGAGGCTGCAGCCTAGAAGGAAGATTTGCCACAGACACCTACACAAAGGATAGCTCACGTGGAATGTAAGAATGGAGTGTACACAGTATGTCTTGTTCTTGTCTACCGTCCCTCCTAGGAGCAAGGATTTTCCAGCCTTGCAGAGAAGCCTAGTAGGTAATCAATCATGAGAATATAACATGCGAAGTGCCATCAGGCTCTGAAGGGGTACAGAGAAGAAAGCCTTTGCCCAGGGATCTAAGCCTTGATGCAGAAGGCAGAGGAAGGCTTCCTAGACAAGTTTACACCTGAGCCAGGGGCTGCAGGTTGGAGGTCCCTAGCTTACAGTCCCTAGGGGCTGGAGGTCCCTAGCTGACGAGGAGGAGGAGAGGGGAGATGTGGGCAGAGGAAATAGCACAGACACAGGCTAAGAAATGCCAAGATACCTGAGTGTTCTCAGCAGCAAGCAGCTGGGTGAGCACAGAACACAGGCCCCAGGAAGCACAGCCAGAAGATGGTGACACAGGTAGGCATGGGGTCATGAAGGGTCTGGTACCTGGTTGACACACTTATAAGAGTTCAGCTAAAAGTGAGGGACAAGGAGCAAGGTCATGTGGTTAAACAATTTTTATTTTTATTTTTTAAAGAGATGGGATCTTGGTCTGTCGTCCAGGCTGGAGTGCAGTGATGCAATCATGGCTCATTGCAGCCTCAACCTCTTGGGCTCAAGCAACCTCCTGCCCCAGCCTCCTGAGTAGCTGGGATTACAGGCACCAGCCACCGTGCCCAGCTCACGTATGTATTTTACAAAGATTAACTGGTGGCTATAACAAAGCTAGACTAATGGCGAGGGGTGGGCCCAGAAAGCTGTCTAGGAAGAGCAGAGAAAGGGATGGATCCTAAAGAGAGAATTGAGAGAGAACAGCAACAAGTTGTGCTGAGTATGGATGTGGGTAAGGGAGAGGGAAGAGGTCACAGACCTCTGGTGTTCGCAGCTTTCACCATGGGGCAGAGCAGGGAGAGCTGGCTTTGGGGAGAAGGCAATGTGGATGGCTTTGGTATATGCCTAGTGTTCCATTATTGGAATGCTAAGCATGTGGGAGTTGTCTCCTACTGCTCAAGGTCATTGCCAAGGTCTGATGGCAAAAATTCAAAAAATTGCAACCTCAAGCATAAATGGATTAAATTGAGACAAGTTTAGAAGAGCAGGCTGAACTATTATACTTAGGAGCTACTAAAAATATAAAAAGCAAGATGTCTCAAAAAATATCCCAGGCCAGACCTCTGGTTTGAGGGAAATCAACACATAGGGATGTATTTGGAACCAGGGGAGTAAATAAGATTACTTAGGGAAAACAGCGAATAGGTAAGAAAGCAAAAGACAAGAGTTTTGGGAAAATAATAACCATGGGATAGAAAAAGATGTGGTGGAATGATCCTGATTCTCGTTGGATTTGTGTGGTAGACAGAATGTTTTGGCTACAAATTGCATGTGTTAGCCCCGAGGAGAAAAGGCCTTTTCCAGACAAGTGACAGGCAGGAGGGAAAAGGAGGGAGGCAGTGTGAGAGGGCGGGAAAGCTTAAGCAGGGTAGATAGAATATTAACTCTTGATTGTGAGGCCAGTGGCTTTTCCAGGCCAGAAAGAAAACAGAAGGACAAGGCCCAAATTCCACCAGGTGCCCCTGCAGTTCTCCAGGACGCCACATGGGGACAGCAGGTGGCCGGTCTGTGCAGTACCTGTGTTGGGAGCTGCACACAGGGGCCCCTGGAGGAGGAGCGGCCGAGATGGCTCATTCTTGAGCCTTTTATTTTATTTTATTATTTTTATATTTTATTATTATACTTTAAGTTCTAGCATACATGTGCTTATACCCAAAGGATTATAAATCATGCTGCTATAAAGAGCCTTTTATTTTTGCCTCTTAGTGGACCTAAAAACTCAGTATTGTTTTTGGTCTAATGACTTCACTTCTAGTGAGGTTGTGTTAGTCCGTTTTGCGCTGCTATAAAGACATACCCGAGACTGGGTAATTTATATAGTAAAGAGGTTTATTTGGCTTACAGTTTTGCAGCCGTACAAGCATGGCACTGGTACCTGCTCGGCTCCTGATGAGGCCTCAGGATGTTTTATACATGGTGGAAGGCGGAGAGGGAGCAGACATGTCACATGGCGAGAGAGGGAGCAAGAAAGAAAGAGCAAGAGAGAGGAAGGAGGTGCCAGCTTTTTTAAACAACCGGCTCCCTCTAACTGAGCAGGAACTCGTTAAGTGAGGACATCACCAAGCCATTCACAAGGGATCCGCCCCATCACTCAACCACCCCCACCAGGCCCCACCCCCAATACTGGGGATCACACTTCAACATGAGATTGGAGGGGACAAACATCCAAACCATATCAAAGGTATACTCTAGGATCCTAGTTCAAGTAGCACCTGCTTTTGTTGCTTTGCCTTCTAAACTGAACTGACACATATTAGCACAGTTCTGTCTCAGCCATAGAAACCCAGTTTCTCTGGACCATTTTTCCTTATGTAAGAAAATGACCTGTTTAACCATGGAGGGAACTCCTCAGCCAGCTAAGAGAGGAGAGTTCAGAGATAGCTGGTGCAGCTTCTCATCAACAACAGAATTGACTCCCTCGCTGCTCCTTTCCCATCATCTAAGCCAGTCATCGATTTTCCCCAGGAGTGTTTCTAGGTATCCGTCACCAAAACAAAACCCCCACCAAGTCTATGGAATTTCTATAAAGTATAACCATTCATGATATGCTAATAGTGAACCATTTGTTAGTATTATACCACATGCAATTCAGGTCAGTGAAATTCAACTTAGAAACTGGAAGAAGAAAAATCACCTTTGCATTATTGCTTTGCATTTGTTTTCTTAGTTCTTGTCCATGGCCCCAACGGTCACCAATACATTTCCTCTCAGCAGTCAGCATCATGGTGCTCTTCCCCAATCATTATAACCGATTTCAGATGGTGCTAGAAAATTATATTGACTCTGAACACCAAAAGAAATCAGTCATCCTCTAAGGGGTCACAGAAGGTCGTGAGGGTTGGGAGGGCCCAAATCTTACTAAATCCAGCATACATTGGGCTCTTTAACCCAGGCACAATGGAATGAGTCTGTACTATCTATTAAGTGCTATAGGTTTATTCCACAAAGAAGTATAAAATTCCAACAATGCGATATCCTGTACAATTACATTCATCCCTTGGTATCCTTGAGGGATTGGTTCCAGAAAGCCCCTTGGATACCAAAATCCACAGATGCTCAAGTCTCTGATAGAAAATGGTGTAGTATTTGCATACAACCTACACACATCCTCCCGTATACTTTAAATCGTCTCTAGATTACTTAGAATACTTAATGCAATGCAAATGTATGCAAATAATTGTTATGCAGTATTGTTAGAGAATAATGACAAGAAGAAAGTCTGTTCATGTTCAATACAGACACAACTTATTTTTGGAAAACTTTCGATCACAGTTGGATCCGCCAGTGCAGAGACCTGACTGCCATTTGTGATATATGCCACCACTGTTGGCAGGGGTGAGGAAGGGGTCAGCTACATGTGAGGCAGGTTCTCACAGCCATCCTGCTGTTGCTTTCAAATACTTCAGAGCTGTCCCATTCACTTCTTTTGCTGTTGGTAGTGCAGCGCAGCTGGTCTCCCCCAAGAACACTGATTTCAAATGGTGCTAGACAATCACTATTTAAATCTAAACCACCATATGAAACCAGCTTCCTGAAGAAGCTTTATGATCTATTTTTTTCTTCATAATGCTCTCTTACAATAAACCCAAGACAACCTAGAAAGGAAAAGTTGAAACCTAGCTGTGAGTTACTCAGTGGTCTAAACAGAGCTTTGGCAAATTTCATATATTCATAAACTGATGTCACTGAATTTGTTATTGATGGGAGAGCATGCCTGGGACTCCCTTATTCTTAAGTTAAGTTGCCCAGACAAAGGTTCAGCTTCATCATTTAGAGGCAAGGGCACATGTCAGCCCCGTCACTCTTGGGTGGGAAGACAAGGAAAATCCTTTGCTTGGGTAAAGGCAGGAGAAGTCAGAGGCATCCTGTGATCAAGTACCCAGGCAGGCGGAGGACGACTAGCAGTGGTGCTGGAGAACCGTCCGTCGGACATGCAAATAGGACAAAGCAAGCAAGTGCTCCATAGAAGTTGAAGAAAAACGCTTTCCTAAACCTATTATTTTCACTTGGAGATAACTTGGATCCAAAGGATTACTGAGATTTTGGGGTCTAGGGAAGAAAATAGACTAGCTCAGAGGCCAAGTAAGTCACATAATGGCACTAATGAGATGCTAATGTCGCTTCCGGAATGAATTCCTTAGACTGCATCTATGAGTTAGGGGTTTTTGTGAGCTTTACTTAAGACTCTCCTTCCCTCTACTCCAAAGGTAAGGCTTTGTACTCTGAGTTCTCCTTGGCAAATTATTTTTTGCAGCAGTTCTTTTTCGCCGTCATGGTATAGTTCTTGGTATCATCTTATTAGGTGGCCTGTTGTCGTCCCTTTTTGTGTTCTAGGCATCCAAAAAGATACTTCATGTACCCAGGCCACCTAATTAAAGGGGTGTGCACTGTTTTTATAAACTGTTATAAAAAATTTTATACATTAAATTGGAATGACAATACAATGAATTCCTAAATCCATACTATCTAAATTCAATAACTATTCCTTTTTATCATGTTTTGCTTTAATTATATGTAATATAGATACATATTTTTTGCTGCATTGTTTGAAAGTAAATTGATAACCACCCATACATACACTGCTCCTAACTACTTTGAGGTCGTTCTATAAAATGAAGACACTCTTCTACATAACCACAAAATCTTACCATACCTAAGAAAACAAACAATTCCTTGGTACCCACAAATATCCAGCCTACATCCAACTTCTCCCACTTTCTCCAAACAAAAGGTTTTTTATAGGTTTTTCAAACCCAGATCGCATCAAGGTTGATTCACTAAGACTCTTTGGTCTCTTTTAGCCTCAAAACACTACCCAACCTTTTCTTTGGCTTGTTTTATCATGACATACCACCTTGTGAAAACCAGGCTCCAATCCTGGCTGTACCATTCACTTAGTCTGTTCCCTTGGCTTGTATTTAAGAACTGAACTTTAGTTTCTCCGTCTGACTTTCCTCATATATCATCCTCATTTTACAATCTCACTATGTGTATTAGAAGAACATCCAATTACCACGTGCCTGTGGTTGATGATTCCAAGTGGGTTCAGTGCTAATCAGTCAGGAGGTGCACTGCAGGCTGTTTACCTTGGGTCTGATTAGCATAACATTCTTGTTCCTCATGGGCTTGGCCAGTTATCTTTTCATAAGGAGATCCCAGCACAAACTCATCCTTTATCATCATGGAGAAGCATCCACAGCACATACCTATTGCTGCTAGGCTGGTTTTTAAAAAAAATCTCTGTGAATAAGGGAATAGAACACCAGGGCTATGGAGATGCGTGGCAATCATTTCATCAAAGATGTAAACAGCTTGTTGACTGCAGTGAAAGGCACATACTTTGTGAAGTGACAGGCAGTGACACATTTCAAGTGGATAGTAAATTTAAGCACCAAAACTGGGAAAAGTGCCAGGACAGAAGAATCACTGCAACTCTCAAATAATGGTTTCACTAATTCTGTGATTCCTTTAGGGACCCCCTGCATCCTTCTGTATATGCTACTCTAATTCGCAGTATCAGTGACTGAAGTACAAAAGAAGCAGCCAGATTATTCTCATCAGTTACAAAACTCTAAAGTCTGCTTATTTTTGATAAATAACTAGTCACAGTGTTTGCCTACTGCCTAGAAGTTTTTTCAAATGATTGACACTTCAGTTATGGGGAAAATTTTTCCTGAAGAATGAATTTCTTTTACTTATGTCTGATAAGATCATATATATCTCATACACCAAATACATCACACACACTATATATTCAACCATGCCCTTAGCAGGGCCAAACAAATATGCTAAGTTTTTTACATTGTCTTTATGTATGCTTCTCAAAAATTCAGCAGAAGGCTAAGCGTGGTGGCTCATACCTGTAATCCCAGCATTTTGGGAGGCTGAGGCAGGCAGATCACTTGAGGTCAGAAGTTTGAGACCAACCTGGCCAACATGGTGAAACCCCATATCTACTAAAAAAATACAAAAAAAAAAAACCAAACTAGCCAGGCGTGGTGGCACATGCCTGTAGTGAGGCTGAGGCCGAGGCAGGAGAGTTGCTTGAGCCCAGTAGGCGGAGGTTGCACTGAGCTGAGATCGTGCCATTGCACTCCAGCCTGGGTGACAGAGCAAGCCTCTGTTTCAAAAAAATTAGCCGGGTATGGGATGCCTGCAATCCCAGCTACTCAGGAGGCTGAGGCAGGAGAATCACTTGAACCTGGGAGGCAGAGGTTGCAGTGAGCCAAGATCATGCCACTGCACTCCAGCCTGGGCAATACAGCCAGACTCCATCTCAAAAAAAAAAAAAAAAAAAAAAAAAAAAGGCCAGGCACGGTGGCTCACGCCTGTAATCCCAGCACTTTGGGAGGCCAAGGCAGGTGTATCACGAGGTCAGGAGTTCAAGACTAGCCTGGCCAAGAAGGTGAAACCCTCTCTCTACTAATTAATAATACAAAAATTAGCTGGGCGGGAGGCTGAGGCAGGAGAATTGCCTGAACCCGGGTGGCAGAGGTTGCAGTGAGCCAAGATCGCGCCACTGGATTCCAGCCTGGGCAAAAGAGTGAGACTGTCTCCGAAAAAAAAAAAAAAAAAAAAAATCAGAAGAATAAAGGTATGATACATTATTTTGCATCTGTGGGCTCTTCATATTAGCCCAGTGTGACAAGGTCATTTGGTATATCTTCCCACATTGCTTTTATGTCCTTGGGGAGAAAGTGGGGTACTGAGTTGGCAAGTAGTGACCACGCCAGGTACTCCTGTGTGGCAACAGCTGAGTAGTGGCAGTCGATTGTTTTCTGTGACATGAAAAGCCAGCAAACTGGCTTAAGGTCACTTCCCCTGGGGTTTGAGGATTTCACAAGGAGAGCTCTATCTGAGCAGGACATTTCTTTAAGAACGTAGCTTTGAAATGTTCGAGACATCAGGACAAAACAGTCCCAACCTGAGTATTGAGGCTGGACTACAGATGCAACTGTTACGCAACAGAACACACTGTGATAAGACATCTTGAGTTGGGTCCTTGTTTTCACATAAAGCAAGAGGCTAGTTTCCTGAAAATAAGTCTCCATGAAGAGACTGGCTACCCAGTTAACGGCAAAAAACCCCCATGGCTCACTAGTAAAGAGATGGAAGAAAACCAGTTGATAAATTAAAAAGGGCTCATTCATTCTCTTTCCAGGGCATGCATAGGAGAACAGAGTGAGACAAGTGGGATCTGCTTATTTTGTTGAGTCTTTCAGTGACTTTCAGCTGCAAGGGCAACTCTACTGAGAAGGAAAGATTTCACTCAGTAAACATTAGCATGTTTCCAACCCTGCCTAGCCTCTCATTTCCAACAATCAACTTGATTGTTCTGTATTTTTAGGCCAGGATACACTAGGGCTGAATTTCTGTAACTCAGGATGTTCTATTTTAATCATCAGCAATTTTAAGGCATGGCAACATCTGAAAGAAAAAAAAAACGTAATGACTCTTTCTTACACACAGAACATGCACTTAAAATTGTCAAAACTCTCCATCTCCAGCATTAAAACAATCATCTTTCAAGAACAAAATCCTTTCTCAGTGTCTCTCAGCCCACAAGCCATGAGAATGTGTCTCCATTTCAAAACCCAGTCTGTACCGTCATGCTTCCGCTGTTTCTCAGCAAGCTGCCTTTCTTTGTAACTTTTTTCTTCCAAATCTGATTGATAGTGAAGCTGGAGCCTGAGATGTAAATTAATAAACCACACCAGGAACTCCTTGCATGGCAAAAGCTGAACAGTACAAATCCATTGTTTTCCTGGATGTGAAATGCCAGTCTGTTCTTGCATGAGCAAACTGGATTAAAGTCACTTTCCTTGGGGCCTGCGGATTTCACAAGGAGAACTGCATCTGAGCAGGACACTTCTTTAAGATGTAGCTTCAAAATGTTTGGGACATTGGACACAATAGTCCTAAGCTGAGTATTCAGGCCGGACTATGGGTGCAACTGGTACTGCCCTGACGAGGGGCCACACAGCTCTAAGTCCTTCTTTGTTGCCCCATGTGCCTTGAATGGATGTTTTCTTATAGGAAGCGGATGAACAAGTTAACACAGGATCTGGCTGGGCTGCTTACTAACTATGTGATCCTGGGCAAATCATTTAATTTTTCTGAGCTTCGGTATCCTGATCTGGAGAATGGAGATGCGAATTTCTATATTGCAGTGGTTGTTAGGGTCATATGTAATGCAGTCTGTAAAAACAGTGGGTCACTTTTAAAGCACTATGTGAATGTTTGGTGTTTTATCAGCTGGATCAGAACACTGGAGTGCTTTTGAGGGAGAAGGCCAAAATGAACTGAAAAGTGATGGGAAGTGTACTCTGTGAAATAGTCATAGCTTCCATTTTTGGAACACTTAACGCATGGCAGACACTATGCTATGTGCTTCACATGGACTTTCTTGGCATTCACAACCACTAACATGGTTGGTGGTGGCATCTTCGTCTTTCAGAAGAGGGGCTAGAGACTTAGAAAGGGTACATGACTTCACTTCCTCTTGGTCACAGAGCTGGAGTGGCAGACTGGGACTCAAACTCCAACATGCCTGATTGCCAGCCCAGGCATTCAGCCAGCACTCTTTACTGCTCTGTCCTTTATACCATTCAGCGCATCTTCACATGGACCTCTGAACAGTCACTGGCCCCAAGTCTCAGGGTTTCATCAGTAAGTACATGAGTAAACCATGAAAGCCAGCTTTGGTCATGAGGAGTAGAAGTAGCACCAAATAGCTCACCAAGAGAAAGGGAGAAAAATTGGAAATTAGCACAATTTGGCTTGCACTGAATGGTCAGAAGACCTGGACCCTCCACCACACTTCTGACATGCAGTGTGACCTTAGGCCAGTCCCATCTTCTCTAAAGCTTCATTTTCCCACTAACCTTAAAGAAGTTCAAGTCAAAGAGCACAGTGATGAGTCCCACAGATCATGCTTGAGATGGTGACAGTGTTAAAATACTGACTCCAAAATACAGCCTGGCAGTTTATCTTCTCGAGTTTCCTGTTTCTATGACACTGTACGGTGAGATGGCCAAATGCAGACTCCAGAGCCAGAATGCCAAGCTCTGCCACCAGCTCCTCACACAACCCTGCACAAATCACTTTAACTCTCTGTGCCTCAGTCTCCTCATCTGTAAAATGAGGGTAATAGGCCGGGTGCGGTGGCTCACGCCTGTAATCCCAGCACTTTTGGAGGCTGTGATGGGCGGATCACGAGGTCAAGAGATTGAGATCATCCTGGCCAACATGGTGAAGTCTCGTCTCTATAAAAATACAAAAATTAGCTGGGCGTGGTGGCATGTGCCTGTAGTCCCAGCTACCTGGGAGGCTGAGGCAGGAGAATCACTTGAACCTGGGAGGCGGAGGTTGCAGCAGTGAGACGAAATCGCGCCACTGCACTCCAGCCTGGCGACAGAGTGAGACTCCGTCTCAAAAAAAAAAAAAGATGGTAATAACTGGACCTAGCACATAAGGTTGTTGTGAGGATTAAATCAGGTAAATATGATGAAGCCATCTGAACCAGTGTTAGCACAATGTAAATATTCAGTAAATGGTAGCTATGATAATAAAAGTAATACATTAGTTTTCAATAAGCACATTATAAACAGAGATGTGGCTAAGAGATCCACCACAGCTGGTAAATGGAGAGGGTGCAGAGATCCTGCTGTCACATGCTTTGCCATACATTGACATATTCTGGAGTAACTGACTGCAAAGCTGAAATGGCATCCCCAACTGAATTTACTGAAATTCATATATTTAATATTTTTGACTGCCTTCTCTTCTTCCCAGTCTAAGACCTGAATATGGGATCTATACCCTTGTTTTTAAGCAGGAGTTCATGTTATAGATTCTTCCTGACCGTAAACCGGGAGTTGGGTGGTTGAGAGAAAAAGAGTAGAGATCAAATACTAATGATCATTTAAAAAAACATATCAGGCTTGTCAGGCACGGTGGCTCACACCTGTAATCCCAGCACTTTGAGAGGCTGGGGCAGAGAATCACTTGGCCCAAGTTTGAAACCAGGGCAACACAGGGAGACTCTGCCTCTACAAAAGAAATTTTAAAAAACTAGCCAGGCGTGGGTGGTACACGCCTGTGGTCCCAGCTACTTGGGAGGCTGAGGTGGGAGGATCGCTTGAGCCTGGGAGGTTGAGGCCGCAGTGAGTTGTGATCACACCACTGTACTCCAGCCTGGGCAACAGAGCAAAACCCTACCTCAAAAAAGAAAAAGAAAAATGTACTGAGGAATCATCCAGGGACAAAATAAAACTCCCTTGAGGTTGACTTATAAGCAGAAGCCTCTACTTACGTAGGTGTAAAAGCAGTCTGTTAACAGATATTTTCCAGGCACAGAAATCCTCAGGAGGCATTTGTTCAGAAGACCTGCACCTGGAATTTAAATGACAGTATGAGCTCCTAGGAAATCTCCTGGAGTAACAGCAGAAGAAAAAGTCAGTTGTTTTCTCGTAAACATGTTTCTCCACCAGTGTCACCAACAGATGCATTTTTAAAAACAAGAAATAGAAAGCACCTTCTCTTTCCTGCTTAAGACACACAGGTTGGGAAAGTTCCTGTACAGTGAGCAACACATGCCCCCTCATGCTGGTGCTCTGTGCGGGAGAAAACGTGAGGTGTGGCCGTTGCTAAGGAAACCGCTGACACGAGGCAGAGCAGCAAGGTTTGCTCAGCAAGGTGTCTTAGGAAATAAAACACAGTCTAAGCCTATAGATCCCATCACAGAAGAAAGGCAGGCAAGGATCCCGCACAGGAGACGGTAGAAGGCTTCTATTTTCACAACTGATTCTGCAGCCTCGTGCTGTAGCAGTACAGGCTGCAGAAGGTTTGTGGAGGGGAGCGCCGGTCTGCAAGGACGGTCTGTGACGGCTTCAGAATCAGGTGGAGGGCAACTGAGAAGAATGGAAACCACCTCACATTCTCTCCTACCTGGTCTAACTTTACAGACGAAATGCATCTTTCAGCTGCATCACAAGAGAGGAAGCCAAGGTCGTAGGGTCTTCATTTCTGAAAACTGATTGTTCAAGTAAATCCTTCAGTCGTCCCCCTGATGCGACCTGCTAGGGAAGCTGGGAGTGCCTTCACAGTGGCTCCAAGGGGGTGTCCTTATAGGGGATTACATCTCAAGACACATTTTACCCAGCAAGAGGCTGCATGACTCAGCAGTCTGATGAAGAAAGCTCTGTTAAGTTACCACCAATTGCAATTTCTAAGTTAATGATTACAGCTCCACCGAGGAACCAGAACACAGCTGAGGCCACAGAGCATTCCCCGTGCTTACTGGCCAGTGGGGATGATGTTGCCCAGATGTGTGGGTCGGAGCTGAATGGTGAAGACAATGATTTGTGATTCGCAGGTGGACTCTTTAAGCCAGGTGCTACTGAACATGCTCTTCAGTGACTGGGAAGCTCTCAAGAAAGATGATATCACAACAGGAACAGATTATGTTGGGAAGATTCTTGAGAGTTGAGATTAAAATCCAAGAGGAGCTCGGCCAGTAAAATAAATGGTCAGAAAAAGCCATTTGATACTGTCCTACAACAGAAAATACATCTAAAAAATCAAGCTGAGAAGTACAGATGGGAAGGAAGAGGCAGTGGGGTAAAACAACAATCAAACCAACGTGAAGCTACCGAACACACAGAATTCTGGAATATTTAAACACTATCATAATAGCATGTTTCCAAAATTGTCTGATTATAAAAATGGGTATAGAAAACCAACGTCAGACAGGAGCTCTTTCATTTTTTTCTTTTTTTTTTTTTTTTTGTGAGATAGTCTCACTCTGTCACCCAGGCTGGAGTGCAGTGGCATGATCTTGACTCATTGTAACCTCCGCCTCCTGGGTTCGAGCGATTTTTTCTCATGCCTCAGCCTCCCAAGTAGCTGGAGTTTTAGGCGTGTGCCACTACACCCAGCTAATTTTTGTATTTTTAGTAGAGATGGGGTTTTGCCATGTTGGCCACGCTGGTCTTGACCTCCTGACCTCAGGTGATCCGCCCACCTCGGCCTCCCAAAGTGTTGGGATTATAGGTGTGAGCCACCGCGCCCAGCCCTCTTTCACTTTTCAACAGTAACTGAAGTCTGTGTCAGATTGTGAGGAACACCTGTCTGCTGCTTTCTGGAAGCTTTCAGTATTTGAAAAAGTGGCTAGGGAAGCTGCTGGGAAGTCCTTCAATTAACCTTAAAAAGCATGTAATAAAACCTAATTATAGAGCATGCTTCTTTCATCCTCTCTGTCACTCCTTTAGAGAATGTGGTGACTTTCTAAGCCACTGTCCCTGCAACCTCCTAGGATTTAGATGTATGAACATTATTTACAGATGGGAAAAACAGAGCACTGAAAGTTTTGGTCAAGAAAACCGTACGGGTTAGTGATGGGGTTTCTCAATTGTGAAGACCTGAGCTTGACAAATGCATTTTCAGCTTCCCAGGATACCCCTGGCTCCTCAGTGAGCACTGGAAGTTTGTCCCTTCTATAGCAGCCCTTGGCAGTTCCAGTCTAGGGGCAGAAGCCAGCCTGCCACTGCAGAGAAGAGCAGCAAGTTCCAGCCCAGCCGGCGAGCACGCTGCACTCATGGGCTTCCCAAGGCTCTGGCGGGAAGTCACGGGTCAAGTGAGGTCTTCTTAGGTGCTCAACAGTCACACTCTGGGGCCTGAAAGGTCTTAGAAGCTTATCTCTGTCAATCTCTGCTTAGAATCAAATCGATCAATCAATACCTTTTCCTTCTCTTTGCTTCTCCTACTGAGCCCCAGCATATTTGAGTGAAGGTACTTACATGTACGTAGCCTTTTAAAAGCCAAGTACTATCAAGTGAGCTCCCATTTCAAGGCACGTTTGAACTGGGAATAGAAAGACGGGCAGCTTAAGCTTTGGGATCATACAGACCCGGATTCAAATTTCACTTGTTACACAGCCTTGGCAAGCTATTCAATCCTTTTGGGGCTTTAGTTTTTTGTTTTTGTTTTGTTTTTTTAATTTATAAAGTAGAAATGATGTTAACTCTCAGAGTTGTTGTGAAAACACAGCTGACTCAAATAAAATACAAGATACATAGATTTTCAACACATTAACCCCCACCACCCCACCACTTTCCCCTGTGAGGGGATGGCACATCTAACATTTTTGGGTAAAATTTCCAGAAGATCTATACAGTCGAGTTGTTAAAAACTGGTGTGAAAGACTAAAATAAGATTAGGCATCAGTAAATCAAGGCTGCGGGTGGGTCTGGGGGCTTCTCTGGAGGGAAAGGCCAGACCAAGGGATGTCCCAACAGGAAGTTAGGAGTCTGGGGAAAGACAGATATGATCTGAAACTGGGACCAGGAAATTCCAACCATTTCTGCCTACTGATTACTCATCATTGATTCACCAAGTTTACAATTTACCAGGAGGATATGGGAGCAAACGAGAGGTAAATCCCACTGAAGTTTAAAACATAAAAATAGACAATGACAGAGGGTGTCAAAGGAAACCACAGGGCATGGCGGGGGCAAACACAGGAGGCGCCGGTCCCCGTGAGCCAGACACAGGAGGGACATGCCACTTCTTCCACGAGGGACTAACTAGCAGCAATGCTGCAGAGACACAGGTCACTTCTCAACATTCCTGGTCAAGACAGACCTCTTAAAATCATGGGTAAATATCCACCGACTGCCTCCTAGAAGCCCGCACTGTGCTGCACGCTGCTGGGGAATACTGAGGAGGGGATGTGAAATGTCTGTATGTGACCCAGGACCTAACTGTGGAATGGAGTCCAATTCTCAGGGACAGAGAAAGTGCTCCGGTGTGTCCTGCTGGTGGAGAGCACAATCGTCATTGGAGACTGGATGAGCTCAGGGCAGGCTGATGGATTATTCAGGAGAGGCTTCATAGGGGCCAGGGGCCTGAGCTGGGCTCTCCAGGGGTGCAGCCTGGGCAGGGGAGAAAGGGAGAACTCTAGGAAGGGGACGGTAAAATCATGCCAGATGTGGCAGGGGTGAAGACAGTGGGGGATTGGGCAGAGCCATGGTAGACATCCCACCGCCAGGGATCAGAGATGACAGGGCAGCAGGCGTGCGGGGGTGGAGCCCACATGTAGATCCCCCGCCCCCGCACACAGGGTCAAAGTTAGCTGGGATCAGGGATGACGGGGGGGTGAGAAGAAGCGTGGATTTTATGAAGAGTAGAAGAAACAGATGTTTGTTAAGACCTAACATGTGGGAGGCACTGCTGTGGACAGGAGTGAGTGAGACGCAGGGCCGGTCTTCATGGAGTTTACAAGCTGGCGGGGGATACAGCCCTGTGGACAGATAACTGTCATTACACGGGCTAAACACTAGCATAGGGGGAATTCTAGGAGATACAGGGACCCACAGGTATGGCACCAGACTATGGGGTCAGAATAAGATCTCACCACAGAGGTATGAGCAAAAAGAAACAGGATATGGTCTGTTCCTTTCAAGCTTCCCACAGGGGCCAGGAGCCCCTTTTGCAGGATGTCTTAATAAATGGGACATAAAGGTACCCATTTGTCTAGAGTGCAGTGTTGGCTGCAGACAGTGAACATATGAAATGATGCCCTTAAAATGCCCTTTGGCTCAAAACGAGTCCCCTTCCCTGACCCTAGCTTTAGAAATCAAAAGGAAGATGATCATGTCATGGGACCCCAAATTACACTCACACTGCAGGTGAAACACTGGGGTGACTTTCACACGCACAGCTAAGAAGGAAGCCAGTTTCCGTATGACTGCAAGTGCACAGAAAATCTAGCATGCCGAACAGGAGGAGCAGTGGAGGGGAGTGCTCGCTTAGGAGGGACCCAGGAGCATGCAGAGCCTCTGTCCTGAATCTGCTCCCTCTATGTAAGGAGGCCATGAATAAGGTACCCATTCCAAGAACAACAGCAAGGGGAGGGTTAGGAGACATTCTCATCCAATGTGAATATAAAAATCTTAAGAAGAAAACAATACCCACTGCTTTCTGTTCCATTGTCCCAGCTTACTGTGTGATTTTCTGTTAGGAGAACTGTACCCACAGCTTTAATTTGATGCATTTGCTGGATCATGCTTTTTTAAACAAATATAAAGCAGAGAAGAAAAAAAATCCAAGGTAGATTTCAGTTAAACTATCACCACCACGACTCTCCAATTCACTCCCGTGTAGAAAATGTGCATTTGTTTCTACGGAGCATGTGTAGACAGCCCTAGCTCCCTGGAAGAGAGATCTGAGGGAAGGCCATTATGGACGCACAGTGGTCTTAACACAGCGAAACTCCTCTCTTCAGTAGCTTTTTTTTTTTTTTTTTTTTTTTGAGACAGAGTCTTGCTCTGTTGCCCAGGCCGGAGGCAGTGGTGCGATCTAGGCTCACTGCAACCTCCGCCTCCCAGGTTCAAGTGATTCTCCTGCCTCAGCCTCCCAAGTAGCTAGACTATGGGTATGCCCCACTACACCCAGCTAATTTTTGTATTTTGAGTAGAGATGGGATTTCACTATGTTGGCCAGGCTGGTCTTAAACTCCTGATCTCAGGTGATCCACTCGCCTGGGCCTCCCAGAGTGTTAGGATTACAGGCGTGAGCCACCACGCCCAGCCAGTAGCTCTTTTAAAAATAAACTGGGCTGGGCATGGTGGCTCACACCTGTAATCGCAGCACTTTGGGAGGCCAAGGCTGGAGGATCGCTTGAGGCCATGAGTTCGAGACCAGCCTGGGCAACACAGCAAGACTGCATGTCTCTACAAAAAAGTTTAAAAGTAGCTGGGTGTGGTGGTGAGTGTAGTCCCAGCTACTTGGGAGGCTGAGGCAGGAGGATCGTTTGAGCCCAGGAGGTTGAGGCTGCAGTGAGCCTTGATGGTGCCACTGCACTCCAGTGACAGAACGAGACCCTGTCATACACACACAAAAAATTAAAATAAATTGCCTACTTTAAAAATAAAGACAAGGTGGGGCGCAGTGGCTCATGCATGTAATCCTAGCACTTTGGGAAGACGAGACAGGTGGATCACTTGAGGTCAGGAGTTCGAGAGCAGCCTGGCCAACATGGCGGAACCCCGTCTCTACTAAAAATACAAAAATTAGGCGAGCTAAGAGATCACAGCACTGCACTCCAGCCTGGGTGATGGAGCGAGACTCTGTCTCAAAAAAATAAAAATAAAATAAAAATTAATACAGGTGTTGGGAATGAGGTCTGGGAGGTGGCTGTCATTTATCTCTAAAATCATGCTAGAAGCTAAATATATAATCATTTTTCCTCCACGTTGTTTCCATGGGCTTAGAAGAGGGAAAAAATGGCACTTAGTGTTACTAGGACCAAAAGACAGCTCCTCCTACTAAAAGATCATCCTGGAGTTGCTTAACTGAATATTTATGACATACTAACATCCTTTGGGGGAAAACACGTTTCGAAATAATCAATTAAAAAAAGCAAAGTGATCAATGACAGCTGTTTAAACACCACCTGGAAAAATAGGATTTACTCCACAGCAGCTCCCTGGGTGCAGAGATCTTGGTGCAGATCCCATTTCGCTGACTTGCTTTCTCTCCTTAGACAAATGTGTGTGGCGGGGCTGAGTACCTGCTCATGTCCTTTTCTGGGGACGCCACACATGGCTGGTTTCTGGCCCTTGGGGACAGTGGCTCAGGTCCAGAGGAGAACCCTTACTGGCTGTAGTGTGGTGGGCACAGCAGGGGTGGGCCGGTTCACCTCCTGGCTTTGAAGAAATGGGTTCTCTCCTATGGCATCTGTGATTCCCAAAGTCCTCAATCAAGCAGGAAGGGGGTGAGTCGATGGCTCTTCCCAAGGCCTTCTCCTCCCATGGACAGCTTCTCTGTCCGAGTTCTCTCGCCGTTTCTCCCCCTTTACTCCATCCCAAGAGGCACTTGTGAGCTTCAAGGGCATCTTCTAAATATTACATTCACTCAGTGCCCCAAAGAGGACAGCCTGTTCTTAGAACATTGCTCAATTCTTTCTCCTGTGGTAAGGATTCAGTTTGTTTTATTAAGAACTAGTGTGGCATAAGTTCATTCTCATCCAAAAAAAAAAAAAAGAAGTATATCAAGTCTCTTCTTTTGGCATATAGTAGATAGAATTGTTATTATTCTTGTTTCTGTCCCAGAGCTAATACATTCACGACACACTGGCAAAGGATATTTTGAAAAAGCTGTCTATGGCAAATAACTGATTTGTTTCATTTTGTAAAAATGAAGTTCTCCTTTCTGACCCAAGTCGTTTTCTAAACGATCTCAAAGGGCAAGCTGCCTCTTCCAGCGGGAGGCTGAGGCCACGCTGGAACCTCCTTCCGAGGTCTGGACAAGAGCTGTGTGGTGCAGAGGAGGGAGGGCTGGGCCCAGAACCCAGAGGTCTGCCTCGGGCTGGCCTCTCTCTCCAGTCCTGTGACCTCTGGCTGACCAAAGCCTCCCTGGTTCCGTCCCTTCATGTCTGAAATAAGCAAGCTATATTTAATAGTTTTCCTTTTGCTCTAAAATAAGATGATTCTGAAATACGACATTAAGTGTGAGGCTGGTTTCTGCTTTGGACCTCACCTAAGGGGTTTTAGTCATAAGCCCATGCGTGGAAACTGGCCCTGCCAAAAAAGAAACATTCTGAATCATTCAAAACCATTAAGAATGTTGGCTCTGACTTCAGAAAGGCAAGATAAACAGACCCGTGCCCAGCGGGAACTCACTTACTGGATGTCTCTGTGTTTTTAACTCATCGGTGCCTGAGTACTTCCCAGGTTCCTTCGAATGGCTTCAATGTTTAACGCTGTCACATTTGTACTATGAACTCCACTTTCATAAAGGCGGGGGCAGGGGGGTATTTAATTTGGTGCTAAGTGCTCATTAATCTTTTTAGTGTGGTCACCAGAACTGGCTTTTTTGCAGCCTCTAATCCAAAAGCAGGTTAATTCTCCTGCCCCACACAGGTTATAAAGTTAAGAAAATGTGGCACATATACACCATGGAATACTATGCAGCCATAAAAAATGATGAGTTCATGTCCTTTGTAGGGACATGGATGAAATTGGAAACCATCATTCTCAGCAAACTATCGCAAGAACAAAAAACCAAACACCGCATATTCTCACTCATAGGTGGGAATTGAACAATGAGATCACATGGACACAGGAAGGGGAATATCACACTCTGGGGACTGTGGTGGGGTCGGGGGAGGGGGGAGGGATAGCATTGGGAGATATACCTAATGCTAGATGACACGTTAGTGGGTGCAGCGCACCAGCATGGCACATGTATACATATGTAACTAACCTGCACAATGTGCACATGTACCCTAAAACTTAGAGTATAATAAAAAAAAAACATTAAATAAAAAAAAATAAAAAAAAAAAGAGTGAAAAAGTTGGGTCAAAAGATGAATCTGTTGTACATGTTGGTATATGTCACTGAATTGTCCTCTGGAAATGTGCCAAATCAATAAACTCATAAATGTCTTCTGAAAAAAAAAAAAAAAAAAAAAAAAAAAAAAGGAATAAAGCTTCCCCGCCCAGCCTTTAAAGTCCTTTTCCCCTAAACAATACTCCAAAATCAATGAATCTAGAGATTCTTTGCACCGGAGTGGTTTCCAAATCAATTGACCTCTAAGCTCCAAATGCATTTTGATTCTGCTTCTATTGATCTGAAATAATAAAGGCTATGGAATTGGGATATGGTTCTGGTTTCTAGTGGAGTTTACCTGAAAAACTAGGATACCTTTGACCATCCATATTTCTAGGAAGCCCTCTGACTATCCATATTTCTAGGAAACCCTTTGACCATCCATATGTGGCTACTTTTTTATACATACAGTACTCATGCAAAATAAACAGAAAAATAAAAGAGTAAATCCCAACTTCCAGGTGACAGTTTACAGCATATCTGGCAACTACGTGGTAGAGTTTAGTGGGCCTGCCAGAGTCCTTGTGTATGCCCCAGACATAGGCATACACACACAGAGCTCAAGAAAGCTGCTCAAGAAAATGACAGTCTTTTTTTTCTTTTTCTTTTTCTTTTGGGGGGAACTTTCACTGGTATAGAACTAACTGGGCACATAATGGGTAAGGACAAACACTGAAACTTTTTTTTTTTAAGTTAAAAAATTCCAGCTGGGCATGGGGTGGCTCATGCCTGTAATCCCAGCACTTTGGGAGGCTGAGGTGGGTGGATCACCTGAGGCCAGGGGTTCAACACCGGCTTGGCCAACATGGCAAAACCCCATCTCTACTAAAAATACAGAAATTAGCCAGGCGTGGTGGTGGGCACCTGTAATCCCAGCTACTTGGGAGGCTGAGGCAGGAGAATTGTTTGAACCCGGGAGGTGGAGGTTGTAGTGAGCTGAGATCATGCCACTGCACTCCAGCCTGGGCGCCAGAGCGAGACTCTGTCTCCAGAAAAAAAAAAAAAAAAAGTTAAAAATTCCATGTTCAGAAAGCAAGAGACACGGTGTTATTTTCTCCAATTCTGAAAGCTCCCAGTGGTGACAGCATCGTTAGCCATGTGTAACATGTGCATCCAGGCAACTGACTGTCACCAGACTTCTCCATGGCCTTACTCAAACTGAGTAAGCTGGTAGTATTTCCTAAGAGTTGTCACTCAGTTGTGAAAACAGAGAGCTTTTTGTTTTTTGGAAAATCCTGATCAGCCGAAATGACTGGGTGGTCAGCCTTGCCCATCTTTTGGCTACTTAGATAAAGGCTTCTTTTCCCAGGCAAGGAGAGAGATGATGGTTAACTTGCTTTTTAGACTGAGGTCATTGCTATTCGCTGGTGTAATGAATAAGCTAGACGTTTAAAAACAAAACAAAACAAAACAAAAAACCTCCTTTCAAAAGCAACCACATTTTTCTCTTCTCTGGAAATGAACAGAACGCGTCATGAACAGAACACGTCATAATTTTTTAAACATCCATCAGTGCCCATGAAAAAAATTTTTAAAAATAATCTGAATCTCACTTGTTTATTGCCTACAATATCAATCAATGGCTTAGGTATCTCTCCGTGTTCTATTACTTCTCACCGCTCTTAATTCATGAGGTCAAACAGAATCTTAAAACATCATTAAAAAATTTCCTCCCTTTCCATGTCTCAAGGTATCTGTAAATGGACAATTTGGGTGTGCTGAAATCAAATGACTGACCAAGGCCCATAACTGTGATCACAGGTAAAATGTTTTTCTGCTTTGCCAAAAATCCGAGTTTCCTTTGCTCTCTCTGTCAAGCTGAAAGAGCCCTCCCAGACCGAGGGGCCAGGTGGAGAGGCCACTCACACCCGCCCTGTGCCGGTCTACCTTGGATGGCCTCACCAGGGCACGGTTCCCGGGGTGGTGACTCAGCTCTGGAGGACCACCTGCTGCGTGGGGGTTGCTGCCTAGCAGGTCACTGCCAGTCACGAGGGCAGAGAGACCCAAAGGATCAGAGAACAGCTCTGAGCAGGTCAAGGGCAGTGCCAGAAGGAAAGCCTTTGTTTACAGAGGGAAAGATCCTGCACCTTGAAGTGAGGCATTAAAGAGTAGAGGGGCTTTGCACCTGCATCCTAAGCCTCTTGGTTCACCACTAAGCCGCAAAGCCACAGGGAGGAAACCACTGGGAATACCATCACAGAAAATGAAGGTAGGGCCACAGGGCACCTCCCACTCTCAAAGGGAAAAGACGGCCCTGGATCATCTTTCTAAAACACCACTTTGATGAAGTCGCCATGGTTTTCTAAAGTAATAAATGGCAGCCACTACCTGCAAGATAACAGAGTGCATTTGAAACCTTTCCACCACCTAAGTCCAACCCACCTTCAGGGCATTCGCTCTACTTCCTTAGATAAAGCCTCTGCTGGGGTTAAGATGTTCTGTCTCCGCTGCCCCCACTCTGCAGGCTTTCTCCTCCCGCTGGCTGGTGCAGAGAATGGGGGAGCCATTAGGAGCCACAGACACTGAGCTATTCTACATGGAATTCTTTTTATTGTTTGATCTATTTCACATGTACAAAGCTTTGACCTTCCAGTTCTAAGAATTCCTACTTAGAACTGGTAGGTTCTAAGAACTCCTACTTAGAACTGGTAGGTTCTAAGAACCTCCCTGGACCGATTCTGGCACATGTCTCTTCTGAACTCACAGAGCTTGTGCCTTAACAATTTAGAGTCAACTGACTTTGCTGTCCTCTCTAATGTGTTAAGTTTCAGTCCGTGACAAACATTGACAAGACGTGTACCTCATCAAGCACTGTAAAGGGAAAGGACATGACCCCTGCGGCAGAGGTCCACAGTCACACAGATGACAGAAATGTGCCCGATGCCTTCCAATGTATGTCACAAACGCGTATTTGACAAGGGAGAGCAGAGACTCTGCAGGTGGTGAGTTTTGCCTGCAGCGCCACAGAAGTCTTCATTGGGGAGCTCCAGGCTGGATTTTAAAGGAAAAGCCGAATTTTAAAGGAAGAACAGGTTAAACACCGAAGGAAAATGGGGAGGAGTGAATGTTTCAAGGAACACGTATACCAAACAACAGAGTGCATTCTCTCCAGCTCTGCAGCTCGGGGTTCCAGGGTCGGGGGTCCCACAAGGTGGGAAGGAGAAGCAGGCCTTATCACGAAGGGCTTTGTAGGACAGGCCGAGTGTGTACGACGTTTGAGGTGGAATGACAGGGCTACGCCCTGTGGAAGGGGCCGACTGTAGGACTGCTCGGAATTGGGAGTTTGACAGGAGAGAGGCACTTTCACAGACATTATCTGGTTTGATCACCACCCCTTCTTGAGCCATATATTTGGCGATTAATTGTGCACTTGTGACATGTTCCTTTCTGCTGTCTGTTCCTTAATGCCCCCTGCTTTTTTGTCTTGTCCCCAGCTGGGCTATCTGTTCCTGGCGGCCACAGAACAATACCTTCTTTAATGGCTCCCACAGTGACCAGCACGTGCCTTAAACTCAGAGCAGGTCAATCAATCAAACTCCTTTTAACTGAAAGTTTAGGATGTGCTTTTGCCACACTCTCAAGTAAGTAAGTAAATTCATCAGCAAATACCAAGTCCTAAAATAATGAATGGTACTTAGGAAACACATAAAGAGTGGTAGAAAACTAGATGGGCTGGGGTCATCCTGTGGAGGCCCTGGACGGCCCGGCTAAAGCATTTGGAACTCCTCTGTAGAAGTGTTTTGATAAAGAAATGATGTGATTGAAGCTATGCTTAATAGAAGATGAATTTGGCAGTAGGATGGGCTGGAGGGAGACAGTCGCTGTGGTGGTAGAAAGAAGAGGTGAAGAAGTGTTGCCAAGCCAGGTGAGAGCGTTTGCTACCATCTGCACTAGCACGCAGCGCCGTTCCTCTAGGGCCCCTGGAGCTTAAGGTAGTTCTTTTCTCACATCTGTCGCACTTAGGAAGATCACATGGTGATGCTGGCTTTTATTCTCCCTCCCTTTCTTCCTTCTAATAATTAGCAAGCAACAGTTATCTGCCAGACACTGTGCTATTACACAAGGGGGAGAGAGATGAAAGGCAGTCTCTACTCTGATGCCTTGTGGGAGAGGAAGAAAAGTATCTGGTTAAAACGCAGCATATTGAATTCTCTGATATGCCCTCCCTCCCTCTCTCTCCCCCTGCTGGCCAGTCTGTCTTCCATTTCTTTCTTTTTCTTCCAAAAAAAGGATCTGAGGCATAATGAAGGAAGTCAGCTAGGAATGGGGAAGAAGGAAGCTAATCTAATGCGAGGAATCCCTGGAGGAGGTGGCACCTGAGATGACTTTCAGGTGAGCAGGTATCAGCCAGAGGAAACCAGGAGGAAGGGAGAAGAGACGTGCGCAGACACAGGCTGGGGCAGAGGAGTGGGCTTAGCGGCCTCCTGAGACATGAGCTGGAACCTGGAAAATGAGGAGCCATGAAAGAGCTTTAATGAGAGAAAGACAATGACATCTACGCTTTAGAAGGATCGGTCTGGAGACAGCAGAAGGGCTTATCGGAAGGTAGTGACTCTGTAGTCAAAGAGATAGCAAAGTACAGATTTGAGAGATGCCACAACAGACGCATTAAGCCCTGGAGCTGGAATGATATGCACACTGAGAGAGTGAGGGAGTGAGGTCCTTGCTGAAGACCTTTAAAATGAGTTTATTTCACCCAGAAGCTCCAGCAAGGGACACACTCACTGCCTTGTGCTGGCCACGAGGTGGCAGCCTCGCACAGCCATTTTAGCAGAAAATGCGTCCCATCCTCACCGGCGCTCACCACCACGTGGGCAGAGCCACTAAAAAAATTCCACCACGGGGACAGGAGCTCTCTGAGCTTGCCCCATAAACACGCTTTTCTCCCACAGAAAGCCTCCACAGAAGCAATGAAAAAGTCAGTTGATTTGGGGAGAGAAGCGTAAAAGCTCGTGCTCTTCAGAGAGCTCTGGGCTGTTTCAGGGTGGCGGCCGAGCCCTCTGACAACTGCGAAGAGACGGAGACAATACAGGCTGGGGATGAAGCGGTTCGATGAAGGGCATTACCCCCAACGAGAACCAACTGGAGAACCAACTCGTGGAGAGCTCGGGCCCCATGACTCAGTCTGACCCGACGCTGGCGAATGCTGCTGAGGACCCTGAAAACCTGCAGGGACCCTGTCCCAGGCCAGCGACAGCCACCCCTCAGGGCCCCTGGTCTCTGTCAGGCAATGCGGGTCATCTGAGGGAGGCTGGGCCACAGATTCCACGTGTAGCTGGGAGGGGTTGCTGCGTCTGGCGAGGCAAGGGCTGCTGTCTAAACTTCCAAGGGAATGGTGTGGGCACCCCAGGAGGAAGGGATGCCCTGACCCCGCTGCATAGTCGAGGGCATGGAGAACCCATCCGACTGTGGCCTTGTGGCCCATCCCCATTCTCTGACGGGCTCATTGTGATTTTCAGCCACTTGCTATTTGCCACTCAGAGGCAAAGCGGCTGCAAGAGGTAGGAGAAAGCAAGAGACTCCCTCACCTGGAATAGAGCATCCACCGCGATCCCAGAAAAGACAAATCCCGTTGCAGGCACTTCAATCCACACAGCAGTCCTGGGATGAGGGTCCTGTTACCATCCCCATTTCACAGATGAGGAAACTGAGGCACAAAGCATGAAGTAACTTGAACGTGCCCAGAGTCACACTGCTAGCAAGGAGCAGAGCTGGAGTTTAGGCCCAGGTGGCCTGACCTCAGAGCTTGTGCACTACCCGCTGCCTGGTACAGTCCACAGAGAGGGGGCCAGTGCCCGGCCCAGAACCACATGCCCTGGGGCTGGAGACAGGTCAGGGCAGCCGAAAGGTGGAGCGCCCTCTCCAGCACTTCTTCCTCACCCCCTGCGGCTTTCTCCTGTGCTCCGACTGCCACCACTTGCTTGGGCAGCCAAGCATGACAAACTGGCCAGCCACCAAGCAGGACTTTTCAGAGGAGGAGTAAAAACCCTTGTATGAACGTACACTCTTCTTGTCACACACAAACGCCCTTCCTTCCACCTTCAAAGGTGATTCTGAGACTGCCCGTTTTTATCTTTGCTTCAGTTGTGCTTGATTTACAGCCTCCTGAGGTGTTTTGTTTTGTTTTGTGTTTTGTCTCTGTCACCCAGGCTAGACTGCAGTGGCGCGATCTCAGCTCACTGCAACCTCTGCCTCCCGGGTTCAAGTGATTCTCCTGCCTCAGCCTCAGCCTCCCAAGTAGCTGGGATTACAGGCACCCGCCACCACACCTGGCTAACTTTTTTTGTATTTTCAGTAGAGACAGAGTTTCACCATGTTGGCCAGGCTGGTCTCGAACTCTTGACCTCAAGTGATCTGCCCGCCTAGGCCTCCCAAAGTGCTGGGACTACAGGCATGAGCCACGCGCCCGGCCTCCCTGATGTTTTTAACTAACATTGCTAGTGGTTTAAGTTGGGCACCGACAAGTATTAGAACGTAATTGCAGAGGTCACGTTGTTTGAACACCGGAACTTCAAGGCGTGCTTGAACCACCTGATCAAAGGAGAAGGGACTGAGGACCAACAGGAGTGGGGCTAAAGGCATCCTTCTGCTCCAGTTTCCTGTGAACCCGCTCCTCTGAGGAAAGGAGTAGTCCCCACGGAAGACACAGGATCCTTCTGGGGGTCCTCCTTGGCCACGTCACACTTCCAGACTGTGTGGCGGGACACTGACCATCAAGCCGACAGACGTGGGTTTTAAAGCTACGCCTTAAAATCAGCAACTCCCTTTCCTCATGAATATTTTAGTGTGTAATATAGAAGATGTTTTTACACTGAATTAAAGTGCCTGCCACTGAATCTTCCTGCTGGAATTATGGGGGGTGGGAGGAGATGGAAAAAAAATCAATGTTTCAAAGCAGTCCTGATGTGCTAAAAATATCTCTCACTTCTCCTTTCATCTGTCTGGTCATTGTCCCAGACGCAAGCTCAGCACAGCCTCGCCCATACAACATGTCGAATCGCTGTCTACCTCCACTTCTTAATCGGACAAAGAGAGAATATTCTTTTTTTTTTTTTCCTTCCTCAGACATTAGTCCAAGATTACAGACTAGGATATAGCAACCTATTATTCAAGAACAGCTTTTAAAGGTAGCTGCTTCAGACTGGCACTTCGGGAAAACTTTGAAAGTAGACTCCTTTTTTTTTTTAATGCTTATTTTAACTATAGATTGGTGATAACGATTCAACCCCAGAGATCCAGCTAACTGTTGGCACAGAAATCCTTAACGCTACTCTCAAGCAAATAAGATCTTGTAAGGGGAAACTCCTGCAAAATATACCTTGTGAACAAGCTGCTCGCACCTCCTCTTGCAGCTGCAAAGATATTCTACTCTATTGCTTAACTCGTGACCTTGAAAAAACTCCACCTTTCCTGCCAGCAGCTCCACTGCATCCACCTGTCCCTACAGGTAGTAAAAGATTAGACAAAACAGAACCACGTTTACACAACACACTTCCGAGCCTCTCTTCCTTCTAGCCCCTGTCCCACCCCCACTCCAAGGTCGAAGTTCATTTCTTGCAGGCTTCACTTTTCAGGATTAACCAACACTGTGCTTTTTCATTCTGCTCAACACCAGTCCTTTGGCCTCACAGTGCTCGCCTGTGTGGAACACGCTGCAGCCACCAGGTCATCTGCTTTAGACCCAGCTCCATGTCAAGTCCTGTTACGGTCCCTCGGGCATATTGTCATGCTCCTGGGCACCTGAAAACTGACAACTGGTTTCAAATTTCTTACAATTTGCTTTTCTGGTCTATCCTTATTTATTCCCCTCACAGTGACATTCATAGGAAGAGGAAGTAGCAGGCAGTCTCTTGGGGACGGGTCTCTCCTGAATACCTGGGGGGATGCCCTGGGCTGGGGAACCTCACAGGGGCTCATCAAGAGGTTCCAGGAGACAGAGTTCGAGACCAGCCTGGCCAACATGGTAAAACCCCGTCTCTACTAAAAATGTAATAATCAGCGAGGCGTGGTGGCTTGCACCTATAATCTCAGCTACTTGGGAAACTGTGGCAGGAGAATTGCTTGAACCCGGGAGGCAGAGGTTGCAGTGAGTCGAGATCATGCTACTGCACTCCAGAAGTGGAAGTAGCCACCACACAGCTGCACCTGCCACCTCCTTCCCCACTCCAGGGCCTTTGAAATGTGCTGCTCTCTCTATGCCGAGAGCTCTCACCCCTACCCCCTGCACCCACACATTCCTGCTCATCCCTTAGCTGAGACCTTGGAAATCACCTCCTCAGGGGACCACTGGGAAGAAGGTCCTTTTCATCTGAGTGCCTTCCCCTCAGGGCATGATTTTTCTTGGGCCATTTTTTTTGGTATGTGTTTACTTAGGTTCCATGATGACAGAGACCATGCCTTTGTTTTCATCACTATCGTCTTCACCTCACTGCCAACCAGTGCCTGGCACACAGTAGGTGTTCAAGAAAGTTTTGCTGAATAAATGGATGAACAATGACATCAGCCTACTTTGACCTCTTGAGTTCCTCTGATCTCTGAATGTTCTGGAGCAAGGACCTTTAACAGCATCTCCATCTCTTCCTGGCCTTGCCGCCCCACCCAGTAAAACCATAATACTTGCTGGTATAGCCTCTTCCTGCAAATAAAAGTATACAAGGAGTTCAGAACGGACACTCCAAACAAAGGGATTTATGACCTTGGTCTCATGTTCTCTTGTGGTGGTAAAATTCACTTTTCTATGAAATTAAAAATTCCTCCCTTGAACAACATTGCCAGAGGTCCCCAGAACAAGGCAAAACTGGGTATTCAAAACTTTTTAAGTTTAGGAAACGCTGCCTGGAATCTCTATTTCTCCCTCCTCTGGTTGCATTCTATTCCTCAGGTTATGTGCTTCTGAAATTCGTATCTAGCTCTGTGCCCGAAGATGCTTCCAGCTCGCTTGCTTCCCCTGCTCCCTGCTCCCCGCAGGCCTGCGGAGAGCACCGCCCCAGTCTGCTATTAAGATCTGCTCAACTGTTTAATTGCACAGCCCGTCCCAGCAGCAACCTCTCCACAGCCTCTCACTTGCCAACCAACTGGCCGCCCACTCACATTCTCTTGCCGGCTTGCTCACTGCCCAAACACACACCCCTCCCCCCAGTTCATCTCTTACCCACTCACACAACGAAGATCCGACTTATCCAATTTGCTGACGTACTTTACCTGAAGCCCCACCCACCCCCCTCCACTTTTCCAGAGTTCTACCCACAAGAAAAGGAAAGCAGCCGGCCCGGTCTAAATACAAAAGATTTACTGTCAACACCTTGAAACTTGGAAAGGGTCCATTACATGCCAGCATCAGACTTTTGGTGGAGAAGCGCGGTGGTGGGGAGGGTAGGAAGATGCTGAGAAGAAAAGACGAAGGGGAAGAGGGAGATGAAAATCCATCAGTCCTCCCTCTGAGTCTAGTTGGCCAGGACAAGGACGACACAGGACTTTTGTGAAAGATTCTGGAAATATTTCAGAGAGTTGCCTTGAGAATATCCACATGGCGGTACATAGGGCATAAAATCTGGGTTCGAAGACCTGAGCCTGAGTCCTGGCTTTCCACCTGCTAACCACATCCCTGCCATCAGGGCAGGCTGATGTTTCCTGGTCAGTACAACAGGGCTGCAGAAATCTATTTTGCAGAGTTGCCGGGAGGATCAAATGAAGTTATGTGTGTGAAAGCATCTTGTAAACTGTAAACACTAGACATGGTATACATTAGTTTTTGGTGTTACCCAGTAGGTCATTTCTCTCTCTCAAACATTTATTCTCTATCATGTGTCCGGGTGTTTATCCAAAAGTAAACACTGATCATGGCATCATGATTTTGTTTTGTTTTATTTTGAGACGGAGTCTCGCTCTGTTGCCCAGGTTGGAGTGCAGTGGCGCAATCTCTGCTCACTGCAACCTCCGCCTCCCGGGTTCAAGCAATTCTCCTGCCCCAGCCTCCCGAGGAGCTGGGACTACAGGCGTGTGCCACCACACCCAGCTAATTTTAGTATTTTTAGTAGATGGGGTTTCACCACGTTAGCCAGGATGGTCTCGATCTGACCTTGTGATCCACTTGCCTCGGCCTCCCAAAGTGCTGAGATTACAGGCGTGAGCCACGGCGCCCGGCCCTAATCATGGCTTTTAAGGGGTCAATGCAAGCCAGGGAAGATGGACAAAAAGAGGAATTACAGAACACAGTATGACACATGTACAACTGGGTAAGCAGAAAGGGCTGTGGAAGCACCCAAGGGGCACCTAGCCCAGCCCTTAGGAGTCAGCAGAGGCTGCCTGGTGGAGGTTTCATCTGAACAGGTGCTCTGAAGGGACAGTAGCCATTGGCCAGGAAGAGGGAAGGAAGAGCTTCCAGGCAGAGGACAAGCATGATGGGCTTCATTTGGCTGCACCAGAGATCAACAAACAATGGTAAGGATGGGGGGAGTCCTGAGAGGTAAGACCAGATCATGAAGGGTGTCTTGAGCCCTGTCAAGACATGATGAGGTCAACCAAGCAACAATAACATCACAAGACAACAGGTTTCTTTCTGGGTCCTGACAGTGTATGTAAGTTATGCGGCTTGAACTTACTGGACGGCATTAATGAGCTTCTATTCATGTCTAATAAGGAAAAAAGAGGGTTCTATCATGGGTTATGCCACATTTGTTTTTCTTGGTAGTTGGGACAGTTGCTTTGTTAATTGCCTTTTTTGAACATACTCTCCTATACCCACAGCACATTTGCTGGAGTCATGGGGGTGGGGTGTGATAATCTGCACTATTCATGAGCTGTGGCCAGGTGATCCAGCACAAAGATGCCCAGCTGTGGGGAATACATTCATTCTTCCCTAACACATTAAAACCACAACCAAGGAAAGCTGGCTGAATAAAACTGAGTGGCCCCAAGGATACAAACACCTCCAACACGAGTCATTTATTTATGAAAAGTGAATAGGATACAAATTAAAAGCTTGGGCGCAGGAGCCAGACTGCTGTGACTTGAATCCTGGCTCCTCCATTTCCAACTTCCCCCAGCCTCAGTTGTCTATCTGTAAAATGGGTCTCATAGTAGGATCTGCCACACAGGATTGTGTATTAAAAGAGATAATCAATATCGAGTATTTGGCACAGTGCCTGGCACATGGGGCTCCCAACACATGGTGTTGGTGGTGTTCCTATTTGTTGTTTTTCTCTTGTAGCAATGCTGAATCCAGTCTGCTCCCACTTACAGTTTACATGATGGAAGAATTAGAGACTTGAACACAGAAATGAATTATCCCTGTTAACCCTAACCCCAGAACATTGAGGCCACAGGAAATACAACCGCAGTGACCTGGACTTCTGCGTTAGTCATGATCAGTACGTATTAGGTCACAGCTAGTCTACGCTTTATCACATGGTGGTGACATTCCAGTTTCATATGAGAGGGCTCTCAGTTAAGTAAGTGCACTAAAAATGCATACTGGAAAACACCCGTGATCTATCTAAAACATTGTTCCAGTGCCCTCGTTTTTTTGTTTTGCTTTGTTTTTTTAAATCCCAGAGAGCAATACCATAAAATATTTCATTAGACCTTTTTATTCAAGATCCATCTTAAAAAGTTGAGGCTGTACCTCAAATATCTTTTATTTTCCTTGCTGACTTGTTACATGACCCCCACTGGCCTGTGAATATATCCAAAGATTTTTCTGTGTTTTAATCTGAACTCACTTTGAAGCTATTTATATGTTTGGCATGGTAACACAATGGAGGTAATAAACACCATGCAGGTCTGACTCAGCTTTGAAAGCAGCTTTCTGAGTGACACCTTCCTCAGGATTCCCTGAGCTAACTTTATGGGATCTGGTAAGTAACTTCATATTCACTCCATAGCACTTACGATCTCCCAATCATTTCCTGCAGATCTAGCCTGGAAGCTAAATTTTAAAACTAGCTGTGAATTTAGAAGATGATTCATAAGCTCTGTGCATACCATGGTTATGACTGGTGGAAGGCAGAGATTCTTACATCAGTCTTCTTTACATTTTAACAGCAAGGAAAATAACAGGTTAGAGGAGTACTTTGTATCTACCCTCCCTTGCTTCCGGCAAATTAATGAAAGCCAAATAAATTGCAACACTTTGATATCTGTGTCTCTGTAACGTTAAAGACAGCCCTGGGCTGCGAGAGATGAACGTGGTAGAGCACCTCCGGGCCAGCTTCCCAGTGGAGCAATGGTATTGGAGAGGTGGACAACGTGGGGAGGCTGAGGGAGCTAGATCTTCGAAGGCAGAGAACAACACGGTGTGTCAGGCAAGCCACAAGCTCTTTTTGCAGCATAAAAGCAAGAGGGGAGAGTGGCAGGGGAAAAACTCAGGTTATTTATTTTTTTTTTTTTTCTGAAAACCACTTGCTGAAATAGAATGCCTCTTCTGAATACTGATGTCATTAGACTATCAATTTAGGTTATATTAAATTTTTTCAGGATAGCTATCCTTAAATTTCAAAGCATTTATTGGCCAGGTTTCTAAAGTGTGATAGCATCATTCACCAGGAAGCAGGGAATTTAGAATCGAGGTGACACCGGACCACAGAGTGAGTCTCTGGTGTAGAGGCAGGAATATGCTCAGTAAGGTAGCTCGTCAGCCGTAAGGCTGCCCAGGAGTGAGGCTTCCTCTGCAGGGTCTCACGGGTGCCTTCTCATGCCTTTTACTGGAGCCATATCTAATGACTTTAAAAGGTTAACCCTGGATCTGTTCTGGTGAACTTCATCCATGTTTGTAACATCCTAGAAAGTATTTATTCTGAGAAGCTGAAAAACAAAAAAAGATCTTCCCAGATTTCTGAAAATGGGGTGGATACTGACCTACATTCAGTGTTCTAGATTAAAATCACAGATTTTGGATAGAGAAAGTATTCTCTGTAATCTAATAAAACCAACTTTTTTTTTTTTTTGAGAAAGAGTCTCGCTCATGGCCCAGTCTAGAGTTGCAGTGGCACGATCTCGGCTCACTGCAACCTCTGCCTGTCGGGTTCAAGCGATTGTCCTGCCTCCTGCCCCAGCCTCCCAAGTAGCGGGGATTACAGGCATGTGCCATGACGCCCAGCTAGTTTTTTGTATTTTTAGTAGAGGGGGGGGGTCTTGCCATGTTGCCCAGGCTGGTCTTGAACTTCTGACCTCAGGCGATCAGGCCATCTTGGCCTCCCAAAGTGTTGGGATTACAGGCGTGAGCCACCACGCCTGGCCAAAACCAACATATTTTATGGATAGGAAATTGAGGCTTAGATGGGGGGGAAGAAAAACATTACACAGATTAAACCACAGCTAATGTCAGGTGGTGACCAAAGCAAGTCTTTTATTGCAGGCTGGGTTTTTCCATGTGGCTGGTTGTATGCTGCACCAAGAGGCAGACACAGTAGGCCAGTTTCCTGTGCAGACCCAGCTGCAATCCCATCTCTAAGCCAGGATGCTATTAGGTCTCAACAACCCATGGGAATTTAGGGTGCTCATGATTTAGGCTGGAAAGAGGTGACTAAGCTCCTTGATCTAAGGTCTATGCAACTGGCCACTCACTGCGGACCAGGGACATTCAATGCCAGACAGCGGTAGGGCTGGTCTGGGGCGGCAAGCCAGATCCTGGGCAAAGCAGCCTTTCTGCTAAGGGTTCCCTGGCAGACCACGACGATGGCCTCTTGCAAATGTGACCTGACGGTGGCAAAAGTCTTCTTTCAAAGCCCATTCCTAGGGCCTGCTCTTTCCCCAGCACTGTCCCCCAGGAAGCCCCCTTGCTAGCCATATTCATAAAGTTAAACGACTAAAACATGTTTTGGAAAGTAGTTTCTCTTGGTATTTTAGTGTGTTGTTTACTCTCTTACTGTACTAACAATATAAATTGCTAAAGGCTTCCTGGAAATCAAAACTGCAAATTAGAGAAAAATAGGGTTAGAGAAAATGTCTTTGATAGTCCACTTTGAAATTCAAATAATGATTTGAGAAGTTTAAGAATTATTACGTGAATAGATGGTAAAGTGACAGAATATTAATTATAGAATCTAGCCAGTGTATTTTTCATAATAAAATATTGGAAAAAAGTATTACCGCATCTTCTGTGCATACCAATATCCAACAAGTTCATGGGCTCCTACCGCTGGATATAATAGCAAAAAGTCTTGAAATATAAAATAAAGGAAGCACCACAAATTAAATAGGGAAAGATACATGACTCAAAACATGATGGGGGATTTACTTTGTGAAACAAAGTCCATTTGGATCTTTGTTTCACACTTTTTTTTTTTTTTTTTTTAAAGACACAGGGTTCTTGCTCTGTTGCCTAGGCTGGAATGCAATAGCATGATAATAGCTAACTACAGCCTCAAGCTTCTGGGCTGAAGTGATCCTCCCACCTCAGCCTCCCAAGCAGCTAGGACTACAGACACATGCTACCATGCCTGCCTAATTTTTAAATTTTTTGGTAGAGGTGGGGTCTCACTGTGTTACCCAGGCTTGTCTTGAACTCCTAGCCTCAAGTGATTTTTCCACCTTAGCCCCCGCAAAGCACTGAGATTACAGGTGTGAGCCACTGTGCCTGGCCACATCTTACTTCTAATTTGGTGAGTTTAATGTTAAAAATGAAACTTTAAAAAAAAATAGATGAATATTTTCTAACTTCTGGGTAGGAAGGAATTCCTAAGCCTGAGGTAACAGAAGTTACACAGGAAAAAAAAAAAGATAAAATAACTTACTCCACTACATAAAATATAAAGGTTCTCATGAGAACACATGGACACAGGGAGCAGAACATCACACACCAGGGCCTGTTGGTGGGTGGCGGACTATGGGAGGGATAGCATTAGGAGAAATACCTAATGTAGATGGTGGTTTGATGGGTGCAGCAAACCACCATGGCACGTTTATACCTATGTAACAAACCTGCACGTTCTGCCCATGTATCCCAGAACTTAAAGTATAATAATAATAATAAAATAAAGGTTCTGTATTTCCAATAAAGTATAAGCAAAATTAAAAGTCAAAGAAGCTGGGAAAAGTATTTACCCCAAATATCGTATACACACACACACACACACACACATCGTTATAAATATATCATAGAAACAGTCACACCCTAGTAGAAAAGTTGATAATGGACACGAACAGAACATTTACAAAAGAAAACAACAGGCTGATGCACACAAGAAGAAAGTTCAGCGTTACTGGTAGAGATGAAAACATGCCACATGCCTGACATGGAGTGAACATTCATTAAATAGCTTCTGAGTAGATGAACCAAAAAGAATGTAACCTTTTTGTCTAAAGATAAAAAAGAGAGAACACTCAATGCTGATGAAGATATGGAGAGAAGGACATTTCATACTTTGCTAAAATGTGCAGAACTTGGTTCAAGCTTTCTAGAAAACAATTTAGCAAGGTATATCAAGAATCTTACAGTTAACCTCCTTTTACTCAAGAAATTCACTGTAAGGAATCTCTCCTAAGGAAATCATTAAAAATATGCCCAAGATTCATGTATTTAAAAGGTTAATTACTATAATAAAAAATAGTTTTTAAAAACTGGAAGCAAATTAGACACTCCCAAATTAGAGAATTAGCACCATTAGAAATATTTTAAAGGCATTTTAAAGCATAGGGAGAACATGCCTGTTTTAAAAGTGGGATAGAAAGTGTCTATACAGGCCGGGCATGGTGGCTCAAGCCTGTAATCCCAGCACTTTGGGAGGCCGAGACGGGCAGATCACGAGGTCAGGAGATCGAGACCATCCTGGCTAACATGGTAAAACCCCGTCTCTACTAAAAATACAAAAAATTAGCCGGGCGTGGTGGCGGGCACCTGTAGTCTTAGCTACTTGGGAGGCTGAGGCAGGAGAATGGCATGAACCCGGGAGGTGGAGTTTGCAGTGAGCCGAGACTGCGCCACTGCACTCCAGCCTGGGTGACAGAGCAAGGCTCCGTCTCAAAAAAAAAAAAAAAAAAAGAGGAAAGTGTCTATACAGGCTGGGCGTGGTGGCTCACACCTGTAATCCCAGCACCTTGGGAGGCCGAGGTGGGTGGATCACCTGAGGTCAGGAGTTCGAGACCAGCCTGACCAATAGGGTGAAACCCCGTCTGTACTAAAAATACACAACTACCTGGGCGTGGTGGCGCGTGCCTGTAATCCAAGCTAATTGGGAGGCTGAGGCAGGAGAATTGCTTGAACCCAGGAGGCAGAGGTTGCATTGAGCCGAGATTGTGCCACTGCACTCCAGCTTGGGCAACAAGAGCGAAACTCCATCTCAAAATAAATAAATAAATAAAGTACCTATACAGAATTATGCTGATTCTGCAAATTGTGTGTATGTAGGAAAATGCTGGAAGGAAATACACAAAACCCTAATAGAGCTTTGAGGATTAGAGGTAATATGTGGAATCTAAAATAGTCAAATACAGTCCATAGAAACAGAGAGAGGTGGTTGGGGGGATGGGGAGATGTGGGTCAAAGGGTATAAAGCTGGAATGATGTCAGACGAATACATCTAGAGATCTGCAGTACAGCATGACCACAGTGAAGATACTGAATATTTCTAAGTGCATTTTAGGTGGGCTTAACACACATGCACAAAAAGGTAACTGTGAGATGGTACACTCACAGCTGGAGTGTAAGTTATTATTTTGCTTTGTACATGTTATATCAAACCAGCATGTTGACACCTGAAATATATATGATAAAAAACAAAGGAGGTTTTATTACAAATGAGTCAGAATAGAATGAAAAACACCATATAAAAAATTAGAAGAGTGATCCCCTGCTTTGGAGACAGGTCTCACTCAAGTCCTTATCCACATGGTGCAACTGCCCACTGGCTCTGTCTCTGCCATTGACTCTGTGTACTGACATGTCTGAATGCCACCTATCCCCCCTCACACCTGGGCCCCACCTGTCCCCCCCTCACAGCTGGGCTTCCTCTTGGACTGCATTTTGTGGTGAATGATGCCACTTGATAACCCTGGCCACTCTGCCTGCGTCACCCTCCCCCATTTCTCCCCCGAATCCATCACCACCTGTGTCCTGACCAAAGCTTTCCATTTGGCCTCCTTGCCTCGATGGCCTGTCCCACACCCGCACCCCCTCGAGTCATTCTCTTCACTGCAGCCCGCCTGGCCTTTCTGAAGTGCACATCTGACTTTTGTCAGGATCCTGGGTGGAAATCTTCAGGCAAGCAAGGCGCGGCATTCACACCTCTGTTAACAAGCACTGCCGAGTCTGCATCTCCCATCACCCCTTCCCCACACACACAGGTCTGCGCCTCTGGACAGGCTGCCCCACCTGCCTCCCATCCAACTAACTCTGTCAAGCCTGTCTATTGGGGTCAATTGTGACTTTGCCTCCATTGGAAGCTGCGCGGGGTGGCGGTTGAGTGTCACAAGCCCTGCGCATGCTGTTTTTATGCTCCCATGGCACTCATTACACACTGTGACTCTGTTTTTGTATCTTTGTCTCCTCTACCAGACCGTGAGCACCTAGCCAAGTAGGCCCTCAGGGTTTGTAGAATGAATGAATGAATGTTTCCACCACCCCAGCAGACTTATCTGCTTTCATCCTGAAAGAGGTATCAAACCAAGATTTTGTAGCTTCCCCCAGTTAGCTGCTGAAGTATTATATCATCCTCACAAGTGAGACAGTCATCCTTATGTATTAATCACCCAGCAAATTCATGTATTATATACCGTCTGTCATGACACTATCGCTGGTTTTATTTGAACCTACTTACTCCTGCTAAGTCTCTCACAGGAACCTTACTCATTATCACTAAACACAACGATCATCTCAAGTACTGTGCACCAGGCAGAGCGGAAGGCCCTAGGAATATAAGGATAAACCAGACTGTTACTACTTAAAGGCCATTAGCAAAAAATCCTCCAGCCTTGTGTGGAATAAAATCCTCAGTTGCCTTATCTTTTCCTGGAAGGGCGTGTAATTTCTGTTGCTTGTGTATCAGCTTTTCACAATTGTCCAAATTCTTTTTTTAAGTGTGACTCAAACAGGACACAATGATGAGTCTGACAAACACACTACGTCTTGTTTTCTTACCCTTCTATGTCATACTCCTTTTAATACACCCAAGAATCATGACTATTTTTTTCCCGCAACAGCCTCACAGCATTGACTTTAAGTTTAGCTGATGAGTGATAAAGGCTGCCATTTTTTAAAAAACGATGTTTCTTTTGTACTCAACCATGCTATTTTAAATCTATTCCTACTACATTTCTTCTGCTAATGTAGAATCATTTTTCTGCTTTGTTATAATTGTTATGAATTATACTTCTGGAGTTGAGATGATTTTGATTCCTACCTAATGTGGTAGCGTGCACAATAGAAAAATGAAAAGAGATTTCATAGTTTTATATTGTGCAAAAGGCAGAGACAAATATATGTATGAAAACTCTGCCCAACTGCTTAATATTGAGTCTTCGGCCCTCTACCTGAATTCACAACGTACTTTACAAATACTCGTGGCTACATGTTGAGGGATTCTGGGCTATCAGTTTGGAGACTCTGGTATTAACCATGCTCTTTATTTATTATTAGTCATGTATTTTCCCCACCCTTTGTCTTTGGCTTTGCACCCCCACCTAGCAACCACAATGACTTCTTTTTGACCTGGATGGCTCGTCTTTTTACATAACAGTGTTTCCTGGGAAGCTTAAGAACAGCAGAGTCACAGTGAGGGCTTAGTCCAGGGCAGCCTTCTTAACGTGGGGTACATGGATGTCCTTCTTTGGGTCTGTAAATGGGCAGGCACATGTTTGCATACAGGTGTGGGAAAAGGATTCATGGCTTCCATCATAATCTCAAAGGGATCTAGCACCCTGGAAAGGTTAACAACGCAAACTCCCAGGCATTCAGACACAGCACAGCACAGCACAGCACAGCACAGCACAGCACAGCACAGCACAGCACACTGAATAAACAGCCCCAGCTTGCCTGACTCAACCTTCTACTAAGCCACCTCCCAAGAGAGCAAGAAATTCTATAGTAATTATACACCAACCATCTTCTGGAAGGCAACTACGCTCACCACTGTACCACCAACACGCCAAACATCTTTTGAATAATGAAGATCATAATTTGAGGGTGTGATTTTGGGGGGGGATCTGGCATATATGACATTATATAGAGGCCATAATCTAACACTTTAAATATCAAAGCTATCTTTTCTCGGTTTCTGCTTTTATCCATGTTTTACGTACTTTCTTTGTCCTCTTCTGATACTTTTAGCTTATTTGATAACCCTGGTTGAGAACCAAAGCATCATGAATCACAAGATTCTCTACATATTAACATTTTGTTAGAAGCTCAAAGCACAAGTCTTTCATTAACTGTTGATCATTATATTATTTTTGCCAGAATATACTGGTGCCTTGTACACTTGAGTTTTAATAGCATTACAGATATCATTTTAGTGTACATATGTCAAAACCAAAACTGCCTTTATGTCAATATGCTGCAAAAATCTATCAGAATATATCTTAATTCTTAACTTTCATTGTTGTCTGTGGGTTGTCTTTTATAATTATTATCACATCCACAGTATTTTCTGGAGGTAAATATGAAATGTATTATAAACGTACTGGGGGAAAATGCTCTTTAAAGCGTTTCCCTAGACAAAGCACCATTTAGGTGTTAGAAGCAAGAACTAGTGAAATCAGAAATTGCTGTCATACATACTCACCAGTGAACGGGCGTACAGAGGATCCCCAAGCGCAGGACTTGTCCTGGAAGCAGAGGATTGGATTCCATCAGGAAAAGAGGCAAGTAGAAACACCAAATGCTGGTGCTCCCTTTCCCCAGCTCATCTTATTTGCAGGCACACAGATTTTGGAATCCTCCAGGACTAACAATAAAAACCACACTAGGTTGTTTTCCTAATTCCTATGAAATGAGTCAGTAGGTCAAACAACTTATCCACTCCAGAGAGAGAACAATTCCTTGAGCTACACTCCCTGTTTCCAGTAACCCTATTCCCTGTCTGTGCCCCTGGATAAAAGTGCTGCCAATAATGCATGGAGAGCCCACCGGGTTCTGAATTAGACACATCATAGAGATTGCCAGAAAGTTAGTTGCCTTCATGGGATAGTTTCCCTTATGAATATTTAGGAGGAAAAAAGTCCAGTTAAGAGTAACATGAGGATCAAGTTTCTTCATTTAAAGAGTCAGCATAACTTTTTCTCTATCGAGACCATTTCTTTCTTTCATATAGGAGGACTGAATGATGCTGAAAATAAATATAGAAAAGCGATAACTGTACCTTTAAAAGCCCCCACAAACCACTTCCTTCTGTAAAACACCCTTTCCTCCTCCAAAGGTCTAGTATATTCACAAGATTCACTGATTATTCAATGAATCCATATTCTTAAAAACCCTTCACAGTTGTCTGTGCGTCCTGCAGTTCCATACTCTGTATCATATAAAGCAGAAGGTGTTTAAGAGCTTGCTAGCCGTCATTTAAATCCATGACTCAAGACGACCAACACTGGGTTACCAATAATCTTCAGAAAGTACCACCTACTCACCGAGTGTAACATTTCTTGTAGTTAGCGACCTCTGCTTAGGAAATCACCAGCTCCTGGCAATGAATCCATACTTCCAAGAACTCACACATTCAGGCAAATATATGGACATACAGCTCTAAATATAGATACAGAGAGGTCTGCCGTGACAGTTCAGTAGGAGACTGGAAATACTTTTGCTTTCTGTATCGATAGTACTTTCTTTCCTTTTTAAAGAGAAGGTTTCGTTTTGATCTTGAGAAATTCTGATAAAACCACCAACTGAAAACCTGCCATTATAAAGGAGGGATTTCACAACGTTCATTCCAAAAAACTGTGGCTATTCATTTCTGGAAGTGATTCACTGCAGAAGAATCGCTGTTTGGGGGTGGAGGGAGCGTTGATTTTTAGAAGCCAGCCTGCCCTCTGAGAAGTGAGCAGCAACCTCTGAGATGGCAGCCACGTGCCTTCTGACCCCCAGCCCTGCTCCCTGAATCACCACCCCTCGAGATGACACGCAGTGACCAATTTCCTCTTAAAACTCCCTTCTGTTCAAAAACCCTATGATCCATGCACCCTCTGTCTAATCCTCTGCGATGGGGCCAGTCTGCAGATCCGTCTGGGCGGGCTGCGGTAGCATTCTCCACCTGCCAACACTCAGTTGCTGGTGAGTAACCAGCATACGGACTCTCACTTCCTGTGAGTATTTCTGAAAGAGCTTATGATATTTCCTTCAAAAAAAAAAAATTGTGGGGAGGAAAGCCACTCGGGGAGGAGAAGCAACTTCAACAAGCAAAGCTAAAAGCATGCAACGTGATCACTGTTGACCAGACACGCCTAATTTTAATTTGGTTTCTCAACCCCTGTGTAATTAAGACAGCCCAAAGAGAACAGCATCAAGAGGAAAGAAAAAAAAAAAAGACATTTCACAAATGCTTAGACCTTCGGTGCGCGTGACCAGAAAAGTAATTTTAAGATTCAAGCGAACCAATCTGAGGCTGGTTGGAGCATTAACCCTTCAAGGAAAGAGAAAGAATTATTTTTGTTTGTCCCCAAATTTCAAATACGGAATTCGTCTTCCCTACCAGGAACTGAGATACCAAAAATCAGCCTCTAAATACCATCCTCTGGGCTTGTAAGATGAAAAAACTTTTTCAGATTTGTCCATCACAGGGGTAGAAAAATACCTATTTATGAGACCCAGTCACATTAACAGAGCAGCCGACATGGTGTTCACACTCAGGCACCCTTTGAAAACCGGCCACTAAGGCTAAAATGTGACATTTTGTATTTCTCTAGGCTGTAGCCAAACCTGTTAATTTATGTTAGAGAGAAGGGCAGCATTTCTTGACAACTGGGCAAAATGAGTAAGAAAACTTGCTTTCATCCCACCTTACAGAGTATCAATGGTGACAAAGCTCACTTTCTGAGATTAGTAGACGTTTTGCTGAAAGAAAGATTTTTCAGAGCCTGTCCTTCAGCTTCAGGCTGTGAATGTGCTTCCAACTTGGGGCCTCCATGTGCCTGCATGGTGGGGAGGGGGGCTCTTGAAGGGGGAAGGAGGAAAATACAAGCTTCTACTTAATGGGCACTGAAGAATAAAACAAATCACCCACATTCACACCTGTATTTATCACACAATCCATGGAAGCCCTTAACTTGAAACACGGCAGCACTTTGCCACTTAGACCCCAACTCTTTTATTTCACATTTTTGGATGTGAAATTCTGAAAGGGAATTTTCACTTTTTTTTTTTGTTTGTTTGAGACGGGGTCTCACTCTTGTCGCCCAGGCTGGAGTGCAGTGGTGCGATCCTGGCTCACGGAAGCCTCGACTTCCTGGGATGTGATAAGCTTTTACCATCTTTACCAAACTGATATTTTAACAAGAAGAGTATGGAAATCATTTGCCTGATATACATAATTGATTTATTTATTTATTTTAGAGGCAGGGTCTCACTTCATCTCAGCCTCCAGAGTAGCTGAAACTACAGGTAAGTACCACCATGCCCAGATAATTTTTTTTTTTTTGGTAGAGATGACGCCTTGCTGTGTTGCCCAGGGTGGTCTCTAATTCCTGGCCTTTAGCAATTCTCCCGCCTTGGCCTCCTAAAGCACTGGGGTTACAGGCATGAACCACTGTGCCCAGCCTGCATGATGTAATCTCCAAATTGAGGGTAAGTAAAAAGTAGCACCTATAACTAGAGGTAAATTTTTAATTTAAAACAACTACACTACGCAATAGTCATCTCCTCAGCCCTTGCCCACGAGATCTTATGAACCTCCTCAATAGAAAAAAAGGAAGTCTGTGATAGGATCAAAGGAACAGGAACCCTTTACATGGAGAGTAATTTTAAATAGCTACAATTTTTGAGCTTGTCCGTTGATACCGAGCTCAGCAAAAGAAAAAGCAGTGATTACAGGCCTGACCACTACTCAATGATTAGAATATTCACTCTTCTCTATTACTTAGAAGGAAGCCCCCCTCTCCCACTATGTCAGGTATACACACAAGTTCACAGCTCTCAGTGTTTCTGTGTAATTTGTTCCTGTTTCAGACAGCTTTCCAGAAAAGCTCCTCTTAAATCCTGGGTGGCCAATGCAGAGGTTTTAAAAAGAGGAAAAGTAGAGCAAAACAACAAAAAGATCATGAAATAGAAGCTTGGGGAGAAGGGAGCAAAGAGAACATGAATCTAACAGATGCAGCAGTTGCAAAAAAGCTGCTATCCTTTAGAAACTCCTGTTAATTTGGTGACCTAAAGGGAGCTATTTCTAAGGCTGGATGTTGAGAATGTGATGAAACCATGGAGGCTGTCCAGGTCCTTGCTATGCTGTGGACACCATTCAAGAGTTATAGAGTCCACCCTCTCCAAACAAAGTAAAACCCCGTGACAAATGACCTTCATGTTTAACATTTACTCAGTTCTCTTTTAAACAATGAAATGGAGCGCACTCTTTCGTGGCACTTTTATAGGCAGGAGAGAGAGTGGTCTCACAACGGAAGGGCACCAGCCACTGAGAAGTCCTAAGGCCGTGTTTGAGTTCTGGCTCATCTTTTTTGCTAATTTGCTCTTATGCATATCACCCAACCTCGCTAAGCCAGTTTCATCATCAGCGAGAACAGCACACTGACATGCAGGGCCAGCTCAGGCGCTACCACAAGCTACACATCCGTCCATTCGTTTAATCTTCACAGCAGCCCTGGAGGTAAGTTCTATTTTTAATCCTCATCCTACAGATAAGGAAACTGAGGCCCTGGGTGCTTAAGGACATGCCCAGGGTTACACAATCAGTAGGTGGTTGAGCCAGGATTCAGAGCCAGGGAGCCTGACCTTGACTCCACATCCAGAGCCTGCCCTCAGCATGTCTGCCAGTAACACCCAGGTTGGCTGCACAGCAAGGAAAACAGCATATAAGAAACTACCTTAAAACCTACAAAGACCATAAAAACACAAGGTAGATTTTTAATCATGTCACATGCAAATATATTGTCTGTAAAAATGTAATGAAGATTCAGGACAACGAAGCAGTGGTAACTCTGCTGATCCTGTGAAAACAGTTTCACATAACTTGCAAGTTACTTAGTTGCACAATGTGTGGTACCGAGTTGTAGAGGTAGAAGGGATTCAGAGATCCTGTTTTCCGTCAGGGTGGTTGGGTGAGGCTCCCAGACACAGGGCTGAAGTCTGAACCTTCATCCTTTCACTCCCAGCCCAATGATGTGCCACTGTGTCATAGCCACATGGTGGTTATGAATGCATCTGGAACTCCACATTTTAATCTGCCAGGCATCCACCCATTCGTTCACATAATTCACGTGTGTGTAATAGTAACCTTCAGAAAGGAATGTCACAATATTTTTCTCATTACAACATCTTTAGGCTTTAAGATGAAAAGGGTGAAGAAAGAAATCTTCTCTAAATCTTGTATTCCCGCTATTCATTTTTTTATTCAAGGAAAAACAAAGCCTCTGTTAAAGCTCTGCTTACAATGAAATGTAACTGAAGTTCTATCCAATTCTTTCCTCTTCTCTGTAAACTTGTTCACATGCAACAGCCTCTCTGATGTTAACAGGCTGTTCCTCCCAAGTGCCTGCAGATCATGGCTATAGGAGTCACTGGAAGGAACTTGACTCGGTGGCAGTTTGGAGGCTTCCCGGGCTTTAATGATGAAAAATGATTTGGTCATTTAAGACAGAGCCCCCCGCTCTGTTGCCTAGGCTGGCGTACAGTGGCGTGATCATAGCTCACTGCAGCCTCAAACTCCTGGGCTCAAGTGATCCTCCTGCCCCAGTTTCTTGAGTAGTTGGGACTACAGGCGTGTGCCACATCTGGCTATTTTTTTTTTTTAATAGAGAAGGGGTCTTGCTATGTTGCCCAGGCTCGTCTTGAACTTCTGGGCTCAAGCAATCCTTTCACCTCAGCCCCCCAAAGCAATGGTTCACAGGTTCAGAGGTATGAACTACCATGCCTAGCCTAGCTATTTACTCTTAAAGGAAAAAATAATTTTTTATTTAGTTTTCAAGCCTTTCATGCTATTTACACTAAAGTTTGGCCTTATTATTTTTGCTTAGAATCTTTTAATGGTTTTAGGTCACGTTGGGTCACATCAAAACACTTGAAAATGCCTCTTTCTAAAACAAAGACATTCGTTGACAAAAAAAAGTTAAAAGAAAAAAGACCAGCCAGGTATTTAGTTCCATTTAAGAGAGCACAGGCGACTGTATGCAAGATTCTGGAAAATTTATGTACGTTAAATTTATAAGCCAGCACTTTTTTCCCAAAGATTTATTTGGTGTGAAAAGTTACTTCCTGTACTGTAATCATAAAATCAACTGTTATTTACTCCTGTCATAACCATTCACATACTTCCTGCCATAAAAACTTAAACCTGGCTAGAATATTAAATAAAACATGCAAAAAACTACAAGTTCAGGAAGTGACTGTATGTATTATATACATTAAGTTCATATTCCAATCTAAGAGAAAGCTGAATCACCCCTACTTAGGAAAACCAGTATTATGTTTTATCATCTGGGGTGACTAATCCCACAATGGCCCGTGCAGTGAACTTTAAGGGTAAGAAGGGCTTTCTCTTTTGCACTAAGCTCAGTCCATAGTTTTGTGGGGGCTGTCAGGACGTCTCGCAGGTCTGCCGTGTGTAGTGGGCTGAAATACACTGTACATGGCCCAGAGTTAAAACTGTAAAGATCCAAAGACTTACTTAGGGTAGATGTGCACACTTTAAATGCATATGCAGGTTTTTCTTTGGTGCCTGCCTACTTCTAAAAGAAAACAAGCTTCTAAATGCTTAGGCTTTGGCGTGTCGGGTGGGAAAATCAGAGCCAGTGTACACATCCAATGATAGAAGAAAGCGTGCGTGAACAGATTTGTTTACAAAACAGGGCCCAGCAAAGTCTGTCTCTCAGTGCCTCGGCAGGATCCATCCAACAAAACAAACACACAAACACACTGATCTAGGGAACTCGCTCTTCCTTCTGATGAAGGTGTAACAGTTTGTGATTATAACTGGGCAGTAAGTTACAACATAATCACCTGACCCAGGTTTGAATTGGAGATACGCCAACAAATCCAGTTTAACACAAGTGCGTGTGCGCACATGTGCAACACACACACACACGGTTATATGTAGTACAGTGGTTTCAGCTCTCCTTCTGTGGCATTAATCTCAAATCTGTATCTTTAATGGTAGCTACCTCTCCTACCTATATCTTTAACATATTTCTATCTGGATAAGGCAGTCCCTTTAAATTCATCATGAAGCAAAAAAACCAACACCATTCTACTGATTTTACTTTACTTAACTGTATAGCCATCCCACCAGGGTTGAAAGTTTGGCCTCTGGACTCCCTTCTTCACTGAGCCGAGCTGAGCCATTCTGTCACCAAGTCTAGTCAATACTTACTTTCAATGTCTGCTGCCTCCATCCTCTCCCTCCCACTCCCATTTCCAGTCACCCAGGATGCACCTTTCTCTCTGTCCTTGGACAAGTAAGACAGCCTTTGTAATTGGTTCACTTGCCAAGGAGCAACTGGGTGGTGAAGAAACACAGCAGGCAGTAGGAAGGTTGGGTTCTAGGCCTGGCTGTGCCAGAACCAAACCATGTGATGCCAAGAAAGTACATCATATCCTTGGGCCTTAGTGTTCTCACCTATGCCATGAAAAAAATGGCTATCAAATGGTATTAGCTGATGCGGGGCATACAGAGTCCCCAGCTGTGGTCTTCTAAAATGTAGTAAAATTCATGTCGCTGCATTCCTCAAAACTTTTCTGTGACTTTACAATGTCTAGAGGATGCAAGGTTGGTTTTGTTACTCTACATAAAAGATCAAGAATCTTAGGTTCTGTGAATAGCACACTCAAGGTTATAGAACTCAGTGAAGTGTCAGGGGTGGCTTCCAAATCTACATGTGGTTGATTATAAAGCCCACTAAACCATACTGAGTACTTTAAACACAACATAATATTTGGCAGGGGGTGGGGATTCATTACTCGAGTAATCATTATCTGAATCCCTGTAGTTACCAAGTTGCATAAGGAAGCAAAGGTCATCATCATATAAAAATATTGACAAACACAGTGATCACTTATTATTAGTCCTCATTAACATCAGCATCTATTCTTGCTCACTTTCTTGGTTGAATAATGTCATAGAATAAAATGAAAATCCAATGTAGCTCACTTGTAAGGTGGAATTGCAGATTTTCACACAGTTGATAAAAATGATACCAGCAAACTGCATGAATCACATAGGGTCACTGACAAGATGAAAGACAGTTTCAACAGTTAACAATTGAAGAGAAAGTCAACAGAGGTGATTACATGAGAGGTAGACTCTTCAAGAGAATGGTTTGTATATCAAAAGATTAAGAGAGGCCTTTGGGGAAATTCGAATGCTTGTACAAAAATCATCTTCTTTATATGATTCTGCTTTAGAAGTCAACATTCAATCTTTCTTCTAAGAAATAACATGCTGTTGCATCATATCCCAAATTTCTATTATATAAAACAAACTAAACTTCAACTTTAGTTTTATTTTTTTCAGGACTTAGTCCCAATAAGATCTTTAAAAAAAAAGTGACTGTTTGTTTTTAAATGTGTGATTCAGTTTTAAGTCAATCCTCTTAAAACAGCAGTAGTGGTCCTGTATCAGTTATCTTCAGATAACAAGTACCTCCTGAAATGGTAGTAATAGCAAAAAAAAAAAAAAAAAAAAAGAAAAGGATTAACTGATATGCAAGTAGCAGAACTAATTCTTCAGCCCACGATGGAAATAATGTCCTAGTTTTTCTCTCAAGATCTCAGGCTCACCCGGACCAGAGCACTCAGCAAGAAGCTATGCTCATCACCCCCATGCCCCATTCCCACCACTGTATCAATGCCACTGTGGATATGACATTTGTATGGTATTAGGCCAGACCCTGGGCAAGTCTGACTGTTGAGGCAAAACGAGACTGCAGCCCTGTAAACCCTCAGTCTAAATCCTAACTTTACATAATTCACCCCATCCATTCTGTCTTTATCCAGTCCTCTGAAGATCTCCACTTTTTTTTTTTTCAGAAGACAAGAGTCAGGGACCTGGAAGAATTCTGTCGTATAATAACCCACTTTTAAAAGGCACCCCTGTATCACGATCCTTCCTGACATATACCGGTGTATATATCAAATGGTTTTGGTTCCTGCAAATATTCTTCCATCAAATGTTCAGAGAAGGGCTATTTTGAGAAAGATTTAATGGGATTTGTAACATAAAACCTCAAATGAATACTGAGTTAACTAAGACAACTCTGGAACACAAAGCGTGGTTGTTATAACCTTGCTTTTTCTGGTGACTATAATTGAATCCAAGAATCTAATAAAATAGTCTCTCATGCCAGAAAGAAACCCAAGAAGGTATGTCCTCAGAAAATTTAGTCTGAAGTTGGTCAATTCTTAGGCAGTCACTCTACGTGATCAGAACTTTATTAGTGAGCTTTTGGCCTTGCAGGATTGATGTTTGCTACAGAGATCTTGGCTTGCTCCTAAGGAGAGTTCTGTGACACTGTGAAATAGCCCCTTTTCTCTGAAAAGCATAAGGTGTTACTCTTCATTGAGAAAATCCTAGAGTTGTGATCCACGCATTATACTTGTGAGTCTTTCTCATGTGTGTGCAAAACATACACACGTTCAGTAAGGCACGGTGCAAGATTAATATGTTCACATACACAAGAGCCTTTCTGGAATTCAGAAACCTGAAATTGGGGAATGGCGTGAGCCGAAGTGAGACAGGAAGGAAGAGGTGGCAGTTCAGCAGTTTTGAACTTCTGACTGTGATTCCGAATCCTTTTTTAAAAAAGGATTTTGTAGCACTGACCCCAAAGGCAGCACAAACACGTTGGTGAGTGTGCATTAATCGAGGCCATTGAGGATGTTATTTTCTCCTTTAAGACCCTGACCAGAAGCTGAATATGCCAGCAGCAAATGCAGGCAGTGCTGCTGTTCCCTTCACAGTCCTCGGAGGCAGTGAAGCCTGTGCTTGAGACGCGCAGGGCGGAGTGCTTGTTTTGGAGAGCATTCAGCGGATAGCATTTGGTTTCCTCCATTTAACCAGGTCACCCAGGCATGGAATGCACAGCTCTGCCAGACAGAAAGCGCTTTGGATGCCTGAGAAACAACAGCTTGTCCGGGCTACTGATGCGAAGAGAGGCCATGGTTTCCTTTTTCTCTGCTCTGAATGGCAGCCTTGACGTCACAACAGCTAGGAACCACTGGAGGGACAAATAACAAGGCGCAAGCCAGAAGCGCCCTGCTCTGTCGCAGGGGCAGGGCCATTTTCATCCAGTTCTGATGTCTTCTGTGGCCGCTGCGAGTCGGCGGGAGTAGAGACAAATGACTGGAGCTTTAGGCGTAAAGGCGGTCTCTCTCTAGGCTGATCAAACAGCCCTTTGCCCAGTGCTAATTGCCTTCACGGAACCTGGATAAACTACAGTTCCCGAATTAAACTTGTTTCTGATGAACTAGACTTCCCAGGGAATGGGTGTAGTGATTTTGCTGATGGTTCAGACATCGGCACTTTCCCTGAAGGGCTCAACTTCCTGTGTTTAAAAGCAGACCTAACAGGGGCTGGCGCATAAGCATCCCGGGAAATACAAGAAGCTCATGAAAGCAGGCAGCCTTTGCAAGAGACCTGACTTATTTTCTAGGAGAAAAACATCCTTTTAGGGATTTTATAATTTAAGTTTAAGCAATTAAACATGTGCATCAGTACCCAACTGCAGGTGTTTGAACAAATGAGGGGAAAACGCTCAGAGGCTGCCAGGCTTAACTCACCATTATCTAAAATGAATTGTCTGTGTAAGTCATCACAGCAGTTTGAAAAGCATGATCTTTCATGTTTCAACCTCACATCAAAATTCTAAATTATATTTAGCTATGTGAGTGTCAGATCATTTGTTTCCATTATCAATGCGATGTTGGGCAATTTGCAGACAGGATCTGAAAGCATCATCCATGACTTTCATGGAACAGAAAAGAGCTTTCTGTTGCCACAGATTTGCCCTAAGTTCAGTCCTCTGCCTTTGGAGCACTGACAGCTGTCACCAAACCCAAACCCCAGTCTGAACCCATAGTGCTCAAGGTACTTTGGGAAAGCTAATTCAGGAAAACCACAGGCTGGAGGGGTTGTCTTTGAGGTGTGTATGTGTGTGTGTGTGTATGCACATTTGTTGGCAGTGTGTGGACTGAGCACAACATATAGAGAGGCAGTGTTCTCAGGACTTCTGTGCTCCTATTTGGAAAAATTCGGCAGAAGAAACAACAGCTCTGAGACACTCAGCCCCTTTCATCAGCTCTTTCTTTGCTTAATTAAATACACAGTTCCCCCCAAAGCACTCTTTCCCTGAGGTCATAGTGTCAGTCTTGTTTCATGAGAATAATCTGCTATGAATATTTACTCACTTTCAAAAACAAAAGAGGGTTAAAAATCTGATCCAAAATGTCACTTACGACACCTACAACAGAATCTACCCCTCTGCCTCCAGGCTGTCCTGACAACCCATGTCCTCAACAGGAATCTGCAGTCTGTTCTGGAATCTGGTCTTTGGACTCAAATGATCTTACCTGGGTAGCTAACAAAGTCTTCTGTCTTGTTCCTGCTGTTAAAAAATCCAAGTATGTTCAGGCATTAAACAATGGAGAAGATAAAGCAAAAATAATTTTTTAACTACATCTTTCTTTTTCAAGTGGTGGTTATGCTCAAGAGGTGAAATTTATTGTGGCCCTACCCCTGTTTTTATAAGAGCTTTTTATAGTATAAGAACTATAATTAAGTTTCCTCTGAACTGTTTTATTAAACTTAAGTTTTCAAGAAGAGAATGATAAAATTTCTTAAACTACTATGTTTTCAAGGGGAGGACAATTTATTTTTATTGTTCTAGCATAAGGAAAGAGAGAATGAGAGGGAAAGTGTTTTTTAACCTGTATCCTGATTAGAATTTTTTAATGTTCAAATTCCTGATTATAAACTGCAGTAAACAATCAGTCATTCATTAACAAGCAACTATTGAAAAGGCGATATTTAAAAGAGAAAAAATAAAACATGTGATTAAAACTCTACACACGTCTTCACTTCAAGGCAAACGCAGTGGCCATCTGGGTATTTAGAAGGTGCCAAATATCATTGGGATCTAGATTTAATTCATGTTATAAAGAAAGCACTATATTTAATTTGTTCACAAAAGACCTAGAACCTCGTAGAAATGATGGTGTTGAAGTGAACTTTTAACATTAAAATAAGGTCTTTATTTTACAATTTTTTAAATATGTGATCAATCACAAACATGAACAAACTTTCAATGCTCCAGTGTTCTACTCTGAATGAGAAAAGTTGGAAAGATCATTTTCAGCTTTCAAAAATTTTTGCTTTAATTTTCTCTATTTGGAAATCTTTAAAAATTAGTCAGTTTAAAAGTCCTGGCTGCTTTTAGTCAGAAGGGCCTAAGAAGAGACAAGACTTTTCCCAGGGTATCCAAAGACAGATCCAGAGAATTTAAAGCCTGGACATATTACCTGGACTGAAGGCATTCGTTGCTTGCTTTACTGGTGAGGACTGGGAAGACCTGACTTCCACAGTCCTCTTTCCAAGTGGCAGGAAACAGGACATGCACTATGCCAAGCAGCTTCCAGCACCCATGCAGCACCCTTCCAGCACCTATGCAGCAGTATCCATGCTCTGAAGTGAAGCCTGAACTCGCCACCTCGCCACTGAGGGCTCCCCAGCAGGGCAGGGATGGGACCCTTCCTGGTATCACATGCTCGCTCGCCTCCTGAGTCCTGCATGAACAACAGACTGGATCCCTGTTTTTAGTCTGAGGACACTCATGAGATTTTTCCAAAAATTTTCTTCAGGAGCAGACACTATTGTGAATACCACATAAACAAGCTCTCCCTTTTCCAATTCCTCTTTTGAAAATGGTAGAGAATCAGCATATCTGGCTCTAACTTAACTTGTAAAAAAAATAATAGATTTTTTAAAAAGTTTCAGTTTATCACACTCAACCACAGTTATCTTCCAATGCTACAATGTACACATAAAAAATTAGTTTTCAAAGACTGCCACTTGTGCTTGTTAGGAAAAACTTGTATCTATCCATCCTTTCTATGAAAAAACTCTATAATGCTAAACTTCCAGAGTGACTCTGTACTAGATAGCTTCACAAAACTACAATCTTTGTGCTTACAAAGCTACTTCTACTAGGTAACAACAGAAGCACCGTCATGAACCCTAGTTTCTGAATAGGTACATAGGATTGACACATGCCAGGCTTTAGTTAGACTCTCACGGTGTTTGTCCCTTTACGTCACGGCACATCATACCCTGCAGCTGCCTTTGTGTGCTTATTTGCTGCCAGATTCCTCTGCTAGTGTGTAAGTGCCATGAAGGCAGGATTCATGCCTACGCTGTTCTTGTGTAAGAACTGCTAATGCCAGGGCCGGGTGTGGGGGCTCACACCTGTAATCCCAGCACTTTGGGAGGCCGAGGTGGGCGGATCACCTGAGGTCAGGAGTTTGAGACCAGCCTGGCCAACATCGTGAAACCCCATCTCTACTAAAAATACAAAAATTAGCTAGGTGTGGTGGCGGGCGTCTGTAATCCCAGCTACTCGGGAGGCTGAGGCAGGAGAATGGCTTGAACCCGGGAGGTGGAGGTTGCAGTGAGCCGAGATTGGGCTACTGTACTCCAGCCTGGGCAACAGAGCGAGATTCGGTCTCAAAATAAACAAAAACAAACAAACAAACAAACTGCTAATGCCAGAAAGAGAGGAAGGAGAAGGAAAGGAAGAAAAAAATAAGGTAGAAGGGAGAGGAAAGTGACAGAAACAACAGAGAAGAAAAGGGAAGGGAGGAGGGAAAGAAAAGAGGCAGAAACAGCCACTACACTGGTTTTAGTAAATAGGAGTGACTTTGCAGTTTCATTAGATTTTTCATTCATACAGTTAAAGGTTCCTTGTAGCCATGATCTCATCAAATCTCACAATAACCCTGAGTGACCTTTTAACATTAAACTAAAATGTTTACTTATGGCAGAGATTAGGAATGACTAGTTTCTAGATCTTCCACATTTTATCTGTACATCACTCATGACAGCAGGTAGTTCTGAGACGGACCTCTAAAGTGATCTGTGTGTTCATACAGGTCTGTGTTTCTGTAAGTCAACAGTTTAAGAATTGTGAAAGGCCAGGCGCAGCAGCTCATGCCTGTAAGCCTAGCACTTTGGGAGGCCAAGGCGGATGGATCACTTGAGGCCAGGAGTTCGACCAGCCTGACCAACATGGCGAAAGCTTGTCTCTACAAAAAATACAAAAATTAGCCGGGTGCGGTGACCCACGCCTGTGATCCTGGCTACTCGGAAGGCTGAGGCATGAGAATCACTTGAACCTGGGAGGTGGAGACTGCAGTGAGCCGAGATCGTGCCACTGTACTCCAGCCTGGGTGACAGAGTAAGACCCTGTCTCAAAAAAAAAAAAAAAAAAAAATTGTGATAAATGCCCAGCATTTCCTTCATTTTTATTCACTCAACATGTCTTATAACCACAAAGCCCAGATTTGAACCTTGTATATACTCATGGAAAGGAGAACCAGTTCTCAAGCAACTCTTCTCATTTTTACCAACCACATAAACATGTAGCTTCCGGTAAAACAATACTTCTCATTTTACAAGTTCATTAATCAATAATGAGCAGGCTCAGTGGGGGCACAGGACAACCTGAGCCTGACAGCGAGGAAGGCGGATTTTGTCACGGAGGGAGGGTTCTCATGAAACTCTGGATCTCCCAGCTAGTTGGGGGGCACTAACAAGGGCTGCCCAGAGAGCACGCAAGGTCTCTCCAATCATGCCACAAACCCCGCAATGTCAGGACAAAGGCACCGGTGTTGACAGAGACCTTGGAGTTCATCAGAGAGGTGACATCACCTGCCTAGGTCTCTACTTCCCTGCTCTTTTCCCCAGCAAAACCAACCACACTTTGCATTCCCCATCATTATTAATCCTCCAAACAAGCAACCCGTCCACATAGGAACAAGGAACCTGAGGTGAAGTGAGCCGAACTGGCTTACCCAAGCTCACACAGCGCAGGGCCGTCAGCATTGGGAGGCAGCCCTGGGTCCTATAGGCCTCATGCACGGCCTGCCTTGCTGTCGAGAAAGTCCCAGCCACCGACACAGGCTGCAGGAAACGGCACCAAAGTCACTTGCAGCAGCGCAGAGAAAGTGTGAACAAAGAACCTTTTTTTTTTTTTTTTTTGGGAGATGGAGTCTCACTCTGTTTCCCAGGCTGGAGTACAGTGGGGCACGATCTCAGCTCACTGCAACCTCCATCTCCCAGGTTTAAGTGATTCTCCTGCCTCAGCCTCCCAAGTAGCTGGGATTACAGGCGCCCACCACCACCATACCCAGCAAATTTTTGTATTTTTAGTAGATGGGGTTTTGCCATGTTGGCCAGGCTGGTCTCGAACTCCTGACCTCAGGCGATCTGCCCGACTTGGCCTCCCAAAGTGCTGGGATTATAGGCATGAGCCACCGCGCCTGGCCTTTTATTTCTAAGGGAAATAAAAGTCCCAGCAGAGCATTCTAGTTTTGAAGCATCTCACCTAGGAACACTAACAGACAGCAAATTTAACCTGCTGAGTGCAGCCCTCATTTGGTCCATTTTTCTTGCCACAACTGCCTACTGCCCTTCTGTCAAGGCAGAGGCAGACATAAACCACTACCATCTGTGGCTGCCCTGGGAACTGTGAGAACTCATGGAAATAATGCGTCCCCTTGTGACTTCACATCGTGCACCTCCTGTGACAACCCTCCCCTCTGACAATTACACTCACACCCAGTTCCCACGTGAACACGCTGAGTCCAGCCTTGGAGATGCAGCTTTTGTCTTGCTGAAACCTTCCAGTTAAATTTCTCCATCAATTTTTCAAATAGTATTATTAGCTGAGGGACTAAAATCTGCCTGGCGTTCTTCTGATGACAAAGGTAACCCATCCCTCCCTGTGCTCCCCATCCTCACGTTGTTTCTAATTCAGATTTTCTTCTCCCTTCTCCTGAATACCTGCATCTTCTTCCTGACTGACATGGCTTTAGGAAACACAGCACATTCACAAACATCTGAAGCCAACTGCAAGGCACCCGTCACTCAGCGAGAAAAGCAGAAAGGTGCCAATTCAGATGGCTGAGCTACTTCGCCTGGGTCCCGACCTGTATCACCACAGGGTCACAGAAATGGAACCTTCTCCGTCACACCTCCTGATGGCAGTCAGCTGTGACCCGCTGAATCCAGGACATCATGCATTCCAGTTTCATTTGCGAGAACATTTCCAGGTCCGGCTGAAGCCTAGTGGCTCCAGCAGAGGTCTCAACCCCTTTGGGATGCTCAGTGGGAGACAGAATCAAGGGCCAATGATCCATGACCTAGTCCTAGTGCCCATGTCAGTTTGTCAAAGGCCCTCAGAGCAGATTGTGTTTTCCCTGGCGGGGGCTTGACTTCTTTGCTTTAAAAAGGATTCTTAAGTATTTATTGCAGTAAAATTAACCACCTTCAAATTTCTGCCAGATCCCCTGGAGGTATATAGCTTATTAACACAAAACAAATGTGACACTTGAAAGGCAGGAGACTTGGTTTCTATTCTCTGGCCCACTACTGACTTATTGGGTGGCTTCAGGCAAATAAGTGAAATCAAGAAGACACCATCTTCAACAAGCACAGAGTGGGCACCTGGCAGGTGAGCAGTGCCCTGTGAGGTCTGGGGCTGGGTTCGGTGGTGAAACTAGGTCAGCACACACAGCCCTTTGCTGGGGGCCCACTGCCTGGGGTAGGATTTTTGTAGCTGGGTTCAAGGTGGACATGCTGAAATGTGACCCTAAAATGTTTGTACTCTTGAAGCTGAAGGAGTGGGAAGAAACCTGTCATTTAAAGAAGGACAGTATGGCCAGGTGTGGTGGCTCACACCTGTAATCTCAGCACTTTGGGAGGCCAAGGTGGGAGGATCACTTGAGTCCAGGAGTTTGAGACTAGCCTGGGTAACATAGGGAGACCACATCTCTACAAAACATTTAAAAATTAGCCAGGCATGGTGGGATGTGCCTGTAGTCCCAGCTACTCAGGAAGTTGAGGCAGGAGGATCACTTGAGCCCAGGAGGTCAAGGCTACAGTGAGCTATTGTCATGCTACTGCACCCCAGCCTGGGTGACAGAGTGAGACCCCGTCTCAAAAAAAAAAAAAAAAAAAAAAAAAAAAAAAAAAAAAAGAAGGAAAGGAAGGAAGGGAGGGAGGGAGGGGAGAAGGAAGGAAGGAGAAGGCAGGCAGGAAATCAATATGACAGCATAGCACTGGAGCTAAGAACACACCTTCTAGAAGCAGACTCTATGAATTCAAATCCTGGGTCTACCATTTATAAGCTGTACTTTCCTCTGTAAAATATGAATCTACAGTACCTACTTCTCACAGATTGTTATAAAGATGAGATGTGTTAATATAGATAAAGTAAGCACTCAGTGAATATGAGGCATTAACCAGAACCCAACAAGGTGCCATCATCAAATATAATAATTGAGTGCATAACTTTTTTCAGTTTACAAAGCAAATTTACATATAGCATTTCTTTTGGATCTCACAAAACTCCATGAGAGCTGGCAAAATACTTCCCCCCATTTTCTTTGAAGCTCATACTCTCCTTGTTTACTCCCTTACAAGTCACACTTGAACAAAGTGACCAGGCAGATTTGGGAAAAAGCAAACAAACAAAAAACACCAGATAGACCTTTAAGAAATTAAAAAACAAAAAACAAAAAACAAAAAACTGTTAACACAGAAATCTCAGTTGATGGGCTAAATGGCCCATCATTCTAAGAATAGTTGGGAAGACAATGCTTTAGATGCCATCTACACGCTGTTAGTTCCATCTCAGTCATCTCTCCTGAATAACAGCATCCACCTGCCTGCTCATTTCCAATGGATTTCTAATAGAGATCTCAGACTCAACATGTCTATAAAAAGAGCTCCTTGTTTCCCACCCCCCCTCAATAAATAAGATAGTGGATAAATTATGATATATTCACACACTAGAATATTCTGGCAATATGAAGGAACTGTAGCTATTCCTGAAAACATGGATGAATTTTGCAAATATATGGAGGAAAATCTCAAGTTCCAAAAAGACCATGCAAAGTCCGATACTATTTTTATATGTCTCAAAATACCTTTAGCAACACACATTTACTCATTACACTGTGATAAAAATATATGTTTGTTTAAAAATCAGGATAATTATAAATACAAATTTCGGAATAGTGGGAAAGCAGGAAAATGCTAGGAATAAGATACTTAGCGAGATCTCCAAGTATTTGTAATGAGCCAATTCTTAAGTTGGATGGTGGTTCACTGGAGCACCTTTAAAATTGTGCTTTAGAGTTTACTTGTATGTTACATACCATCTTTTGTATATATCAAATAATTATAAATTAAAAAGACAGAAATGCCATCCACAAAAATGAACTGTGCTGAAGTAATTCATATTTCAAAACAATAAGCTAAGCAATGAAGGAAAGTAACTCTTGCTAAAAATATGAGGAAGTTAATTTATGCTAATAAAGTTGGTTATGGAATATAATTACTTGAGCAAGGATGACTAAAATATGTCTATACTATGTGTATCAAATGCCAAGGGGGAAATGACCAGGGTATTTACAGATCAGAACAAATGTATTTATGAAGAATCTTTTTTTTTTTTTTTCTATTTTGCAGACTTTCTTTTTTAAAAGCAAAATAAATTGACATGACTTGTTCAGGGTTAACTGTTTGGCAGGTGGATGATCTGTGGCCATCCATGATGAGATCACCTCCCTGCCCCGCTGGCCCCCAGCCTCTAGAAGTCAGGGCTTCTGAGGCCCAGAAGCTCAGCGCCACACCTGTTGAAGGCCAGTGATGTCAGAGTTACTCTTCCTTCCTCCAGCAGCACTGACAGCAGTTTATTGTACGCAATTTCTAGAACTCAGATGTTCTAGAAGGAAGCAAACATATTCTGAGATCACAGACTATGACTATGCTCTCAGAATATGTTCTAGAACACCTAAGTTGCAATTCTTAAAATCAACACAGCGTAAGACTGCTTTAGGAGGAAGTGATCAAGCTCAAAGCAACCTAGGCATGATGTGCCTTGTTTGTTTATCTGTTTGAACAGGAATAAAACGAAAAGAGGCCTGTGTATTTCTCGTATTTTTATATAAGAGCTGGAGCTATTTGAACGGCTAAGGAGAAGAAGATAGTTTGATTTAGATTTGGCATGGGTTTAGGGGAAGAAACGTCTCTGTAGCTGGTCCTAAATATTATGGTAACTTGGACTGAATCAGTCTCCAAGGGAGAAGCTGCCACATGTTATAACAGAAGCCACTGGGCTTGGCAAGAAACAAATGAAAAAAAGTACAACGAAAGCAACCCCACTTCTCCATCGTGGCGGGGATGAGCTAGGCAGGACGACTGCATGTCTTCCTTTCCTATGCCTGACCAAATCCAGCACTGCCCTTTCAAATCAGTCTTCATCACATTCCAAAGAATACAAAATACGCAAGTTAATTTTAATTTCCAATGAATTCTTCAGGAGAAATTTTTCTTCCTCCTTCCTAAAAAAAAGAATAAAAAATGCAGAATAGAGATTCAAAATGAGGGGTGGCAGCAAAAATTCTGACTCGCAGAAGGTTGAGAGGGTGCCTTTTTCAAATGTATTTATTTTACAGTTCCAAGAAGGTAAGACTACCTTCTGTTTTGATTCATGCTTCACCATTCCCCACTTAAATTTTTAAAAATTACATCCTTGCCTATGTCTGTCTTGCTATTTGACTGGTCACTCCCAAACATAAACTGCCCTAGTTTGAAGCTTCCCAAAGCCAAGCAAAGGTGACAGACTAGTACAAAGAAGGCCGCTAGTGAGTTTTTACTGAGTGAATCTACATTGTTCCATGGCCTTGGTCTGGATATAGATTCTAAAGCTTCTTACACTGACACAAATGGAGTTTCTAGCTCTCCAGGTAATTTTCGGTGAAAGAAAATTATAGAAGAAGGCATAAACCTTGGCTCACAAAATAAATACGCACTCAGACCCATGTACTTCATGAAACATACAAGCCCAGAGCTAGACCATGCCATCTGTTTTATGAGGAAAAAAAATAAATTCACATGATTTACTTACTTTAGCTCTGCCAGAAATCATCAGCATCTACTTGCACAACTAAAGACAAGAAGACAAGGCAGATGGAGGCTAAACACCGAATACTGCCTAATTTTGATGTATATTTTTGGGTCAAACCTCTTATAATTTACTATTTCCAAGAGGGAAAATAAGCTTATATAATGGCACTGAATCATTGGCTTCCAGTTATGGGAAGCAAAGGAAATTAACCTCAAGGGGAAAAAAATGCTACAAATATAAATAATATAGTTTCTGTTTACGAAGCAGTTTTTCATGTACTGCCATTTCTTTCTTTTTTTAAAGAAGATATGTTTACAAAATAGGTGACCAACTAAGGTAGGTGTGTGTGAAGAGAGGCAGTGAGAGAGAGGGGATCCTGAAATTCTTTTCAGTAAAGGAAAAAGATAATTTTAGGGATGTTTTTAAAAATATATAACTTGATGAATTTTTTATAGCATGAGTATTATTTAGGTGCTGTCCTAGACCAGTGTGGCGTATAGGCTATAGAAGATTGGTCCTGAATGCTAATGGCAGGGATGAGTGTAAGATCATCAAAACTTATTTGTGGGAAGGAGAGCTACTGACAGAGCCATGTATTACATGACTCCAGTCTGGGCTGATAGGCCTGCCTTAAAGCATAGCTAGAGGGCAGGCACGGTGGCTCATGCCTGTAATCTCAGCACTTTGGGAGGTTGAGGCGGGCAGGTCACTTGAAGTCAGGAGTTTGAGACCAGCAACATGGTGAAACCCCATCTCTACTAAAAATACGAAGATTAGCCGGGTGTGGTAGCATGTGCCTGTAGTCCTAGCTACTCAGGAGGCTGAGGCAGGAGAATCGCTTGAACTGGGGAGGCAGAGGCTGCAGTGACCCAAGATTGTGCCACTTGCACTCCAGCCTGGGTGACAGAGTGAGACTCCATTTCAAAAAAAAAAAAAAAAAAAAAAAAGCATAGATAGACAAAATGTCCTGGAATCACTAAAATGGATAAATTATGATATCCATAAAGTGGATAAGTTATGATATATATTCACACACTAGATACACACATTATGATATATTCATATATATCGTGAAGGCTAAACCCACATGAGTCCATAACACACTCACAGGTCTGTGCCCTTTGGCCCTGGCCCTCTCGCCATTCGGAAGCGATCACAGAGAACACAATGAGTCTGTTATTCGCTCAATATACAGTCATGTGCAGCATAACATTTCAGTCAATGGTGCACCGCACCCATGATGGTGGGCCCGCAAGATTACATGGAGCTGAAAATTCCTATTGCCTAGTGACACTGTAGCCACTGTAACACACTGCAGGGCTTTACTTTTTCTATGTTTAGGTATGTTTAGATATATGAGCACTTACCATTGTGTTACAATGTATTCAGTACAGTCGTACTGTACGCCACACAGGTTTGTGGCCTAGGAGCAATAGGGCCATATCATATCGCCTAGGGATGTAGTAGGCTATACCATGTAGGTTTATGTATATACACTCTATGATGTTCACACGATGACAAAACTGCCTATCCCCATTGTTAAATGACACATGACTGTATGTGCATTAAGTACCTACTGTGTGTCAGGTAGTGTACTTGGCAGGTGCTGAAGTATGGTGGTGAATCAATGGAGAAAGTCCCTTATGGAGTTCATAGTCTATGGGGAAGAATGGTGAGCTCCAGTATAGATACCCAGTATATACAGAGAGAGGTCCAGTACAGACACCCAGTATAGACATAGCCAAGTGACCAAGAGCACTGGCTTGGAGTCATTCAGATGAGGTTTAATCCTTGGTTCTGCTACTTGCTTTGGAAATGTCACTCCCTAATCACTGCTTACTTTATATGTAAAATGGGATGGTAATGCCAGCCTTTCAGGGCTATTGAGAAGATTCCATGAGACAATGTTTATAAAGCACTTACAACAGCATCTAGCACCCAACAGACCTAATAAATGGGAGTTATGATGATTGTTCTCTCAAAGATCCAAGGGACACACACAAAGAGGTTTGCTATTTTCTCCCCCAGAACACACCCCAAAATGCTGAACCAGGAGCCAACTCATATCACCACTTTATCACGCTCCTGTATGACCCTGGGCAAATCAGATGCCCACCAGTGTCACTAGGCTAGACAGCAAAGTCTAGTTGCTAAAAATATACTCCAGCAGGTGGTCTACAGTGTTGCTGTAATGGGAATGTTTTCTGTTTTTCAAGGAGCTAAGAAGCATTATCGGATGGTCTCTTGAAAAATAACTTATAAGCATTTTCTCTTTCAATACAAGCCCTACCAAGAGCACACTACCATAATAAATATTCTGGACAATGGTTCCAAAGGGAGAGATGAAAAGCTGTGCTCGGGGCATTAAGCTGAGAAGCGGTGGAGTAGTCAATAGCACAACCTCTGCAGCCAGGCTGCCTGAGTCTTCAGTCCAGCTCTGTCACTCACTAGCTGTGTAGCAATGACCACATCGCTCACTGGACTCATTGCTTAAAATCTGTAAAATGGGATAGTATTATTCCCTATCTCATTAGGTAGTTGTAAGGATTAAAATCACTAACACCTGTAGGGCAACTAAAACAGCACCTGACATACAGAGAACATTCCATAAACATTACCAATAATTACGCATGGCAAACTCAATAACTTTATTACCTTGCTAATAAAAACATGAGGGCCAAATAGCAAGAAAGCGACTGAACTACACCAGAGGTTTGAAACTTGAGTTTTCTCCTTGGCTCTCCCATCAACTGTCTGCATGACTGTGGGTACATCACTTCCCTTCTATATTTCACTATTCTCATCTATACAAAAAGCAATATACGCACACACCAAGAACACCTAGAGAAGCCTGATGCAGCTTTCTGCTAATACCAACTGGAGCCAAACAACTTAAATTTATTTATCTTCCTATCTGCATTAGTCAGGGTTCTCCAGAGAAACAGAACCAAGAGGGAGAGAGGGAGAGGAAGAGGAAGAGGGAGAGGGCGATTGAGAGGGAGATTGAGATTGAGAGAGAGAGAGACTGAGATTGAGATTGAGAGAGAGAGTGGTGGGGGTGGGGGTAGATACTGATATTTACCTTAAGGAACTGGCTCATGCAATTACAGGGACTGACAAATCCACAATCTTCAGGGCATGCTGGTGACCAAGGGAAGAGTTGATGTTGCAGTCTTTTTTTTTTTTTTTTTGAGACAGAGTCTCACTCTGTCGCCCAGGCTAGAGTGCAGTTACATGATCTCAGCTCACTGCAACCTCTGCCTCCTGGGTTCAAGTGATTCTCATGCCGCAGCCTCCCAAGTAGCTGGGACTACAGGCGCCTGCCACCATGCCCAACTAATTTTTGTGTTTTTAAATAGAGACAGGTTTTTGCCATGTTGGCCAGGCTGGTCTTGAACTCCTGATCTCAAGCGATCCACCCATCTCAGCCTCCCAAAGTGCTGGGATTACAGGCGTGAGCCACCGTGCCAGGCCGATGTTGCAGTCTTGAGTCTGAAGGGAGACTGGAGACAGAGTTCCTTCTTCTTTAGGGACTTCAATCTTTTTCTCTTAAGGCCTTCAACTGATGATATATGAGGCCTACATACATTACAAAGGATAATCTGCTTCACTCCTTCTACTGATATAAATGTTAAACCTCATCTAAAAAACTACCTGCACAGCGACATCTAGACTGGTGCTTGACCAAGTATCTGGGTACTGTGGCCTCGCCAAGCTGATACATACAATTAGCCATTACACCATCCTTTCAGAAGGGGTGATGCCCACACCGAAGGAAAAAACCTCTAGACTCCACAGCCATTTAATCTTCTATTGGAGACCATAATCGAGGCAAGGAATTCAGATGAGGCTACTCTTTTCTTCACAGGTGAATTCCAAGCGTCTCACAGCTTCCAGGGCATTTCTTGTTCTGGTTCCTGCTCACCTGTCTTATCTCCTTGCTCTTCCCTCCATTCCAGCCACACGTGGTTTTTGGTTTAAAGACACTGTGTTCTTATCTTGCTCTGCCTGAGTACGCGCTACTTCCACGGCCTGGGGTATGCTGTTTTCCCACTTTTTAACTGGGTCCTCATCATTTGAGTCTCATGTTGAGAACCACAACTGCCTCTAGAGAGCTTCCCTGACCTGACAAGGTTAGGCCAGTAAGTTCCCACAGCCAATCTGCACACCTCCTGCCTTACACTCAAGCCACGCCATCAGGGCTCCCTCCCAGCCTGGCAGCTCCGTGAAGGACACACCTCTCTTGTTGGTCACAGCATTCATGCTGCCAAGCTGGTCCACGAAGACACAACAAATAGCTGCTGAATAAATAAATGAGGATGCAGATGGTTCTTAAGCCTTGACCTTCAATCCTCCCAATGTCCTTGAGATTCGGCTCCATGTCTCCAACCACTTGCTGGACACCTGAAGGCGGGAATCTCACCAGCACCTACACTGAATATGCACAGAGTGGACAGAGCTTGTCTTTGCTCTCACGTACGCTGTCTTCCAAGCCTAGTACAGTAGAAAGAACACAGGCTTGGGGGTCAGGGAGGCCTGTACTGAAGTCCCTGTTCTAGATCCTGTTACAACTGTACAATTTTAGACCAATTGCTAATTTTCTCTGACCCTTAGTTTTCTCGTCTCTGATATAAGGATGAAAATACCAACCCACAAGATTAGGAGGAGATTAAATGAGATAATAGCTATGCAATGCCTGGCAGATGGCATAGAAATAATGAATGGCACCTGGGTTCAAAGCTCTGGGGGCATTTTTGCTTCCCATCGGCCAACCCCTATTATCTAGGCAGTTCCTAAATCCCATCTCATAAATTCAATTTCTCCATCTAGTGGCCTTCCCCTCACCCAGGCCCTCCCCACCTCCCTCCTGGACCACAACAGCAGCTCTAAAAGGCTTCCCAGCTCTGGCTATTTCACAGTCCAGAGGCACCCACATGCTGATCCCCGCAAGGCCTCTTCAGGATGGGGACTCTAGCCACTCAAATTCTTCCATTGCTCCCCAGTAACTTAAGTTTAAATCATTTAGTCACGTGCCATTCAAGGCCCTCTGGGTTCTGGCCTCCAAGGACCTTTGCTACCTGATCTTCTCCTTAGTGGTTTACACACATCATTGCCCAGCAACTACAAATCGATTCCTGCCCACTCTGCACCCCGGCATTTCCCATCCCTACCTATGCCTTTGCTCATGTTTCCTTCAACGAGGATACTCCAAGACCTCAAGTCCAACATTACCTTTCTTTCAATGTCTGGCTCAAAGGCTCTTTATCCATGAAGCATTTCTTGATCATCCCAGCCACAGATAAACACACAACCTTTCTTTTCTATGAACTTGTGGTATGTTTATCTCTCTACCTTTTATACATTTCTCTTTCTCTCTGCATTTATTCTTTGTTTTTCTTTTTTCTAAGACATCTTGTTATAGCATCTCTGCATTTATTCTAATTTTATCTGTGCACAGAACCTTAGCTTCAAGCTCCTTGAAGGGTAGCATCGTGTCCCAGCCTACACTGTCACACTCAGGAGAAGCACCCAGTAGATGGTGGCTCTGTATCTACCTACAGAGTGCCACTGAGGAGCACAGGCCTTCAGGTCTGTAGCCCATCAGCTGAGCCTTCGCATCAGCTCCTAGAACAGTGCCTGGCATAGAGCAACACCCAGAAATCATTGTTAAATGAAATTATCCACAAGGGAGTCACCTAGTGTCTACATGATAGAAATTCTTTCCCTGTAGAATATAACATGAAAGGGGGTGTGAAGAAGCCTTCTCTCTCCCCATACTTCCAGATGCAAGAAAGCTTCACGTTAACTGTCTCCCACAAGCTATATAGCTACTCTCGGCAATAAACATGACATATAATACTTTGGTGCATTTGGCGTGTCAAAAATATTCAATTTTAACATGTCAGAAAGAATCATTTTTCAAAAACAGTCTCCTTTGGAGAAGAGAGTTATTCAAACAATATCCAAAACCTTTTTGGATCTCACATTTTGAAGAGGTCCAACTTCCGTTGGTTAAAAAAAAAAGTCTATTATATAATGAAAGCCTTACAACTGACTGAGAATTATAGAATTTCAGAAATAAATCCCAGTCTGTTCATCCTTAAAATAAGAAGCTATTTTTCAGGGCTTTCATGTCCAAAATTATATTATGTAAGCCACTTCATAAATCATGTACACAACAATTCTCATTTTTCCATTAAATCTCTATTTTGAAATTTAATTCACTCATCCATTTTTTCAGAGATGGGATCTTGTTCTGTCGCTCAGGCTAGAGTGCAGTGGTGTGATCATAGCTCACTATAGCCTTCAACTCCAGGGCTCAAGGGATCCTCCTGCCTCAGCCTCCCAAGTAGCTAGGACTATAGATGCATGCCACCATGTGTGGCTTATTTTTTTATTTTATTTTATTTTTTTGTAGAGATGGGGATCTATGTTGCCCAGGCTGGTCTTGAACTCCTGGCCTCAAGTGATCCTCCCACCTCAGCCTCCTAAAGTGCTGGGATCACAGGTATGAGCCACCGTGCCCTGTCTTTTTATTTTGACCCCCTCTTGGCTCTAACAGCACACGTGTACCTCTGTTACAGGACATCAGTCTACAGTGCTACCTCTTTTTATAGTCATTTATCTCACTAACCTGTGTCTTTCTGAAATGCCAGACCCATGTTCACTTTTGAATCTACAGTACCTTCTACTGAAATGTAGTAGCTGGCTCAGTCCATGTTTATAACATGAAACAATGACTTGAATCAGTGGTTTGATCACCTACCATATTCATGAGACCTAACTATTGGCTCCCTCCTACCCTCAAAGGACAGAGATTTCCCACCGCTGTGGATAGTCAAAAGAAGATAGAAAGTTCTTAAGTGCTTCATTTAATGTGTTTATTTAGTCCCCTTGAAATAAATACTGATGGGTAAAACCAAATTAAATCACATGCTAAAAAGGATAGCCAGTCAAGTACCTAGCTGAGTATCTAAAATTAGTACACACACACACCAAAAACAAAAACAAAAGCACGGAAAAAGCCAAAAAGCCCTGCCTATTCAGCCCTGTGTACCCTTCACTGACTAGGAAGTGACCCACTTTTCAGGTATCATCCAATCATACAAACTGGGCATCAGTGTCGTCAGAAGCCCACACATGTTCATCTCAAGACTCAACAACATAAACACGTCTATGTTTCCAAGAAAGCTCGTTGCAAGTTGGTGACAAATTTGGAAAAAAAAAAAAAAAAAAAAGCTCTAAATAAAATTACAGACATGACTTTCACATTTGAGCTCTCCAAATATATTGTTATGGGTTTAAGAAATACCACACTTCTGTGTCACAAAGAGAGTTCTAAAAACCAGTATGTTCTGAGAAGTCCATACCTGCTACTTGGGAACTAAACAAGGCTTGTAACAACTGAATCTCTTTAGAAGACTGTTAACACCTTGCTTAAGTGTGTAAAAATTGAAAATAAACATAACTGAAGATTTGAGAATTTTTCAGTTATAACACAGTTCTTATGAAAGATGGAAAATATTTCATATTCTCTTATATATTTATAAAAACAGCAGATATTTCTTCTATTTACAGAGGTGGAAACGAAGGCAAGCAAATGCAGTCATTTTGTTGGAGGACTATTCTACATTTCCAAAGCAATGAAGACATGACCCCAAACTAAACTCTCCTGCAACGTATTCTTACAAGAAAAAGGCTAAAAGCCTTATTGCTTAACAAAAGCTAAACAATGTGAATTATTTCAATAACTGGTCCAAAAAGCTGCAGCAGGCCACTGAGTAACTTGGACATCTGTTGCCATGCTTGTTCATGCTTTCCCCTGAGATGACATATATGTATCATCATTAATAGGTGTCCTTGATTTTGATAAGAACAATATTCCTGTACATCCCCACATCTCCTGTACATAGCCATGTGCTGCCATCTTCTGATTATGCCCAGTGGAGTGTAAACATTTTTTCATGAAAAAGCAAAATCAATAAAAGTAAAACTCCCCACTTTTCCTGCCAGTAGTGCCCTTGGTAACAAACAGGGCAGAGACACCAATACAGAGATTACAATACTCTCAGACATAATTCAAGCAGAACTTTAAATGGATCAGTGCATGTTATAAACTTTCTTTTTTTTGCAAGTGCCAAGCGTGCTTATGCTACTATTCATTCTGAGATAGACAGATCATCAATGACCTTCTGGGTCACTGACTAGGGAGAAAGCTGACTATAAAAAAGAGTGGGAGAAAAATAAAGTGGGGGTTGCTTCCTTCCACCCTAGACCCCCTACTGCCTTGAATGAAAGAAGACAGATGGCAGCCACCTTTCCCTTTAATTAGGAGGGGCAGCTTAGAAGGGACAGTCCTGCTCACTTGGCACTATCTTTAACAAGACTGTTTAGATGGCAATGCTCTGCTCATTCGCCCTTCTTTCAAACTGTTCTTAATTTTTCACTTACAAACTGAATTTCCGTAAATTTAATGGTGAAACAATTACAGCTCTGACTACAACGCTATACATAAATGACACACTTAAAGATGTTTGCTGAATTAAAAATTCACAGATATTCCTATAAAGAGGCTGGAATGTTTCAAATGAAATACAGCTACCTCCAGTCCTATCAGCACCACTTTGAGATAAAATATGAATTCCCAGGACACAGAAGCTCTAACTTAAATTCACAACATTCCATACTAGACATAGAAGTAACACCCCTGGTTTCTGCTTTCCAGTTCCACACTCCAGTCGTGCTCCCACCTTTTACCTTCAAGGTATTGCTGTTCAAGTTGACAAAAAAAAAAAAAAAAAAAAAAAAAAAAAATTCTACAGTAAAAATCAGTCCTAAATGTAGAAGGGAAGATCATTTAATAACAAATCACAAACCACTCTTCATCTCTATTTGCTCTGCATTTTCAGAAACCATAGAACTTTATATTACAAGTTAATCAATCCACATCACATCTCTGGAGAGAGGATCAGCATAAAAAAACAAACAAAATGGAAAACAGGAGCCATGTGTCAGAATTAGGCTAGTGTCACAGGATCTTCTATGGAGGTGACGAAGCCTCTTCATTATTTTCTAGAGGCAATTAAGCACATTTTCCATAAATCTACATGGCACAAAACTTTCTAACATGAAAGTAAAGTTTAGTTGCTGTTGACAGGGTTAGGTCTCTATACATTGTATCTCATTTTTATATTAAATTTGTTTTTATCAACATCATTAAATAATTGATATTCTCGCAGCTCTTTTCCATTTCCTGATGCGTTTTTAAATTGCAGCCTCTTGTCTGTGACACCTTCCCACCTAGTTTCTGCACAATTCCTGCACAAGGACCCTCTGCGTTAACATCGGTCCTGGGGAAACCCACTGTGCCTGCTTCCAAATGGAAATCAGGGCGGCGAACTGGGGCTGTTTTGCTAGAGGTGCTCCTGGTCATACCATGCAAAACGCCTTGTCTGTGTCATAGTCATTTACCTAATGGCAAAGTTCTTGGACCATTTAGAAACAAAACAAAACACTTTTTGTTTTCTCCTTGATAATAAATTTCAATCTCTTCCTATCTCTAAACAGCAAGCCGGCACACTAGATATGGGAAGAGGGAAAAGATAAAAGAAGCAATCAGCTATTGAATAAACTATATCCTACTTCCCAATGAAGGGGAAAAAACTTGGCATTTGCCGGATATTGAGTGTCTAATAACATTAGCAAGAAAAAACACGCAGGAGAGACTAACAAAGAAACAAACAGAACTTACTTTGTTTCCCAGCACAGTAAGCAGGTCGGCAATGAGATGACGGCGATTCCTTCCTCAAGGTCCCTGCTTTCACTTTAAAAGCTGTGTGAGTGCTTACATCCAGGTTTGCCGTGGAACTCCAAATGTCTGTGCTTCTAAAGATGCCCCAAGTTCCCAGTTCATGTCAGACACTGAAGACACACTTGTGAGGATCGGGAAGCCCCGCGGTAGCCCCAGTCGACCTCTGGGTGCCACGTGGCACCTCCACTGTTGTGACTACACACACAAGCCCGGGACACCCACTTGTTAGCTCAGGAACCAGGCGGCCAGCAGATATCTGCTCAGATGAACGTCCAGAGACTCAATCCTCTGGCATTCTCAGGTTCAAGGTTGGAAAACGCATTAAGACGAGAGCCACACAGTCAGCAGAATCTGCGCCATTAGCTTTCTCGTACTTAAACGTCTGTCTAAATAAGAGTCAAAGGCACAAAATGAGAAGGAATATCTTACTAGGGATTGTGACTTGCACTTGCCATATTTTGAAAGTACTGGTTCCTATCTTGCTCTCTCAAACTGCATTTAAGAAACCCTACATCAGAAGTTATTTTCATTTCTTCTGTGAAAAACAGAAAATCAATAAAAGACTGGAAAAACATATGAAATATAATTCTGCTTAAAAACATAACCATTATTTAATCTCAACGGGCCAATTTATTTTAATCCAAAGAGAAGAAGAAAAAAAACACATGTATAAATTTAAAGTTTGTTTTGAAAAATTACTTCATCCATGTACTGTCCAGCTCATAAAAACAAAACTTCTTCCAGCGAAACGGGACACTTTGACCTTGTTTACTGCAGTGTTTGGAAACCGCTGTCTCGTAACTCCTGACATCACCGGTGGTGCATTAGCACCTGGACTGCTGTTGGCTGCACATGCTGATACCCCAACTCTCTTGAATCACCCGTGGCTGAACAAATACTCACAGAACAGTAAGGATAGTGGCATTAGCATTAAACCCACAAAACTCACAAGACCTTTTAGAAGTGTCACATCTCTCTGTTCACTTATACAAGAAAACAAAAGCATTGTATATCTGATACTTTTTAAGTCCCGGCATCCAGACTGAGTACAGACAATTCTTTCTTCTGACCCTCTCCCTGCCCAAGAAACGGGATTCCTTTCTCACCAACCGCCATATTGGCAAGAATTTCTGCCACAGAGTTTTACTATTAATACTAGAAGTTCCAACCTACTTTCCACCAATAAAAAGTTCCCACAAATCTTCCTAGGGGAGAATTTATTTAAGTATATTTTAGAGTTTCAAAGAGCACTGCATTCTTAAGTTTCACAAAATCAAATTTATTTGTTTTCTTTTATGGAACATGCTTTTGGTGGTGTGCCTGCCTGTTGCATTTCTAAAGAAACAATTTTCTCCTGTAAGCCTGACACATTTCCCTTTCTGCATTCCCCAGTTCTTTTTCTAAATACACCAAAATCAAAGCAACGGATAGTTGCAACCACTGGAAGCAAGCCACAATTCAATTTGTGCAAATATCTCCCCAGATTCACTTCTTAAATAAAACTAAATCCTGGTCCTACAATGATAGTGGAATTTTACAGAGAAATTAAAAACCCAAGTTTAATGTGTCTGAAATCAACTGATAACCTTTTACTGAAACCACTTAAAAACATCACGTCCTTAAACTATAGTCACCAAAAAATATAGAACACAAAATACATATTTGAGCAATTATAGCCCTTGTTTGTCAAAGAGGAGTAAAAAGAAAAACATCCAGAGTTAATACAATTAATTAACTCTAGCTAAAGAACTACTAAAAAGACCCTCCAAATGCCATGCTGTTACTACGACAACTTCAAAATTGCTTGAGAAAATGTGCTGGATTGTCAGATTCGTGATAAAACAAGTGTCATCCTGCCTGCTAGGAATTACTTTCATTTATATCAGGCAGCAGAAAGGCTAAATGGCCACTTGCAATTCTGAAATATTAGGTTGTTACCTTTTGATAGATGCTGTACTCTTCATTCAGATCATGAGAAGAGTTAAAAAATAAATGAATCTCTCTCAATCATCGGAACCCTTTTGGTTTCATTCCTGCAACGATACCACTCCCACCGTCTATCTAGTTGGTACATTATTTTGTATAAGGAAAGCAGCAAAGTCTGATTCAATCTGAAAGGGAAGGGCCAAGAAAAACCCCTAACAGTATCTCGTTTCCAAATACAAATAGGTGAGCAGACACTCACTCTGATATTTAAGGGTTAATAATGACACAGAAAAAGAAAACGGCATTTTCTCCCTTAAAATTCCTGCTCCTAGGTATTCAGGCTGATTTACATTTTACGTAATCTGATGGCTCAATCAGGAAGTGAGAATTTTAAGTGCGTGAGTTATGGACGGGAGGAAGCATGTGACCCATACATAGCAAAGAAAATTATGCAGCAGATGAGCACGCTAAGAAAAATAAACTAAGCAGTTTAAAAATAGTGTTTTGAGGATATATCGACCCATGAATATACTATGGCTTTTGAGAACTAATAATTCATTTGGACGCCTTAAAAATAAATCCCCAGGACTGTTTTAAAAAATATTACAAGATCCAAGGAATCCACGGTGAGAAATTAAAGTTTAATTATCCAAGAAACTGTTTCCCTCAAGTGCATATCCATTCATGGTTTATGTTAAAGGCTATTTTTCATCATTATTTAAAGATCAGGCAATACGTAATATAATCAAACAAAACACAGATTGCAGTGATGTTTACTTAAGCTTTATTTATATATATAGTGCGTAGGTTCCTGGAGCACAAAGAAGAAAGTTGCTCAGATTTATCCAGACCTCACATAAGTTTATAGATTTCAAGTAGCCACTGTATTTTATTACAGAAAATACATTCTTCAAGAGGAAAATGTTAAGGCCATAGAAGCTTTCACCTTAGCTATCTAAGCTTGTATTAGGTCATCATTAAATAGTATCTGTATCATTCTTATGTGTTCCGTAAGTTATGCCACAAATACCAGACCAAGTACACTCAGTCTAGAAACAAAAAAGTGGGAAATAAAGGTTAAAACATTCTAATAGGTGTAATGGGCTGATAGATGACTTTATATTACAAAGCTACTTAAGACAATTCTACTTTTCTAGAATACAACGCATTAATATAAACATTTGAAATTCAGAAGATTTGGCCTGTGGATGCTTTGTTTCTCAATGCAATTCTTGTTAATATGTTAGTAAGTAATAATTTATTAATACCAATAATAAAAAATTAACATGGTTGAGAGCAGGTGTATCTCATAGCCTTTATCAATTTAATGCTTAATACCAAAATGCTATTCATATTTTTATTTCAGCCTATTAAAAAAATTTATACCACAGCTCTGGGCAAGTGGCAGGGTGGCGCCAGTGACAGGAATCAGTTCTGCGTATTTCTTGATTCCTAGCTCATCTTCCTTTAATTCTTAAACACAAGAGGTAGCTGGCGGAAAGAAGAGACTGTTAGGAAAGACAGAAACCTTTCAGAAAGGAAGCTTAAGGTAGATTAAGAAAAGTTAGGGAAGCTGAGAAGCATACAATCTTCCAGATGGAGTATTACATGACAACTGTCATCATCTTACTAAACTTGATATCATATTTGTTGACTGAATTAAGGAAAGATGAACTAGTTACCAAGAAATATACTCAGCAGATTGATTCATGGCAAACCTAGCTCAGCCACTTGCCTAGACTTCAGTTTATTTAGGATAAACCTCAGAGTATGTACTTCTCAACTCCTTCATTTTATAAATGAATCTTGGGTCCGGGCTCAGCTGTCAGTCAACTATCTGTATAGTAAATACAGCAAAGTCTCTTAACTTCTCTAATTTCCTGAAACATCATATTGTTACCTTTTGAGAGATGTTGTACTCTTTATTCAGGTCACAAAAAGAGTAATCAGTAAATGAATCTCTGAGTAATCAGGACCATTTTTATTTCATTCCTGCAACTATACTACTAATCAGAAAATTAGAGAAATTAACAGACTTTGCTATGTCACAGAGATAGGTGAGTGAACTGAAACCAGACCTAAGGTTTTGGACTTTCCCAGGCTAGGACTCTTTTTCACTATGTGCTGCCTTACAACTGTCACCTGAGGTTCGAGTAACTCTCCAACTAGCCAAGCCCTGGCTACTTATCCTAATCATGGAAAAGTCAAACAGTCAGGATCCAGAGACCCTCGCTCTGTGCCACCTTCTTCTTAACTCACAGGCCCACTGACCCTCACTGCTGCTGTGGGCTGCTCCCACCAGCCCGTGCTGAGCCTCCTACCTCATCTGCGAGGAGACAGGGCAAGTTCCAGCCTGAGGGGCATGGCTTCTGAGATGGTTCCAGTCCCTCTTCCTGGCTCGTTCCTTCCACTGGTACTCACAGCTTCCTCATTTTTCCTAATGGGAAAATCAAAGCACTAAAATAAGAAAAATCACTTGTTTTGGTTCATGTCACAGCTATACTGGGATTCTGAATAAACACAAGAACCAGATAATATTCTAGAAAAAGTAAAATTAACTCCTACTTCATAAGATTCACCAGAATTAATTCTGTGGAGATTAAAGAGCTAAATATAAAAGGAAAAAAAAAAGGAAGAAAACTAAATTAGTAGAAAATTATTTCTGAATTTGGAATGGGAAAAGAAGATTTAGCTTTATAGAAGCAATGAAAAAAGTAACAAAAGGCAATGTAATCCAACTGCAACAAAATTTAAAACCCCTATATGTCAAAAAACAGCAAACAGAATTGAAAGGTAAGCAAAAAAAGGCCAGGTGTGTTGGCTCACACCTGTAATCCCACCACTCTGGGAGGCTGAGGCAGGAGGATTGCTCAAGGCTTGGAGACCAGCCTGGGCAATGTAGTGAGATCCTGTTCCTACAAAAAAATTTAAAAACTAGCAAGACATGGTGGCACATATGTGTGGTCCTAGCAGAGGCCAGGGTTGGAGGATCACTTGAGCCCAGGAGTTCCAGGCTGCAGTGAGCTATGGTTGCATCATTGCATTCCAGCCCGGGTGACAGAGGGAGGCCTTGTCTCTAAATAAATAAAAAGGTAAGCAAAAAATAAAATAGCTGTAACAGGATAATATTCTGTATAGTATTTGAATGTAAAAGGTAAAATGTAATAACAGACAATTCACACAAAAATATAAAAGGCCAATTAATATGAAAAAAAATGCTCGATTTCATGAGCAAACACCGAAATTCATTTCACCGATCACAAAGATGGACAACAAAAAAAGGAAAGCTCATGAAGTGAGGTGAGACAACCATTTGAGGAAATTAGCAATATATGTATTTTTTCAGCCTTAAAACTGTTTTGACTCCTAAGATGTTTATAAATATCTCCTAAGGAAATAATCGTAGATACATAGGAAGATAACTATGGCAAGGACATACTTAGCAAAAGCATAAAATCGGGAACAACTTAAACATCCAAAGATGGAATGGAGCATGTGACTAAACAGATCACAGTAAAAATTCGTACGCTTAAATCATGATTTTTGAAGAATGCTTCATGATACTGGAAATGACAAAATATAATATTGGGTGCAAATGCTGAATATAAAATCATACATAAACATGATACTAATGTTGCCAGGTAAGAAAGAAAGTGAAGAAGAAGGGAGGGACAAGCTGGTCTCCAGACTGGATTAGGATACATTAAAAAAGCTTAAAAAGGGCAGACGGAGACATTAGATTTTTTATTACTTCTTTATAATCTTGAGATGGTTGGCATTTTCTGTAATATATTGTTTTTATAACTGGAAAAATTCTATTTATGCTAATTACCACCCTCTAAATATTTCTCAGCTTTATAAAATCATGAAAATATTTGCAAATACTTTTGAACAAGAAATTTTTTTTTTTTTTGAGATGGGGTCTTCAGGGGGAGTGCAATGGTACAATCATAGCTCACTGTAACCTCGAACTCCTGGGCTCAGACTATCCTCCCATCTCAATCTCCCAGCTACTCAGGTATGAACTACCACACCCAGCCAGAAATTCTTATATTTATTATTAAATGCAAAGAAGAAGGTGCAAAACAATGTGATCTTTACTATGTAAAAATTTACATGAAAGAGACTGGAAGCCTATGCATCAGAATGTTAATAGTTGTTGCTTTTAGGTAGTGCCATTGTGTGTAATACTTTTCTACACCTTACAAATTTTCTGTGATTGTCATATATTGTTTTCATAATAAGAAACAGATAACAGTTTCACAATTAGAGGACTAATACATCAAGAAGCTACTATTATCAACAGTTAAATTTCAAAATACAGAGTATCGATAGCTACAAAAATTTGCCCTATGACCAAGAGATTTTTTTTAATTTAGGAACCACTGGTATACCTTCAGAAAACAGTAGGAATTGGTGTGTGTGTAGGAGGTGATAATGAATCATATTTTTTTTTTTAGCTGTCAAACTGTTTTCTCCAGGCAGCAGTTCTGTGAGGTCCAACTGAAGTATGAGAACCTTGATAGTAGGGACATTACCAGAAAAATGGCCCAAAGGTCGATGGGGGGAGGAACAGTAAATGATCAAAAGAGTAAGGCAAGAGTCCATGAAAACAGAAGCGTCAATAGAGAAGGATCAATAACTTATTTGATCCAAAGGAACTGAAAGCAGGAACTAAAACAGGTATTTGTACACCCACGTCCCTAACAGCATTATTCACAACAGCCAAAACATGAGAGCAACCTGTGTCCATCAACCCGTGTCCATCACATGGATATATAAAATGTGGCATATCTACATGGCGGAATATTATTCAGCCTTAAAAAGCAAAGAAATCATGTCAATGCTACAATGTTGTTGTAATCCTACAACATTAGACGAACCTTGAGGACATTGTGCTAAGTGAAATAAGCCAGTCACAAAAGGACAAATACTGTAGGGTTTCACTTATTTGAGGTACCTAGAATAGTCAAATTCAAAGAAACAGAAAGTACAATGATGGTTTTCAGGGGAGCTGGGGGGAGGAGGGAATGGGGAGTTGTTGTTTAATGAGGACAGAGTTTCTGTTTTGCAAAATGAAAAGATTCCAGAGATGGATGATGGTGATGGGTGCACAACAACATGAATGTATTTAATGCCAATGACCTGTGTACTTAAACATGGTTAAGATGGTAATTTTTCTGTTACATATTTTACCACGATTAAAATATATACATATATATTTTAAGTATCTGTATTTACATATAGATATAGTCTTATCTGTGTATATATATATATATATATTTCATCTATAAATATATGAAAGAAAGAAAGAAACCATCAGAATTAGAAGTCCTGAATAAGTTTCCGATTTGGAATGCAAGAAAGGTTTAGGAGTGTCAATGATGCAAGCATCAAATGACCTTATTTCTGAGACTAAATTCTTTAAATATAAATTATAGAAGTCAGCTCAGAAGTGAAAATCCAGATCAAAAGTGAAAATAAGAAGGGATACTGTGTGTAATTTGAACATAATATACCAAACTTCTTTGTGGTTTTTTTTTGAGACCCTCTCATAATAGCCAGCTTGGAAAAATTCCCCACAACTAGGAAAGAACCTACAAATCCAAGCAACATGATGACATTTTCTCATCAACAGGAAAAAACATAAGCATAAGGGAAACTCTGAGTGTCCTTAAAATGTACTCGATACCCATTTTGTGCTATTACCACAGATTTAAAGAATTCTAGAGCTGGACAGAAGCTCTCAGATAGAACTGTTCCAGGACTCAGATGTCTAAAGAGGCTTCCCCAAGGTCACTGAGCAATGCCAGATTTAAAGACAAGCCCCTGGAGAAGAGTTCTATTTTGTTTGTTGTGTTTTATTTAATATATTTATTAATTTTGAGATGGAGTTTCGCTCTTATTGACCAGGCTGGAGTGCAATGGTGCAATCTCGGCTCACTGCAACCTCTGTCCCCTCGGTTCAAGCAATTCTCCTGCCTCAGCCTCCTGAGTAGCTGGGATTACAGGCACACGCCACCATGCCCAGCTAATTTTTGTATTTTTAGTAGAGACAGGGTTTCACCATGTTAGCCAGGCTGGTCTCGAACTCCTGACTTCAGGTGATCCGCCCACCTTGGCCTTCCAAACTGCTGGGATTACAGGCATGAGCCACCATGCTTGGCCGTGTTTTATTTTTTTTAAAGAGGTGGCTATTTAAAGGTAAGAAAGCAAGTGTAATTGGAAGGCTCTTTCTACAAGTCATTTTATTCATTAATTTTGTTCAAAAAATACTTGAGTACATCTTGTATAACTCTGCCAGGCACTGGGCTAGGTGCTAGATGATGAACAATATTTCATCATCCTTCCTGTAGCAAACTGGCAATTACAATGTAAAGGAGGCATACAATGCTATTAGTACACATAAGAGGGGGCTCTAATCTGTTCTAGCTAGATTGGTTGAGGATGGCAACCCGAAGGTAGTGATATTTTTAATAATAATAGTAATCACTGTTATCACAGCAAGCTTTATTGACCACCATTATAGGTCAGATAGGGCTTTAAAACTTTCTATGCATAATTTAATCTTCCTTACAATCCTATAAAGTAGAATCTTACTGATGAGGAAATTGAGGCACAGAGAGGTCTCACAGCTCCTAAGTAGTGAAGTCAGACCAGATTGCATGTTTTTTCAAAATCTGCTTCTAGGGAAACCCAAACAAAGACAAGACAGGAATGAAACTTAAGGATCAGAACATTCAGGAAAGAACTGTGATGCTCTGAATAAGTAAAGAGGGAGAAATAGGGTAGGGTTACTACAGATGGGAGAGGCTGAGGAAGGATGGAAGGGATACAAAGCCCATGACCAAGAGCTCTGGGGCAGGAGTGGTTGATTTACATTTGGGATTTTCATAAAGTTCTGTGGAGTGGGAAACAACTCTCTTCTCCAACTCCCCATGAACTTGTTAGTGCTGTGATGACCTGGTTATGCACAGGCTGGAACACGTGCTCTGCAGAGGCCCCCATCAATCTGGGTACAGGACATTTAACAAATGGGTAAGAATTAAAGCAGGGAAGGAGAAGGATGAGGATGCTTTTAGAAGCATCGCCCTGAAGGCAGTCAGAGAATGGATTAGGGAAAATTTAGCAGGGAGAGAGTTGCTAATCCATTAACACAGATAAAAGGTCATGGTGACCAAGAAGAAGGACATGACAGATAAAGTAGATGGGTTTGAAAATTGTTGATAGGTAGAATTCTGACCAGATTTGCCTTCTTACTGGATTCTGAAGGTGAGGAGAAAGGATCAATAAGTCACAGGTTTCAAGCTTGGGTATTTGGATCAATTTGGAACCTCTTGGATATGAGGTGCCAAAAAGATATTCAAGTGCAGATGCCCAGTGGGCACTGGAATATTAGTAAGGAGCTTAGAGACTGATAGAAAGAACCTGAAAAGGGCAATGAGAAGGAAAAGCAAGAAGGGTAGGGTGAGTCTTCAAAGGCCAGGGAGGAGAACGAGTCAAAGCCTGCTCACCACTGAGAGGTTGGGGAAGACAAGAATCCAAATGCATCTGACGAACGTGGCCCACAGGAAAGAGAGGAGGGCGACTATTGGCTTTGGCTACAGCGGAATCCACTTGGTCACCGGTGCAAAAGCCAGACTGGAACAGCCTGAGGGGTGGGCAGGAGTGAGGACAGGGAGGGAGTAACTAGAGACAATCCATCCAAAAGGCTGGCCCTGGCAGGAGAAGTGAATGGAGAGGTAATGAAAGGCAGGGTGATACTGAAGGCCTGTGTTGTTTAAAATGGGAAAGACTTAAGTAGGTTTCAGTGCTCGCAGGACAAAGTCAGTGGGGAATAAAAAGTACACGGTCAGAGAGAGAAAGTCTTTGAGAAGGTGAGAGGGAAGGGCATGGGGTTCAGGGCCTTGGACACGAGGAAGGACTCCCCTTCCACTGAAACAGGAGGCAAGGAAAGCCAGGCAGGTGCAGATGAAGAGTGCTGATTCACAGCGAGAACCTAAGTGAGTCCACCTTCTGGACTCTCTTCCCTCTGTGACAGCAGAGGGATGGCCAGTTACTGAGAGTAAGTAGTGAGATGCAGGAGGTGGAGAGTGGGCAGTGTGTGCAGAACCGCTGGGAGATGCAGGGGCACTGGGATGGCACGGATCAGCAGCTGGAGAGTGGAAAGCTGCCTCCTCAAGTGTGCTTCTCCCGCCTGCCAAGTCATGGGCGCCACATCCCAGTCCTCTATGCATGTGTGGCATCTATCAAACAACACTAAGAACATAAACAAAACCGTGACTATGCTGAGCAGGGCCTTGGGAGAAGTCGCATCTTCCACACAGTGAGATCCGGGAAGTCAGCTGTAGTAAGTGACATCAATTTTCTGTAGGCCTTCATCGCATATGTACAACAAAGACAATGGTCTACACAGAACACGATGGCCCCCCATGACAACGTGCAGCACAATCCGTCTTCATTCTATAGTCAAACCCAGTCTGTCTGTGCAACCCAAATGGGGGATTTTGACGGAAATTACATCATTAGTAACAGACCTTCATGTTTGGTCTGAGCCAGATTTTGTTTCTGGTGCTGTCAACCCTACTAAATGTGGGCAGGTGATCACAGTCCAGGCTCTTCCTGGCTGCCCGGGTGATGGTGGGAAGCTGAGTGGGGAGAGGCCTGTCCTGGCCACTTCTCCCAGGCTCGGCTCTCCTTCCCGCTTTTGCCAGGAAACTGCTAGAGAAAGCAGAAACAGGGGCCAGGAGCTGAGCACAAAGATACAAGTCCAAACACAGGCTTGGGAAGGTGGTATTTCAAATGAGTGGAGAGGACGACGTAAACTTGAAATGCGTTTCCTTGCAAAGTCCTTTTGTAGAGACAAATAATTCTGGTAATGAATATGAAGCATCCCCGGGTATTTTCAGAGCATGCATTTCCCAAGGAGCTCAAAAGAAAACACTTTAATTCTATATCCTTTTGAGAGAATGGGAATTAAATAACAAAACGTGACCGATTCAGCCAAATGGGGAGTCTATTATGAAGAGTGAGACAGCTGAATCACAGCAGAGTGGAATGCACTTTTGCTTTATATGTTTTTCCTTTACTCATTCCTTTTTTGGTGTTCCTTTATTATAAAGTTAATATATTATTACCAGCCAGCAGTTACATAGTGCTCACTATGAACCAGGCACAGCTCTAAGCCTTTTGTATACTTTAACCCAAACCATGAGGCACGTACTCTTATTCTCCCCATTTAGGGAGAGAGACAAGAACGTCGATTCCTTCGCCGGTGTTCAGTGGCAGAGCTGGTATTCCAATCCAGGCAGCCCAGCCTCAGAGTCCCGCGCTAATCACTTCCCTATACCACCACACCATGAAAGCACCAAATTCAAAGTCCTAAAATTTAGGGTATCAAAAGAGAGCATCACCATTTACTGTACCTTTCTAACAGAATAATTTGGGTGCATTTCCTACTCTATTCAGCCTTTGGTTTCCAAATCAAGGAATCTTTTAAAAGAAAGAAAGTTCTATATTCAAATAAATATGCTCAACCAAACCGTTTACAAAAACCTTTCCAAGTAGAGATTCTACTCATAGACAAGGCTTCTTTAAAATCAGATCTACTTTTGCATACAATATACTTGTTATTAAAACAATTTTTTCCTTTACAAGCATCTTTACATTATGAAAAACATCTTTCTTAAGAGTATTTATTTTTTGTCTGGCCCACATTTCATTATAATAAGTTCCAAATCACTCATTTTTGAATCCACACATATCCAAGTTTTCAGATAAGAAAAGTGAAGTTAATTTTGTTCTTCTTGAAGTCGCCTGCAGGCTCAGGCTAGATCTCACTTTTTATGGTCTATTTCTGTGCAGATAAGAACATCACATTTAACATGGGAATGTTGGAACTTCTGGAGGCTTCAGCAGGGTTAGCTTCAAAAAACAAGCAAAAAATGCCTCCCACCACATACAGCTTCTATCAGTGATCTTTGACATAAATGTTTCACGATATAGAAGTTAAAGAGTATGCCAGTCACTTGAGGGTTGACCAATGTGAACTGTTATTTCCTAGACTTGAGTACATGCCGCATGTGGTCTATATAAACATTCTTTAAGTTCCTTTGAAATAGACCCACACATATATGGAAAACTGATTTTCAAGAAAGGCGCCAAAGCAATTCAATGGAAAAAGGAAAGTCTTTCCAACAATCCATGTTAGAACAACTGGGAAAATGTATGCAAAAATATGAACCTTGACTTCTACTTAACCCCATATATAAAAATCAACTGGAGATAGATCATAAACTAAAGCATAAAAGCTAAAGCTATAAGTCTTCTAACAGAAGGCACAGAGAAATATCTGCACAATCCTGGGGAGGCAGATTACTTAGGAAACAAAAAATACAGATAATATAGAAATCTTTGTTTTAATTTTTAAAAATATATTTTATTTTTTTGTAGAGAGTTGAGGTCTTGCTATGTTACCTAAGCTGCTCTCAAACTCCTGGGCTCAAGCGATCTTCCCCTGCCTTGGCCTCGCAAAGGAAAAACATTTTTGATCAATGAAATTATTTCAAAGTTAAAACCTTCTGCTCATCAAAAGACACTTTTAAAAAACAGCAGGTAGACCATAGACTGGCAAAATATTTGCATTATAAACTTCTGACAAGAATATTTTATTCAGAATATGTATAACATTCCTACCAACCAAAATAATAAGACAATCCAATTTTAAAACAGGCAAAAGAAAAACAGACTCAAACGACTTGAACAGACACTTCAAAAGGGAAGATACACAAATGGCCAATAAGTATATGTGATTCATCTAGAAAATGCAAATTGAAAACTACAATGAGATACTACTTCATATCCAAGAGAACGACTATAAGTAGAAAAACCAGCAATATACAATGTTAAGATACCTGGTCACCTGGAACTTTCATAAATTGCTTGTTGGAGTGTAAAATGGTACGATTACTTTGGAAAATGACTTGGCAGTTTCTTACAGAGGTACACATACACCTAGTGTACGGTGCAGCAATTAAACCTAAAAAAGAGTGAGAGTGGGCCAGGTGTGGTGGCTCACGCCTGTAATCCCAGCACTTTGAGAGGCCGAGGCTGGTGGATCATTTGAGGTCAGGAGTTTGAGACTAGCCTGGCCAACATGGTGAAAGCCCATCTCTACTAAAATTTTAAAAATTAGCCAGGTGTGGTGGTGCGTGCCTGTAGTCCCAGCTACTCAGAAGGCTGAGGCAGGAGAATCGCTTAAGCCTGGGAGGTAGAGGTTGCAGTGAGCTGAGATTGCCCCACTGCAGCTCAGCCTGGGTGACACAGTGGGACTGTCTCAAAATAAAAAATAAAAAAAGAAAGAAAAGAAAAAGAGTGAGAGTGAGAGAAAACTCATTCACAGCAGCTTAATATTCATAGTAGCCAAAAATGGGGAAATAATCAATATGTCAGTCAACAAGAGAACAGAGTTTAAAATTGGGTCTATTCATACAATGGAATACCACCCAGCAATAAAGGAAGAATGATACAGACAACTATATAAAACTGTTGCGTGAAAAAAAAAGCCAGACGCAAAAGAGTATATACTGCATGATTCCATTTAGAGGAAGCTCAAGAACAAGACTGCAATGATAGAAAGCAGAAAGTTTTTGCCAGTGAGGGTGGCGAATGACTGAATGGGGCAAGAGGAAACCTGGTGATAGAAACGTTCTCTCTCTTAACTGGGGTCTGGGAACAGGAGTACACTGAATGTCTGTGCATTTCAATGCATGTAAATTTTACATCAATTAAAATGGAGGGATGGTAGGATTTCCTTAATTGTCTTGACATCCCCATGTCCTCCTGAAGAATGCAATTTGATTCGCACACTTAGATCCCATCAAATGGTGCCTGTATCTGGATTACTTCAGTTCACAACTAGCCATGGCTCTCTCTTCTCTGGGGGACCATCCATACAAGGTATTTCCTCCAGAGGAAAAGAAAGAATTTGCTGGTTCTCCTCTCATTCAACAGTAATAGCCAACCAATAGGCCAGGTCCCAGAACCAGTGTGGGAGTGTTCTACATTCTTGCAGTCACAGAATGTTTTTTTTAGGCCCACCATTTTTCAGCAGACATCTGACAATCCACACTCAGAAACATTCTTCATCTCTAGGAAGTTATGCGAAATAGGTGGGAGAAACAAGGTGTGGAAAGGGGGTGTTTGGCATAGGCTGATGATAGATGTTCTGGTCAATACCAGGAATAAAATCCCAAGTGTGTTCTGCTTGCCTGGGAGCTCACACCCTCAGAGCTAAGTAGATTTCACTACTCTCCATCTCTGCTTCCAAGGGCATGGCCTCAGAGGACTTGCTCTTTGATCTAGAACTGTACAGGAGGCTCTAAGCTGGTAAACAACTTACAGGGGTACAGAGGTCAGATAGGAGAAGGCCCTTATGACCCTTACTATCTTCAACTGTCTCTAAGCAGCTACATTAAAAATAGCTAACATCCATCACTATTACTTTGCAAATTTTAGAGATAGATTTTAGCCTCCTAGTATTGTGCTAGAAATGAGGCTAGGCCTGAGAAGAACCTAAAGCTTCCATCATGTTGCAGTAATTGGCCCTAACTGTGGAATACCTCTGAGAAAGATCTCCAGGGATTTTTCACAAAGAAACTGCTTTCTAAGTAAAAGGAGGGAAGCATGAGATGGAAACATCAATTCAGGCTTTCTTCTGACACAAACGGACACCACTTGTGTCACAAAAGTTAAAGAACTAGTCAACATCTTACTTTTCCCATCTTCACAGTGTCTGCTGACACTTTCAGGACCGACCTGACGAACATGACAAAGGGATAATTAACAAGGGTTTGGAGATTTTTTCCACAAAGGAGATGGGAAAAGAGAATGTGAATTGCTTCTTATAAGGAAAAGAAGAGGGAGTATGAGGGTCTATAGCCCAAGAAATAAATAGTACAGAAGGGAAGAATAGGAAATTCTCTCAGAAGCTCTTATGCTAAAGGGCAGGGAAGAAATCAAGCAAGCGTATCCACATTTAATTTGTATTAAGATCAGGAACAAGTACCACTACTTAAAGATTTTTTTAAATGACTAAGTTGGATGTTTTACAAGATGCAACTTTCTTCTAGCAACAAAGCTAAAAGATCCTCTTATGGGGCTCTATGATTAATGGCTATGTCTTTACTGGCTGGAAAGTGTATCTTTGTATAATAGTGTCAGCCCACTGTTTCCTCCCAATCCAGTAATTGTGAGGGTTTGTTTTCCCAAGCCCCAGTACCCACTGCAGTCATCATGCTCCATCTAATCTTTTTCCTGGCTAAATGCCTGACTAAAGGTATTTCCAATTTACTTGTTCAGATATATTTCTGACAAATCAACAAATGAAAGTACTTCTCCTTTCATGATGGCGGTCAGGGCGCCTGGAAGACCCCACTACGGTTATAAAAGGGGTATGTAGACCCACAACAACAACAAGTTTCAGGGGCCTGAGAGATTTCACCAAATGTCAGGAAGCCAGAAGGATGTGGGGAGAGCACTGAGCGATGAAGCTGAGCAGAGGCAGCTTACAGCCCGGAGAGTTCTGAGCGGGTACTGCCAAGGCAGTGAAGAGTTGATTTTATTCAGATGGACCCCAAACAGGCTCCAGACTCAGGAAAAGTAAGAACTGTGACAGAAGTGACAAGAAAGGTAGAAAGGAGAAGAGTAATTGAAAAGTCTGGAAATAACAATTATTCTTTTCATGACTACTTCCTGTCTTTATAAAAAAAAACCTTATAGCTTCCCCACTTCAGAGCAAAAATAAGAAAAGGGAGATAATTTTCTAAAAAAAATTAAACAAACGTCTGGTGAAGACTAAATAGCTAGTGTGGTTAAGAGAACCCCACAGTCAAGCCCTCCTCATTCTGACATCTAGCAGTTCCCCAGCAAGAGGGCTCAGGGTGGCTCTGTGTACCCAGGCTGAAGCCTGCTAGAGGCAGATGCTGTCATGCAGAACTTCTAGGCAGCCGTAATGGCACTTCATTTTTAAAAAGAAAATCAAATATATATTTTAAAAGTCTGCAACATGAAAGAGAAAAACCAAGATAAACAACAATAACAAAAAAGAAACAGAATATTTAAGAAAAAGATTTTTTTCTAAAAAAACTAAAAAAAAACCCCCAATTTATTAGTATTCCTGGAAATATTTGAGAATTACATCAACATAACAACAACAACAACAACAAAAAAGAACTACAAGAAAAAGCTCTATGAAATTAAAAATGCAAGCCTCAAATAACAATAGGGAACACTATGTGTGCACATGCTTGAGTAACTTAACCTCACACTTGTACTTCTTTTTTCCTTTTTTTCTTTTCTTTTTTTTTTCCTGAGACACAGTCTCATTCTGTCGCCCAGGCTGGAGTGCAGTAGCGTGATCTCAGCTCACTGCAACCTCTGCCTCCCAGGTTCAAGCAATTTTCCTTTCTCAGTCTCCCAAGTAGCTGGGATTACAGGTGTGCACCACCACGTGCAGCTAACTTTTGTATTTTTAGTAGGAATGGGTTTTTGCCATGTTGGCCAGGCTGGTCTCAAACTCCTGACCTCAAGTGCTCCACCCACCTCAGACTCCCAAAGTGTTGGGATTACAGGCGTGAAACACCACACCCAGCCTTTGTATTTCTGATTTAATCTACCATATAGACAATACCTTACCTAGAATGTGTTATATTTTACAGTACTGTCAACAGTTTGTAATGGCATATGTGGACTATGTTCATGACAAAGGGACAGTGCCACCATGTCCACTGTTCAAGAAAACCTGAGTCTGTTTTTAACTCCTCTGCAAGTTTACAGTTTACTTCTCTCAATACCTGCTCATCTTTTCTACAGAAGGGGAGTAACCAAAAGTCACAGGTTTTTTTTGTTTTCGTTTTGTTTTTTTGAGACAGAGTATCACTCTGTCACCCAGGCTGGAGTGCAGTGGTACAATCTCGGCTCACTGAAACCTCTGTCTCCCAGGTTCATGCAATTCTCCTGCCTCAGCCTCCTGAGTAGCTGGGATTACAGGAGTGTGCCATCACACACGGCTGATTTTTATATTTTTAGTAGAGACAAGGTTTTACTATGTTGGCCAGGCTGGTCTTGAACTCCTGACTTCAGGTGATCCGCCCACCATGGCCTCCCAAAATGCTGGGATTACAGGCATGAGCCACTGTGCCTGGCCATGTTTTGTTTTGAGACAGAGTCTTGCTCTATCGCCTAGGCTGTAGTGCAATGGCACGATCTCAGCTCACTACAACCTCTGCCTCCCGGGTTCAGGTGATTCTCCCGCCTCAGCCTCCCGAGCAGCTGGGATTACAGGTACCTGCCACCATGCCCAGCTAATTTTTGTATTTTTAGTAGAAACGGGGTTTCACCATGTTGGCCAGGCTGGTCTTGAACTCCTGACCTCAGTGATCCACCTGCCTCGGCCTCCCAAAGTTCTCGGATTACAGGCATGAGCCACTGCACCTGGCCCGGTCATGTTTTTAGAGTGACATATGAAGACTCCTAGAAAATATTAATACAGAAGAACTAGCTTACTATGAAGATTTCAAAATACTAATACAAATTAATGAGGTACACGTGAAATCTTCCCTGGGGAACTTCATGAAGAAGATAAGCATCCCTCCTATCTGGGTAATTTGCATACCCTCCTTCCTTAAACGCTGAGGCACGGATTGGTTCATTGGTTCAAAACCCTATCCATTATTCTCATAGCTCTCTTTATATGACAAAAAAATTCTGTCATGTCCCATTTACTACTCTAAAATCAAATTTGTTGATAATATTAACTACTGTACATGCAGCTTTAAAACATGAATATCCTAAATGTACATAAAAGATAATCTAAAAGAAGCAATTTATAATAAAAAATACTTCACATTTCATTATATAAATAATTTTCAGGTACAATTAACTATGTAATCAAATAGATGCTTGTAACTTACTTATAAAGAAGAAGCTTGTATTTAAGAGAAGTCAGATTAGAAGCTTTCCATATTAAAAGTGCAGGAAAATGAAAGAAGTAGTATAGGTGGACCAGAGAATGAAAATGAATCTATTCTGTGTATATTAAAAGTATGCAAAAATTATTTTGCATTTTTATGAAAAAATAAAGTCTAGGTTCAGAAAATTATAAACTGATCTTTCCCTACACGAATGTCCAACAGGATAACTGAAAGTCATGTGTACTACAGGGCAATTCTTTATCTCTTTTCTACTGTGGGACATTAAGTTCTCTCGCTCTCACTCATGAAATATCCTTCATTAGGCTGGGCGAGGTGGCTCATGCCTGTAATCCCAGCACTTTGGGAGGCCGAGGCCGGCGGATCACCTGAGGTCAGGAGTTTGAGACCAGCCTGACCAACATGGGGAAGCCCCGTCTCTACCAAAAATACAAAAATTAGCTGGGTGTGGTGGCTTGGGCCTGTAATCCCAGCTACTCACGTGGCTGCAGCAGGAGAGTTGCTTGAACCCAGGATACGGAGGTTGCAGTCAGTTGAGATCACACCACTGCATTCCAGTCTGGGCAACAGAGTGAGACTCCATCTCAAAAAAAAACCAGAAAAATCCTTCATTGTACCACCAGAATACCCTCATAAATTTCCACTCTGTCACCTAGGGGGCGGTACTGCTTCCATGAGAACTCCTGACCAGATCATCTATGGGAGTTTCCTTTTAGTCTTCATCGTCCGTCGCACTGAGAATCAAATCCTGATGGACAAATCAGCAACATAGCTAGGAAGCACAGTAACTTAATATAAAAAAAGACTATGAAGAAATTAATTTAGTTTAGGCTTATGCCATTAACTGTAGCCATATTCAACATAATTTCCTCTTTTTGAGTTCAGGATGATTGGTTACTCCACATAGAACATGGAGTGGAAAGCTGTATCTTTGTGACTTTTATTTAGATAGCACAAAATGAGCCTGATTTTTAAAATGTGAACATTCAAACCTGGCTAACTAATGATAAAAAAGGGAGTTTTTCATAGAACTCTACAACTCTCATTTCCTCAAAACAAGAATTAATGCATTCTTTCACATGCGGTCATTACAGGAAGGGGGGGTAGCCATTTACTGTAAATGCCTTTCTGATGCAATTCTACTACCTCTTTCAAAGACAGAATTCATCCAAGAAGCCTTAGTCACTTCTTCAAGAAAAATGCCACCGCGCTGAATGTACACAGACTAAACCACATGCCTAAGGAAAAAAGATGAGCTGATTCCACCATTAGAACACAGTTCGGGAGAAAAGTGGCAGAGAGAGAGAGCTCATAGCTTGTCAGAGCAGATCAAGTAGTATGTCTGAAAATCCGCCCTTTAATGTAACAGTCACTGTTTCATAAATCAAATGCAAACATAGATTTCCCCTCTGCCTAACTTTTAAAGTATACTTCCTAAAAATATAAGACCCCACTTCTAAGCCAGTAGCAACTGTGGTGATTTAATTTTTAAAGTTTCATGCACGGAAAGAAAAATGGAATCTTATCTTTTAAAATTTGAAAATGAAACTATGTTTTGAAGAGGGTAGATTTCACAGGAAAAGGGTAAGACAGTGGATAATACGATAAAGCAGTTTGGATGGAAAAACTTCAGACAAATAGTTCTGAACTCTTCTCAAAGAGAGGATCAATTTTTCTAAAACCTCAAAACCACCCAAAGGGAAAAAAAGGAATAATTTCTCCAGTTTATCCTTACCCGGATGAGCATGAATTCTTCTAACAGCCAGATGCACACACTTGTTTTTATGGAGGAGTTACTGCTGAGCCAAAGCCCAGGAGTCACTCAAGACTGGAGGCTGCGTGCTGCTGGAGCCCGAAATCCCCTTGATGAATGAAACTGCACATCGTAATATACACATTCAGAGCGGGCTATTGGCTAAATGAAGGCAATGCGTGTGGAAGTCTGATTTGCCACCTTCAGGGCAGGCGTCTTATATCCTAATTCAGAAAGATGACAGGCTTTTTTTTTTTTACTCCCTAGACAGTCAAAACTAGAAAGGGTTCGTTTTTCTGTAGCCTTCTCCCCAACCCTACGGAAACCACAGAGAGAACAAACCACAGTGAGACTTGACTCCTTAACTAGGCAATGCCAATGAGAAAAGAATTATGTTGACACTGGCAATTTACAAATAAGTCTCACACCACTGCCAAAGCTTGTTCGTGTTACATGACTGCCCGAGAGTCATACATAGGTATGGGGATGGTTTGGCTCATTTTTTAAGCCAAGAATTCTAAGCCGTAATTTTGGGGCTCCCTGAGGGTAGCAAACTTTACCAAAGAGTGGTAAAAACTCTTAAAAATATATTAATCTTTGTGCTATACTAGTGATCAACCAAAACATTAAAAACTAAGAATTACCTAAGTTTGGACTCAGAATCTCTGGGGAGGAGCCCAGGAAAATGAATTTTAACTGGCATCCTAGGTCATTCTTATGTCCTCTAAAGTTTGAGGACTACTTTTCCTGTTACTGGAACTGAACAGCTGATTATAGCTGCTTCCATCTTCCTTTATCATTCAATTATTTTGTCCTTGATTCCTGCTGAAGTCAGGAGTGACAAGAACAGCAAAGCCTCCTCAGGACAACTTGTGGCTTCTAACTCCAGGGAAATAAAAGGAGAGCCAGGCTGGGTTCACTTGATCTCCCCTCCCCACCTACCTCTGCTTCACTCCACCAAGACAGAAAAGTCCAAGCTGCAGAAACCTGGAAAATGCAGTACTTGAGGGCAAATATGAATATTACACTAACAGATGCTACAGCTGGAAAGCGAAAAATATACTGCCAAAGAGAAGAGGAAGAAAAAGAGAAAGAATACTAATGCTCACTGATTCCTTACTATTGTAGAAAAAACTGGGTTCTTGTCACATGACCAGGAAAAGTTACGCACACAGACCCTTTGAAGGGTGAGGGGTTATGGAATCTATTGGGCAAAAAGGAAAAAGACTCTCAGCAAAGCAAGATGAGTTTTTATGAACAGGCCCCCATCTCACAGATTGAATCCCAACTCACCACCCAGGAACAGGAGAGGCCAGGCTCCTAGCTGCAAAGGGTGAGAACTTCCTGAGGCTCCATCCCCTCCTCCCAGTGCACAGGCTGGTGGGAGACTCTCCAGGGACCTTCCCCCTTATCTTCCTCCTGCATCGATCATTACTATGTTCCAGACACTGCATCAACAACTTTATATGCAGCTTTCTTTGCCAAAGAAGTCTCACCAAAAAAACTTCTTCGAAAGTATCTGAACACACAAACTCAGGTGTCTACATCTCACAGCAGGGACACATGGTGCATCCTCCACGGAAGAAGCCGTGCTGGCTAAGTGTGTCCATTTCTACCCCAACTGCCCTATGAACAGAAAGGATTTCTAAAAAAGGAAACAGAGAAATACTGTTGGAAATGTATTTAAAACAAATCATCATCTTTCCGTATTTCCTTTTTTTTTCTTTTTTTTTTTTTGGAGACGGAGTCTCACTCTGTTGCCCAGGCTGGAGTGCAGTGGCGCGATCTCGGCTCACTGCAACCTCCACCTCCCAGGTTCAAGCAATTCTCCTGCCTCAGCCTCCCAAATAGCTGGGATTACAGGAGCCCATCACCACACCTGGCTAATTTTGTATTTTTAGTAGAGATGGGGTTTCACCATGTTGGCTGGGCTGGTCTTCAACTCCTGACTTCAGGTGTTCCACCTGCCTCGACCTCCCAAAGTGTTTGGATTACAGGCATGAGCCACCACACCCGGCCCCGTATTTCCTATTCTTATTCCTTCTTTATTCAACCTAAGATTGTGTGGCCTCTCAGAAATTTCAGAGAAGACTCCTGTCATCTGTTCTCCATTCTAACCCGTTTATTTCAATCCAAAGTACTGGGGGAAACCCCATCATTATAATATGACTTGAAAATATTATTTGGACATCACCAACAACTATCAACATTTTTTTTACTTTAATAAAAAGGGTTTTATCTTTGTCTCCAATATGCATAATGTTCCTAAGGAAACTTTCTAGAGAAGGGGAGCTCAACTTAGAAAACAGCTTATTTAGGAACAAGTTTTCCAAATCCTCCCCCGCACCTTTGTTTCAGGATGATTACGCATGGTGGTATCCTAACACAAAGGGGAAGGAAGCTGACTTCTGACTTACTACTATGAGCGGATCTGGTACATTTGGTATTCCAAGTGTTTTGCCTAATAGGTAAATGCAGATCTGTTGGGGCAGTGTTTCTCAAATTGTGTTAGCACTAAAACCCCTTGTATTCCCCTAAATGAAATCTTGGGTGAAGGTCCAATATCCTCACATGCTCGCTGCTGTGGCGGGTGGGCTGCGGGGCCCACAGGCCTTCCTTATTTGGGCCCACTTTCTCAACTCACCCCCAGGGTCGCTACAGAGGCAATGCTGCCAAACCCCAAAGGCTCTGTTTTCTATTTTCTCAGACGTTGATGATTTTTTAAATTAATACTTTATCATTTTATTTTATGCATGCCTTTGCGTCTCAAAGTGGGGCATACATTGAAACATTTTCAAAGTCATGTCCAGTCATGCTACGTGCAACACTGAGCTTAGGAATTCTGGGACATATTTGGCCAGTGTGGACCCTGACATGAAAATTATAATTTCCATCTGTATCCCTTTGGAAACAACACCTTTAATATATTTGCAAGTTCAAGGTCATTTTAGAAACACAAAATTTTGCAGAGATATAAAGTTTAAATGAATGAGAATATCATCTTGATGATTAAGATCCCTTGCCAAATTTCACTTCCACTAGTGAGCATTAGTTTGCTACATAGGGGACAGTAAGCTTTGGACTATATATTAACACTCAAGCAAATATATATATATATATTTGTACACTGTGTATGTGTGCCTGTGTGTGTGCGTGTATACCTCAGCTCTAAAATGGGAAATGAATTTAAAGTGCTGCTAGGTAATTATTATCAAAAAAATTTATTAATAATATCAGGTCAGCACAGAGAACAAAGACTGAAATTCCTTCATGAAGAGGCAATATGTACTTCTTCTGCTAACAAAAGTTTAATAATCTTTTCTTTTTCTGAGTGTTATTTCTCAGAAATAACACTTTTTTTTGTTTGTTTCTTTTTTTCAGACAGAGTCGTGCTCTGTTGCTCAGGCTAGAGTGTTATAGCACAATCTCAGCTCACTGCAACCTCTGCCTCCCGGGTACAAGCAATTCTCCTGCTCAGCCTCCCGAGTAGCTGGGATTACAGGTGCCTGTCACCATGCCCAGTTAATTTTTGAATTTTGAGTAGAAAGGGGGTTTCAGCATGTTGGCCAGGCTGGTCTTGAACTCCTGACCTTAGGTGATCTGCCCACCTCGACCTCCCAAAATGCTCTGGGATTACAGGCGTGAGCCACCATGTCGAGCTGTTTCTCAGTTTTAAAAAAGATAATGTGTCTCATTTGGCAAAGCCGTCACATTTCAAATGTATGTAAGAGAAAATGTCCAGAGTGAAGCAGCTATCCTGGGTCACCTGGGACCACTAACCTGAATCAGGGAAGGTCCCAATGTTCTGTAATCAACTGTCCCATAGAATAAACAGTGTTTAAAAGAAGGGAACTTTATATCCAAGCAAGTGTCAGAAGCATGTACACAGAAGGAATAAAAGTGAACCGTCTTTTCAAAATCCATGTTTAACCATATCCTTGCTTTCAGAATACTCTCAATTTCCTATGATTTCCATTTTAATTTATTATTGACAATAAAATAATTATGGAAGCACTGTAGTAGGACTTACAGTTATCTAAAAATAGTCAACCTCTTTCCAAAAACAGAAGCATGGTTAAGAGAAATAATAACATCCTAGCACTTTGGGAGGCTGAGGCGGGCGGACCACCTGAGGTCGGGAGTTCGAGACCAGTCTGGCCAACATGGTGAAACCTCGTCTCTACTAAAAATACAAAAATTAGCTGGGTGTGGTGGCGGGTGCCTGTAATCCCAGCTACTTGGGAGGCTGAGGCAGGAGAATTGCTCGAACCCAGGAGGCAGACGTTGCAGTGAGTGGAGATCGTACCACTGCACTCAAGCCTGGGCAACAGAGTGAGACTTCGTCTCAAAAAAAAAAAAAAAGAGGGCGAGAGAAATAATGACATTAAAGTAGTCCTCAAATACTTGCTTATGTTCCCAAAATGTATCCATATATTTGTGGTTTAGGACTGAGGCTACTTTTCCCTTAGGAATATTGCTGCTAATGATAGTACCCAGGTCATTTCACAAAACTTATTTCATATCATGTATCCTATATGTAATATTACATATCCAAATGAAATATATATTTTAATTGTGTTGCAATACTAATAATTATATAAAGCATAAAATAATAACTAAGAATGATTTTATCTGTATGCAAATATGAGAAGGTTTAGTCAGGAGGAAGCCAACTGAGACTCTCAAGAGCTTTGGAAGTTGATGACACTGGTTATTATGCCTTACTTTACCTCCAAATATATCATGTGCTTTTCCCTTGATACAATTATATCACTATTCTCTCTCTCTCTCTCTTTTTTTTTTTTTAAAGAGATGGGGTCGCTGGGCACAGTGGCTCACACCTATAATCCCAGCACTTTGGGAGGCCGAGGCGGGCGGATCATCTGAGGTCAGGAGTTCGAGGGCAACCTGACCAACAAGGAGAAACCCCGTCTCTACTAAAAATACAAAATTAGCCGGGCATGGTGGTGCATGCCTGTAATCCCAGCTACATGGGAGGCTGAGGCAGGAGAATCGCTTGAACCTGGGAGGCAGAGGTTGCAGTGAGCCAAGATTGCACCATTGCATTCCAGGCTGGGCAGGAAGAGTGAAACTCCATCTGAAAAAAAAAAAGAGATAGGTTCTTGCTATGTTACCTGGGCTGGACTTGAACTCTTGGGCTCAGGTGGTCCTCCAGCCTCAGGCTCCCAAGTAGCTGGGTCTACAGGCATGTACTACAGCACCAGGCTATATCACTACTCTTAAGCTCATCCGCTATGACTAATACTACTGGGGGCTCTCCAAAATTACTAATACCACTGGGGGCTCTCAAAGTGGGAAGAAAGAAAAAAAGCTTAGAAAGAGAAACAGATTTACTTGAAATATGGAAGAAATGTGATAAAAAGTATGTATGGAATTAACAAGACAACCTCAAAAAAAGGCAGAAAGAGAAAAGAACATAATATTGAAAGTTTTCCCAACTTAGATGGAAAAGGTGCTGGATTGGATATATGACCTGAGCCAGGACAACCTGGCTGCTCTGTGAAGCAGAGGACAAGAGGCTGACCAAAGGCAGGTGATGTGTGTGACCAGCCATGTGCATGAATGGGATGTGTGCAAAGCCAGCGTGTATGAACTGGGAAGGCCTTGTGTGGCAAATGTGGTAAGAATTTAGTGGTCAGTCTTTCAAAGAGATAGTCATTTGGTCTGGCTGGTGATTCAACTGATGAGAGCCCAAAGTCAAGAGTTCAGTGGTGGTGTGTGTTCGGCTTCATGGTCGTAGAGCATGAGCAGGAGGAGTTAGCTCCCAAACATGGTGCTGGCCAAGAAGGACCAAGCCAGAGCCCATGGACAGCTCAGTATAAAGCAACACGGCCTCTAGGGCTCTGTTCTTAGAATAAAATCATTTTCCTGCATGACACTCTTAATTCCTTACTTAACTGTGGAGGAGAAGAGGGGTGTAGATGTTAAGATATCAGAATCTGAAAAATCCTTTACTATTAACATAGCTAACTTTAAACTGTTTACTGAAAATGATCATTGGACCCTATCTTACAGTAATGAGTTTTATGCATTTAATATTATAAATATGGTCTTTTAAATGACAACACAAACTATGACCTTACTAAATAGGCTGGTGACATGTTAAAGTGTGAGTGTGAGTGTGTGTGTGTGTGTGTCTGTAAGATTGGTGAATTCCAGTTCCAGTAGCAGGGGAAGTTAGGGAAGGGAATGAACAGGAAGGGATTTTTGGTTATAATCAAGGGTACCTTTTTTGGTTCTTGACAACAGTCAAACTGGTCTAACGCAATGTTTTTCAAACTGTAGGGTAATCCATTAGTGGGTTGTAAAATAAATCCAGTGCACTGAAAGCAGCGTTTTTATGAAGATGAAACAGACTAGAATAAAACAGAAAATAAGAGTTCACATTTAGTGGGGCAGCTATTTTTTCATAAAGTAGTTTCATATATGTGTATGTGTTGCATATACTTTTCCATGATGTAAAACATAATCCTTTCTGTGAGTTCCAGGAAAAATGGACTACTAGAAAAGAAGATTAAAGGCCGGGCGCAGTGGCTCATGCCCGTAATCCCAGCACTTTGGGAGGCTGAGGTGGGCGGATCATGAGGTCAGGAGATTGAGACCATCCTGGCTAACACGGTGAAACCCTGTCTCTACTAAAAATACAAAAAAATAGCCGGGCTTGGTGGCAGGCGCCTGTAGTCCCAGCTACTCGGGATGCTGAGGCAGGAGAATGGCGTGAACCCGGGAGGCGGAGCTTGCAGTAAGCCGAGATCGCACCACTGCACTCCAGCCTGGGCGACAGAGCGAGACTCCGTCTCAAAAAAAAAAAAAAAAAAGAAAAAGAATATTAAAAATCACGTTTGAAATTAGGTGAGTGGATCTTGTGTGAATTTAATTTTAATCAGTGCTATGCTTCTATGTCCTTAACTTGGAAACCAACCCACAAATCAAGATGCATTTACATTAATCATCAACAATTCTAAAGATATCATGCAAGTCATTATTCACTCATTCACCCAGTGTGGTCCCTACTCTCCCCACAAGGGGTTATGGGGAGAGGATAAAATTTGAGAAAATAAAAAAAAAAATCCATGAAATACAGTCATATAATAATAGTTAACATATATTGAGTGCTTGTTATGTGCTGGTAGTATTTTAAGTATTTTTTACATCATTAACGCATTTTATCCCCTTAATAATCCCATGGAGGTAGATACTAATATTATCCCTGTTTTCCAGATAAAGAATCTAAGAAATTAAGTCAGTTGCCTAAGAGGCAGAGCCAGTATCTGAACCTAGGAAGTCTGGGTCCAGAATCCTAATCCCAACTGTATCGTACCCTTAATAGTTAATGCCACAATCATCCATAATGGAGATTAAGACTCACACTGGAGAGAAAAGAAGGGAAAAAACACATGAAGGAAACATTACTGCTTGTGCTTTGCTGTCTGTCCTCATTTCTCCTGCTGCTCAAGTATAGTCCATAGTCTATGCTACAGATAGCCTCTTTTCCACTTTGATACCCTAATGCATTCTGAACACAGTTCTTAGCAAATTCATTCAAACTCCATCTCTTTCTTCCTTCTCTAGAAAACATGTAAGAATGCAATTAAGTGGGTTTCTACTTTTCTGTACTGAATCTAACTCTTATTTATTTCAAAGTTTAAAGGAATTCATTCTCAGGTGTTGGTTCTTAAACCTTTCGTATGAGCCGGTCATTTCTAACACATCTTCCAGGTCTTATCTCCCCCAAACCAGTGAATCCTGTCACAGGGGCGATTGCTGCTAGTCTGGCTAGACGGAGCTCCTAGGGGTGCCTCTTTCTTAGCACCCACTTGTGCTATTCTCCTCATTGGTTTTGAATAGAACCCAAATAAATCTCAAGTATAATGTACACTGTGGCAAGTGTACCAATGCATTTCAGAAAAAATATGAAAAGATATGTGCCCAAAATTTCTTATTCCTCTAATCTATCCATCCTTGTCTTCAGGTTATATAATAAGTCCTACAGATAGCGCCTAGACAGATAGTAAAATCAGTAAAAATCAACACTATTTTTGGTAGCATGGTTACCTTTCCTAGGAATTGGGTCCACGAGTAAGAACCTTACTTTTTAAATGTCGTTTAAGTGCTGGGTAAACACAATAAGCACTGTGTCCCTCATATGTGAGTTAAAATGGCCAGTGCAAATAAATCCTACAACTGAAGGACAAATAATATTTAGGTCTTCATCTACCAACATATCTTGGCCACATAATTTGATATTTTGCTAATGAAAATGCCCTGTGGCCAAACAAACATAGCATCTTTCAAACATTTTTTAAGAATCTTTAAAAATTAAGGTATCATGATGGACAGCACATTGTGATGTGGAGAATTAAATTATTAGAATAATTTGGTATTATTTAAAAACACAATGAAATATGCAGATAATCAGGACAAAATCTGGCCAGGTGCAGTGGCTCACGCCTGTAATCCCAGCACTCTGGGAGGCCGGGGTGGGTGGATCACGTGAGATTAGGAGTTTGAGACCAGTCTGGCCAACATGGTAAAACCCCGTCTCTACTAAAAATGCAAAAATTAGCCAGGCGTGGTGGCGCATGCCTGTAATCCCAGCTACTCAGGAGGCTGAGGCAGGAGAATCACTTGAACCCGGGAGGCAGAGGTTGCAGTGAGCCGAGATCGTGCCACTGCACTCCAGCCCAGGTGACAGCAAGACTCCGTGTCAAAAAAAAAAAAAAAAAAAAAAAAAAGACAAAATCTGAGGAGTAAGTAGACTGTGACAAGGCTTTACCATAATTTGCTTGTATATACATTCTCCAAATAACTTACTAAAATGAAGACAATGAAAGTTTAATATTCCTTTGGAAAATAGAGCTAAAGTAGAGTGCTATGAAAATAAAATTTCTCATTGAATAATACTGTCTACACGCCAGTGTCAATATCATTCAAGAAGCAGGAAATATGATTTTACTATTCATCACTGTAAAACTGTAAGTTATTTTTAGGTATATTTAGGTAATTTCTTTCAATAAACAGATTAAACCGTTTATTTCTACCAAGTATTCTTTGTGTTTAAAACCAATACTTTTGACATGGGCTTGGACAGATTCTCTGTAGTTTAAAAAAAAATAAAAGGATGATTCAAGTATGTACCTATCTAGTCTATCAGCTTCTAAGAAATATACAGCTTTTGGATAAAAGAGTAGTAATGTCTGCACTTAATTAATATGACACATTTTGCAAGTGGTATTAACATGCTGGGACTTTTTTGGGTGATGATGTGCATTTTCCCTGCCCCATTTACCCTGTTTCATTAGCTGCACCTGGGACCAAGAGGATTCATTTTTAAGATCATCAGAAGAGAGTAGTGTCTGGTTGTGGGAATGAGAATTTTTTTTTTAATTGGGAAGCTGAATGGCTTATGGGGCAGGGGATGGGAATCAAGGGTAGAATTGCAGCCTGAGCTAGTGTCATGCACTAATGTCAATTGCTCATGGTTAATATGAAAATTGTATCAACTCAGGAGAAAATAATGTGGAGAACAGCATTTTGTTTGTTAAAGCAATCTGGCAGAGGCCTCCCTAGAATATAGGAATTAGGGCAGTTGTTCTCTGAGTTGAAGAAAGGTACACTCAGCTGAGAAGGACAGGGAACTTCTCAGGGAGCAACTACTGTTAGAGAAGGAAGCAGTTGCAGTTTTAAAAATTATCCCATAAAACCTTCATTGTCATTGAAGCAAAGAGTGGGCCTCTCTCTTCCTTTCCTATCTGTACACATGGCAGGCTGCCCTCAATCTAGCAGAGTGGAAAAATAGTGTGAACTGGGTATAAGTAGGTTTTGCTTTCCACTACATTTTCCTAAGACAAATACTTTCCAAGTTGGGTATTTAAAAACAAAAAAGATTGAGGTTTAACATTCATTTTTCAAAATTATGAAACGTGTTGAATAAGTACTACTCATTTGTCAGTAAAAGGTTTGCTCTTTAATAGCTCTATGGCCTTGTGGAATTCTCATCAGCTTGGAGACTCAGCTGCCTCGTCTGTAAATTGAAAATCTTAAGGTAGATGTCCTCTAACCTTCCTCCCTTCTCCAAATTTAAATGGTTAATTATTTTGTGACTTTATCTTCTCCTCCAAATATCCTTTATCTAAGTCTTACACAAATTTCACTTTAAAAGGAGGGTGAAGGGCACGTGCTAGCTCACACCTGTAAGCCCAGCACTTAAGAGAGGCCAAGGCAGGCGGATGGTTTGAGTCCAGGAGTTTGAGACCAGTCTGCACAACATGGCAAAACCCTGTCTCTACAAAAAAATACAAAGAAATTAGTCAGGCATGGTGATGCATATCTGTAACCCCAGCTACTTCGGAGGCTGAGCTGGGAGGATCACCCGAGCCTAGGTGGTTGAGGCTGCAGTGAGCTGAGTCATGATAGTGCCACTGCCCTCCAGCCTGGGTGACAGAGTGAGACTCTGTCTCCAAAAAAAAAAAAAAAAAAAGGTGGTGGGGGGGTGCTAGAAGACAGGAGAATTTGCCAAGACAGATTCAAGTGTTAACTGCTTGCTCTGTCCTGGAGTTTATAGTTTTAAGAATAGGCTTATGAATTTCAATTTACAATGGAAATAAAATTAACTATGTATTAATTTTAATTTGGGGGCAGTATTTAGAACATATCTTAAATTATAAGGAGATTCCTCTCTTTCACAAATGCATACTAAGCTATTCCAAATCCAATGCCAGCAGCTATTCACTCTCAAAAACAAAGAATCTAAAGCAAAAAAACTAAACAAGAAAATAACTTACAGTGAAAAGAAAGCTTTTGATTACCCATGCTAATGTTCCCATTCATTAAGGTAGTAAACTGAAAATTGATTATAGGTATGTATTTATTTGCTCCCTCCACCAGAGATGCTGGATTTTTTCCAATTATTATTATTTTTACAGAGCATTTTATTTTATTTAAGAACACTTAATATGAGATCTGCCCTCTCAACAAAATTTTAAGTACACAATACAGTATTGTTAACTACAGGCACAGTGTTGTACAGCAAACTTCTAGAACTTATTCATCTTGTATAACTGAAAATATACACTCATTGAACAGCAACTTCTCATTTCCCTCTCTTCCAAGCCCCTGGCAACCATCATTCTATTCTGTTTCTATGAGTTTGATTATTTTTGATGCCTCACAGAAGTGGAATCATGCAGTATTTGTCCTTCTGAGACTGGCTTATTTCACTTAGCAGAAAGCCTCCAGGCTCCTTCACATTGTCGCATGAAGCAGATGTCCTTTTTTTAATGCTGAATAGTGGTCCACTGTATGTGTATACCACATTTTCTTTATCCATTCATCCATCAATGAATGTTTAGGTTGTTTCCGTATCTTGGTTATTGTGAATAATGCTCAATGAATGTGAGAATGTTAACATCTCTTCAAGATCCTGATTTCTATTATTTTATTTTATTTTTTTATTATACTTTAAGTTCTAGGGTACATGTGCACAATGTGCAGGTTAGTTACATATGTATACATGTGCCATGTTGGTGTGCTGCACCCATTAACTCGTCATTTACATTAGGTATATCTCTTAATGCTATCCCTCCCCCCACCCCACAACAGGCCCCGGGGTGCAATGTTCCCCTTCCTGTGTCCAAGTGTTCTCATTGTTCAGTTCCCACCTATGAGTGAGAACATGCGGTGTTTGGTTTTTCTGTCCTTGCGATAGTTTGCTGAAAATGATGGTTTCCAGCTTCATCCATGTCCCTACAAAGGACATGAACTCATCATTTTTTATGGCTGCATAGTATTCCATGCTGTATATGTGCCACATTTTCTTAATCCAGTCTATCATTGTTGGACATATGGCTTGGTTCCAAGTCTTTGCTATTGTGAGTAGTGCCACAATAAACATACGTGTGCATGTGTTTGGATATATACTCGGAAGTGAGATTGCTGGGTCCCATGTGCAATAGCATCAAAAAGAATAAAATGCTTAGGAATAAACTTAACCAAAGAGATAAAATATTTCTACACTGAGAACTACATAAGATTAATAAAAGAAATTGAAGAAAACACAAATAAAGGGGAAGAAAGCCCATGTTCATGGATTGAAAGACCTACTACTGGTAAAATATCCATACTATCCAAAGCAATCTGCAGACACAATGCAATCCCTACTAAAATCCTAATGGTATTTTCTACAAAAATTTTTTTAAAAATCCTAACATTCATATGGAACAACAAAGGACTCCAAATAGTCAAACACAAACTTTAGAAAGAACAAATTTGGAGGCATCATACTTCCTGATTTCTAAATTTATTACGAATTTACAGTAACTTTAACAGTACAGCAATGGCATTAAAACAGATTTATAGACCAGTGGAACAGAATATAGAGCCCAGAAATAAACCCACAGATAAACAGTTAACTGATCTTTGGCAAGGGTACCAAGAATACACATACATCAGGGAAGGATAATCTCTTCCACAAATGATGCTCAGAAAACTGAATATCCACATGCAACATAATCAAATTGGATTTTGTTATGGTTTGGATCTGTATCCCCAAATCTCATGTCAAACTGTATCCTAAATGTTAGAGGTGGTGCCTGGTGGGAGGTGACTCAATCATGGGGGCACATTTCCCTCTTGGTGCTGTTTTCATGATAGTGAATGAGTGAGTTCTGGTGAAATCTGCTCATTTAAAAGTGTGTGGTACCTCCCTCCCCAACTCTCACTCCATATCTTGGCCATGTAAGATGTGCCTGTTTTCATTCTGACTTCTGCCATGATTGTAAGTTTCCTAAGGCCTTCCCAGAAGCAGAAGCCACTATGCTTCCTGTACAGCCTGCAGAACTGTGAGCCAATTAAACCTCTTTTCTTTATAAATTACCGAGTCTCAGGTATTTCTTTATAGAAATTCAAGAATGGACTAACACAGAAAATTAGTACCAAGAAAAGGGGCATTGCTATGATACCTGAAAATGTGGAAGCAGCTTTGAAACTGGATAACAGGCAGAGGTTGGAACAGTTTGGAGGGCTCAGAAGAAAACAGGAAGATGAGGGAAAAGTTTGGAACTTCCTAGAGACTTGAATTGTTGTGACCAAAATGCTGATAGTGATATGGACAATGAAGTCCAAGCTGAGGAGGTCTCAGGTGAATACGGGAAAGTTACCGAGAATTGGAGTAAAGCTATGCTTTAGCAAACAGCCTGGCTGCAATGTGTCCTTGCTCTATGGATCTGTGGAACTTTGAACTTCAAAGTGATGATTTAGGGTATCTGATGGAAGAAATTTCTAAGCAGTGAAGTATTCAAGACATGGCCTGGCTGCTCACATGTGTAAGCAAAGAAATGACCTGTAATTTGAACTTTTTTATAAAAGAAAAGCAGAGTTTCCAAAGTTTAGAAAATTTGCATCCTGGCCATGTGGCAGAAAAGAAAAGCCCATTTTCAGGAGAGCAATTCAAGCTAAAAGAAAGACAAGTGCTGATAGCCAAGACAATGGGGAAAAGGCCTCGATAGTATTTCAGAGAACTTCATGGCAGCCCTTCTCATCACAGGCCCAAAGGCCTAGTAAGACTGAAAGGTTTTGTGGATCAGGCCCAGCTGCCCTGCACAGCCATGAGAACTGCTCCCTGCATCCCAGCAGCTCCAGCTCTAGCCATGGCTCAAAGGGGCCCAGGTATAGCTCAGGCCACTGCTCTGGAGGATGTAAGCCATAAGCCTTGGTAGCTTCCATGTAGTGTTAAGCCTGTGGGTACACAGAGTGTAAGAGTGAATGAGGCTCAGGAGCCTCCGCCTAGATTTCAGAGGATATATAGAAAAGCCCGGATGTCCAGGCAGAAGTCTGCTGCAGGGATAGAGCCCTTATGGAGAGCCTCCATTAGGGCAGTGTAGAGGGGAAATGTAAGATTGGAGCCCCTACACAGTGTCCCCACTGGAGCACTGCCTAGTGGAGCAGTGAGAAGAGGGCCACTGTCCTCCAGACCCCAGAATGGTAGATCCACTGGCAGCTTGCACCCTGCACCTGGAAAAGCCATACACATTCAACACCAGCCCTTGAGAGCAGCCACAGGGGCTGAATCCTGCAAAGCCACAGGAGCAGAGCTGCCCAAGGCCTTGTGAGCCTACCCCTTGCATCACTGTGTCCTGAATGTGAGACTTAGAGTCAAAGGAGATTATTCTGGAGCTTTAAGATTTAATGACTGCCCTGCTGGGTTTCAGACTTGCATGGGGCCTGTAGCCCCTTTCTTTTGGCCAATTTCTCCCTTTTGGAATGGAAGTATTTACTCAATGCCTGTACCTCCATTGTATCTTGAAAATAACTAACTTGTTTGTTATTTTCCAGGCTCATGAGCAGAAGGGACTTGCCTTGTCTCAGATGAGACTTTGGATTTTTGAGGTCATGCTGGAAAAAAGTCAAGACTTTGAGGAACTGTTGGGAAGGCATGATTGGGTTTTGCAAAGTGAGAAGGACATGAGATTTGGGAGGGGCCAGGGGTGGAATGATACAGTTTGGATCTGTGTCTCCATCCAAATCTCATGTTGAAATGTAATCCACAATGTTGGAGGCTGGATCTGGTGGGAGGTGATTGGATCATGGGGGTGGATTTCCCCCTTGGTGCCGTTCTCGTAACAGTGACTGAGTTCTTGTGAGGTCTGGTCATTTAACAGCCTGTGGCACTCCTCTGTCCCCACTGCTCTTTCTTCTGCTCCGACCATGTAAGACATGCCTGCTTTCCCTTTGACTTCTGCCACAATTGTAAGTTTCCTGCGGCCTCCCCAGAAGCAGAAGCCACTATGCTTCCTGTACAGCCTCCAGAACTGTGAGCCACAACTATGTTAGATGAGGTTGTATTAGTCTGTTCTTGCACTGCTGTGAAGAAATACCTTAGACGGGGTAATTTATAACAAGCTGCTTCTTCTTATAGTACAGGTCTTCTTGTAAGACCTTATCTTACACCATACAGAAAACCAACTCAAAATGGATTAATGATTTTTTTTTTGGGGGGAGATATAGTCTCACTGTCACCCAGTCTAGAGTGCAGTGGCGTGATCTCGGCTCACTGCAAGCTCCACCTCCCAGATTCAAGCAATTCTCGTGCCTCAGCCTCCTGAGTAGCTAGGATCACAGGCAGCCGCCACTGTGTCCGGCTATTTTATTTTATTTTATTTTTTTGTATTTTTAGTAGAGATAGAGTTTCACCATATTGGCTAGGCTGGTCTCAAACTCCTAAACTCAAGTGATCCAACCACCTTGGCCTGCCAAAGTGCTGGGATTACAGGCATGAGCCACTGTGCCTGGCTGGATTAATGATTTAAATGTAAGACCTGAATCTATAAAACTCCTAGGAGAAAACATAGGGGAAAGCTTCCTGACACTGGTCTAGGCAATGATTTCATGAATATGACACGGAAGCACAGGCAATGAAAGCAAAAATACACAAGTGGGATGACATCAAGCTGAAAAGCTCAGTACAGCAAAGGAAAAAAAAATATAAAGTGAAAGGCAACCTACGGAATGGGAGAAAATATTAGCAAACCACATATCTAGTAAGGAGTTAATATCTAAAATATATAATGAACTCCTACAACTCAACAGCAAACAAACAAGCCAAACAACAACAACAACAACAACAACAACAACAACAGAACTTGATTTAAAATGGGCAAAGACATTTTTAAATGAATAGACTTTTTTTTTTTTCGAGACAAGGTCTCACCCAGGCTGAAGTGTAGTGGTGCAATCTCAGCTTATTGCAACCTCCGCCTCCCAGATTCAAGCGTTCTCGTGCCCCAGCCTCCCGAGTAGCTGGGATCACAGGTTTGCACCACCATGCCCAGCTAATTTTTGTATTTTTAGTAGAGATGGGGTTTTGCTATGTTGCCCAGGCTAGTCTTGAACTCCTGGCCTCAAGTGATACACCCACCTCGGCCTCCCAAAGTGTTGGGATTACAGGCATGAGCCACCGCACCCAGCCTTGAATAGACTTTGTTGTTGTTGTTGTTGTTTGAGACGAAGTTTCGCACTTGTCACCCAGGCAGGAGTGCAATGGTGCATCTGCTCACTGCAACCTCCGCCTCCTGGGTTCAAGTGATTCTCCTGCCTCAGCCTCCCAAGTAGCTGGGATTACAAGCGTGCCCCACCACGCCTGGCTAATTTTTGTATTTTAGTAGAGATGTTGTTTCACCACGTTGGCCAGGCTGGTCTTGAACTCCTGACCTCAAGTGATCCACCCGCCTTTGCCTCCCAAAGTTCCGGGATTACAGGCGTGAGCCACCACGCCCGGCAGAATAGACATTTTTTAAAAAGCATACAAATGGCCATCGGGTATATGAAAAGGTGCTCAACATCACTAATCTTAAGAGAAATGCAAATCAAAATCTTAACATGTCACCTCACACCTTTTAGGATGCCTATTAGAAAAACAAAAACAAAAGATAAATAGTGGTGGGATATGGAGAAATTGGAACCCTTTTACACAATTGGTGAGAATGTAAAATGCAGCTGTTACAGAAAACAGCATGGAGGTTCTTCCAGAAATAAAAAATTGCTACCATATGATCCAGCAATTCCACTTCTATATATATTTTTTCCCAATCATTGGTGTTGGCATACCTGAAATACTGATATGGGCGTATCATGTTGATTATACACATTTCAAATGGGAATACTACTTTTTTTTTTTTTTTTTTGAGACACTCTGCCGCCCAGGCTGGAGTGCAGTGGTGCAGTCTCAGCTCATTGCAACCTCTGCCTCCTAGGTTCATGCGATTCTCCTGCCTCAGTCTCCTGAGCTGGGATTACAGGCGCAGGCCAGTATACCTGGCTAATTTTTGTATTTTTAGTAAAGACAGGGTGTCACCATGTTGGCCAGGCTGATCTTGAACTCCTGACCTCAGGTGATCCACCCGCCTCAGCCTCCCAAAGTGGTGGGATTACAGTTTGAGCCACCACACCTGGCCCTACTTTGGTTTTTTTAAAATTACACTATTCTATCGCTGAGGACTAAACAAGGCGCTGTAAATTGCAAGTGTTTTCTTAAAACCTTTTAGCATAAAAAATATTAATGTTTCAAACTTAGAAAAACCTGAGTTATTTTTAATACTACTATAACCTAGTTGTATTTTCCGGGTAATGCCATCCCTGCTAATCAACCACCTAAAACCAAAAGCTTTTTAAAGCTGTAAATATTGCTGACATATTATTTGCAGCCAATTAGCACAATATTCTAATGAGATTATCATCATTGATTCCCAACAGGGGTAGGTAATGGTGTTCATTCATACACTAATATAATTTTGTCTTTCTTACAGCATGCACATTCTATAAAACTGGAATGATAGTACCTGTAGTACTTACCCTTATGTTTTTCAGCCAACGCTTGGCATATGGAAAATAATCGCAAAATGTTATTAACATGATTGTTTTCTTTGCCATGTTAAGTTACACCACAAAAACATAAAATAGATCAACATTCCTTAACTATAAGAAACACAACTAAAAGAATTTACTGAGTGTGCTGTCTTTTCTTTGCATGTGGCAACAATAGTAGCTACTCTGCATGTATTGGTACTTATTTCACAGCAACACAGGAACACTTTGACTTTGACATTGTTAAGCACTGAAGTTCAAAACTAGCAACCATACACACTTACTATTTAACATCTTGTGTTTTTTCCTTTATTCATAGGTTTAAAAGAAGTGCTTAGCTACCTGATGGTGACCTCTTACACTTTTCATGATCGACCTGGTTGTCTTGAAAAAAGAAATAATAGTTTCTATTTTCGCTTCCATTTCCCTCTCAGAAAATGAATAAAGAAAAATGGCCAGAAAAAAATGGGAAAAATATAAAATATTTTTTTAAATACATGTTTTTCTTCTTGTTTGGGGTTACTCAACTCAAAAACAGTATTTTATGTCCCCAAATACTGTTTAAATTTCTACCATAATTTATCCCCTTGAATCATCAATAGTCTTTTTCTCAAGCCTACCATTCTCTGAAGCCACTACAATCTTGTCCTGTGACACTTAGCTTTAGCTTTTGAAATGGAACAGAGAAGAGACAAAAGCTTATGAATTGAAGCCACAGCAGGGGCAAGGATTTAGCCTCCTTTTCTGTACATTCTCAAAGCTGTTGGCTGTAGGGACTAAAATACACATTCTGGGGCTTTTCTACTGGATTCCAGTCATGTACCATGTACTAGGAGTAAATAAGGACAACAGGAAATCAGGAAACAGGCTGGAATTCACTCTTAGAATTTCTTCCAAATGACAACCACCAAAATCTAGTTAAAGACTCATTTTATGATTTCTTAACTTTTTTTAAATTGGGGATTCCAATGAAGTGGCTTTGAAGTATTTATCTGAAATCTCTTTAATACCACTTCCCAAGCACCGGACTCTGCCTATGCTGAGATAATACTTTGACTTGATCAACCAAGAACGAAATGGGGGGAAAAATACCCATTGCTAACCCAAGTTTTAGTGTAGCTTATAAAATTACTTGGAAGAAATAATCAGAGAGGCAAGAGAACAAGTAGTAGAGTGTTTCAAAAGGCGAAAGGAAAGAGAATGAACTCAGTTCAATGGCAAATGCAAGATCAACGTTGGAGCAGTTTCAGGACACTGGTGATGTTGAGCTACATAGCACGTTGCTACCTTGGGAAAGGCAGAAAGAGTACGTCTTTGTGGCTCTTATACAGCAGCTGCTTATTTAGTTTTTCCGAGACAGGATTTTTAATTAGCTGTCTATGGTTATTCTCTTTTTTGTTTTTCCTCAATTTATAGAGGGCTCTAGATCACCTACTAGTCTAACCCCTTGGTCATTTTCCTAGGACTGGCTTTCAGCTGCTTCGAAATGATGTGACTGCCAGGAAAGTACTACTGCATCGCCTCGGGCCTTTCTAGACCCTTTTCTAGGAAGAGATGATGCACTAATTGTTTCCTAACCCAAATGCTATAAATGCACAAGACCATAGAATACTGGACTGGTTGGCCAGGTGTAGTGGTTCACGCCTGTAATCTTAGCACTTTGGAAGCTGAGGTGGGCGGATCACGAGGTCAGGAGTTCGAGACCAGCCTGGCCAAGATGGTGAAACCCCGTCTCTACTAAAAATACAAAAAATTAACTGGGTGTGGTGGCGGGCACCTGTAATGCCAGCTACTCGGGAGGCTGAGGCAGGAGAATTGCTTGAACCCGGGAAGTGAAGATTGCAGTGAGCCAAGATTGCACCATTGCACTCCAGCCCAGGTGACAGTGCGAGACTCCATCTCAAAAAAAAAAAAAAAAAATACTGGACTGGTTTAATTATCCTTCAAAGTAAATGGTGAGTCAAAGAAGAATGAATGTATTTGAGGAACAGATGTCCAAAGCAGGATTCATGTCCTCTAATGTAAGGCTAAGAAGAAAACATCAGAAAATTTTTATTATTGTGTGGGTTCTATTTATCTAATGAAAAAAACACATTATGGATCATTAAAAATAATCTTAGAAAATTAAAAAAGAAATCAAAATGAAATCCTAGAGAGTGACTTTTTCAAATAATTTTGACAGATACACTGCGGCATCCACCAGCCTTCAAGTCTGCTTTATTATCTTCTCACAATCCTTTCAAACTCTGGATACCACAAAACAAAGTAATCCGAATTGTGCTATGTGCTTTAAAAATAACTGTAAATAATTAAAAGTAATTGTAAAATATAGGAAAATGTTAATCTACAATACTAATATTCGACTAAATTTTTGGTGAATCTGTTATATTTAAGGATACAGAAAGGCTTCGTTAATCATAATTGAAATCAGGACATAGTCAAAGAATCAAATGAGCAACTTCAACTTGGCTTCAATAACAAAACATTTAGAAACTTCTACAACTACCAACTACTCCAATGAGATCTTTTCAAAGCAGGAAATTGGGATACAATATCTTGTTTATTGCCTGTTAGCTTTAGAAACAGCCCTCAAAGATAGGTCAATGTTGGTTTAGTTTTGTTTAAAAGAACAATTTTGCAATTATAATCTTTAAAATTTGTCATATTTATGGAGAAATCTTAGATGTATGTACATAATTGCAATTCCTTTATAAACTTGCATCTGAAATCAGTGAGAATTTTGCTAAGACAAGGATGGTACAGAATCACTGTGATAATCTAACTAGAGTTTCAAAGTAAAGAAGCAATAGATTTCAGATTTTGTCTTTTTCCAGCACTAGCTTTATAGCTAGCACCAACCATACCTCTCACATAAGAAACCAAGCTGCAAACCTACACCAGTTAAAAATTAAGTTCTGCTACCATTTGATACAGCCATCCCACTACTGGGTATATATCACCCCAAAATCAAATCATTATATAAAAAGATACCTGCACTCGTATGTTTATCACAGCACTATTCACTAGAGCAAAGTTATGGAATCCACCTAAGTGTCCATCAACTGATGACTGGATGAAGAAAATGTGGTGATATATACAATGGACTACTACTCAGACATAAAAAATGAAATAATGTCTTCTACTGCAACATAGATGGAACTAGAGGTCATTATTTTAAGTGAAAAAATTCAGAAGTGAGTAGTCAAATACTACATGTTCTCAATGATAAGTGGAGCTAAATATGTGTGCACGTGGACATAACAGTGTGGAATAACAATCACTGGAGACTTGGAAGGGTGAGACAGTGGGAGGCGGGTAAGGCATGAGAAATTATTTAATGGGTACAATGTACACTATTCAGGTGATGGTTACACTAAAAGCTCAGGCTTCACTACTACACAATATATCCATGTAACAAAACTGCACTTGTACCTTTCAAATTTATACAAATAAAAAAATTCAGTTCTCATTTATCTTGGAAGAGTGAATTATCATTTCCAAAAGTTTTAAATGGATCTGAACCTTTATTTAACTGTCATTTTTCAGTCTCATTAAAAAATACATGAAGGTGAGGACTCAGGTTTTACCATGAAATCCTTTTCCCCTACTAGATTGCAGCTCCTTAAACTGGGTTATAATGTATGACTACATTTCAATTAATTAGATGTTGAGCTAAATGCTAAAAATGCTTGAAGAGATTAGGTAGATGACTTCAACACATTCCAATATACAAGCTCACTTGCACACTATGAAAGTTTAAGGTACTAAAAAATGACAAGGTGATTCAGCACAGAAAAACAATGCAACACTACACTTGGGCCAGCAGATGTCTCTCTACAACCCATGGCACCAACCAAGAGATAACCAGGTATCTAACAGCACAGAAGGATTGATCTTATTCGAAACGGTAAACAAAAGCATTCTTAGGTATTGATCAGGAGGAGAAGAATGTTCAAGTTCAGACAGAAAGTTGAGAAGGGAACAGTAGGTGAGAAAATAGAAACAGAAGCTTATTACAAAAGGAAGGAGAGAGCTCGGCCCATAAAGAATAAAGTTAAGGCAGGTTTGAGGCATTTTTAGGGGTAAAAAAATGCTGTAGAAGTTACTGAAGAATACAGGGAGAAGGGCAAGAAACCATGCGTCCCTACCATAGCACTGAAATACTGCAAGCTTGTCAAAGGACAACCGACTGACTAGCAGGTTAAGAAATCCACTTTGCTGGTTATGATGAACAATAAAAAGAGAGAAAAAGGGAAAAGAAAAAGTGATAGAATTAAAAAACTCTATCCCAGCTTGCATAAAGTAAGCTTCAGGAAACCACATACCCACATGTACAAATATGTGTGCTGGGCCCTAAGGTAACAGGTATTTCCTCCTGGGGGTTCTAATAAAAAGGTCTGAAAGCCATGGAGATATTCAGTGCACCCCCAGTGCCCCACCTCTCCCTCAAGCTAATAATGCCAGCTGCAAGACCTCCAAAACAGAAACATAACTGTCAAAGGTAATATCCCAAAATCCCCGAAGGAAGACATGGTAAAACATACATCATCATATTTAAAATAAACTATGTAAATTATGAAGCAGAAGTCAGGGCCGAGGAAGATGCAACATAAACTCCATGAGAGAAAAGTCTAACTACCAGATGCAACTCTCAGCCCCATCTCTGGCATCTTTTCCCACCCTGAATAAAGGGATGCTGAGGGGCTGAAGGGGAGCTGGCAGGAGAGACAGCAAGGCTGGGGACGAGGCGGATAGCAGGACATACAGCATCTATCTGGGCAGGAATTGGTGAAGATCCAGAGAGATGGGAGTGGAGTGAGGAGAAAGATAACCCATTCAATGTCAAATCCCATCACCAAGCAGAGGACTGGACACGTAATATGCCCCTTACTAACGTTTGCTGAAGGTGTCAGTAGGTCTCAGCAATGCCAACAATTTTATTACAATTACAGGAAGTTAGTGCCTAAGCAGGCATGATAGTTTGGAGCTTCTTATTCCAAGGTTATCACCTGCCATCATCAGAAAATGGGAGTGCTGCTGCTTTTAACTCTATCCTCACCATCTTTAGTAACTGTCAGCCATTTCAGTAGCCACCTGGAAGCTATGCTATGCTCCCCTGGAACTACGTCTTCAAGAATTTCAAAGAAGTTTGTTTGGTTTCAAACTGGAAACCAATCTGACACTTAGAAGGTCAAAGACAAAAATGAATGGGTGCTCAAGGACTTAGGGTGCTCAAAGATTAAGACGTTTCAAAGAGGTTTTAAGTTACGTTTCTCAGAGCCAGGACAACAGACTATACAGAGGCCACGTCAGAACTTACCAATGATGTTCGCACTTGCCTTAGGAGGAGAGTTTGCTTTTGTTGGGTATTTTTGGTTTGTATAATTGGTTTATTTGGGGCTTACGTATATTTAAAAGAACTTTATAACAGCAAACACCTACATACTATTTACTATGTGCTATGTACTATTCTAGGCCTTTACAAATATTAACTTATTTAATAAATGTATATAGAACTACTAATCTCAGTTACCTGTTCAGTGGTTTATTCTGCTTCACTAAAAGTATCTCCGTTTCTTCCATTTTCCTCCTGCAAAATAGGAGGAGAATATCGTTAGTGAGTAGGTACAAATGCACACAAAATGTTTTACATTATTATTTGCTATTTTCCAAACTCAGAGTGCCAAAAGGGCTTCACTGAACTTTAGCCAATTATTTCACCTGCCTAATTTTACTGAGTTCCTAAATAGAATCTTAAGAAGACATAATTACTACATACACAGATAATAAGAGATTTGAAAAACAAATAACTTGTGGCTTCAAAAGAAATTAAGGTGACACAATAAAAAGTTAGATGCACAGGGAAACAGAGTAAGATTCTCTTGGACTTTGAATCCTTCTACATTTGATACGACTTTTCAAACCACACTCCCTCTGCAGTTCTTTTTCAGGTGGGCAGTATGTTTCCTCACTAGGTGAAATAATTGCTGTTCTAAAGATAGAAACAATTGGTGGATTTGATTTTAAAGATTTACTGAAAATTTTTAAAAAATGATAATGGAAAGCATTTGTTAAAAAAAAGAGGTTATTTCCCAGAAAAGGTAATTGTTCATCATCTCTGGCAGGTGACATTTACCTTTGGGAACTCATGAGTGTCTAGGTTCTGTCCCTGAAATCTCTGGCTCCAAAAGTCTCTCTCACTAAGGTGCCAGAGATGATCATGTTGATTAATACTGATTCATGCTAACAAAGCTCACAAGAGACTGATAAAGCCAAAATGGCAAAGTATTGACTTATAGTGAAAAATGTAATTGTCAGATATCCTGGACACTTGCTCCGTCCAGTTTGGAAGCCAGTAAATCCAAGGCATAGGCACCTCACAGGCAGGCAAAGATTAGGCCAAATTCACGGCAGATTGCTCAGTGAGCATATCGGAGCAGTCACCACCTAGATGCCAATGGCCTCCAAAACGATCTCTCTAGCCAAGCATTATCCTACCTTCTCCACCACCATCCTAGTCCAAGCTGCCATTGTTCTTTCTCCTGGACAAATACAAAACACTTCTTGCTGTTTTCCCAGCCTCCACACTTTCTCCCTTCCAATTCATTATGCACAATGTGTCCAGAGTAAACCCTTTGTTTGTTTGTTTGTTTTGGAGACAGGGTCTCACTTTGTCAGTCAGGCTGGAGTACAGTACTACAATCATAGCTCACTATAGCCTCAAACTCCAGGGCTCAAGCGATCTTCCCACCTCAGCCTCCCAAGTTGCTGAGATAATGTACAGGTGTGCACTACCATGCCCACTCATTTTTTATTTTTTGTAGAGACAAGGTCTTGCTATGTTGCCCAGGCTGGCCTGGAACTCCTGGCCTCAAGTGATCCTCCTGCCTCAGCCTCCCGAGATGCTAGGCTACAGGTATGAGCCACCATGCCTGGCACAAAAGAAACCCTTTAAAATAGAAAACAGACTGTGGCTCAGCCCTACCTATACCCGCCCCACCTTTAGTGCTCTGCATTGGTCTATGATAAACACAGGGGATGACTCTTGGCCCTGCTGGGGCCCTGCCCCCTCCATGCACCACTCTCCCTTGTCATCCTCTCACTTCAGCCACGCTGGTCTCCTTTCACTCCTATGAATAAACAAGATCCCTCAACACCTCAGAGATTTTGCACATCTTATTTTCTCTCCTTGAAAATTAATGCACATATTCTGCCCTCCCTCCCCCGATATACATGCCTACCCAGGAACCTGTACATCCTCACCTACATAGGGACACATTCCCCTATGCTAAGCTCCCAGGACACCTTGACCTTCTCCACCAGAGCACTTAAACAGTTTGTAACTACACGTAACTATGCATTATGCAGTTATTTAATTTAGATCTCTCTCTCTCTCACTAGACTATAAGAAGCTCCATGAGGGTGGACACTGAGCTCATTTTATTAGCGTGTTCCCCGGTAGTGACTACTCAACAGATATGTTCTTGAATGAATGGTGGCTTCGGGCTTTCAGAATCTGTTGCATCCATTGCCAAAAACAGGGATAATTCTGCCAGACAGACACGGGGCTCTGCTGAAGGGGCTCCATCCCCCACATTGTGCACCCCCACCCCTGGGTCACCAGTAATTAGATGGGCATTGTCTACATACACTTATGTAAATTTTTGTTTCCTACACTTCCATGGCCAAAATAAATCTTCAGATATTAAAAAGAAATAGCACAAAGTTCAAGACACATTTGGGTAGCAACGCAGCAGAGAAGACTCACGGCAGTGGGTTACTAAGAAACACTAGAAACAAAAAGGAAAACAAATTTCAGCCAAAGGAAGTCCTTGATGAAACAACCCTGGCAAGTGGATACACATACACACACAGACCAAAGCAGTGGCTCTCAGATGAGGGTGCATGAGATCCTGGGTTTGCTGCGGGATGCCACCACAACCAGGGGGTCAACAGCAAGGCAGTGTGAAGATCCTAGAAGGAGGCCCCACTCCCTGCCCCTCCTCTGATCGCCAGGGCCTGCCGTGCATGCTTGGCACACAGGAGACCCGGTGTGCACTGAGTGTGGTGCTCTCCCATTTACCTAACAAACCAACAATCAATGGGCATTTCCTAACTCACTGCGTAGAGTGTTTTAAATGGCTCACAGCTGTGGTTAATTTTTACAAGATGTTCTAACACTTCAGTCTTCTTATGTGATAGGGATGAGAACAAAACCGGTGGGAAGAAACCCCATAATACATTTGGCTCTAAATTCATATCTAGTTATGGGGTTAGAGAGGGTCAATTTCATTCATCCTTTCAAAATAGTGTGCACTGCAAATAGTGTGCACCTCGTTCTAGGTGGTGTGGATAGGCACTGAACAAGACAAAAGGCCTTTTCAAGGAGATAACATTCTGGAAGGAGACTGACCATAAATACTAAAGTAAAAGATAAAACCCATCAGATGACAATACATGGTATGAAGAAAAGTAAAGCAAGAGAGGGTGACAGAGAATGTGTGTGTGTTGGGGGTGGGAGGTGGGAGTCAACATTGAAATAGGGTGTTCAAGGAAAGCCTCCCTGAGAAATTGCCATATGAGCAAAGATCTGAAGAATGTGGAGAACCATGCAGACATCTCCGGAAGGACAGTTCCAGACAGAGGGACCAGCAAGTGCAAAGGGCCTGAGGCTGAAGCATGGCCTGTCTTGGGGCACATGAGGGAACAGTAATAGGAGGTGAGATCATAGAGGTGAGTGAGGGGTTTCATAGTCCAGCACTAAAGACTGTTGGCTTTGATTCTGAGAGCCATGGAATGCAACTGAGGTGATGCATGCCGCACCCTGCCCTGTGGAATGCTGAAGAGGGGCAGGGACATGATCTGGCTGTGTTGAGAATAAACTGAAAAGAAGGCAAGGAGGCAGCTAGGCCAGTGACCGGGCTACTGGGACAATGCAGGTACGAGAGGACAAGGGCTTGGACTAGGTGCAGCAGCACAGGTACTTCCACAGAGTTGTTGGGGTCTTCACAGAGCTTGAAGCGAAGGCCCTGGAGCTAACTCTCACTTCCCTAAGGGCTGATCTTAGTGATCTTAATGCTCTTCTCACTAACCATGTTTTTTGTTTTAATTAGTACTTTTACAAAAGAAAATTTAGTGGGTTTTAACCTGCTACAGAAGTAATAGATGATCAGGCTGGGTGTGTTGGCTCACGCCTGTAATCCCAGGACTTTGGGAGGCTGAGGCGGGTGGATCACCTGAGGTCAGGAGCTCGAGACCAGCCTGGCCAACATGGTGAAACCCTGTTTCAACTAAAAATGCAAAAATTAGCCGGACGTGGTGGTGTGCCTCTGTAATCCCAGCTGCTCAGGAGGCTGAGGTGGAAGAATTGCTTGAACCCCGGAGGCAGAGGCTGCAATGAGCTGAGATTGTGCCACTGCACTCCAGCCTGGGCAACAGAGCGAGACTCCATCAAAAAAAAAAAAAAAAAAAAAAAATAGATGATCATTATAGAGTGCAAAAGGTCAAGCAAACCAAACCTGTGCATCACATTATAAAAGAACTTAACATACAAGTGTTTCTTATACTGTCACCACCATATATTAGCATTTTAAATCCGTGAAAATAAAAGACTTCTTCCCTAGGTGAGGAGAAAGATCATTCTATACACATGACCATGGTAGTTAATGACTCTATGTAACAAAAGGTTTTCCATTGAAGATCTATTGATATACAGCAGGACAAACACCAAACAGAAGTACTGTATTCTTAAAACCAAGCTTAGGTCAGTATGGTCTAACCCTGAAATCTTTCAGCTGTGCCAGTTTGAGATTAATGAAGAAATGTTTGGCCCATCACTCACAAAACCACACTTTTCTGCACAAAGACTTTCTCTTAGAGACACCCATGATGATAACATAATGTAAAGTAAAATTTAGATATGGTGAAATTCTTAAAAAATGAAATAAAGTACCCTTTTTAGTCTCTGCATTGTTGATTAACACGGGGGTTAAAAAAAAAGGTAGGGGAAGCTCAGTGCGCAGAACTGTTGTCATGGAAACCATCCTACTCCAGGGCAGGGGAGCAGCTCTTCATGCTGTCATCAAGCCACCAAGAATCTCATCTGTTTGGGAGACAGAGCCACGTCCTCCCCTAATCAGAACATTGCTGTTTAGTCAAACATGATGACTTGGCCTGGTCTGTAGCTGCAAACAAAATTAAACTGTGATTCTCAACATTTGACTCTTCTGGCTGATATGGCATATTTGTTTAGCTTCTCTCGAACAGAGCTACCAACAGATCAGTCACTCATGGTGACTCGGGGAGCATCAGTTGTCCACCAGAGCAGAGCTTTTCAAACTCCGAGATGCACATGAGCTGCTTGCAAGTCCTGTTAAAAAGCAGATTCTTATATAGATAACTCTTATGACAACATCGCCTGTGCTATAATGTACATCTCTCAACTCTTCTGAGCTATTTTAATTCATCCTAATTCATTTTTATTAACATTTTTCAGACATGTGTTTCTTTCTTAGTTTGCTTCTGAAGTATAAAGATAATAGTGATGAGGTTTTAAAAAAAAAAAATACTGCTTCTCTATGACAAGGACGCCCAGCAAAGGATCACCTGAGCCTGGGAGATGGAGGCTGCAGTGAGCCCTGATTGTGCCACTGCACTCCAGCCTGGGCAACAGAGTGAGACTCTGTCTCAAAAACAAAACAAAACAAAACAAAACAAAACAAAACAAAACAAAAGGATCCCCAGCATATCTGTGAGCGTGACCTACTTTTTTTGTTTCTCTGAAATCCTAAGATGACCAAAAGAAGAAGTGTAGTGAAAAAAGGCTGAATGTAAGTCAGTAAGCAAAAGAGAGGCTGGTCTAACAACCATGATTGTTCTTATACCTTGGGAATCCTGTAAAAGCACAGAGGGAGGGACCTGGCAGAAAGGAAGCCAACAGACAAGAGGCTATAGTGGCAACAACTGCTTGGAGATCTATAAGATAAATCAGGGAGATCACAATCAATTGTTTATAGACTCTGAAAGGACCAACAAGAATTACCATTGAGTTATGTAAAGAAAAAAAAACTATTAGCCAACATCTATTAAGGAGGAAAAACAAAGGTATACACAGCTTGGGGCAAGATTTGAAGAAGCATAACCCCACCTACATACAAAGGCATGTGGCAGAGAGCAGGCCTACTCATTCTGTGTGGCTCCTGTGGCTTGAACCCAAAGGTAAAATAGAAAAGGAGAGGCTAGGCACAGTGGCTGACACCTGTAATCTCAGCACTTTGGAAAGCCGAGGCGGGCGGATGACCTGAGGTCAGGAGTTTGAGACCAGCCTGGCCAACATGGCGAAACCCCGTCTCGACTAAAAATACAAACATTAGCTGGGCGTGGTGGCAGGCGCCTGTAGTCCAAGCTACTCGGGAGGCTGAGGCAGGAGAATCACTTGAACGTGGGGGGCAGAGGTTGCAGTGAGCTGAGATTGTGCCACCGCACTCCAGCCTGGTAACAGAGAGAGACTCCATCTCAAATAATAATAATAAAAGGAAACAGAGATGGACTTGGGCACAATATAAGAAAATACCTTCCTTTGTTGTTGTTGTTGTTTTTCTTTTTGAGATGGAGTCTTGCCCTGTCGCCTGGACTGGAGTGCAGTGTCGCGATCTCAGCTCACTGCAACCTCCACCTCCTGGGTTCAAGTGATTTTCCTGCCTCAGCCTCCCAAGTAGCTGGTATTACAGGGGCATGCCACCAAGCCTGGCTAATTTTTGTATTTTTAGTGGAGATGGGTTTCACCACGTTGACCAGGCTGGTTTCGAACTGCTGACCTGAGGTGATCCGCCCGCCCTGGCCTCCCCAAGTGCTGGGATTACAGGCGTGAGCTACTGTGCCCCACGTCATCTGACAGGTTTTAAAGTGGCAGTAAGAAGTGGCCCGTGTCGCGTGATACACACATACCTTCTAACAAAATACACTTCTCGGGACACAGAACTTTTCTTTTTGCAAAGTAAGGAGCTCCCATCATTCCTGAGATAGTCTCCACCTGCCACCCTGTTCCTCTCCAGTACTGTACACTGTAAACATGCCAAGCCGGATGCCACTCCCCAGACAGCTTCACGACTGCAAGCATCACATGGTCTGTGCCTACAACGCTTTTCATTTCTGGGCCATCCCTGCAAACTTGAAAACCCAACCTCCTCTGTGAATCTTGTGCTCTCTCTCCTCCAAGCAGAGTGGCTAGCCTGCTTCTCGCCCGCTCAGCGTACTTCTCCCCTGCACCATCTCCCTCTGCTGTAAATATCTAGACTGTCAGGTCTCTGAGGGCAGGACCACATGCTATTTCCCTGTGTATCCTCAGTGCTGACCATAGTGACCTGGATACAGCATGCACTGGATGATGGGAGGAAGGAAGAAGAGGGGAGGTGGGTAAAGAGAGAGATGATGATGCCTAAATTATCATCTGCTATGCATACTGTAGAAGGAACTCTGATACTGAGAGGAATGTTGATTTCAATGAACTTATTCTACACAGACATGAATTACTGTGGCCTTCATTAAGGTTATTTTATGTATGTTTAACAATCCATTTATTGTTATTTAGCTGTTTAGAAACAGTCCCAATATTTTGCTTTTACTCATATATATGTCAGTATTTAGCAGTGTAAATAAAGTCTAAGTTTTTATACTAAAAACCATCTTTCAAAGTTACTGAGACGCCTGCAGAAAATGTGTCCACAGCATTTCACTGCAGTTTGGAATAACTCTGTATCATTAAAACAAGCACAGGGGCCTCTACTGGCAAAACTACCCAGCAACACTTTATAAGCCTTTATGTTAGAACGCTGAATATCAGAAAGTGAAGTGAGTCTCCAAACTTTCCCTAATTCAGACAAGACTTTACCTTAATTACTAATTAGTACCAATAAGGGAAGATTGATTGATTGATTGATTTTAGACGGAGTTTCACTCTTGTTGCCCAGACTGGAGTGTAGTGGTGTAATCTCGGCTCACTGCAACCTCCAACTCCTGGGTTCAAGTGATTCTCCACCACGCCCGGCTAATTTTGTGTTTTTAGTAGAGATGGGGTTTCTCCATGTTGCTCAGGCTGGTCTTGAACTCCCAACCTCAGGTGATCCACCCGCCTTGGCCTCCCAAAGTGCTGGGATTACAGGCATGAGCCACCGAGATGGCTGGGAAGTTTTATTTTACCATTTGTTCATTTTCTCACACTCTAACACCCAAGGCAACAACCTACTTCAAGACATGACATGTTTGGGCTCTGGGGTCACTTCCATCAAGGGCCATTTGACTAGGGCTTCTCAGGGGCGTGACATGTAGGCGAATACATCTGGGAACTACAGAGCCATTGCTAACAACGCTCATTACTATTCAGAATGATCACCATCAGGCACATCAGCACCTTTCCCTCCGACAATGGAACCAACACCCGAGCCACAGAGCTGGGCTCTGCTGCTGCATAGGGCACCGACTCAGTACCGGCACATCCCGGCTGTCCTTGCTGTCTCCCCATTCTTCCCCAAAGTGGGGCCTATCAGCACACTGCCAAACTCACCTCCCCAGCAGCCTGGTTCCTTTAGTCCCACTTTCTATCCTGGACTACTGCCCTGAGGGACAACAGAATGGTTTCTGGACTCTTTGGACACCAAGGCCAACCCGGGCTGCCGTAGGGGCAAGGCCTAAAGAAGGAGCCTGCAGCCTCCACACCGTGGGTGTCAGGGTCATGTGCGTGTGAACTGCCAGCCCCGTTTCGTTGTGTTACTACAGAGAGAAACACAGTGGACCTTCTCTAGCATGAGAGCACCATAGTCTAGGAGGAGTGAAGGAAGGTCTTTATTTCATGAGACTTAAAAAAAAAATAGCTTCAAGATATAGTTTTAGAAACATAAGCAGACATCTTGTGGTCTGACAACAATTCATAAATCAGATCTTAAAACTGATTTTAGCAGATCTTTTCTATAAAATGCTGTATTTATAAAATGGAAAAAAGGCAGGATGGTGCAGCAAATTGGCCAAGCACAGATTGCATATTGACTTCATCTGACACTTTTTTTTTGTTTGTTTGTTTTTGAGATGTAGTCTCGTTCTGTCACCCAGGCTGGAGTTGCAGTGGCGCGATCTCGGCTCACTGCAACCTCCGCCTCCCAGGTTCAAATGATTCTCCTGCCTCAGCCTCCCAAGTAGCTAGGACTACAGGCACACATCACCATGCTCGGCTAATTTTTTTTTCTTTTTTTTGTATTTTTAGCAGAGAGGAGGTTTTACCATGTTGGCCAGGCTGGTCTCAAACTCCTGGGCTCAGGCAATCCTCCTGCCTCGGCCTCCCATAGTGCTGGGATTACAGGCATGAGCCACCGTGCGTGGCCCTAGCCCATTTTCTTTTCTTTTCTTTTCTTTTCTTTTTCTTTTTTTTTTTTTTTTTTGAGGCGGAGTCTCGTTCTGTTGCCCAGGCTGGAGTGCAGGGGTGCAATCTTGGCTCACTGCAACCTCTGCCTCCCAGGTTCAAGTGATTCTCCCACCTCCGTCTCCCGAGTAGCTGGGATTACAGGTATGCACCACCATGCTCTGCTAATTTTTTGTGTATGTGTATTTTTAGGAGAGACAGGTTTTCGCCATATTGGCCAGGCTGGTTTCCAACTCCTGACCTCAAGTGATCTACCCACCTCGGCTTCCCAAAGTGCTGGGATTACAGGCGTGAGCCACCACACCCAGCCTCATCTGACAAGTTTTAAAGTGGCAGTAAGAAGTGGCCTGTGTTCCATGATACAGAATATGAATCTACTTCCAATTGAAAAATATTCATGTATCACCCAACCAGGATGGCTGCAGCAGGAACAAAAGCAAACATGCTGAGAAATAAGATGTCTGGCGGCTACTCTTGATTTGAGGCTGTTTGTACATAGGGTCTAATTTTCAAAATAAAATCTTCTTTGCTTGTTTTGCCAGTTCTTTCTTATATTTGAACTAATTAGAGGGGAAATAAAATGGCAAAATTCAAACTAAATTCTTGCTGCCTCCAAGATTCCTCAGCCATGAGGGAGAAGGATGCTGTTTCTTAGGAAGAATCATCCGGATTCTGAGTATAGGGCAAAGGCCGCCAAATCCTAGGCCCCATTTTGAAGCCTGGTTAACTTATTAGAAAGAATTCATACCTGTAATCCCAGCACTTTGGGAGGCCAAGGCAGGAGGATCACTTGAGCCTAGGAGTTTGAGACCGGCCTGCAACATAGAAAGACCCCTGCCTCTACAAAAAATAAAAAATTAGCCAGGTGTGGTGACACATGCCTTTAGTCCTAACTACCTGGGAGGGTGAGGGAGGAGGATGGCTTGAGCCCAGGAGGTGAGAGCTGCAGTGAACCAAGATCATACCCCTGTACTCCAGCCTGGGCGACAGAGCGAGACCTTGTCTTAAAAAAAAAAAAAAAAAAAAAAAAAAAGGATTTACCCAACACTCACTATCCCCACAATAAGCCTGGAGTTCATAACCTGGGAAGAAGATAGAGGAAAAAGAAAACTCTTGAGAGCTCACTCAGTGCCCACAGTTTCACGTTCACCTTCAGAGCGGCCCCTGGGGAAACAGTAACGGATGGTAATGAGACAGGGCTCAGAGTGCATGTTAAACTTTCTAAGCTCAGCTCTGCCCAGGGGAGCTTTCCGACCTGCAGAGCCTTCTTTCCACCCTATCCCACGCCACCTTCCACAGGAGAGGCCCCACACTCACCCGTTCCACAGACAAAAGAAACGCACACCTGCCCCAAGGAGGGGACTTAACTAGGACAACAGGATTCAATGTTTACCAGGCTAACAAGAAAAATGCCGAACAAGCCAGGAACCAATAACTAAGTGTCAAACAGACCTGCAAGGCCCAATGTGGCTTGCTTCACAGGAAGAGGCACACAAGCACCTCTTAGAACCCCTGCATTGAAACACTCCCACAAATTCCCCCAGGATGCAGACGGGAGATGCCCTGCAGTCACTCCTGGCCTCCAGAACTGGGAGGGGCTCAAGCTCTGGCCCAGTGCGAAGGCAAGAGGCCTCTATTCCTGGCTACGAGAATCAATAGAAACTCATGGACTTCTAGAGAGCCTTGCCAAAGATCTCGAAACTCAGGAACCACGTAGGGAGCCCTACTGTTCACCACTGTATGTTGCCCTCTGGGCTTGGCAGAAATGTACCTAAGTGCAATACCAAGGGGCAAATAAGAAGCCAAACTGTGGAAAATGAACAGGGGAGCAGCGGCAGTTCTTGGAGTTGGGGAAAAGAGAGAAAACGTGTTTTTTAACATGAAAATGTTTGTCTAGAATTGAGAATGCAAAGAAATGCCCAGAAAGCACTGGCGAGCTGCAGGAGAAGGGTGACAACACAGTCTGTAGCGAGAACAGAGAGTTCGCAGAGCCTGGGCGTGTGCCTGCTTCCATTCCCGCCCACCCACAGTTTCTGGGGCAAACAAATTCTTGGCTGAGCAGGTATGTGTGGGAGGCCTGATTTATTTTCCAACCATTAGAGCTTTGCCCAGAACTACTTAATCAGGATTTTTCAAGGTCATACATTCAAATATGATGTTATAGCCTTACGAAACAAATAACTTTGGGGTCTATGGGGCAGGAGGGTAGGGAGTGACAAGAAGGGGAAGGAGAAATTAACCACTCTCATTTGATCTAGCTTCCCAACCATTCTTGTATCTACTATATATTCTCAGAAAATTGACACACTGGACAAATGCATAGCTCAAAGAAATAATAGCTAATTATAATGCTTACTCTAAAGCAGGCACAATTCTAAATGCTCTGTATATATTGACTTATTTGACCCTCACAAGAATCCTTTAAGGGGGATACTAATATTATTGTCCTGCTTATTTTACAGATGCATGAAGAGGTTAAGTGACTCACCCAAGGAACAACAGCCGGGTGGTGCACCCAGATAGTTTGTGCATTCCCACTCTGCTATACTCCCTCTCTGTGCTCCGCCGTCCTGTCCCTCAAAAGAGCTTGTTTCAGTCATGGTATATCTAATTAATTTTCCCAGTGCGGTAGAGTTTTATTTAAGCTACTTTCTTGAAAGGAATACTATCAGAGCCAGTCTCAACCTCAAAGTACAGATGAGACAGTACCAACCCTGCTGCTTAAAAAGCCATATAATTTTAGGAGGGCTGGAAAAGTCCCAAGGCTCAAACCACAATTCACTCTCACACAGAGCCTGATTAGAAGCAGTTCTAGGCAAAGCTTTGATCCTGTTAAAATGTACAAGCTTCTGGGAGGCGTTCACTTTATGCTGTTATCGCTTTGTAGGAAAAGTTGCATTGTTATCTTTCTAAATACAGTTTAATGATAAGAACTTCAGGTGGTTTCCAGGCATCTGATTCACCTGTCCAGTTCTGACTTGTTCCCTGCTGGGTACCTGGAACTCTCCAGGACCTGGCACATAAATAAGTGCTCAATATTGCCAGCGTGGGCGAACAAACGAATGAATGAATGGCTGTCATTCCTGCAGATGCTAGGTTTAGGGCAAACCTATGACACACGTAGGTATCACAGGGGCAGCCAAGTTAGGCAAAATTATCACATTAAAAGTCTAAATGTGAACAAGTAAATCTCCGCCAGATAGTAACAGCTGAAAGAGACCTCAGGCATGTTTAAGTTGTATATGTAGAGAATGGTCTTTTTAAAGATTATATTTTAAAATGCATATGCAGCAGAGCTAATATACCTAATGAAGAAGGTAATAAATGGCTTAAGAAGGAAGTGATGTCTATGTAATTTCCCCCTAAAATTATACTCTCCCAATAGGTAACGTGCCCTAGGACATCACCTTTTCTCCCAACAGTCTCCTATCCAAGTCCTCTGTGTACTCAAAGTCCTCCCCAAATGCCTTCTTTTCCAGGAAATGTTCCCTGGCTTTCTGGCCAGAAGAGGTCACTCCCCAGTTTGTACTCAAAGGTACTTTGTTCTTTCTTCTTGTACACAATTCATTTTCTGAACTGTAGTTATTTTTCTCATGTGCACTACCAACTTGTCCCTAACTTCTTCCCTGTATTCCACAGGGAACCACACATTCTTCCCAATGTAAACCAAGCATCTAGTAAAAATCAGGCTGTTTTTTAAAAGACTCCTGTGGAAGTGCTCCAAGGATACCACAAACATCTGTTTCTGATGTTCAAATATGTTTTGGATATTTTTTAAGCTTTAATTTAAGAAAACAACCTGAAATGGTTTATATGCAAACTTTTCACGCACTGCAGATCTCTGCCCATGAATGAGATGTGTGCCAATAAACCCGGCCAGGCCGGGCAACCTCGCAGCCCTCACAGGAGGCTGCTCTGCCCGCTCTGTGCTTGCTCACATGTGAACTTCTCCTAAGTGTGACATTGGTGAGGGAAGCTGTAGCCCCAGCTCGGCCCTGTGAGAAATACCTGCCTGCAGCGTCTGCTCTCCTAAAGTTGTTCAAGCAAGCACATGAATACAAAACCACACCCTAGCGTGGGCTTCGATTAAATGCCAGGCAAGGCTCAGGGCCATCTGTACGGCCTTGCTTTCATGGCACCATAAAGTCCTTTGTGATAATATCCCACTTGAGAGAGAGTAAATATTTATTCTAAGAATTAGATGTTTCCTGTATGACTAGATTTATGATAAGGAATGTGAGCAACTGTTTCCTAAGTTCAGTTACAGGGTTTCTCTTACAGCTTTGAAACAAATACTCCCTACCTTCCACGAGCTGAACTAAAATGTATCCTGGGATCCTAAGGCAAGGTATTTAAACCAAACCAAAAACTCTGTTATAGTTTGCAAACAATTTTCTATAAAAACAGACTTTAAAAATATCCTGCATTTAAAGCAAAGTATACAATTTTATTAAAGAAAGAAGATGATGTGAATATAGCCATGATAAGTTAACAACACCTGACTTAAAATGTTTTCTGTCTTCGTAACAGCCTCATTGTTCTTACTGACACGGCAGTAAATAAACTTCATGAACGTAAACTTCAAAGAGTTTATCCTAGTAAGATAGCACTTTATCTGTTTTACATGGTAGAGTTTCATGTAAGATTTCAGTTAATGAAAGGATTCACTGCTTCCCAAAAGTTTGAAAACTTCTCTTAATGTTCCTCAAACATCAGTCTGTAGAATGACTGTAAGACACCTGGAGAAGATGTTTTCATACACGTGTTCCTGGACCATTTTCCTCAGTAATTTCCTTGTAATAGGTACAAAGGTAAGAATCTAAACTTAGGCAAAAAAAAAAAAAAGAAAGAAAGAAAGAAAGAAAGAAAGAAAGAAAAGAAACCACTAATCTAATACCATATTCACAGAGTTTATTTAACTCTGTCTTAAAATTTCACTGACAATCAATAGCCAGAGCATCAGTGTGGCTTCTAGAATCTCACTTTATTTAAAATTTGGACAAAGATGATTTTTCTTGCATTCGGCCCCTATTCTGCATGATTTCTCAAAGTCAGCATCAGGGTTTTTCAATATTTGCATGCTCCTTCAGCACACCCGAGAGTTTGAGAAAAATTATATATATATATTTGAGATGGAGTCTCGCTCTGTTGCCAGGCTGGAGAGCAGTGGTGCGATCTTGGCTCACTGCAACCTCTGCCTCCCGGGTTCAAGTGATTCTCCTGCCTCAGCCTCCCAAGTAGCTGGGACTACAGGTGTGCACCGCCACGCCTGGCTAATTTTTGTATTTTTAGTAGAGATGGGGTTTCACCATGTTGACCAGGATGGTCTCGATCTCTTGACGACCTCATGATCTGCCGGCCTCGGCCTCCCAAAGTGCTGGGATTACAGGTGTGAGCCACCGCGCCCAGCTGAGAACCATTAATATTTTTTAAATTTAATTTAAAGTTCTGGGATACACGTGCAGGACATGCAGGTTGGTTACACAGGTAAACGTGTGCCATGGTGATTTGCTACACCTATCAACCCATCACCTAGATATTGAGCCCCACAAGCATTAGATCTTTTTCCTGATGCTCTCTCCCCCACCCCCAGAGTATGTTATTCCCCTCCCCTGTGTCCATGTGTTCTCACTGCAGAACCACTAATTTTTAACAGTAGTCACTGAATATCTCCTCCCACACTAAGCTACACTTCCCAGAGGCCTCTGCAGTTCTGAACTCTTTACAGTTTAAAAACAGTTTCCTTGCTTAAAAATATGGAAGTAAAACAGCAGTTGAGCAGAATCACGGATTTTTCAGACACAAAGATACTCTGAAATGCAACTACTCTATGCTGATTTTTTTCAGATAAGGGAAATATATTTAAGAAACAAGAAATATACGCAAGATGAAACAGGTTGTTGGCAAAGTGAGAACTCAGTAGCCAGGTTTCCATGGTTTACTAAATAAAGAGATCTAAGTTCAAATTCAGATTCTTCCACTCCCTAGCTGTAGGCTCCTGATCCAATCTTATGAGCCCCAATTTCCTTATAAACAGGAATAATACAGTATGTGTGAATATATTATTCCTGTTTATACCCATAAGGATTGTTAAGTAAATTGAATTGAAGACACTTAACTGTCTTCTACAATAGTGCCTGACTCCAAGTAGTAAGCACACAATAAATGTTGGTTGTAGTTATAAACAGATTTTTGTTGTGGTTTTAGAAAAAAAGAGGAACATTCCCCATGTATGAGGTATGTCTAACCTGAGACCTTTGTGTTTTGAAGGCAGAGACTGAAGGAATTAGGTGCTGGAGCCCAGAGCTGCAAGTGTGAAGGTTGTGGGCCTGTGGGAACACAGCTGGAAGTGACTCAATCCCTGGGGTTGGTTTCCCCAAAACTGGGAGGGGAAGGGATTAGGGTCCCATGAAGAGAAAAGCCCTGACCCACTCACACACCTGCAGGAGGCAGGATTCCAGATGAAAGTGTTGTCAGAGTGGAGACCTCAGTGAACACAGGCTTGGGGGCACTCTGCAGAAACCCCCTGCAAAGCACTAACAGAGGTTCCCTTCTGAGAGGACGCCAGGGGACTGGGCCAGGGACATGAACAGAGCAACCACAAATGGAGCGGGGTCAGGAGTCCCTCTTCCCCTCTGGTGGAGGGAGGGATCCCAACAACGAGAGTGGGTTTCCCACACACTCTGAAAAGCGGGAACCCTCATCAGATTCTATTTGATTCAGAAAAATGATTTAAATCAGGTTTAGCCTAAGGTCACGCAGCTAGTAACAGCAGAGCAAGGATTCAAAGCCAAGTCTGTCTGACTCCAAAGCCCTCACTCCTGTTGCCCATGCTGCCTCTGTGTGAGCAAACTTGTTCAAGCATGAGTTCCACCAACTATAGATCACCAGTAGTGTCTTCTCAGTATGCAGTTTTTCAATTAAAAATATTTTCTAACTAAAAAGTTTTTGGTTTTTGGAAGGACTATTTGGATGGGCTCTAAACCAAGGGGTTGTATTTACAATGGCTTCCCTCTATTAAAGTTAGGAGAAAAGACTCTACAGTGAAGATTCTGTATTTTTTAAAATGCAGTGGTAAATAAAATTTATAGTAGTCCAGTGGTTTGGACTGAGCTCCTGCACTAGGCCCCAGAGACCAAACCAAAATGGAGTCGCTCAGGCTGAAATCCCAAGCCACCAAGTCAAAACTAAGTTGTTCCAAGAAATCAGGAGAGAGAGAGAGATAAGAGCCAAATCTCCAAAAAGGCCAGTTTTAGCTGGCATGATAAGGAAGTCCCCTCTGCTTTAACCTTTGTAAGGAAAACAACTTCGAAATGATGAATAACTTTTTGTTCACTGTTTTCTTCAGCCCTTTTCTGCCTATAAAACCAACCTCCTCTGCTCGGCTCATCGTAACACCCACTGTATTTTATAGAATGAGGTGTTGCTGTACTTTAGAACAGCAAATAAAAGCCAATTAGATCTTTAAGCTAATTTTATGGCATTTTGTTTTTTGACAGCGGGTCAGTCTTCAATACCTCCAGAGATATGTTTAAACCAGATACAAGAAACAAATTTCTAAAGAAATGAATCCACCTGAGTGAAAGAAGGACGGTCATACTTCTAGGTGTCCTCGTTCAGATGAAGTACTGGCAGTAAGTCAGGCAACCAGCCAGTTACGCTGGTGAACAATGCTGGCCCTCCACATACCTCGGTTTTTAGTGGACAATCTGATAGAAGCAAGAGTCCTGTTATATCCAGATAGGGGGGGCCTTGACAAAGAATCGCTGAGGGACTAATTTATTTGATGTAAGCCAAATAACTTTTTCATTTTCAAATTACAGCTATTAACAAATGTCAGATTTATACAAATGAACTTAATGCCACATCCCCCCAAAAATGGTTTTAAATTAAGATATATTTTCTAGTTTTGAGATGAATGACTTGAGCATGTGTGAAAAGATCCTAAAAGGATTCCTTCTTGTACTGCTAGAGGTGAATGCCAAAAGTGAAAGGCCACAACATCCCAATGGGTGACGGGATTCTTGTGGGCTTCTTGCCTAGGACAAAGACTTCAGCAGGGTTACCTATACTAAAGACTTGCTGGTAAGCGAACAGCACTCCCACTGTGTAGGAGCTTCTGGGAAATGCAGAGCCTCAGGGCTCCATCCCAGAGCCACTAAATCAGAATCTTTTAACAAGATGCCCCAGGGTTCTCCATGCAGGGTAAAGTTTGAGAAGCACTGCACTTCAGTACCTTAAGTAAATGCAGATGCACTGTGTTTAAGTGTGATCAGTCTTCTGTTCTGTGATTTCAATCATCTATCAGAGCTTTCTTATAAACTAAATGTTCCTTAAATATTTCCAAGGAAGAGACCGGCTATTACTCTCCCTGGAAAAATGAGCTGATGTTCATCAATCTATAAAACACTGACTCCACATAAGCTGTGTCACAGGCAATAATTTCCTTGATATATACTAGTACCATCAATGCTTTATTTTTATTTTTTTGTTTCTGATTGTCCCCAAATGACAGAAACTCTTAGAATTTAAAAAAAAAATCCTAAACTTAAAAAAAAAAAATTAAAAATTCTATTTCACCTTTTACCACCGTTTCTCCTTTTATATCAAGTAATCAATGGTGGGTTAATGACTTCTTAAATATATTAATAAGGAGTTGTAGATGAATAAAATCTATAAAACAGAAACATACTTTGATAACAAAATCGTATCTTCCAATCACCTCAAGCTTCTTGCAATTTTTCTATGTCTAAATCAGATTTCTAAACCAGACCCTCCTTAGAACAAGAGACAAACTTTATTTTCTCTAGTCTCAGATTCCCAGGGTGGCTGTAAGTAAAGGGGAAGAATACTTAGAGTTTACTACTTAGATAAAACTTACAGATATTTTCAAAAAATAGAATACCTTCTCCAACCACAAAAGTTTAAAAAGTCTCAATTACAGGAAAATTCTGTACTTTCAAATTCCAAACAAATTTTAAGTTATGTTTAGGTGTGTATGAACTGGGGACACCAAAGGAGGACAACTGGATTATCTAAATAAATAAATATTACCACAAACAATAAAGGGAGTACTTGAGTGCACATTTACTTTAAAAAGTAGCTTTATCGGCCACGTGCAGTGGCTCACACCTGTAATGCCAGCACTTTGGGAGGCCGTGGTGGGCAGATCCCCTGAGGTCAGGAGTTTGAGACCAGCCTGGCCAACATAATGTAACCCCATCTCTACTAAAAACACAAAAATTAGCCAGGTGTGGTGGTGCGCACCTGTAGTCCCAGCTACTCAGGAGGCTGAGGCAGAAGAATCACTTGAACCCAGGAGGCAGAGGTTGCAGTGAGCCGAGATCGCACCATTGTACTCCAGCCTGGGTGACAGGGTAAGACTCTGTCTCTAAAAAAAAAAAAAAAAAAAAAAAGTAGCTTTATCAAAGTGAAGACTTGTGAACTATACTACATTGAAAACAAGTATCCCATTCAATAAAAATATTAATGAGTCACTCCTATATGGTAATGTGGCATATTATCTTGGTGTCCCCAAGGAATCATGCCTACTGGTGATCACACCCATGGTCGTGCCCTCCCACACCAACTCTGGACTGGACCAGTGGGACATTAGAAAGCATGATGCAAGCAGAAGCTTCATGAATGCTTGCATACTAGGTGAGACACGTCCAATAAAAGTATCTCTCAGAATATCTAGTGATATTCAGCTGCCCTATTAAAAAGACTAAGCAAGCCATGTAGATAGAGAGGTCAAAACCTCTCCACTATCCCCATTAAGGTGTTGGACATGTGAACTGTCTTGGATATTTCAGCCCCAGTCACTATCTTACTGTAACCACTCTAGATAATCAGAGAGACCAGCAGAAGAACCATCCACCTGAGCCCTAGCCAACTCACAGACTAATGAGCAAATAAAATGATAGTTGTATGAATGTGGTAAGTTTTAGGGTGGTGTGTTATATAGTAATAGACAATCCAAACAACTAGGAAACGGTATCTGCCTTAGAATGCAAGAGACTTCAAATAAGTCTAGGTTTATTTAGATTTTTAAATTCTTTTGTAGATTTTTTTTTCTACTTTCTGTTTATGACCTACAAAAGATAAGCTCATACTTAAGAGAACATTAAATGGTCTAAGGAGGGAGTCATTATAATCTACTTGAAATAATGCTGCATTTTACATTAGTACAGCATTTTCTATCTATTATGGCTTATCAAATGCACACTAACTTCTAAGGCAGAGATTCTTAATTTGGGGGGAGCAGGGGAGAATTCCCTCTGAGAATCCAAAAAAAAAAAAAAAAGATAATGGTCCCAGAAACACATAACTACATATTTTTTTAAATTTATTTTTATTTTTTGTTTTTTTTAAGAGATAGGGTCTGGCTATGTTGTCCAGGCTCATCTTGAACTCTTGGGCTCAAGCAATACTCCCACTTCAGCCTCCCAAGTAGCTGGGACTATAGATGTGCACCACCATTCTTAGCTTTATACATGTAGTTTTAAGGAAGACCATCTATGAACGCCAGGTTAAGAATCTATGTTTTCTAGGGAAACAGGTCTTACTAGCCTAGTAACACTGATAAGTAAACAGAATTCTCTGGAAAATGACCTACCTAAGCTTATACAGCTAGTAATTGATAGGACCAGCAATCTAGTCTGTCAGAGGATATACCACTAAACTCTTCTTTCTAACTTTAGTTTACAGTCAAAATGGGATTGCTGAACCTGGGAAAAAAATAAATGCTTCCCAATTTCCTATTTAAACAGTGTAAGAATTGGGGGTGGCATTTGAAGGTGGGAGAAGAAGGGCAAACTTGTTAGTTTACTAGTGTGAGCGGTAGATTTTTATGCCAACTGGAATCACTGAGATTAACCTTATGGACGGACTGTAGACTGGAGATTAAAGTCCACACTTGAATTTGGACGATACAATGCGCAACAAGCACAAAACATTCCATTATTTTTTCAATGGTTTACTCATACTTGATCCTCTTATTCCCTATCTACTTCAAATTACTTAGAAAAATCTGTATATACACAATATGAGAGAGCTTCTTTATATTATTTTTAATTTTTTGTTGCTGTTGTTGAGACAGAGTCCCGCTCTGTTGCCCAGGCTGGAGTACAAAACATTGCACATATTTTTTTCAATGGTTTACTCATACTTGATGAGAGAGCTTCTATTATATTTAATTTTTTGTTGTTGTTGCTGAGACAGAGTCTCGCTCTGTTGCCCAGGCTGGAGTGCAGTGGTGTGATCTTGGCTTACTGCAACCTCCGCCTCTCAGGTTCATGCAATTCTCCTGCCTCAGCCTCCCGAGTAGCTGGGATTACAGGCGCATACCACCATGCCCAGCTAATTTTTGTATTTTTAGTAGAGATGATGTTTCACCACATTGGTCAGGATGGTCTTGAACTCCTAACCTCAAATGATCCACCCACCTCAGCCTCCCAAAGTACTAGAATTACACACATGAACTACCACACCTGGCCTATATTTGAATATTTAACAATTAAGCTGAAAAGCTTCTTGATGACATATCTTTAGAGATGATTACCAAGTTACATCTTCCCCTTTTCCATATCTGTGGGAAATATACCCAACACAGTGCTACAGACTACCAAAGCTGGAGTCCTGGTGCACTTCCTCATTTCTGACCTGACAGCTACCACACTCGGACCAAAGACAGTAGGCCATCTGAGAACCCACACAGGCACTTGGCAAGTCTATAAAATGACTTGCAGACCAGTGGGGATATCCATCTCCAATCTCAGCCTTTGACTGGAAAATTCCAATGTACAACAAGTTTTTGAAAAGATAAAAAATATATATTTTTACTATTTCTCTGTCTCTCTTGCCTCCATCTCCACTCATTCAAGCTTTACCCACTTTTCTGCTTTCTGCACAACTGCCACCTTTTGCATTAAAACTTCCCATAAACCATACCTTGCCTAGCGCAATCTCTGGGAGAAAGAAGTGAACTCCCACAGCACTCCATCTTTGCTGCTCCAACAGTGCCATCATTTTCCACCCTACACGGTTTTTTTGGCTTTGTTTTGAAGACAGGGTCTCGCTCTGTTGCCCAGGCCATAGTGCAGGGGAGTGATCTCGGCTCACTGCAGCTTTTAACTCCCGAGCTCAAGCAATCCTCCCACCTCAACTTCCCGAGTAGCTGGGACCACCAGCATGTGCCACCATGACCGGCTATTTTTTTAAAAAAATTTTTGTAGAGATGGGGTCTCACTATATTGCCCAGGCTGGTCTTGAACTCCTGGGCTCAAGCAATCCTCCCACCTCAGCCTTCCTAAGCGCTGGGATTACAGGTGTGAGTCACCACACCTCACCTCTACCTTACACAGTTTTATTTCTTCTTTAAGCAACATGAGCATAGGATTTGTGTGGTTTCATCTTTCTTCTAGTGCCTAGCATCCTGCACATACACTATGTGTGTCTGTGTGTCTGTGCATATAGCCTGGAAAAGCATGTAGACACACACCCAAATTTACCAAGCACTACTATGCCCAGGCACTATCTCTTACCTACACTGTTGCAAAAATCATCCATCTTCACAAAGTCTCCTTCAAGTAGTCATTATCATCATTCCCATTTTGCAGAATAGCAAACTGAAATTTAGAGAGGTTAATACTTGGCCAAAATCACAGAGATAGTAAATGGCAGAGCTGAGACTGAAATCCAAGCCTGACCAATTAAGAGCCAAGGCACTTAATAATAAATTTAATACCCATTCGATATGTCATTTAGTGAACAGCATTTCTACACAAGGTACTAGAATGAGAACGTTAGGAATGAAGATAGCCCAAGGTCAACAACTATAATATAACTATACGACAAAGGAGAAAGAGCAAAGTCCAAGAAAAGAGTGCATAACTATTCACAATAGCAAAGACTTGGAACCAACCCAAATGTCCAACAATGATAGACTGGATTAAGAAAATGTGGCACATATACACCATGGAATACTATGCAGCCATAAAAAATGATGAGTTCATGTCCTTTGTAGGGACATGGATGAAATTGGAAATCATCATTCTCAGTAAACTATCGCAAGAACAAAAAACCAAACACCGCATATTTTCACTCATGGGTGGGAATTGAACAATGAGAACATATGGACACAGGAAGGGGAACATCACACTCTGGGGACTGTTGTGGGGTGGGGGGAGGGGAGGGATAGCATTGGGAGATATACCTAATGCTAGATGATGAGTTAGTGGGTGCAGCGCACCAGCATGGCACATGTACATATGTAACTAACCTGCACATTGTGCACATGTACCCTAAACCTTAAAGTATAATAATAAAAAAAAAAAAAAAAGAAAAGACTGCATAAATGCTAAGGATGCTCACAGGAGTATGAGATCACTTTTTGGGGGAATGGAGGTAGAGAGGGGTAGGAGTAAAGATAATCATGAAGAAGATGGCACTGAGTTGCAGCTTGGATTTGAACAAGCAGAAATGAGAGGTAACAATATGTTAAAGATTAAACTGGGCTCACCTTAGTATTCTTCCTAAAGCAGCAAAGTGGGCTAATATATTACGTTCAGTTATATTATCCTTGATAGCAAAGACAATTTCATATACTTGTTTTTATGCAACATTCACATTCTGGAAACATCCAGTAAATATTTACTGATCGAGAAAGGAGGAGAAAAGGGGGCAAGGTGGGTGAATAAGAAATATTAAATATTTCTTTGAATACTTAATTAGTTCAAACACACAGTTTGTTCCACATGCAGTCTGGTTTTACAATATATGTGAATTAAATCCTTCTAGTCACTAACAATCTTTCACTAAGTTGTATGTATTCTCTGCCCATAATACTGGAAGAATCTAGGTGAAAAAAAAATTGCCCAGTTTTTTCTCTGCCCAATTTTAAATCTTCATGTGTCCAGCGATGTCTGCATTCAAAGTGATTAGGCCAAATCACTGTCTTACCAGTTTTACTCCCAAAACTAAGTACAAATCCATTTTAATCTATTTATCTGTACATCAAAAGATTTTTCTCTAGAAAATACTTTTTTTTTTTTTTTTTGAGACAAGTCTTGCTGTGTCACCCAGGCTGGAGTGCAGTGGCATGATCTCGGCTCACTGTAACCTCTCCCTCCTGGGTTCATGCAATTGTCCTGCCTCAGCCTTCCGAGTAGCTGGGATTACAAGCATGCACCACCACGCCCAGCTAATTTCTGTATTTTTAGTAGAGACGGGGTTTCACCATGTTGGTCAGGCTGGTCTCGAACTCCTGGCCTCAAGTGATCCACCCACCTTGGTCTCTCAAAGTGCTGGGATTACAGGTGTGAGCCACTGCATCTGGCCTACATTTGTATTTTAAAAAGGTAAAATTAACAAAAGGTGCCCATCTACGTAAAAAAGTCAAAAGGAACCATCTACCTGCAAGGCAGCATGAATAAAAATGTAAAGGCAAACTTAACTGTTACAATAACATATCAGCTCTGAGTCTAAAGGAAAACGGGTGTTTGTCTAAGAAATGTGCTAGAGAGAACCAGCCAGTTTTAATGTGCCTTAAGCAATGAAAACCTGTTTCCTCCTTTCCTTCTTGTCCTTTTGAAAAGACAACATGTCACAGGGAGACGTTTTTCTAACAGCATCCATCCTGGTGACAAATGTTTGCCAAGGGTGGGGAGAGAGGAGGGAGGAAAGAAAGAAAAAGAGAAGGAAGACGCCATCTGCTGACGAAAGAGAAAAGAAGAGGAGGAGGAATTGGAAGGCGCCACTTCCGGGTCCGTGTCTGAGAAATACAACGTATCACCATAAGGCAGACTTCTACTCAATATAAGGAAGAACTTTATAATAATTGGAGGAATTCAAAGGCAGAATTGATCAGGGACCAAAGTTCAAGCAGGGGGTGGCGAGGTCTCCTCAGGCAGAATAATCTTTCGTAAGCTTCTCCCTCTTGAAGGAAGAACGGCCCCAGTTCAAGTAGAAGAAAATACTGTGCTTATTATTTTTCTCTAATTCTTAAATGTTTCAAATAGTCTCTATCTTGATAATTCACGATTCAAAGGACTGAGACTGAAACATCAAATAAGCAAGCACACAAATTTGCCTGACACCACCTGCCCCCACCCCTAGTCCCTGGGCCTTATTTCTGGGCTTGCTGCTGGGCTCTCCACGGGCAGCTGGCTGCCATCGCTCCGCTGGAGGGCGGTACCATGAGCACGGATGGGGCCCACATGGCAGGCAAAGCACTGGAAATTGATGCCGCACCCCGCTGCTGCCTCTCAGTCAGCAACTGGCCAAAGCTGATGTGTAAGTGACCCATGTGGGCTAACACTGAGGCCTGGTCCTTACACTGGCTCCCAGAGTGTCCAGCAAAGTTAGGCTCCAATTGTTTCCCTATCTCGCTTCCCTTAAAATGTTTCTTTCACCTTCCAAACAGATAACATACATCTCTGTCTCAGCGGAACTCAATCCAAGAAAACACCTCACACCATGATGATATAAAGATGACATAATCTACAAATCATTGAAGATTCTCATCTTGGTTTCTTAGATTTTCTAGCCACATATTTTAGACTCAGTTTTGTCACACAGTAACACAAAATATACAGGTATTTATACAACAAAATATTAATATAAAACAAGTTATCAGTCCTATGTTTGTGAAGACTAGAGAGTCCACTAGACTCATAAAAGGAATGATGAAGAATACTATCATTTCTTTCAATTTTTTCAATTCTGAGAGCGAGTGACTTTGAAGTCAAAAAGACAAAAATCACTGCAGTATAATGAAAAGAAATTCCAAAGCACTATTTTGTTATGTGGAGAAGTTCACTTTCACAATTACTAAAGGCTTACTGTGTGTTTCAGACGCTGTGCTTGGTCCTACCTAAAATACAAAATCAAGACCACCCAGGCCCTGCTCTAAGGAAGTCACTCTCTAGAAAGGGACAGAGACATGTAAGTAAATAATTCCACTCGAGTGTAATAAGTGCAATCATTCAACCTTGGACAAAGACACTAGAGGAAGGTCTGTCTGTAGGGGGAAAGGTCAAAAAAGGTTTTGTCATTTAGTATCATGTGAACAAGGTTCCCAAGGATTCCTCTAAGAGCTGACTGGGGACTCCAGGAGCGAGAGGGGACACACGAAGTAGAGACTCAGCCTGGGAGGAAGCAGAAGGGTGAAGCAGCTTTGTGCATTCATCTCTCCCTGGCTTCAGTTCAACAGATGGAAAATTAATAGGCATATGAAAATAAATAATTTTTTCTTCTAGATTATAAGATCCTCACGCTACATCAATAATTACTTACTTGACAAAAGTCAGAGACATTTTCTGTCTCAGAAAGAGCCTCTAAAATGCTGTGCCCTCATGAGTCACTCTGGTAGCATAAATCAGAGAAAAACTATCTGACTCAAATTACAGTTACTGTAAAAGTTCATTATTACTTACTAAAAGCCCTCAGGTCTACAGCCATTGGGGGGTGGGGGGGGGGAAGCCTCCTATTTTTAGAAATAAGACTTATTTTCTCATCTTCTGCATGTTTGGTTTAATTTAAACTTATTCTTGGAGTTTCAATAGACATTGATGGCTATGGTCCAGTTGCTGAGGCAAATCTCTCTTTAACTCTATGGGAGGTGAGAGGCTCCAACGGGGACCAGACTTTGGAAACTGCACACCATCAAGGGTTTGCCATTAGAGGACTTCTCTTGTCTAACAGAAACAGGGCAATGCTACAACCTTGTGATTCTTTTCCTTCTTCTAGGCTATCAGGAAGAAAACTGAATATCCTTACATTGTGAGGTCAGATGTATGGCTTTCATTCTGAATGCAGTAACTTCAAATGTAGACACGTGAACAGAAAGCTTTGTAACAGAAAAACAGCATTGTTTCGTTAGATGACTATAGATAGTATTTCATAAAATACAAGAAAAACACTCAAAATTAGCTCCAAAAAATGTATGAAAGGTGATACTCTGATATTTAATAAAACTGAACCTCTCACAACAATAAAATGATCCAATTTCATATACCAATCAATAAGCAAGGGTCTACTAACTTCACCAAGAAAGAGAAAAAAACCTAAGTTAATGCAAAATAATTTGGATCTTAAGGACGTCAATAACATGGGCCTTGCAGAAAGTTCCAAAAAACATGCTTTCATACCTTTAACTCTATGAAAAACAAACAAGCGTTACCTCCTGCAGCTAATGAGCACTGACAGGCTCAAGGTAGTCGCCATGCTATGAAATGTGGCAATAGCTACAATGTCATCTGTTTAGTTGTTCATCAGTTCATTGCTTAGGAGCCACTCAGAAGCAGCTGGGCGCAGTGGCTCATGCTTGTAATCCCAACACTTTGGGAGGCCGAGGCAGAAGGACAGCTTGAGTCCAGGACTTGGAGATCAGCCTGAACAACACAGAGAGACCCTGTCGCTACCAATAAAAAAAATTAGGCGGTCGTGGTGGTGCACACCTGTGGGAATTTGCTGTGCTTGTGGCCAATTAAGTGTTCCACTCTGAGGACAAAAATGAATGAACCTGGGAGTCTAAGATGGGAGGATCGCTTGAACCTGGGAGGTCGAGGTTACAGTGAGCCGTGATTGCACCACCGCACTTCCTACATTCTTTTGCAATAGGAGCCTATTTTAAGTCATTCTTAGACACACAAATAAGTTAATTTTGGGGGGCAGTCTTGATCTGGATTCTTGCTTTCCTCTGCAGCAGTCCTATTATTAAGCACCATCTATACCCAGGGCACTTTCTTTTGCTCATTTTACCCATCCCAAACCTTGGCAGGAAATCCAACAGCAATGCTTTCATTCTTATCCCATCCTAATCTCAAGATATCAGTATGAAAGTCTTGAAAGTAAGGAACTAACTCAAGTAATTTCCACTTCAGATTGACTAATGGCACACTGAATGGCTCCAGCATACTCACTTACTGGCCTCTGGCAAGTGACTTAACCTTCCTTAGTTTCTTCAACCAGCAAATGAGAAGGCAGAACTAGATGACCTCAAAGGGCCTCTCAAGTATCAAAGTTTTGCTTCTGTGAAATACGTATGAGCAAGCACACTCAAGTGTAGACAATATAGATTGGCAAATAAAAGCAAGTAGGACAGCAAGAAAAGTCCCAGACTCTCAGATTCAAATCTAGCGTCTTCTCAGGAACTCAACCTACTCACACAACTATTTCCGAGAGCACTGTTAACTGCTTGTCAGAAAATGCACGTAGTAGTTCCACGGGTCATCACATTAAAAAAAAAAAGATTTGATTTCCATGTTTAAGTCAGTTTCAGAAACTGGGTTAAATAAAGTTAAACAAATTTCTCAACATCCTAGACTTTTACAGTGCTAAGAGGGCATGTGAGTTGCTAGGAGAGGTATTACAACAGAGCATTTTCCCAAACTTAGTTGCCACAGCATCCTTTTTCATAGGGCAAATCCTGCAGATCTTGTGTTCCCGGGAACAACTGGGAGTTTGCTGTGCTTGTGGCCAATTAAGTGTTCCACTCTGAGGACAAAAATGAATGGACTTGAAGGGCCACTCAGGGCCCCACCAGAAGGAGCCTTGGCTGCAGATCAAGACCCTCGACTCCACTGCAGGTTCTGCTGCCAGCTACTAGTTTGCACTGGGCCCCATTTAGCCACCTCCCCAGACCTGCTGGGCCCCACTGGCCTTCCAGGCATCCGCTGCCAGCTTCCTTCCCCAACACCCAGCCTCCCAGGCCCCAGCAGCACAGCACGGGGCCATCCTAGGTCTCTGTTCTCCTCTGACTAAACTTTGCAGAAACACTGGCTGCAGTGGCTGCTCCCATGTCACAATCCGAACAATTTATGGCCTTAATTCCACTATCATCCTAATTTCTACATAATCATGTAATAAATATTGGTAACATTTTGGAATTATTGCATAGAGAATTCTAAAAAAAAAAAAAAAAAAATTCCTAATTGTCTTGAAATGTTCTCCAATGTAGATATAACTAAAGAAAATGAACCACAGTCTCTCTTCCAACTATTTTCTTTTCACAGAACTCTCCTAATTAGCGAACTACAATTAATACTAGAAATTAGAGGAACCACGTGGGATTCTTTGAAACAAAAAAAAAGCTTTTCTGATAAGTATTATTGACTGAAATACAGTTAACATGTTTGTCACTTTCAAAAAGCCACAAATGAATTTCTCTGAAAAACCCAACGTCTTTATAAAAAAAAAAAAAAAAAATTCCACAAAATTGGGGCTCTGCCAAAACGTGAATGTTGCAAAACCATGTGTCACATGCCCTCCTTCAGTTTCATGTTAATCACTACAGCAAGGATTAAACTTTTGGAGACTGGAATTCAGAAAGGTCAGACAGGGATTCAAATGCTGTCCTAGCTGGCTGGGAAGTACTGAGGCAAGTTACTTAATTTTTCTTTAATCCCAGTCCCGTAAGCCATTAAAGGAAAACAGAAATACCCAGCTCACAGGATGGTTAAGTTTTAAGTAACATCAAGCTGAACTTGCCTAGCAGATTGGAACCTACATTAATTAGAATTAGGTTTGGCTCAGGGTGGCAGGAGACCCAAAATATCAGTGGCTTAAACAAGAGAAGTTTCCTTCTCAGGGAAGTGCCCAGGAAGGTTAGCATGGCAGTCCACCCATGTGTGACCTCAACCTCACGGTTCAAGATGGTGGCTTCCACATTCCAGACAGAACGGGAAAGGGACGGAGAAGAAACGGCAAAGCAGGAAGACACACTGTCCCTTAAGGAAGGTTCCTGGAAGGGCCCACGTGGTAACTCACCTCCCACTGACCAGAATTTAGTCACATGACCATATAGCTGCCACGGCCCCAGCTATGAAGTAGGTCTCAGGTTGCTATATAAAGCAGGAGTATGGACACTGGGGGCCAACCAGCAGGCTCTGCCACAAAACCCAGTAATGGCTCATCTCCTATCTCCAGTGGCTTCAGCTTCCAGGAGGAGTAACATTCAGCCTGTAGGCACTGGTACAGCATGCCAGTTATTTGAGCTGGCATCCGCCCTGAATGACTGGATTCCCATGCTGTCCTAGTAGTTAAATATTTTGCAAATTACCCTTGCCTTTGGGAAGCTCTGCCTTAAATTTCCACAACAAACAAGATTTCCTTAATAGCACATGCTGTTTGGGACATACATTTTCCCCAAACTGATTAGTTTTCTTTCCTGAAAAGGTACAGAGCCCAGCAACTTGCTTTAACAGAAAAATTAATTTTGCTGAATTACAGGGTTCAGTTTTCAAAAAGGAACACTTCACCGTTAACTCTACAGGCACTCCATCTTGATGCTGCTGTCTCCTGGACGCACAAGTACGGAGGCGTGGTGGTGGAAGAAAGCCACTGTCTCCACTGTCTACGTCCCCACCCTGCTGTCCTTCCCACCTCTTCCTCACTGACAGTACCTGTCAGCCAAGGATGGGGGAGGAGAAAGAGCAGTGTGGACTTTTAAGAGAACCTTCAATGCACATGTGGCTTATCTGTGAGCAGGCTGTGCCGAATAAGCCACAATGCGTCACAATTTGACTTAAACTCAATTAACGCTAAGATTCATTTTCTTTTCTTTTTTGAGATGGAGTCTTGCTCTGTCGCCCTCAGGCTGTCCTCAGGCTGGAGTGCAGTGGCGCAATCTTGGCTCACTGCAAGCTCTGCCTCCCTGGTTCACGCCATTCTCCTGCCTCAGACTGGTGCTAAATCAGGGTGACCCAGACCTAAAATAATTTCTTTTCAATCTCATCTTTCTGTTCTAATTATTTCCAAGAGTTTCAATCAGCATTTCCTAAGTTGTGTTCTACAAGTGTTAAAAAGGGTTGTATTTAAAAAAAAAAAAATCAGTACTAGAAATACTTTTTTCCTAAAACGTATTACATTTATGTAAGAAAAACAGTTTTAAAGCTTTAATTGTTGCAGAATAGCCAGAAGCTAAGAAATGCTGGGCCGGCGTCAGGAGAAGGTGTGCCCAGCGGCCTCGTGCGGGTTTACGCTCTGGCCACAAGCAGCCAGCCCTACGCTCTCACTCAACCGTGCAATTCTTTCTGTCCTACGTGACCCTAGTTTCCTAAATGACCTATTCTGCATCCTGCACATTTTAAGAATGTGTTTTATTTCTCCTTCATTATTTGATTGATTTTTTTCTACTACTAAAACAAGCATATATTTACAAAGTATATGAAGCAACACGTATACGGTGAAAGTCAATCTTTTTCACCAGTCTTCTTGTACTGTTTCCATTCCCAGAGCAAAGTATTCTGTTTCTTGTGAATCTTTCTAGATTACGTATTTCCTAACCATAAAAGGTGGCATAAATACATGCTGTTTTGCACACAATACAGAATGCATTTCCAATATTCTAATTTTTTATCATTTTACAAAGCTTCAATGTAATCATCAGCACTTGCTGTAACTAATGTTACTAAACGCTCTGGAGCCGAAATTGAACAGCAGCATTTACCGTTATATATAGGTGCTGTTTAACTATGTATGGACCTCACCAATTATCAGTAATAGTCCAACCCTGAAAAGCTATTGGCACCAATTTTCTTTCCCACAATTAACTTACTATGGAACACTAATTCTCAACAGACAGCTGGAAGACATGTCTTCCGAGAAAAGCATCAGAACTTCAAGTGGGAAGGGAATGAAGATGCAAGCTCTCCATCCAATCACAGAAATTTCACGATGTCCTCCCTGGGAGTTATCGCTTCTCCCATCTCTCTCCTGTGGAAAGTCACTGCATTTAACGACAGATGTAACTGAACCAAGTGCGGCACTGTGTAACAGAGCCTTCTGCAACAGTGGAGATGTCCCCATCCATGCTATCCAACACCAGAGCTACCAACCACAAAGGACTAAGGAGTACTTCACATCTAGTACAACTGAGGAATGTTTCAGTTTAATTTAAAATACGGATTCAAATGTAAATAGCCACATGTGCCTAGCGGTCACTGAATTGTGGGAAGTCAGAAAAAGATACCAACTCTTCTTATAAAACAGAGGAATAACAGGAACTGTGTATGAATATATAGGGTAAGCCTAGCAGATTACGCCCAAGCACATCTCCTAAGAATTGTCTTTCTTAACATATGCAAGGCTGAGTGGACCAGTTCCAAAAATAATTTGTTTAGTTAAAGTTGGAACAAGCATCAAGTTATGTTGCAATTACCTCTAAAATTTGAAATTAAAATAATTTTAATTTACCCAAACTCTATGTTTGATTATGCATTCTGTTTTACATTTTTCCTGGCATGACGTTGCATGTGGATCACACTAAATTAACAGTTTCCCTGTTAGGCGAAAAAAACAAACTGCAGAACGGTATGTACAATGTTATGCCAACCATGTCAGTGTATATGTTTGTATAGGAATACAATTCCTCTAGAACACTGCTGTCTAACAGGACACTTTGTAAGAATGGAAACGTTCTATGTCTGCACTGTTCATCACGGCAGCCACCAGCCACATGTGGCCATGGCACACTTGAAATATGGCTAGTGTGACTGAGGAACTCAATGGTTAACTATATTTCATTTTAATTAGTTTAAATTCAAACAGCCACAAGTGGCTAATGACTACCTTATGAGATGGTGCGAGAAGACTAAACAAACCCCAAACTTAAAATGGCTACCTCCCAGGGATTATGACTGGAGGGAAGAAAATAAACTTTTACTTACTTTAAATACCACTGTGTTGCTTGGATCTACTTATTTAATTGTGTACAACTGGCATGTACAATGCATTAAACAAACAGATAAAAAGGGGAGGTATCTTAGCCAGCGTGGGCTGTTCTAACAAAATACCATCAACTGGGTGACACAGACAAAAGGAATTTATTTCTCACAGTTCTGGAGGCTGGAAGTTCAAGATCAAGGGGCCGGCAGATGTGGTTCCTGGTGAGGGCTTTCCTCCTGGCCTGCTGTGCCCTTACAAGGCAGGGAGAGACGGAGCACTTGGGTCTCCCTTCTTCTTATAAGGACACAAATCCCAATATGGGGGCCCTACCTACATGACCTCATGAAAACCTCATTGCCTCCCAAAAGTTCCACATCCAAATACCATCGCATTGGGAGTCAGGCCTTCAATATAGGGATTTTGGGGGAAGACAAAAACATTCAGTCCATTACAGAAGGAGAAAGGGAAAAATCAAAGATTCCTTCTCCTTTCTGTATTTTTCTCCACTCCATTCGCTTAGCTTAATAAGTACTATGGAAACATTAGGCATCTGAAATCTGGTTGTGTTTTGTTTTGTTTTGTTTTGGTAGAGACAGGGTCTTGCCGTGTTGCCCAAGCTGGTCTGAAACTGTTGGCCTCAAGTGATCCTCCTGCCTCAACTTCCCAAAGTGCTGGGATTACAGGTGTGAGGCACCGTGCCTGGCCTGGTTCTTGAATAGCTGGAACAATGGCATTTCCAACCAAGCAGATATGCAACCAAGTATCTGGACCTTAGGCTATTATAAATTCCAGTGTGAAACAATGTACTAGTGATTCAAAGTCCTCATGTTTACACAATCTCTTGATGACCCCAACAAATGAATGGAGGTGCCAAATCCATGCTAGGCAAGCTGGAAATGACACTTCCCTTGTTACCTTTAACCATACTTGTTCATTGTTCATTGCTGTGCTGCAAGGAGCTGAACTACCTTAAAATGGTCCCAGAAGCTCCCTCTGGGTTGCCTCAACCAACTAGCCTCTCCCAGCTCTTTCCTTTGGAAGCCAAAGGCACTTTATTCCAGTGGAAGAGGTCATATTCAAGCTCAGCTTCCCACAAGCCCAGTGGCTTCCTCCACTCTGAGTGTGGGGATACCGGGGTTTCCCACAGATACTGAGGTCTCCAGGTACAGGGATGCTGGCATTCCCAAGCAATGCCTGCAAACAGCCATCCCAAATCCATATATCCCGATCCTAAGCAGCCTTTATGTTCACCCACGGTCAAAGCTGCTTTCTTGTTCCCCATAAAAAAAAGATTAGGGTGGTTGCCAGGGGGTGAGGAGAGGGAAAAATAGGGACTGATTGCTTAATGGAAACAGGGTTTCTTTTGTGAGGGGATAAAGAGGCTTTGGAACTAGACAGAAGGGTAGCTGTACAACATTGTGAAGGTACTGAAATGCCATTGAATTATTCACTTCAAAATGGCTGATTTTATGTTATGTGGATTTTGCCTTCAAAAACCTATTAAAAATAAGGCCAGGCGTAGTGGCTCATGCCTGTAATCCCAGCACTTTGGGAGCCAAGGCAGGTGGATCACCTGAGGTCAGGAGTTCAAGACCAGCCCAGACAACATGGTGAAATCCCGTCTCTACTAAAAATACAAAAATTAGCTGGGTGTTGTGGTGCGTGCCTGTAATCCCAGCTACTCAGGAGGCTGAGGCAGGAGAATCACTTGAACCCAGGAGGCAGAGGTTGCAGTGAGCCAAGATCGCGCCATTGCACTCCAGCCTGGGCGACAAGAGAGAAATTCTGTCTCAAATAATGAATGAATGAATGAATGAATGAATGAATGAATGAATGTCAGGGGCAACATTCCATCAGTCACACAGAACTGCCCTGGTGGACCGCCTTCCTCCCTGTTCTCAACCAAGCTTTGTAAGATTTCCTTTTCCCTAACAAGCCTTGTAGAATTTGTCCTGAACCCTAGGGACCATGAGGGAACTCGCCTAACCTCTCCAACACTTTATGTTTCCAACACAGCCACAGATCCAGCTGTTGCTCTGGAGTTTTTCTCTGTGAATATTTTTTCATCTTGTTCTGCTATTTCCTACCATATTCCCCACAAGGAACTTTCACTCAGCATCCTACTGGAATTCAACATTGTGGGTTAATGCTATGCTCCTTGTCTGCAGTGGTGAAAAAATTCCTCAAGAGACTTTGACTGGAAACTTGATTGCTCTGCTTCAATCAAACACAGTGGCTGGACCTATCTGGACAATGGGTGCAATCATTATGATTATGGTCAATTAATATCACCAACCCATTGTTTGACTAAACTGACAAATGGCTGAAATAGTGGAATTAGCTGATTGTTCTCCCTTATTACACCCTCATACAGCAACCCCTGGTAGGAATATTAGTAGTAAGGAGGTGAAAGTAGGGGGATAAAGACAAATGGGTTTCTTCAGCCCTCTCTCTGCCACCTCTGCCACCTCTACTCCAGCCCCTGGTCATGCTCTAGAACCATGTTTCCAAAATAAATTTGACTACGAAATCCTTTTTTCATGGAACACCTGCCAACATCTCCTCCTATTCACCTTGCACATCCCTCACTTTCCCCATTTCAGTAGATAGCACTTCCCTTTACCTAGTTGTTCAGTCTAAAAGTCTTGGAATTATCCTTGGTTCTTCTTTCTCTCATACCCTACAACCGAGCTATCAACAAATTATACCAGCTTTATCTTCAACATCCCCAATCTAACCCTTTCTTCCAACTCCCAATGCTACTAACCCTGTCTCAGCCACCACCTACCCACCTGGACCACCCCGCTCACTTGGGCCACACCACACTTCCACTCTTGTCCCCAGCACACTCCCGCTGCCCCCATAGCATCCAGTAACCCTTTACAATTAAAAGTCCTAACACACCTTTCCCCTGTCCAGGAAGGGCCTCTCAGGCCACTGGGAGTCAAATCTAAACTGCCCATCACAGCCCATCAGGCTTGCATGGACTGACCCCTGGGTACCTTTCCAATTCCATTTCCAAATGCTCTGTCCTTTGTTGCCCACTCTGCTCCAGTGACACGAGGGCTGACAGAGGTGCTCCTTTGACCTGCCCAGCACTCTCTCACCCCAGGGTGTGATTCCCCCTGCCTGGAACGCTCTTCCTCTAACTGTCACCTGCTCGGAGAGGCCTGGAGACTTAGCGAAACGTGACTCTCTATCCCTCTACTTGGCTTTGCACCTCTTCACAGCATTTATCACAACCTGACATGGCACCCCATGTTTACTGGGTGCCCCCTACCCACTAGGGCAAAAGCTCAAACAGGCAGCAATGCTGTTCTGTGCCCCACCACATCCCTAGCACTCAGAGCCAGGCCTGGTTGGTAGGAGTGCTCAATACATACTTATTAGATCAATTAATAAATAATTCTCATAGAACCATCCCTCAGAACCATCTACTGTGAATTCCTTGTCTGGAGTAAAACAACAGAAGCAAAAGCAGTCAAACTGGGAGACAGTACTATGACGGTCAGAACATATAACATGGAAGCGCTCCAAAAAGAACTGAATCCAGGTTCACATCACTAGTGCCAGGCCCTGGATATAAGCATTTTAGGTTCCCCAGAAGGATGCAGAGGTGCTAGTTTCCTGATAAGTGTAATAGATTAAATCGGACTAAATTATCTTTAGCGATCTATAAAGTGGTTCCTACATACCTTCCACGATAGATAACCCTTTTTTCCTCCTTCGGCTGTAAGTCACTTAAAATTTCAAAGCTGTGAAATATTTTAAGACTTAAGTTTGAAGTTAGCTTTTAAGGTAGCAGTAGGCAAATACAATATTTTGCTAGAAATGTATTACCAATGAGAAACATAGTTATAACAAATGCATTACAAAATAAATGAGGCTAGTATAATTTTCAGGCAGACTAAGGATGCTGCATTACTAGTAATCATACCGTAACCAATGGAGAAAAAACCCAGCACTACACAAATGACTTTTAGCTAGTTACTTCTCCAACACCTCACTATAAACTTAAAGCTAATATTCAATATGTAAATAGTCTATTCTTAGGACTTGAATTCTACTGTTTATCTAATCAGCCCTTTGAAAAAGGTGATGTGGGAGAGCAGAAAACTGTACTTGTACTAACAGGAGTTAAGAGCATGAGCTTTGCAGCCTCACCAGACCTAGACTGTATTTCCCACTCTGTGACTTGCTGTTTAAGTGACCTTGAGCAAACGACTTCACTTCTCATAGCCTCGGTTTCCTCCTCTGTAAAATGAGGATAGCCCCGGCAGTCTTGAGGAGATTTTTAAAGATTATCTGGTCAGGTACAGAGTGGCTCACACCTGTAATCCCAATACTTTGGGAAGCTGAGGCAGGCGGATCACCTGAGGTCAGAAGTTCAAGACCAGCCTGGCCAATATGGGGAAACCCCATCCCTAGGAAAAATACAAAAATTAGCCAGGTGTGGTGGTGGGTGCCGGTAGTCCCAGCTACTCAGGAGGCTGAGGCAGGAGAATTGCTTGAACCCAAGAAGCAGAGATTGCAGTGAGCTGAGATCATACCACTGCACTCCAGCCTGAGCAAGACTCCGTATCAAAAAAATAAAAAATAGAGATTATATAAAATTATGTAAATAAAATGCTCAGCATAGACTGTAGCAGTCTTTACTATATTCTACTGGAATTCTACATTGAGATGTTTCTCTCTTAGGATCACCTGAAGGGCAGTGCTGTGTCATTCTCATAATCTTTCCATCCCCAAATGCCCAGCTCGGGAACATAAATCAATGAATTATGCCTACTAAATGTTCAGATTTTGACGTGAAAGTCAACTGAAGAGATAAGACAAGAGGAAAGAAAACGAGAGGAGTAACAAGATGAGTAGAGGTAGGCTTTGAAGGAGCAGGAGGGAAGTGGGCAGCAACCCTTCCACAGTGAAGAAGAGAATCAGTGATGCAGAGGCATTAAATAGAACAGATCTGAGGCTTGGCAGAGGGAGAGGCCAACAGGAGCTCCAGACAAGCCTGGGCAACTTAGCGAGACCCTGTCTCTACAAAAAAATTTCAAAAATAGGCAGGTGTGGTGTCATGCACCTGTAGTCCCAGCTACTCAGGAGGCTGAGGCAGGAAGATCATTTGAGCCCAGGAGGTCAAGGCTTCAGGGGACTATGATCTGCACCACTGCACTCTAGCCTGGGTGACCGAGCAAGACCTTATCTCAAAAAAAAAAAAAAAAAAAAAAGAGGGGGCCAAAACTGCCACTTCAGTGCACCTTGATAATTCTCATAGGCACTGCTGAGCCTTGCAGAGGACCACACTTTCAGAATACTGTAATGGTGAAACCAGTCTATCAGGGAAATTCCTGCCCATTTCTAATCTGAAAGATGCCAGTCAAACATCCCCCCATCCATGTGTGCAGAATAAACTCTAGGGTACTATTTCTGCAGCGTGTAGAACTGCTCAGCAGCTAAGAGACGCGGTTACTGTATATGGCCTGGCACAGCATTCAGCTAAGATGATAGTGAGAAGTCCTAGGGCCCATGCAAGTGCCCGAATTCATGCAGCACAAAAGAGCCAGGTGCCGCTCACTCTGCAACAGACTCCGATCCTCCAGCAGAAGGAAGAGAACAGAAGCCCAAAATTGTTTTGCTATAGTTAAAAGAGAAAACAGACATCTGTGCGTGCCTGTTGACAGAAGTCAATTTGACAGAGATGAAATCAACAAAGACAACTAAAAGAAAGGGCAGGGAGAGAGACATAAAAACCAGGGGGTTGTCAGGTTTGGAGGCCAAGGACCAGGCAGGGACCCAGTGGCAGGTGGGATGGAGGGACCTACTGCAGGAGTGCAGTGCATGGGAAGGCAAGGAAGAAGATGACCTGCAGAAACCCTTCACCAAGTCTGCATGCAAAGGAGAGAAGAAACAGGCTGCTGAGTGAGGATGAGGGCAGAGGGGGATATTTTAAGTTTTGAAGTGCGGTGGCAAGGAGGTGCGGTATCTCCTGTGTGACAGCCTCGCTAGGCTCTATGAAGTGGAAAATTGGATCATCTGTGAAGAGGAAGCGGGGAAGAGAAGCAGGAACAAGTCTGAAGAGAGTGGGCTTGGCTTGTAACAGTCACTATGAAACCTAAGAGTGACAGCTAACCAGAGTAACATATACAATTACTGCATAGTGCCAAAGTGATTGCCTGAAATTGACATGCACCGGTACCAATCTGCCCAGGTGTATGATTTTCTCCCACAGTGCTTGGCAGCCCAGGTATGAGCAAAAGAATCAAATGATCAGGAAATGGGGGGCTTTGTCTAGAGAGTGATTTACAGTCCAGACCCTGGATTCTAGGTTGTATAAGAAAGAAAATAGGCCGGGTGCAGTAGCTCACGGCTGTAATCCCAGCACTTCGGGAGGCCGAGGCAGACAGATCACTTGAGCCCAGCGGTTCAGGAGCAGCTTGGGCAACACAGCAAAACCCTGCCTCTACAGGAAATACCAAGAAAAAAAAAATTAGCCGGGCATGGTGGCACGTGTCTGTAATCCCAGCTACCCAGGAGACTGAAGTGGGAGGATCGCTTAGCTTGAAAGGTCAAGGCTATAGACTCTTGCCTGTGAGACAGAGTGAGATCCTGTCTCAAAAAAAAGAAGGGAAATAAAAGTGGGAAGAAACTGATGGATAAGGCACCAAGTAAAGGAAACAGCAGACTACAGGTCTTAATGTAGGTACAGGTGGGGAATAAATTTTTGTGGCAAGGTGGATGGGCACGAAGAAGTGGGCGAATAGGGAATTTCTTTTATTTATTAATTTATTTTTAGAGACAGCCTCATCCTGTCACCCAGGCTAGAGTGTGGTGGCATCATCATAGCTCACTGTAGCCTCTAACTCCTTGGGTAAGTAATCCTCCTGCCTCAGCCTCTTGAGTAGTTAGAACTACAGGCATTTGCCACCAGGCCTGGTTATTTTTATTATTATTTATTTATTTATTAATTTATTTTTGAGACAGAGTCTTGCTCTATCGCCCACGATGGAGTGCAGTGGCATGATCTCGGCTCACTGCAACCTCCGCCTCCTGGGTTCAAGCGATTCTCCTGCCTCAGCCTCCCGAGTAGCTGGGATTACAGGTGCATGTCACCATGCCCAGCTAATTTTCTGTATTTTTAGTAGAGACAGTGTTTCACCATGCTGGCCAGGCTGGTCTCGAACTCCTGACCTCATGATCTGCCCACCTCAGCCTCCCAAAGTGCTGGGATTACAGGTGTGAGCCACCGTGCCCAGCCAGCCTGGTTAATTTTTAAAAATTTTTTGTAGCGGCAGAGTCTCACTATGTTGCCCGGGCTGGTCTCTAACTCCTGGCCTCAAGTGATCTTCCCGCCTCAGTCTCCCAAAGTGTTGGGATTACAGGTGTGAACCACTGTACCTGGCCTCAAATTTCTGACTTGCTGATCTGAGCTGTAAGTAGACAAGGTCTAAAGACTGGAGGGTTTGAGAGCAGCTGAGAAGATCACTGGTGATGAGGAGCCCGATACGGTTTTGTTCTATGTCTCCACGCAAATCTCACCTTGAATTTTACTAATCCCCACGTGTCAAGGGTGGGGCCAGGTGGAGGTAACTGAATCATGGGGACAGTTTCCCCCAGGCTGTTCTCATGATGGTGAGTTCCCACGAGATCTGATGGTTTTATAAGGGGCTTCCCCCTTTGCTCAGCACTCATTCTCTCTCCTGCCGCCCTGTGAAGAGGAGCCTTCCACCATAACTGTAAGGTTCCTGAGGCCTCCCCAGCCATGCAGAACTGTGAGTCAATTAAACCCCTTTTCTTTATAAATTATCCAGTCTTGGGTATGTCTTTATTAGCAGCAGACTAATACAAACCCAAAACCCAAGCAGTCACAGAAACAGATGGGTTGTCTAATGAAGCTGAAGCAGGGTGGCAAGCAATGAGCCAGTCATTAATGATGAGTAGGAGTGATGGGAAAGTCAGCAGAGCACAGTTACAAGGTGGACAAAAGGATGTGTCTTACCCATGGCTGATGCTCCAAAGAGGAGGGTTATCACACGAGGGGGGAAAAGCAATGATCCAGGACAGCCATGACAAGAATGCGTGCCACCAATCCCACCTTCTGAACAGTTACATCTCTGTAATGTTAAAACTAATCTACCTGATCAGGTCATTCCTGCCAATTTTTAATCTGGAAGATGCACATCAATCTTTCCCCTGCCTTTATACCAAATAAATACTATTTCTACAGGTTTTCCAAGTAAAATCTTCAATGAATGGAAAATCTATCTTAAGGCTTTCAAAAAGGATCACACATTTACCCACAAGCTTACAGGGTATAAGTAATTTTTATTAATTTTTTAATGCCAAGTGTTTATTATATCTTATACCAACTGGAAACAAAGTTTTGCCTCAAAATTAGAAATCTATTTCCTTGTCATTTGTACTGGAGATGCAGGGATCTGGTATATTTTTACTGTCTCCTGGTCTTCCAATATTTTGTCACTCATTTAACTTACAGTCTCATATATGATGCATCGTTTTATGTTACTAGAGGTATTTCATGGGGAAGTTTAGCTCTTCTGCTCCTCTGAATCATCTTGTCTCCTTTGGGAAAATTTAATTGATATCCACACCTCTGTTTTCCATTTTCCCAACTGAATGCTCCCCTGTTCTGCCATAGCACTCTATGGATAGCTCTGTTATTGCACTTAATACACTCAAATGTCAACCATAGCAAACTTTGTAACCTTGGGCAAGCACTTAATCTCTCTGGGTCTCAACTTACTTATGTATAAAATGGAGAAAATAACAGTAAGAACTTCATCAGGCTATTTATCCACTCATGAGCTAATGCCCAGAAAGTAGTTAGAACAGCACCTTCCATATAGTAAGTGCTACTGAAGTTTTTGCTATTAGTATCATGATATGCATTTGCACGTCTCTCCTTTCAGATTTGTCTGCACCTTTAAAATGGGGACTAGGTCTTAATCTCTGTATCCGCAGTGCCTAGTATAGTGAATAAATGCATGCATCAATTGATCAGTTTTTTTTTTTTTTTTTTCTGAGACAGGTTCTCTCTCTGTCATCCAGGCTGAAGTGCAGTGGTGCCCACTGCAGCCTCAACATCCTGGACTCAATCAATCCTCCCATCTCAGCTGTCCCTGTAGCTGGGACTACAGGTGGGTACCACCAAGCCCAGCTAATTTTTGTATTTTTTTTGTAGATACAAGGTTTTACCATGTTGCCCAGGCTGGTCTTGAATTCCTAGGCTCAAGCAATCCGCCTCTCTGGGTCTCCCAAAGTGCTAGGATTATAGGTGTGAGCCACTGTGCCCAGCCCCATTAGTTTTTATCTCACAAAAAAGTAAAAATGTAGATATTAAAAATAATAGGCCAAAGCATCACCTTATTTATAACCCATCTTGTTTGAAAAGTAATTTAAGGCAGTTCATAAAGTACAGTCTGACATTTCAAATATGTAACTTAAATGAAACAAGTTAAAATTAAGGGTGCAGCACCTTGGGGGTTGAGGCAAGAGGACTGTTTGAGCCCAAGAGTTCAAGACCAGCCACGGCAACACAGTGAGACCCCATCTCTAATGATTAAAAAAAAAAACAAATAAAATTAAAGGTAGAACTGTATCATCAATACCACTAAAATGTCAGTGTCAAAATAAACTTCTTAAGAATTAAGTACACTTACATATATTTGGACTGTAAGAATAAGAAATTTTTCACTATTGCTACAGAAAAAGGAAAAAAAATGTCCAGAGATGTAGCTCTAGACAAGCGTTTGCTATGTGGATTTCTTTCACAGATCTAGGTATCTAGGGAGGAGAAAAACTCCATAACAACTGAGGTCTCCTACTTAATATGCGACAATTCTGCAGTAGGGAAGTCCCAAAGTTGTTGGTGACAGAAGGAAAACAACTGGGGCATCCAAAAAAATTCAAATGATTGTGGCTTAAGTTCCAAATGTTCATGATGCCCACAGATGCTCAGCGTGGGGAGGTGGCTCCTCTCCATCTCCAGTAGAAAACAGCCACTTCCCACATCTCACCCGTGTTTAACATTTCTACAGGACACCTATCTAGGACCATAACACCACCCTATGTAAAACTACCAGTGCTAAGATTCTGTCATTCTGGTTCTTTTCAGATAGTAATTATTTCTAAAACTGTTGAAAATGAGGGCTGGGCATGGTGGCTCACGCCTGTAATCCCAGCACTTTGGGAGGCCAAGGCGGGCGGATCACCTGAGTTCAGGAGTTCGAGACCAGCCTGACTAACGTGGAGAAACCCTGTCTCTACTAAAAGTACAAAATTAGCCGGGCGTGGTGACGCGTGCCTATAATCCCAGCTACTCGGGAGGCTTAGGAAGGAGAATCGCTTGAACCCAGGAAGCAGAGGTTGCAGCGAGCTGAGATGGCGCCACTGCACTCCAGCCTGGGCAATAAGAGCGAATCTCCATCTCAAAAAAAAAGAAAGTGAGTCTCACATAACTAGCAGAACTTTCCTCTTTCACTGGCACATGAAAAAAAAAAAGCCACCTTTTTCATTAAAATGTTAAAATGGAATTTAATGAAAAGTCTGTGTTAAAGTCTGGGAGTGGTAGTGTTTCACAGAGGAAGAAAAATGTTTCTCATATCCTTCAGGTCACCTGAGTAGAAACCTATATAAAAAGGGTGAGTGTGAAGAGTTAAGAGGAAAACCTTTAGCAAACTGAGGTTGTTTCTACTTGCTAAAAGGGTCTCTCATTTCTATTCATGAATGGCCTTTCTACGCTTTCTCCTGAGCCACAGAAGAGGACATTTCAGCACAATCTAAGGTAGACTGAAACAAGTAAAACATCTGGATAAACTCCCCCATGAACACTGAAAAAAGAAACATGACTAATAAGCTCTCTTCTCCACATGCTGGAGATTCTACTGATGGTAACACATTCAGATACAAACACGTGAACCAATAATAACCAACCTCACTGCTAAAGCAGTCACTTGAAGCGATAACCTCACTTCTGCTTTCCCAAATAGGTGAGTATAAAATATATACATATATATATGAACATTCCCTTCCAAGACAGAGCATTAAAAAGATAAAGCAACACACACACATACACACACACACGCACACACACACCCCCCTTAATAACAGTGTGTGTCCTTTAATTAAATGTTGGCCTTTTTAATTTACTTATTTTAAGTTGTTGTTTCTGTGATCTCAATCTGACAAGGATTGCATTTGAGGATTAAAATTGCCGAGCACATACCTTTTTAGTTCCTCATCTTTTAATTACTACATAAGTGGTTGCCTAGGAAACCTCCAGACCGAATGATGAAACTCAAATGAATTCTCCTTTCTAAGCTTGCAGGTTTGACTCACTACCTTTGCTCCCCAAAAACTAAGTCCTCCGGAATTATTAAAGCCAGATATTTTTGCAACCTGGATGACATGCGAAAAAAAACATAAGAGGTGAATAATTATTTATTCTGAATACAGGTTTCTTAGGGAAATAAAAGTTAAAAAGGCCAAGTCCCTACTCACAGCAAATTCAGAAGAGAAATGCATGTCTTCAAATATACCCATACTATCTGTTACCAGGTAATTGTGGAGTGTTATTTTATGGCAGTATGTTAACATGGTAGTGATTAAACATTATAATGAAAGACAATAGAGAAGAACCTGGGAAAGCAGACCATGGAGACACCAAAGCAAAATAATGTCAGAGGGGGTGCAACCCCCCAATCACTGCAGAAATCACCCCTAGCTCCGCCCCCAGCTCCGCCCCCAGCTCTGGTTCCCTGTCCTTTCTTACAATCTGGCTCTACCTCTGCCCAGAATGACATGACATCATCACTGAACAGTGGCAAGAAAACATAGATCTATTTTGCTGTATGCCAAGTAAACAGGGCTGATCACCATACACAAATATGTATGCAACTTAGCATAAACGCATCTCAGAAGATTCTGTTTTAACCACAGCAGATGCACTGAAGTAGGCTCATCTGGCGGCCCTCGGAGGAAGGACCGAGTGTTGCATAATTCCAGCAAATGAGAGCAGAAATACTGAGAACAGCCAGAACACCCAGGCCAGATGGTACTGTGGTTCTGAAGCAGTGCCTGAGGCTAGAGACGTGAGCAGGCCCGGGAAAGACAGAGATGGGGCAAGTGGGCTCAGTGGCTGGAGGCAGAGTACACTCAGCAGAAGGCCTTTGACTACTTTCTCTCAGCCCTGATCTCAAAGTCTGGCTGCTTCCTCTAACATCCTTGCATCATGATCTTACCATCATTTACTTTAAATTTAAAAATTTTGAACCAACTCTTCTGGAGGAAAAGCAACAACCAATTTCCACCTCCATCCCCCCAGCTATGCTTCTGCCTCGGGGTAGAGGAGTTTGAGTAGGAGAGGAAAAGACAGATCAGAACTCAAGGCTCTCAGGCTGGGCACGGTGTGGCTCTTGCCTGTATTCCCAGCACTTTGAGAGGCCAAGGCAGGTGGATCACTTGAGGTCAGGACTTTGAGACCAGCCTGGCTAACATGGTGAAATACTGTCTCTACTAAAAATACAAAAATTAGCTGGGCATGGTGGGATGCGCCTGTAATCCCAGCTATTTGGGAGGCTGAGGCAGGAGAATTGCTTGAACCCAGGAGGCGGAGGTTGCAGTGAGCCGAGATTGTGCCACTGCACTCAATCAAGCCTAGGCAACAGAGCAAGACTCCATCTCAAAAAAAAGACAAAAAACAAAAAACAAAAAAACTCAAAGCCCTCATCATTTCTCCCCAGGATAACTAAACTTTTCTGCCAACTACTATTCCCACTGCTCCAACCTCACACTGCAGCTAATCCACTCCCTACAAGGATGGTCGAGATTTTCCTCCACTTAAATGAATTCCCTCCCTGGCTTCCACACTGCCCTCAGGATGAAAACCCAAGTTCCTCTCAGCTTAGTTTAGAAAGCTCTTCACCAGGTAGGTCCTTGAAAAACTTGATTGCATTCCACTGTAATCTCAAAATTGTCAAAGAAAAACTGTTCCGTACCTGGTCTGGAATAGAACCAAGTGGTCTGCTAGAAAATTCACAGTATCCTACTAGGAAGAAATGAACAGCATTCCAGGGAAAAAAAAAAAAAAAAGCTTGCTTTTTTTCTAATGCAATTTCCTAAATGAACTTTAAGGAAATTAAGACTTGCTCTGGGCAACTCATTACCATCTACCCGGCTGACTGTCAACTATCAGAGTGTAGAGGTTTTTAACCAGACATTCGTTTCAATGATGATATTTAATCACTTTCTTCCCTTAATGTCCCTACCAAGAGCGAATCATTGAATGTGCCTACTGCAGGACTCTCTCCTTGCATTGCAAAGCTAAAACAAACTGTTGGCACATGCTCAAAATTAAACTGTCCGAAAAGTTTTAACAAATGCTACCTAACCTAAAGCAGGTCCTTTTACCCTGCAGTCCCCAGGACACTTTTTGGTCTCTGGCCTCCTTGGGCCTTCCAATACTCAGCAACCTCCTCCAGGTAGCACCCACCAGGGCTGACACTTTCCCTCACTCTCTGCCCCAACCCCCCAATGGCAACTCCCATCTTCTCTGGTTAACCTCTATTCATCTCCAAAGTCCATGTCAATCATAGGTCAAATGTTAGTTCCTCCAGGAGAACTTGCCAAGAGGCTGGACCCAAGTCCTTCCAGATGCTTCAGTATCAGAGCTGTTACTGTACTGCACTGCATTTATCTCACCAGAGTGGAAGCTCACTGAGGACAGCACAGGGCCTTTTTATTTCTGTATTCCCCACCCTATCACAGAGCCTGGCTCAAAATGAGCACATCCTAAATGTTTGTTGAATGCATGAAATGCCAACAGCCAAGTGCAGGAGTCAACCTTCCAGGCGAAGGTGTTCCATTTCCTTGTGTAATTCACCTTTAGGTGCTCTGTGTTTGCACCAAGCCAAAAATCAGATGGGATAACCTGATGTTAAGGCTGTTGTTTCTACATCTTAGTGTTAAGGAGGGAGACAAAGCTGGGGAAAATGTACTGAAAGGGGTCATCACTGTGCAGTCTAGTAACCAACCCTAAAATGCAGCCTCCCTGCGGACCGAGGTGGAACTAGTCTGCCAGGCAGCCCCGGCAGCACTCTCCTGAGGACCTGGCGCAGAGCGGGTAGTCCTGGAGTGACTCAACCCGCTGAAAAGCATGGACAAGCCCGCCCGTCTGAGAGGAAGAAATGTTTAAATATAAAATTTCCTAAAATGTTTAAACCAGAGGAAAAATACAGAAATCTTTTAGAGGCGAAGCAAAATGAAAAGACAGATAACACCTTTAAAGCAGCCTTATAGATCTGAATCTTCTTGGCACAAGAACATAAAAATTTAGTTGTTTTATGAAAATATCATGTTAGGTAAGTTCCGGGGATGTCAGGGCCTGAGAGTGAACCAGGAATATTCAGGAAAAATTCTTTTTTATTATTGTGGTTTGTTGGCTTTTGCATGAGAGTGGGAGGACTTTTATTTTTTATTTTTATTTTTTTGAGACAAGAATCTTGCTCTGTTGACCTCTGAGGCTCAAGCAATTCTCTTGCCTCGGCCTCCTAAGTAGCTGGGACTACAGGTGTGCACCACCACACTCAGCCAATTTCTTTTGTCATAGAGGCAGTGTTTCAATCTGTTGCCTAGGCTGGTCTCAAACTCCTGAGCTCAAGTGATCTTTCTGCCTCAGTCTCTCAATGTGCTGGGATTACAGATGGGAGCTACCTCAACCAGCCCTGGATGACTTTTAAATGCCTTAAGAGAAAGACAGTCTGTTCCACTGCAATTTCCCCCTGGCCTTTCAGATCTCTGGGAATACTCTCAATAAGAACAAACTTTCCCTGAGGACTGGACCTGGTGCTGGAGGACAAAGGGAATGCCCAGGGACTTAGTAGTTTTCTTCTCATTTAAGACAACTTCCATCTGGTACATCTGCAAGGGTGCTTCAGAGTGGAAGGACTGATGGCAGGTTCCTGTCTACCACTGAGGCTTTTCCCATGTTCTTAGAGGGATAGAGGAGGGTGATGGAACACACTGAAATGGGAACCCCCTGTCCCCACAGAAACCATGATATTCTCCTACACTAACACTAGAAAGTCCCAGAACAACATAGGTGGTCCCCACAGATGTTCTTTAACTAACTTCCTTTTTTTTTTTTTTTTTTTTTTGAGACTGAGTTTTGCTCTTGTTGCCCAGGCTGGAGTGCAGTGGCGCAATCTCAGCTCACCGCAACCTCCGCCTCCCGGGTTCAAGAGATTCTCCTGCCTCAGCCTCCCAAGTAGCTGGGATTACAGGCACGTGCCACCACACCTGGCTAATTTTTTTTTGTATTTTTAGTAGAGATGGGGTTTCTCCATGTTGGTCAGGCTGGTCTCGAACTCCTGACCTCTCAAGTGATCCGCCCACCTCGGCCTCCCAAAGTGCTGGGATTATAGGCGTGAGCCACCACGCCTGGCATAACTAACTTTCCTATAGTGTGCTAATTACAAGATGATCTACCTTATAATTTGATTTATCACAGTTCTTTATCTCAGTATATTTTTCCAAAAGGGACTCAACATTTATCATCTTTTTGAAGGTCATTTCAAAGCCTTAGAAACTGGCCTCAACAGTAACTGCAGGAAGCATACTTGTCAGATCTGAGCAATAAAAATACACCCTGACTGCTGAGCCTGGAGCACGGGAGAGCCTACAGCTAACCAGGGAAGACATGGTGAGTTCAGTAAAAGGCAGGTAAGGAGGAGCCTTGTGTCCAAAGCTCTGTAAAATTTTCTTTACTTGCTGCATAAAAAATAAAAAGACTCAGAATATATCCAAAGATCTTATATTTAATAGGCCTTTAACCTGAGAACAAATCAATTAATTTTTAGATTTCATTTTATCATGCTCATTCTTATACATCCATACTTAGAAAAAAGAATGAGTAATATTAAAACAAAGTAGCGGCACACTCAACAGACCTCACACCACTGAGATATGAGACGAATGCAATCATATCCTACATTCTACACATATCTGAAAACTTTAAAAGAAACTTACAGAACGTGTGGGAATCCCCCGCATGAAATTAAGAATTGTTTGACTGACTAAAAGTAGAATTGAAGGGCCGAAGAAAGGATTTCCCCTGTGGTTGATTAAGAACATTATTCTTGTTTTGAGTCGTCATACCAAGTGACCATGAAGTGAGAAGACTTGTTAAAATGCATTTTTTGAACTTTTTCCCTTGGTGCTAGATCCCAAGACTGGCTTAAAGACAAAATACTGTAACATACTCAAACTTTTTAAAATAAGTTAACAGTAACACCAAGAAGAGGGAACACGAAGTTCTACTGTTCTTCTTAAATAAGTTGACAGTAACCCCATGAAGAGGAAACACGAAGTTCTAATGTTCTGAAAAGACACTTTAATCAGTCCACCTTAATGGAATGCCTGCAACTGAGGATGAAATAAAATGTCTGCAAATGTGGGTTTGAAAATTGGTCATATAAATCATCACAAAATGTATCACAAGGTTTTTTGAAACAGTAAGTTTCCTAAAACATGTGACATGATGATTCAATGAACAAATACAACATTTATATACATCTCTTCAAGAACATTCCTATTATATCTAAAACAGTAACATATTCTTCTTTAATCCATATTTTAGCAAATGGATTTGAAGTGAAAATGTAAAGAAAGTTATCTGAGTGGAAAGGAAAATCAGACAAAAATGATCAAATTCATTAAGAATTTCACCCTCACAAACATGAAAACAACAAGCTATCTGAAATCTGAACTCCTGAGGTTCAACTACTCTACAAGCAGAAGTGTGTGGAAGATCAAACTACTCATGATGTTAGGGGCCGGGCGTGGTGGTTCACACCTGTAATCCCAGCACTTTGGGAGGCCAAGGAGGATGGATCACAAGGTCAGGATTTTGAGACCAGTCTGGCCAATATGCTGAAACCCCATCTCTACTAAAAATACAAAAATTAGCCAGGCATGGTGGCACGTGCCTGTAGTCCCAGCTACTCAGGGGGCTGAGGCAGGAGAATTGCTTGAACCCAGGAGGCAGAGGTTGCAGTGAGCCGAAATCATGCCATTGCATTCCAGCCTGGGTGACAGAGCGAGACACCATCTCAAAAAAACAACCAACCAACCAACTATTCATGATGTCAGAGAGCATTCAAAGTCATAAATGTTTAATTTATACATAAAAACATCAGATTTATCAGAATAAACATATTTTGGTATTTATTAGGTAAGCTGCAGTGTGGATAAAACATTCATATACTAAACTTTATTCCCTGGCAGTAGAAGAAAAAGGAGGCATTCTTATGCCAGAAGAAGGAAGTACAATCTGTGTAGGCGAATGAGCAGAACGGAGTAGCTGATGCAGTAGAAGGATGATGTATTTTACAGAGCATGAAGATTTTAAAAGTAAAACCAGGCAGGGTGCGGTAGCTAACGCCTGTATTCCCAGCACTCTGGGAAGCTGAGGCGGGCAGATCACTTGAGGTCAGCAGTTTGAGACCAGCCTGGCCAACATGGTGCAACCCCATCTCTACTAAAATTACAAAAATTAGCCAGGCGTGGTGGCACACACTTGTAATCCCAGCTACTTGGGAGGCTGAGGCAGGAGAATGGCTTGAACCCGGGAGGCGGAGGTTGCAGTGGGCTGAGATCATGCCACTGCACTCCAGCCTGGGTGACAGAGAGACTCTATCTCAAAAAAAAAAAAAAACAACAATAAACCAAATGTATGAGGAGTGGAAGAAAGATTCAACATAGCTACTAACTACTTCCAATACTTCTTAAGTTTAGAATAAATTTTTATTCATTCTTAAGGCTCTAAACACAAACTCTATATTCAGCGTCAAAAAATATTAGGTATGGCTTCAAATATAACTGGGTACCAACAGATAAGACAAGTAACAAAACTTTTAACTTGGGACTATGCAGTGCTTGGTGACTTGCTTCCACAGAGCAGAGTATTGGAAAGGGGAAACAAATTTCCATGGTCAAGGTGAGCATCAGCAGTGGTAAGTCACGTTGATGGCGTTCTCTTTTCACACGGATGTGATAAGGATATCCCTTCACCTCTGTGATTGTCCTCCCAAAAACCCACATCCCAGTCTAATAATCAGAAAAACATGAAAAAAATCCAAACTAAGGCACATTCTGCAAAATACCTGCCCAGTATTCCTCAAAACTGACGAGGCTATCAAAAACAAACATCTCAGAAACGATCATAGACTGGAGGACTTTAAGGAGACATGGTGGCTAAATGTGCTGTGATATCCTGAGTGCAGAACGGAAAAAGGACATTCGGAAAAACGGGTGAGCTCTGAATAAAATGTGGATTTTAGTTAACAGTAAAGTACCAATGTTTCTTCCTTAATTGTGACAAATGTAACATAATAATGTAAGAGTCAGCAACAGGAATCACTGAGTGAGGGGCATATGGAAACTCTGTACTATCTTTGAACTTGTCTTCAAATGTATAATTATTCCAAAATAAAGAGTTTATTTAAATTTTTAAAAACTAGGCCAACAGCACTGAGGTGTGGTCCTTCAGGTGTGCACCTCAGCCTTGGCTGCAGCCACAGGGGCAAGCACAGGCGTGGGTCCTGGTCACCCCGCTTGCTGACCAACAGACACACTGGCCAATTTGGGAACCTGTCTCCGATGCCAGCAGACCACAGATGGCATGCATGCGACAAGAACAAACATCTCTGAAGTGCCTAACACCCCCATCTGAAGTGAAAAATAGGCAATTTTATGCAAGAAAAAAAAGACAAGGCCTAAACAGGTTGGCTGGGAGCCATCAGTGCTCTGTGAAAACACATGACAAACCAGCCTTCAGACTTCACTTGGCAAATACCACTGCCAGCATCCAGGCAGGTGTGAAACAGTTATACAGACTTCTCTTGCATACCCAGCAGGCTCTGTGTCCTGTTTCCTCGCCACAAAAAAAAGGTAAGTCAGAGAAGTGGGGATATAGAATTCCTTTAAATATCTGCGGGAGAAAGTAGCTCACACACAAAAAAGATTTCTTCAACCAAGCAGCAGTTAGTATCTATTTTCAGGAATCTGTCCAGCCAGGGAACACGTGGCACCATGAGAGTCCTGTTTCATAAGGGGGAGGCAGCAAGGCCTGTGCAGTGCTGTTCAATATAGAAAAACATTTTATCCTTACAGAATAAACACGTGGCAGGATTGCGTTTGCTGCAGTGGATTTCTTTAATTACATTGAATTTTAATCCAAAAAGAGATCTGGGGGATTTATCTGCTCTAACCAAAAAGTTCCAGAATTTATGAACTAGATGAATATGTAGCACTCATTAGGCCAGAAAATTAAAATATAAATGCCTTTAAGGTTTTTTTGTTTTTTGTTTTTTTGTTTTTTTAAGAAAATTAACACAGTGTAGGCCAGGCATGGTGGCTCAAGCCTGTAATCCCAAACACTTTGGGAGGCGGAGGCAGGTGGATCACTTGAGGTCAGAAGTTCAAGACCAGCCTGGCCAACATGGTAAAACCCCATCTCTACTAAAAATAAAAAATTAGCCAGGCGTGGTACTGGGTGCCTGTAATCCTAGCTACTGGGTAGGCAGGAGAATGGCTTGGACCCGGGAGGCAGAGGTTGTGGTGAGCCAAGATCAGGCTGCTGCACTCCAGTGTGGGTGACAGAGCAAGACTCCATCTCGAAGGAAAAGAAGGAAAAGAAGGAAGGAAGGAAGGAAGGAAGGAAGGAAGGAAGCAAGGAAGGAAGGAAGGAAAAGAAGAAGAAGAAGAAAAAGGAAAAGAAGGAAAAGAAAGAAAAGAAGGAAGGAAGGAAGGAAGGAAGGAAGGAAGGAAGGAAGGAAGGAAGGAAGGAAAATAAATTAATACAGTATCAGTCAAAATTATCATAGTTTTACAAGAAAGTTGACCAAATTATTTTCATTTATCCGAGAGAAAAGTGATGCAGAAGTAGCCCAGAAAAATTCCGAAAAAACAATAACAATAATGATGTTCAACCACATACAAACATTTATTATACAGCTCTGATAATTAAAACAGCATGGCAGTAGAACTAGAATAGACAGACGTGTCCACGGAAAATAAGAAAACATCTGAAAACAAAATAAATACTCAAATTCATTTATTCAAACATTTATTGAGTGCCTGCTATGTACGGGCACTGTGGATGGTTACTTGATGGCAAAACCAAAAAGTCAACGTCAGACCAAAGGATGAAGTATTCAATAACTGGCTATCTGTGTGGGGAAAAAGATATTTTTCTCACATTTTACACTCAAATACATCTCAAATACTTAATTATATACAACTCCTAGCACTACTAGAATAAAACAGGTGAATATTTACATATAATTTCATGATGGGAAATATGTGAGTTCGAAACAATCATTGTGAAATATGTTAATTTAAATGTTAACAGGGTGTAAACTACTGACTAGCTAAATAATGGATGGTCATGTAGTCATTAAATTGTTGATGAAGAAATATCTTTTTTTTTTTTTTTTTTTTTTTTTTTTTTTTTTTTTTTTTGAGACGGAGTCTCGCTCTGTCGCCCAGGCTGGAGTGCAGTGGCGGGATCTCGGCTCACTGCAAGTTCCGCCTCCCGGGTTCACGCCATTCTCCTGCCTCAGCCTCCCAAGTAGCTGGGACTACAGGCGCCCGCCACTACGCCCGGCTAATTTTTTTTTTTGTATTTTTAGTAGAGACGGGGTTTCACCGTTTTAGCCGGGATGGTCTCGATCTCCTGACCTCGTGATCCGCCCGCCTCGGCCTCCCAAAGTGCTGGGATTACAGGCGTGAGCCACCGCGCCCGGCCAAGAAATATCTTTATTAACATTTAAAAAGTTATAAAAATGATGTATACAGTAAAAAGACCTAAATATAGATATTAAAGAAGACATACACAGGAAATATCTATCCCATAAGAATATCATTACTCTTCAAACTAATCTATATAGTTAATGCATGACCTCAATCAAAGGAGGGTTTTTCATGGAGCAGAACTCTAAAATGTATATGGAAAAGCAAAACACAAAGAGTAGCGATGATTTTAAAGAAGAACAAGAAGAGGAGACAAACTACCAGACACTAAGACACAATAAAGAAATAAAGACCTATTTTAAAAGCATGATGGTGGCTCATGCCTGTAATCCCAGCATTTTGGGAGGCCAGTGCGGGCAGATCACTTGGGGTCAGGAGTTCGAGACCAGCCTGGTCAACATGGTGAAACCCCATCTCTACTAAAAATACAAAAAAATCAGCCAGACGTGGTGCACACTTCTGTAATCCAAGCTACTCAGGAGGCTGAGGCCTAAGAATCGCTTGAACCTGGGAGGTGGAGGTTGCAGTGAGATGAGATTGTGCCACTGCACTCCAGCCTATGTGACAGCGTGAGAATTCATCTCAGAAAAAAAAAAAAAAAAAAAAAAAAAAAAGCAAGAAAATGGGGCAAGAAAAAAGAAATACACCAGTGGAACTAAATAGCCGCCCCCCCCCCCGCCCCTACAAAAAGACATAGATCTACATAGACAGAAGTTTGTAGGACAGAATGGCACTGTGCATTGGTGGAGAAGGGTTGCAAAGGCAATTAAATGGTGCTAAGACAACAGGTCATCCATGAGAAAAACAAAATTAGGCAACTATACCTCATGCTATACACAAAACTATTTTAGAGGGACAGCAGGTGAAATTGTGAAAAGCAAAACTTTAAAACTTTTAATCGTAAACAGAGGATATTTTATATGACCTCAGCCTAAGGGAGAATTTCTAAAATAATATACCCAGAAACAATGCCCAAAGGAAGGATGACATTAAAAGAAAACTCTTATTCAACAAATGGCATTATTTAAAAAGTTAACAATCAAGCCCCGAACCAGAAGATATTTTTACTCATATAGACCACAAAGAATTGATATGCAGAATATATAAAGACTGCCTACAAATCACTAAAAGAAATCAACAGAAAAATCACATGATTAGAAAATGTCCTTCACAGAAGAAACCCAAATAGCTAAATAAACACATAAATTCTCAATCTTCCTAGTTATCAACCAAATTCTAATAAAACTACAATGAGATATTACTCACTAGTTATCAACCAAACTCTAATAAAACTATAATGAGATACTATTTCACACCCATCAAATTGGTAGAATTAGGACTTGACAATACCAAGTGTTTATGAGGACACGGGGTGAGATACAACCACTCCAGAGAGCAATTTCATTCTAGTTATTAAGTTTGAAATTGTGCATACCCTAAGACCTGGTAATTTTTTGGTTGTATACCCCAGATGAACTCTGGTGTGTGCACTAAGGAGAAATATAAATGAATTCATATAGCAACATTTTTTAATAGTGAAAAATTGTAAAAACTTAAAAGTCTCTCAATAGGAAAATATATTTTAAAATTGTGACATATTTTGAAGAACTGAATACCATAAAACAATTAAAATAAATGAACTAGAGCTACAGATATTAATATAAGTAAACTCCAAAAACATAATATACAGCAAAAAGGGCAGGCTCAGACAATGTACACAATATAGACTGTAGTGAATACTGAGGTGGCTGCTCAGGTCTCTCTTTAGGACTGAAGAGCTTATCCCCCAGTTTCTAGGGGTGTTGCAAGTTAACAGCCCTCAGTTGAAAGAGTCACCTCACCAAGGTCTCATCCCTTCTTCAGGGGTAGCCTTCTTCCCATAACTGGTCAATGTGAAGCTACCAAGGCCTGGCCCCTCACCCCAACGTGGTACCATCCTCAAGGGCTACCCCACCTTCAGCATCCCCTTTGGGATCAGCTGAGGCCTATCTTGTGATCGGACACCACAGCCCAATTTCTCCCTTGGCCCAATTGTGCTTCCTCCTATTCCACAAGTGTGAATCCTAAAATCTCCTTAACAAACTTCCTACATGTTAATCTTCTTTTCTTTTCTTTTCTTTTTGGATACGGAGTTTTGCTTTGTCACCCAGCCTGGAGTGCAGTGGCTTGATCTCGGCTCACTGCATCCTCCACCTCCCAGGTTCAAGTGATTCTTCTGCCTCAGCCTCCTGAGTAGCTGGGATTACAGGTGCACACCACCACACCTGGCTAATTTTTTGTATTTCAGTAGAGATGAGGTTCCACTATGTTGGCCATGCTGGTCTGAAACTCCTGACCTCAAGTGATCTGCCCGCCTCGGCCTCCCACAGTGCTGATTACAGGCATGAGGCACTGGTGGCCCCCAGCCTTAATCTTCTGAGTTCCATTTCCCTTGGAACCTGACTTGCAACAGATACAATGTATATCGTGTTTTAAAACATGTACCATAATACAATTTATGTTGTGAAACAGTATTATTTATGTTTGGGAATGCGTGTGTATTTTGTAAAACTGTAAAAGCATGCACCAGAATGACGAACACCAAATTCAAGAGAGAAGTTACTTCTGGAAGGTAGAAAGGAGGACAGGCTTGTGGAAGCACACACATAATGTTTTAATAACTACATTACATTTTCATTCTTATACTGGATACTGTATACATATATACTGGTTAGAGTATTCCTTATGCTTTCTTTGTATATCCGAAATTCCATGACTTTTTAAAGTAACCTAAAAGGAACAGCTTGCCACTGTATCAACCATTCTTCACTTTTTTTCTGCTGCAATAAACAAATGGATGACATTCATGTGGCCAACAGAGAATAATGGGTGTTCCCACATTTTGAAACAAGAACAAATTTCCTGTTGGAAATAAAAAAAAAAATAGGGCTACAGAGCTCTTTTTGCTTTTTTTTTTAAAGTGGCAATCTTGAGAAGTATTTACAAGTTTGTAATTCTATACCATGCACTAGCAATGATCACTTTAAACAGGCTACTACACAGATAATATAAAACTATGCATAATTTCTACAGTAATTCCACTTCCCTTTCTTCTGCTCAAGAAATTACTGGATTTCAAGTGACCGAAATTATAGTGATAACTTTGACTTTGTCAAGTTTCACACATCGTGGGGCCAAGATTTGAGCCAGGGCAGTCTGACTCTGAATTTGAACAGTGTTTAATTGCCAGGAACAAACCACAGGGAAAACTTCTAAACAGAAGAATACAGAGCAAAAGGAAATGCCTAGGATTGTTCTTTCTAAATTCTCAACATTTCCCAATACAAAAAGTATTATGGTATAATTACAGTTCTATAAAACAATGTGCTCTATGTATAATAAAAATACCAGCAAAATAAAGAGATTACCTGAAAATTGTAAATCGAAGGACACATTCACATAACTGAGATACAACTGGATTTTTCCCTAAATTTGTTAGATAATTCCACAATTGCCAATTTCGCTCTGTTTGTTGAGATCTGATCTTGGTTTCAAATTTTAAAATTTCACTGTATAATAAAATGAGTTCCATGTCCCTAGGGTTGGGCCACGGAAACAATGTTCTTCTCTGTTCCCACCCAATGTGAGCTATGTATGACAGCAACACATCACATAAAAGGATCTAGAAGCTCAAAATAAAAGGGGAAAAAAAAGTATGTGGGAGGGGAGCAGGATGAAAAGATTAAAATATTTTCTAACTCACTAATTTGAAGCAAACAGGTTTTGTACATATCCAAGGCACTGAGCACAAACAATCCAATTTCAACTGATGTTAATTATTCAGGACTACTACTAAGAAACTAAATTTTAAGTTCTATATTTGTTTAATATAAAAAATTTATAATACAGTTACAAAGGAGGAGAAAAACAAAACAAATATATCAACATGGTCAGACATTGACAATAAAAGATTGTTGACTGGGAATGAAATATGTAACACTCTGTCAACAAAGCTTTTCATACCTTAAAGGAATTTTATACGTAATCCCTTCCTCTTAACCCATTATGTGTTTCGAGTTCCTCTTTCTCCTGACACTGTCAAAAAATCTTTTTCTTTAACGTTTTCCCAGTAATCCAGTTATTCCTAAATTTTCAGCGACATTTTAGAAAGAAATCCAAACCTCAGCTCAGGTTAACATCTATACAGGCACTCCCTCTTGTGGTACAAAGGGAAACTGCCTGTTTACTCCAGCGCTCAAGCCCAAGAAGTCCTTTGAGTTTTAGCGCACTGAAGCAGGTTCTTTATTGTCTTCATTTTATAGACCAGGAAACAGCACAACTGAGGTCCAGCAACTTACTTCCTCGAGGCATAACAACCAGAGAACTGAGATTCAGCTCAGATGTCTGATATCCCTATCCCAAGGCCATGCACTTTGCACCATACCTCATGATCTACAACATCTATTCACCCTGTTCTTTTTGTTACCAAATTTCCAAGAATACCTGTAAAGCAGGTAGTGTAGTGACCACATATTACTGAAAGATGCATTTAATGCAATAAGAAGAATCTAATTTTAAACTTCTACTGTTTTGATGTAGTTTCAAAGCAGCTGCTTAGCTTGTATTTTCAGTTTAATATATTCGTGATCATTAACAAAACAGCGAAGTGAATAATGGGCATAAATTTTCCTAAGAAGAATCATTTTCCATACTTATTTTTCAATATTATCAAAAAGTATGTAATTTTGTGGGTTTTTTTGTTTTTTTTTTTTTTGAAACAGAATCTTGCTCTGTTGCCCAGGCTCGAGTGCAATGGTGCAATCTCGGCTCACTACAACCTCCGCCTCCCAGGTTCAGGCTATTCTCCTGCCTCAGCCTCCCGAGTAGCTGACATTACAGGCGCACACCACCATACCCACCTAATTTTTGTGTTTTTAGTAGAGACAGGGTTTCACCACATTGGCCAGGCTGGTCTAGAACTCCTGACCTCAGGTGATCCCCCCGCCTTGGCCTCTCAAAATGCTGGGATTACAGGCGTAAGCCACCGCGCCCAGCCGTAAACAGAATTTTATTTTGTGTGTTATGGACCCACTTGTAACCAAAAGCGCTTCTTTGAAGGACAAGACAAATAATTAGAATTTCCAAAATAATAAACTGTCATCCTTATTTACATGTTAATGTCAATGGATCTGAATAAAAGAATTTATGCGGCCGGGTGCGGTGGCTCATTCCTGTAATCCCAGCACTTAGGGAGGCCAAGGTGGGTGGATCACCTGAGGTCAGGAGTTCGACACCAGCCTGGTCAACATGTGAAACCCCGTCTCTACTAAAAATACCAAAATTAGCCGAGTGTGGTGGCGCATGCCTGTAATCCCAGCTACTCAGGAGGCTAAGGCAGGAGAATCGCTTGAACCCAGGAGGCGGAGGTTGCAGTGAGCCTTGATCGTGCCACTGCACTCCAGCCTGGACGACAAACTGAGACTCAGTCTCAAAAAAAAAAAAGAAAAAGAAAAAGAATTTATGCTTTGTGTTAATGGCATGTCATAAAATTTCAAAACCTGCTGATTCCCAAACACCTATTTTATTTATCTTCATCATGAATTTATATGATGAAAAGTACCTCCTTTACAGGTTTTAAAAGTTAAATGAGCTATACAAGTCAAGGACTGGTTAGTCTTTTATAAAGTTCACCTTTTTCATCTTCCTTTTACCAGAGAAATATAAAGATGTACTCCCATAAATGGTAAAAATACAGAGGGAAGAAGGCAAGACAGCAAGTAGAAAAAATAATTATCAAAAGCACTACTGAATTCTTCAATGTGACAGGTTTTCACCTGCAAGAATTTTTCCACTCTGGAAATGCCCCGAAGTGTCCCACAGTGATTCCACCTGTACAAGTGAGACTACAGCCCATGATGCTGCCCAACCACAGTTGGCCAAGACCTCCCTAGCTGCCCCTTTCTGCCTGATGTGCCACGTGTGTCCCCCCCCAGAGCTGGGCCATGGAGCAAAGAGGATCAGCTTTAAAGCCCAATCAAACGTAGGCTGCATTCCCCTGATCAAACCTCCAAAGTGAATTCCTGGTTTCCTAACTCAATAAGCAAAACAAACAGATGCAACCTCCAAGTATTTTGTATTCCTCACCTCAGTGAATTCCCCACCACTTGCTGAGAAGGCCACGGCAGAAGCTGAACTAATCCTTGACTCCTTTTTCTCCAATATTCTCCCTATCCTGCCAGTCAAAAGGGCATATAACTCCCAGTCACTGAATCTCTTGACTCAACCTCTCTTCTTTAATCCCAATGCCACAGCTTTAGATAAAGTCCTTCCAACATCTTGCAACCTGGATAACAGCCAAGTCCTATTCATCCCTCTCAACCTGGCTCTTCCATGCCCTCCTGCAAGGCCTTCCCCAGCCCTTCTCTGTGGATGCCCCTCCTCCGTTTTGAAGCAGACTGGATACCAGCCCCACCCCGCCGCCATGCTTCTTTTATCCTTGCAGGTGGGTGTGTCTTTATCTTCAGGGTGCCTGAAACATATGAGTGTTCCACAAATTTTTGTTGAATAAGGGATTTCCTTTTGAGGGAAGGAAAAAGTGAAAAAGCACAATTTGGTTAACTAAGCTGGTACTTTATTTGGAAAAATGGCTTAATGAATTTCAGTTTAAGATCCGGTTTTTTCCAAAATAAATTTTTTCTGTTTGCATAAACTTGGGCAGAATCATGGGCAGGATGTTCTAGGGTCATTGTATTTTCATTAAAATTAGGTAAATGTCTAACTGAAAAATGCCCACTTTTACCCAAGTAAGTAAAATTCAATCTTCTATTTTATATATGGGGGGATTCAGGGGCAAAGGTGTGAGGTCACTAACCCCAGAGATAACTGATTCCTGTCTGGTGCAGAAAATGGAAGTGCTCCAAGAGGGCATCTCTCTGCTTCACTTCCCCAACCACTGCAAGGATCTTATGCTCAGATTACCTGATGTCTCTACATATATGGGAGTTGGGGTCAGGTGGGTGGACACCCAGGCCTAGAAGCAAAGGTATTAAGCCACCATCAATTTCCTTCCTAAAGAACTAAAAGGTGAAGGATAGGGCCAGGCACGGTGGCTCACGCCTATAATCCCAGCACTTTGGGAGGCCGAGGAGGGCAGCTCATTTGAGGTCAGGTGTTCGAGACGAGCCTGGCTGACATGGTGAAACCCCATCTCTACTAAAAATCCAAAAAAAAAAAAAAAAAAAGCCAGGCATGGTGGTACATGCCTGTAGTCCCAGCTACTTGGGAGGCTGAGGCAGGAGAATTGCTTGAACCCGGGAGGCGGAGGCTGTAGTGGGCTGAGATCACGCCACTTCACTCCATCCAGCCTGGGCAACAGAGCGAGACTCTGTCTCAAAAAATAAAATAGGCCGGGCATGGTGGCTCACGCCTGTAATCCCAGCACTTTGGGAGGCCAAGGTGGGGAAATCACCTGAGGTCGGGAGTTTGAGACCAGCCCGACCAACATGGAGAAACCCTGTCTCTACTAAAAACACAAAGTTAGCCAGGCATGGTGGCGCATGCCTGTAATCCCAGCTACTCCACAGGCTGAGACAGGAGAATCGCTTGAACCCGGGAGGCGGAGGCTGCGGTGAGCTGAGATCGCGCCATTGCACTTTACCTGGGCAACAAGAGTGAAACTTGTCTCAAAAAAAAAAAAATTAAATTAAAAATTGAAGGATAACCCACCACCATAAATTTGAACTACTTTACACAAATTGAATATTAATCCAAAAAACATGTTTTCCAGTGGGGAGGGGGGTGTTAATAACTATTTAACATAAAACCAATCATTTGACAAATGATATGCAAGGGAAATACAGCTATTCCTGGTCACTAAATTCTGGGAAAAACAAGTAACTCTTTTTACGATTTAATTTAAATTATTTTACAATGTAACTAATTTACAAATAACTAACTTACAATTAGAATCCAAAAAGCATTTGGCATAGAACATGAATTCAGTGAACCTCACCAAAGTATTCCAAAGCAGTATGTTACAATGAAGTCAGTACTATAGTTCAATTCCTTGAATGGAAATTTTTTTTTTTTTTTTTTTGGAGTCTTGCTCTGTCACCCAGGCTAGAGTGCAGTGGCGTGATCTTGGCTCACTGCAAGCTCTGCCTCCCGGGTTCACGCCATTCTCTCCTGCCTCTACAGGCGCCCACCACCGTGCCCGCCACCACGCCCATCTAACGTTTTGTACTTTTAGTAGAGATGGGGTTTCACCGTGTTAGCCAAGATGGTCTCGATCTCCTGACCTCGTGCTCTGCCTGCCTTGGCCTCCCAAAGTGCTGGGATTACAGGAGTGAGCCACCATGCCTGACCTGAATGGTCATCTTAAAGAGAATTTGAAATTTTGAGTGGCCACCCACGTTTAGTGGCTTTCTTGAGGTATAATTTGCATGTCTTGAAAATTATCCATTTTAAGTACACAATTGCACACGTTTTCATACAATTTATACACAACTATCACCAGGAACATTTCCATCACCCAAACTGTTCCGCTGTGCCTGTTTAAAACCAATCTCCATGCTGCCACCCTACACCCAGGCAAAGTACTGATCTGATCTAAGGTTTTGCCTGTTCTAAAAGTTTCATATCATGGTATCATACAATACAGAGCCCTTTCACTTGGCATAATGTTTCTGAGGTTCAACCATATTGTAGTATGTACCCGTGGCATGAATCAGAATTTTATTCCTTTTCATGGCTGATATGGACATACCAAATTTTGTTTATCTATTCACCGGTTGATGGATTTGGATTGTTTCCAGTTTTTGTCTACTGTGAATAATGGTACTATGAACATCTGTTTGCTTTTTGAATGGGCATAGTTTTAGTTTTTATAACTTTACTGAGTTACTCTTGATATACAATAAATTGCACATATTTAAATATACAATGAGTTTTGACATATGTATACACCCATGAAATCATTAGACATAATCAAATAATGAATATATACATCACCCCCAAACGTTTCATTGTGCTCTTTCCTTTGGAATCCCTTTCTCCCTCCTCTCCCAAGCCATCCTCTGATCTGCAGGCACTGATCTACTGTCACTACAGATTAGCTTGCATTTTCTAGAATTTCACCTAAATGGAATCAGTATTCTGTTTTGTAGGAAAAGGTGTCTGGCTTCTTTCACACAGCATGTTATTATTTTGCAATGCATACATGTCACTGTATGTATCAATAGTCCATTCCTTTTCATTACTGAGTATTATTCCATTCTATAGATATACCACAATTTGCTTATCCATTCATCTGCTGACAGACACATAAATTAGTTCCAGTTTTCAATCACAGCTAAAGCTGCTGTTTTAACCACGTCAGACCAATCTGGTTCATCTCTTCTGTAACAAAGTTGTGAGTTGTTTTTCAGTTGCCATGGGCCCCCAGGTTGAACATCATGTAAGCTGAGCATGTCCAGATGAACCAAGCATGCAACTATAGGGGCAACCTAAATGTTCCAACCAAGGAGAGGGGACTGAACTAAGAAGTGGAAGCCGGGTGTGGTGGCTCATGCCTGTAATCCCAGAACTCTGGGAGGCCGAGGCGGGCAGATCACCTGAGGTCAGGAGTTTGAGACCAGCCTGGCCAACATGGCAAAACCCCATCTTTACTAAAAATACAAATACTGGGCATGGTGGTAGGCGCCTGTAATCCCAGCTACTTGGGAGGCTGAGGCAGGAGAATCACTTGAACCCAGGAGGCGGAGGTTGCAGTGAGCTGAGATTGCACCACTGCACTCCAGCCTGGGTGACAAGAGTGAGACTCTATCTCAAAAAAAAAAAAAAAAAAAAAAAAGTGGATATGGCATAACAGGATCCAGAATCCAACCAGATTGAGCTCTGGCATAGCCCCATGTCAGGAGCCAGTCAGAAAACACCCCCCAGCATCACTTCATCACAAGATCCAATTGGATCACACCCTATTACCCTATGCTTATAAAACTCTACCCAACTACCAGCTCCAGGAGGCAGATTTGGGTGCTTCTTCCTGGCTCCTTGCCAGTCCAGTCATGATAAAGCTTATTTTTCCTCAAAAGCCAGCGCCATGGTATTGGCCTCCATGTGCCTTGGGAAGCAGGCCCATTGATTGCTTGCTGGGTGACACTATGAACATCATATACCAACTTTGCCTGGACACATGCTGTCATTTTTCCTGACAGCATACCTTGGAAATAGAATTGCTGAGTTACACATTAAGTGTATATTGAACTTTTTAAGAAACTGCCAAACTGTTTTCCATCATGGCCATACTGTTTTATATTCCCACCAGCAATTTGAGAGGATTCTGGTTTCCGCATATCCTTGTCAACACTTGGATTGTCAGTCTTTTTAATTTTAGCCATTCTGGTGGTTGTTGTTATGGCTTTAATTTGCATTTCCCTAATGAGTGAGTGGCTGCTTAGTTTAGTGGTCAGCCAGTGGATTTGGGCAGAGATTAAGCCCAGCCACCTTGCACCAGTAAGGCTTCCAACATCTGCAGATGGAACAGTCTGCATGGAAGGTAGCATTCAAAGTTGTACCCAGATCTCAAGTCTCTTCTGGCTTTCACTTTTTGCTGGGCTCTACTGAGTATCCCCTGGGCATGCAAAGTTTAGCTGTCTGCTACAGATGGTTGGGGAGCCATGTTAGCCCTCTATAGGTCTCTCATTTCTAGGATCTCCTTGTTAAATTTCTGGATGGTGGCCTCAAACTAGCAAACTTCAAACTCAAAGTAGCAAAGCTGTGAGTTTTTCATTATTAACTGATTATGCCACTTTTAGCTAGCAAAGCTGTGATTTCTTAACCCCAACCTTTACCCACACTTCAAATTGAGTCTATCATGTCTGATAAAACAGCAGTTCGACAACTGAGATAGTGGGCAAGGAGAGAAGAAACCCCATGCGAGAAGGCCACAACCCCTATCCTTCATACCCAAAGATTCAGTGTATCAATAACGCTTCTCAATCTATTATCTGCCTTTTGTTTCCAGTGCCCAGAAACGACCATTTTGGACAATCTCATCCAGTTTTACGCTTGTTTTATTCAGAAAGAGAATCACCTATCCTCTTCACATCACCATTAAGGGAAATGATCTTGGCTACTCATTTTTAATTCCTCAGTTTTCCACAGCATAAAGTATGACGATAATACAAAAATGAAGTATGACTATAATTCAACTCCAAGTATCAAATATAGAAATGCTCTCAAAGTTTGATAGAAAATTTATCATCAGAACGTGAATATTTTATATTAAGAGAGTGGCTCTTCCACATAGTACCAGCAAGCTAACATTATATTAAAGTACCAAAATAGCCAGTTCAGTAACTTTGAGACTCCTAGAAGATAAACTGGTTGATTGCTTGGACCTCAGCTGTGACTTGGCCACAAAACTCAAAACACAATCGATTCTGTGGTGTCATTAACAAAGTCTGACACAGGCAAAAAGCAAATTCTTGCAGTTCTATTAGTATGAGTATGTATTACAAATATTCTCAGCCCAGATTTTGTTACATTATACTTTTTCCAGTTATTTCACATGCTACCACAAAATCCTCAAGTATAATTTAGTTTTAACATTACTTCATATTTATATAATACAATGCTTTATAGTTGACTAAGCCCCTGCACCTACTAGTTCATCTGATCCTCATAAAAACCTCCTGTGGCAGGTAAAGCAAATATTACCCTCATTTTATACCTGCTGGAACTGAACACAGAGGGATTAAGTGTTCCACATAGCTAGGAAATCAGATCTAAAATCCACTTATTCTGGCAATATTTCATTTTGTGTGACCTTGGGTATTGTGTCTCTGCCTCAATTTCTTCAAATGTTTCAATAACTTCCTCAAAAGTAAGGAAAAGAAATTACACCCCAAACATCAGCTTTTTCAACATTTTCAGTTGACGAGAACTAGTCTTAACATTTGTTACCTTAACATTTTTAATTCCCGGAATGTGAATGCAGACACTGAGCAAGAAGCAGCCAAATTTCATAACAATTGCAAAAGCCACCTTTAACATACAATGCCAATCTCTACATTCTCTCTCTTTCTCTGTCTCTCCCCCGATCCCTCCCACCCCTCTGCCTCTTCCACAACACAATTCTATGAAATCATCTTAGGAGGGAAGCACTACACCTCCACCCCTAACACACACAGGTGGTGGTCTTAAATGTCATAAATCTAGTAGGCCATTTCAGAAAAATAACTTGAAATCTCTCTAACACATGCATTGGGAGAAACATGTAATTTCTCTCATCTTAAAAAACCAAAACCAAAACTTTCCTTGACTCTTCTGGACTTCACAAGTTACTCAAAAGAGAGTCTGTCTGTACTCACTCTTCAATCCAGTTCCTCCAATTCTCCCTGGAATCTGCTCCACTCTGGCTTTTGTCTCTACCATTTCACTGAAACCACTCGCCAAGATCACTAACATCCTCCTCACTGCTAAATCTTCTGATCAATTTTCAGCTGGCATCTTACCTGACCCATCAGCAGCATCTGACAAGGTGGGTTACTACTGCTTCCCTTGGTGTCTAGAGTATCACGATTTACACCTTCCTGTCTGTTCCTCAATCTGCCCTGCTGACTCCATGGGACCAGGAGAGGCCCCAGACCACTCTTCTCACTCCCTTGGTGGCCTCAATCCTTCTTATGACTTTGAACAACAGTTCAATGCTAATGACTTCAAATTTGCCTTTTTAATCCTGACCTCCCACTGAAGTCCAGACTCTGCCTACATGACCTTTCTGCTTAGATATCTAAAGAGGAATCTCAAATGTAATGTGTTTAAAACTGAGCTCCTAGTGCTGCCTCCAATCGGTCCCTCCACAATCCACCCCCCTATCTCAGCAAAGGCACCTCCACTCTCAGTTGTTCAGGCTGCAAACTGTGGAGTCTTCCCTGACACTCCTTTCTGTCTCTCATCTCATATCTAATTTCACAACATATAACTAGAATTCCGTCATTTCTCCTCACATCCCTTGCTTATGGTCTCAGGCACCATCTTGCAGCTGGGTCACTGCAGTAGCCTCACTGGGTCTCTCCGCTTCTACCCTTGCAAACACCCCCACCCCTAGCCCAGAGTATTCAAATCACATTACCTTCATTAGAAAGATCATGTTGCTTCTCTCCTTAAAATCCACCAATTCTTTTTCATCTCACTGGAAGCCAAAACCCATACAATAACCACTGCTCACACTGTTATGGGAAAGGGGTCCTGATCCAGACCCCAAGGGAGGACTCTTGTATCTCATGCAAGAAAGAATCTGAGGCAAGTCGATAAAGTGAAAGTAAGTTCATTCAGAAAGTAAAAGAATAAAAGAATGGCTACTCTATAGTTGCCCATTTTTATGGTTATTTCTTGATTATATGCTAAACAAGGGGTGGATTATTTATGCCTCCCCTTTTTAGACTATATGGGGTACTAACCTGACGTTGTCATGGCATTTGTAAACTGTCATGGTGCTGGTGGGAGTGTAGCAATGAGGACAATCGGAGGTCACTCTCAATGCCATCTTAGTTTTGGTGGGTTTTGGCCGGCTTCTTTACTACAAACTTTTTTATTAGCAAGGTCTTTAGGACTCGTATCTTGTGCTGACCTCCTATCTCATCCGGTGACTTAGAATGCCTAACTCTTTGGGAATGCAGCCTAGTAGGTCTCAGCCTTATTTTACCCAGCCCCTACTCAAGATGGGATTGCTCTGGTTTTTATGCCTCTGACAACATGACATGACCATCCATATCCTCTCATCTCCTCTTTTTTTTTTTTTTTTGGAGACAGAGTCTTGCCCTGTCGCCAGGCTAGAGCACAGTGGCACGATCTCAGCTCACAGCAACCTCTGCCTCCCAGGTTCAAGCGATTCCCCTGCCTCAGCCTCCTGAGTAGCTGGGACTACAGGCACCCACCACCACACCTGGCTAATTTTTTGTATTTTAGAGTAGATACGGGATTTCACCATGTTCGCCAGGATGGTCTTGATCTCCTGACCTCGTGCTCCACCTGGCCTTGGCCTCCCAAAGTGCTGGGATTACAGCCCCTTCACTCACTCCACTCCATTCACTAGCCTCCTCCTATTTTCAAACAAGCCAGGCATGCTTCTGCCTCAAGGTCTTTGCATTTGCTATCCTCTCTGCCTACAACACTCTTCCCCCAAACACCCACAGGCTCTTTCCATCAACTTCTTCACAACTTCTCACTGAGGCCTTCCCTAAACATTCTCTTTACCAGTCAACTCTTCAGCCCTTACTCTTGCCTGCCTTACATTTCTCCAAAGCACTCATTGCTTTCTAATATACTACATATTGTACTTTTTTATTTGTTCTTAGTCTGTATCTTCCTGCTAGAATGTTACCTCCATGAAGGCAGAGAGTTTAGTTCGTTTTGTTCACTACTGTATCACCAATACCTACAATACTGTCTGACACATGGTAGGCAGTCAATAAATATTTGATGAATCAAAGAATCAAATTCTTAAAACAATACAAATGTATATGAATTGATCCATAGGAGGACCAGAAAGTTCAAGAACTACAGAATGCTAGGTACTGGATAACTAAGAATGTTGATTGTATGTGATGATATAGATCAGTTCCATCCAAAAGAAGTATAATGCAAGCTACAACTAATTTTAAATTTTCCAGCAGTCACATAAAAAAGTAAACAAAAACAAGTGATATTAATTTTAATAACATGTTTTAATTCAATATATCCAAAATATTATCACTTCAAAATGTGAGTCATATAAAACCTAGTATTTTAGTCTTTTTAAATTTTTTTTTGAATTATGGTATTTTCTGCAGAGCACATTTCCGTTAGTACTACTCATATTTCAAACATCTAATAGCTACATGTGGCATGTGGCCAGTTGCTACCATATTGGACAACACAGATTTGGACCAAAATTAAATAATCCCACTGCAGTGGCGAATATCTTGTAGATTTATTCACTGTTTTTAGTTTAAGATTCCCAAACAAGGCCCTGGTACAACTTCATGGTTTACTAGTTTTGTCAAAACAGTTTCAAAGGATATAGTACGAGGAATAATAGCTCTTGTTCTGAGAAACCATTTGTTTTCAATGTAACTGACTCAACACTTAAAACACTTTAAACTTCATTCAGGTGTTTTGATTAGAAAGAATGAAAGCCATTCTTCCCTAGTCTGTTTGAGAAAGTTAAATCCAGACAGATTCTGTGATCTTATCTATATTAGTATTGGAAAAATCATTATTTTCAAATAGAAAGAACTATTAAAATTTTATTTCCACTAAACCAGTATTTATTTCAAATTAACCAAAATGCATCCTGCATTAAAAGATAATTTTTACATACAGTTGCATTTTAAAAATGTATTAACAGTTGTTTTACCAATATTTTTTACATTTTATAATGTAAAAATGAAATAAAGCACTAAGGAGAATGCTTTTAAATTTTTTTTTTTTTTTTTTTTTTTTTTGAGACAGAGCCTCTCTGTCGCCCAGACTGGAGTGCAGTGGCACAGTCTCAGCTCACTGCAACCTCTGCCTCCCAGGTTCAAGTGATTCTCCTGCCTCAGCCTCCAGAGTAGCTGGGATTACAGGCACCTGCCACCATGCCTGGCTAATTTTTGCATTTTTAGCCGAGATGGGATTTCACCATGTTGGCTAGGCTGGTCTCAAACTCCTGACCTCAGGTGATCTGCCCGCCTCAGCCTCCCAAAGTGCTGGGATTACAGGCGTGAGCCACTGCACCTGGCCTAAATTTTTAATATATGTATTTAAGTCCTATGTTTCTTGAATGCTAAAGTGTTATGTATGGAGAAAGTGTTCATTAACTCTTTTCTATCATCGGGGATTAATTTATTCCAGAATCCCATTATTTACAAATATTCACAAAATATCATAATAATTGCATTATTCAACAACAAAATTTAAAGAACCCAATTAAAGTTTATACTATTTTAAAACTTTAAACTTTTTTTAAAAGCAGTAAAACAGAAGAATCTACTTACTCAGCTGTTACAGGGTGTTATCAATTATCTCTGGTAAATTGGCAGGTCTGAGCTCAGATCAGCAAGGCAGAGAAACTCCAGATGGCAAATTATCCCAACTCTTCTAACTCGTAAAAGCATTAATAAAATGCCTGTGTAAGAAAGAAACCTGAAGTTACAACCAAGACAGAACTTTCTCAAGTGGACTGTCTTGATAGGGAATAAACCTCTGTTTCCTCTTTTCTTTCCTTGAGGGCTTAGAACAAGTTAATTCATGGCTTTGGAGTAGCAGGTGGCCTGATACAGCAATACTTGGTATTACAACTGCCTTTCTGTTTTAAGAAATCTCTGGGGAGAAGCCTAAATTGGTGCAATAAAATATCCACCCAGTACTAGAACTTGCTCCCTTTTTTTTTTCTTTTTGAGATGGAGTCTCGCACTGTCACCCAGGCTGAAGTGCAATAGGATAGTCTCAGCTCACTGCAACCTTCGCCTCCCACGTTGAAGTGATTCTCCTGCCTCAGTCTCCCAAGTAGCTGGGATTACAGGCTCCCACCACTGCGCCAGGCTAATTTTTGTATTTTTAGTAGAGACGGGGTTTCGCCATGTTGGCCAGGCTGGTCTTAAACTCCTGACCTCAGGTGATCCACCCACCTCGGCTTCCCAAAGTGCTGGGATTACAGGCGTGAGCCACCGCACCTGGCCCTTATTTATTATTTTTGAGACAGGGTCTGGCTCTGTCACCCAGGCTGGAGTGCAGTGACGAGATCTCAGCTCACTGCAGCCTTTGCCTCCCAGGCTCAAGTGATCCTTCCACCTTAGCCCATTAAGTAGCTGGGACTACAGGTGCACGCCACCACACCTGGCTAATTTTTTTGTATTTTTGGTAGAGACAGGGTTTCACCATGTTGCCCAGGCTGGTCTCAGATTCCTGAGCTCAAGCAATCTGCCAGCCTCAGCCTCCCAAAGTGCTGGGATTATAGGCATGAGCCACCGCACCTGGCCGTACTGAGTTTTCTTAACAGCTTCTGTCTCCTAATATTGATTCATTGGTATTTTCTTCTAGAAAAAAAAATTTAATAAGGTCTCATTATTTTTAATTTTCACAAGGTTGCCACAATCTTTTTGAAACTTTCATTTTATGTTAAATAATCTGAAATCACTGACACCTTCAGCTGATTCTTCTGAATTAACATTATTTTTAACAAGAAAATGCTGTCTTTATGGAAGTAAGAAGCCTGGTTAAGTGCAAAGCAAATTCTGCTAAAGAGAGGATATTCTCACTTCTGTTTCTATACCAAAATTATACATATTTTAGACTAAGTATTTTCATAGGTATTATCTTTTTGCCTAAATTGGCGGGATTTTTTCCCCACTTTTGCCCCTCTGATCCATTCACCAGGACATACTTCATCATGGGTCATATTTTTTTCTCCAATGCAAATCTCACCATGTCACTTCCCAACTAAAACAGTTTTCAGCGTTTCCCATTGCTCTTAGATACGATATCCCATAAGCTTTAATATGGAGGCTTCCAAAGCCCTGCATGACTTGCTCCCTTCCCACCTCTCAGGCCACCCTGGCCTTCTCTCAAATCCCCAAAAGCACCAGCTTCTCTCTCACCTGCCCCAGGGCCTTTGCAAGGTCTGTTCCCTTTGCTGGGATGCTCTTCTTTTCAGCCATGGTTATCTTTCACATCTGAAAGACCTTCGTATGCCCCCCATCTAAGTTACACCATGCTACTCTCCCTCTCTTCCTCTCAAAAGTACTCTGTACTCTTCCTGCAAAGTGCTCATCCAAATCTGTATTTGTGTGTTTTTAGAAAGCCTATCTCCACCGGACTGTGACAACTTCATGAGGGTGTAGAGCTCATGCCTGTTTGATTAGTCCCTTAACCACCACTGTTCCCAGCACCTGAGCTTCGTCCTTGGCACCTTGTGAACCTACAATAAATATTTGTTAAATGAATGAATAAAAGACTGAGAAGCGGGGGCAGGTGGCAAGGACAATCTAGTTATTTTGGTCCATTGTTATCTATGGTCCTAAATCCAACTACATCATCAGCTTTTCCCTCTATACAGGATGATTCCAATCACCATAGAAGGTCTGTGGATTTAGGAAGGGAGGGAGGAGGGAGGGAGGAGGGAGGAAGGGAGGGAGGGAGGGAGGGAGGGAGGGAGGGAGGCCTTCTTGCCTACTGGCCTTTCCTCTTGACCCCAGGGTCCCACGAATTAACTCCCCATTTCTCTAATCCAGTTTTATAAGAATACTCAAAAGAGCTGACTCCATCCACTGTCTCCAGTTCTTTCTTCCCATTCCCATCAGGCTTTGTCCCCACTGCTCCCCTAAAACTGCTATTGTTAAAGCCAGCAATGTCTTCAACTGTGAAATACCCAAAAGCCAGGTACAGGAAGAGGTGCTTTAAAGGAATTATCTCATCCATTTACTTATTTCTTTTTAAAATTTTTTAAAATTGAATTTTAAAAAGATGGAATGCTTCACAAATATGCATGTCATCCTTGTCCAGGGGCCACACTACTCCTCTCTGTATCGTTTCAATTTTAGCATATGTGCTGCCAAAGTGAGCATTATTTGTTTATTTTTAGACAGGGTCTCACTCTGCCATCCAGGCTGGAGTGTAGTGGGGCAATCTAACTCACTGCAGCCTCAAACTCCTGGGCTCAAGTGATCCTCCCACCTCAGCCTCCTGAGTTGCTGAGACCACAAGCACATGGCACAACATCCAGCTTTTTTTTTTTTTCTTTGCTTTTTTTTTTTTTTTTTTTTTTAGAGATGGCATCTTTCTTGCCTAGGCTGGTCATCCACTTAAACAGTTCATAGGCTGGCCATGGTGGCTCACACCTGTAATGCCAACACTTTGAGAGGTCAAGGCAGGAGGATTGCTTGAGTCCAACAGTTTGATACTAACCTGGGTAACATAGCAAGACTCCTTCTCTACAAAGAATAAAAAATTAGCTGGGTGTGGTGGTGCATGCCTATGGTCCTAGCTACTTAGGAGGCTGAGACGGAAGGATTGCTTGAGTCCAAGAGGTCAAGGTTGCAGTGAGCTGTGATCATGCCAATGCCCTCCAGCTTGGGTGACAGAGCTACACCCTGTCTCAAAAAAAATTTTTTTTAAATAAATAAACAGTTCATCACCACCACCTGATGAGGTAAGTACCATTGTTATCCCCAGAGACAGGTTAACTGAATTCATTCAAGACTACTTGGGCAAAAAAGCAGCAGAAACCATTTTCACTCAATCTAATGTTCACTGTTCAGTCTTCCTCTTACTGGACCTGCCAGCGGCACAGACAGAGCTGATCACTCTCCTCTTTAAGCACTTTCTTTGCTGGGTTGCCAGGACACCACAACCTACTGACTCTCCTCCTCCTTCACTGGCCATTCCTTAAACTTCTTCTCATTATCCACCTTTTAATGCCAGAGCGACCCAGGACTCTCAATTCTCAAACTTTCCTGTCTATACGCTCTCCTCCTGGTCATCTCAATGGGTCTCAGCACCTTAAATAAGAGCCTGAACCTCTTCCCTGAACTCAAGGCTCATATTTTCAGCCACCTCCTTGACATCTCCGCTTGGATGTCTAATAGACATTCCCCTTTTAACATCATGCCATGCCAAACTCCTGATGTTCCCCTAGTGCTCCACGCCTGAAGCTCCTACAGGCTTGCTCATCTCAGGAAACAGTAACTCCATCCTCCAAGATGGAGTTTTCTCTTTCCCTCATATCCTCTGCCCAATTCATGAGCAAACCCTGTTGGCTCAATCTTAAAACTACATCTGAATTCTAACTACTTCTCCCTGCTCCCACCACTGCCATCTGAGCCTACCTCATCTCCATCTGGATGACTACAATAGCCTGGGAGCTGATGCTTCCCTTGCCTTACTTGCCTGCTGGGAACAGAAAATGCATTAATATGACCACACTGAAGTCTTTCCGTTGAGATTGTCATAGTAAAGATGAATTGTTTGTTATATTTGTCTCTCAAATATTTCAGGAAAAAGTTGTTTCTTCCATGTTACGTTAGTTCTGAATATTTAAATTGCTTTCTATTATGAAAACCTGTATTAACAAATGCAAGGTCCTTGAAAAAGTATTCTATTGTTGCCCTTGACTCTGAAATGAATTAGAGTTCTGTGTGGGCAAAAATATTAGCCCAGCTCTTAAAGGTCCATGGAAAATGTTGTTTGCTTTCTTCAAAGCTTAAAAGCTTCCTGTTAATCATCAAAATAAGATATCTCCACTGCAGGCATTTGTTACTTGAAGACGAACAGAACAGAATCAGCACCTATATAAAAACCACACTGACAATATCTAATATTTTAGAAAAAATGAAATCTGATGGTCCTGTTAACAATCATGGTATTTTCTAAACCCCTGCCTCCTTTTTTGTTGTTATTTTTTGTTTAGTCAGGGTCTTGCTCTGTCACCCGACTGGAGTGCAGTGGTACCCGCATAGCTCACTGCAGCCTTCAACTCCGGCCTCTGCCTCCTGACCCTACTGCCTCAGCCTCCTGAGTAGCTAGGACTACAGGCACACACCATCACATCCATTTTTTTTTAATTTTTTTTTTTAGAAAAGGGGTCTTGCTTTGTTGCCCAGGCTGGTCTTGAACTTCCAGCCTCAAACCATCCTCCAGCCTCAGCCTCCCAAAGTAATGGGACCAAAGGTATGAGCCACTGCACCAGGCCTCAACTCCTTTCTTTACTACAGTCCCCAAAAACCAGAGGCCTGGATTCAGTGCCTCTAAAACTCCTTTCTGCTAGTTTGGCTCCAGCGCTCAGCACATGCACTTCCCAAGTCGTTGTTTTCTTTGATCTCCTTAGACTCTCTGCCTCCTAGAGAATCTAATCCACATGAACTGCGCTCCTGGATCTTTTACATAACTGTGGTTTTTCACAAGGTTCTTTAAACAAAGGTCCACGTGATAGATTTCTGCTCAAGCTTAGTTCCAGGAAACGTTTGGTTTCTGCAGATGTTTACATGCTTCCGGCTGTCAGCACATGAAAACAATATAATTCTGTTTCTTTTCCTCACTTTAGCAACTGGAGAGCATAAAATCAAATATATTGTTCAAATCTGTTCAACACTGGTATATGGAAATACTTAATCCTTAAACTTTTTTTTAGGTGAGGTTGGTTTTATTTTTTATTATTTTGCCTTTTGGCCTAAATGTGGTAAGTGGTTTCAGAAACATGAAAAGCTATAAAATGTAAAATATACAAGACAAGAACAAAATAGAAAAAAGGCTGGGTACACTGGCTCAGTGCTTGTAATCCCAGCACTTTGAGAGGCTGAGGCAGGAGGACTGCTTGAGCCCAGGAGTTCAAGACCAGCCTGGGCAACAGAGTGAGACCCTGTTTCTTTAAAAAAAAAAAAAAAAAAAAAAAAAATTAGCTAGGTGTGGTAATGTGTGCCTATAGTCCTAGCTAACCGGGAGGCTGAGGCTGGAGGTACTGTGAGCTGTGATTACATCACTACCCTCCCGCAGTTACAGTTAGAGTGAGACTCCATCTCTAACTATGAAAGAAAAAAATGGAAAAAAAGAAGAAAGCACAGTGGTGATTTTCCAATGAGAAGGCATGAATACCCAGAATCAGACTGTCATCCCAAAAAAAAAAAACAAAACTCTCTTCATAAGCAAAGTTAAAAAGAGTCCTCCACACTCTTTTTTTTTTTTTTTTTTTTTTGAGACAGAGTTCCACTCTTGTTGCCTAGGCTGGAGTGCGATGGCACGATCTCAGCTCACCACAGCCTCTGCCTCCCAGGTTCAAGCAATTCTCCTGCCTCAGCCTACCGAGTAGCTGGGATTACAGGCATGTGCCACCATGCCTGGTTAATTTTTTGTATTTTTAGGGGAGACAGGATTTCTCCATGTTGGTCAGGCTGGTCTCAAACCCCCGACCTCAGGTGATCCGCCCACCTGGGCCTCCCAAAGTGCTGGGATTACAGACATGAGCCACCGCACCCAGCCTCCACCCTCTTTATTTAAACCCTGTTCACTAGTTTGAGTAAAATAATCAGATATGTTTTCGGTTCAATTTCCCTAGCAACACTTAAAAGTTTGAAATTTTTTACAATCAACTTCAGTAAGGCTTCTTTAAACATTATTTTGAAAATTAAAAACATTTTAGAAAAGCAAGCTAAACTGGTTGTATGACAGGTATACATTCTAAGTCATTTTGAGAGGTGACACCGTGCTGGCAGCCCTCGCTTGCTCTTGGCGCCCACTCTGGCCACACTTGCGGAGCCCTTCAGCCCACCGCTGCACTGTGGGAGCCCCTCTCTGGGTTGGCCAAGGCCGGAGCTGGCTCCCTCTGCTTGCGGGGAGGTGTGGAGGGAGAGTCACGGGCAGGAACCAGGGCTGTGCGTGGTGCCCGTGGGCCAGCACGAGTTCCGGGTGGGCGTGGGCTCGGTGGGCCCCGCACTCGGAGCAGCTGTCTGGCGCCGCCAGCCCCAGGCAGTGAGGGGCTTAGCACCCAGGCCAGCAGCTGTGGAGGGTGTGCCGGGTCCCCCAGCAGTGCTGGCCTGCCAGCACTGCGTTCAAATTCTCACCGGGCCTCAGCTGCCTCCCCGCGGGGCAGGGCTCAGGACCTGCAGCCCACCATGCCCGAGCCTCCCCACCACCGTGGGCTCCTGCACGGCCCAAGCCTCCCCAATGAGCGCTGCCCCCTGCTCCGCGGCACCCGGTCCCATCGACCACCCAAGGGCTGAGAAGTGCGGGCGCACAGCACGGGACTAGAGGGCAGCTCCGCCTGCATCCCCAGTGTGGGATCCACTAAGTGAAGCCAGCTGGGCTCCTGAGTCTAGTGGGGACTTGGAGAACCTTTATGTCTAGCTAACGGATTGTAAATACACCAATCAGCACTCGGTATCTAGCTAATCTAGTGGGGACTTGGAGAACCTTTATGTCTAGCTAAAGGATTATAAATACACCAATCAGCACGCTGTGTCTAGCTCAAGGTTTGTAAATGCACCCATCAGTGCTCTGTGTCTAGCTAATCTAGTGGGGACTTGGAGAACCTTTACGTCTAGCCAGGGGATTGTAAATACACCAATCAGCACTCTGTGTCTAGCTCAAAGTTTGTAAATGCACCAATCAGCACCCTGTGTCTAGCTCAAGGTTTGTAAATGCACCAATCAGTGCTCTGTGTCTAGCTAATCTAACGGGGACTCGGAGAACTTTTGTGTCTAGTTCAGGGATTGTAAATGCACCAATCAGCACCCTGTCACAACAGACCAATCAGCTTTCTGTAAAACAGACCAATCAGCTCTCCGTAAAATGGACCAATCAGCAGGATGTGGGTGGGACCAGATAAGGGAATAAAAGCAGGCTGCCCAAGCCAGCAGTGGCAATCTGCTCCAGTCCCCTTCCACGCTGGAAGCTTTGTTCTTTCACTCTTTGCAATAAATCTTGCTGCTGCTCACTCTTTGGGTTTGCACTGCCTTTAAGAGCTCTAACACTCACTGCAAAGCTGTAACACTGCAGCTTCACTCCTGAGGCTGGCGAGACCACGAACCCACCAGGAGAAATGAACTCCAGACGGGAAGAATAAACAACTCCAGATGCACCACCTTAAGAGCTGTAACACGCACCGCCAAGGTTTGCAGATTCATTCCTGAAGCCAGCAAGACCACGAACCCACCAGAAGGAAGAAACTCTGAACACGTCCGAACATCAGAAGGAACAAACTCTGGATACACCATCTTTAAGAACTGTAACACTCACCACGAGGGTCCATGACTTCATTCTTGAAGTCAGTGAGACCAAGAACCCACCAATTCTGGACACAATTTCATTTGGTGAGCAGTCCAGATTACATGTGTGTACACTGTAATGATCAGCTAAGGACTGACTGCTTTTAGCTCCTTCACCCGTTCTCACCTCTGAGGTTCAGTAATAAATGGCTCCTACCAACTAACTGAAGTATCAATCAAAATCTTAAAGGTATTCATTCATTATACGGTATTTACACCCCCCTTAAAATGCAAAATTTATAGTTTTATTAATACAAACATCCAGACAAGAAAATAAGCAGACTAGCAAGATAAAACCAGAGCCTTCAAAAATTACACAAAGCATACAAATATGTAGGCCAAATGGTTAAAGTGAGCCATAAACTTGGCCCTACACTCTAGTGACAAAGCAAAAAGGGAAAAATGATCAGTTACAAACTGGACATGATCAGAGGGTAAATTTCAGGGAAAATAAATTTCTCCTGGTACTCAAATCTAAGAAATATTTCTCTAGTGGATCATTCTATACATGATACACTGGGGTCTTCAATAATGTCCCTGAAAGATATGCTGATTCTTATTGCATATAGCATATATAGTAAAAACATAATGCTCTCTGATAAGGTGGATAAATTTTAAAAATAAAGCCTAGAAAGTCTGTTCAACAGAACTTTCTGTAATGATGAAGATGCTCCATATCTACACTGTCAAAGATAGTAGCCATTAGCCACATATGGCTAGTAAGCACTTGAATTATGGCTGGTATGACTAAGAAACTGAATTTTAATTGTATTTCACTTTAATAGCCATATTACAGCAGCAAATATCTACCCACTGGACAGTACAGGTCTAAAACATTAGTTATCAAACTTTTTTTTTTAGCAGTGGAACCATTTTGGGGTTGGCAAACATATATAGAATCTAACACATTAAAAAAGATAGTATAGTATATATACTTGTAAGTTCAATCTAAAATATTTATAGTCAATGAAAATATGAGTATTCCAATAAATATTAGAAATCGAGGATTTTAAGTGAGAGTTATGAAGTTAGATCAACCCCAGGAACCACTTTTATTTCTGTATTTTGTTTGGATGCACTGCAGTGCCCACGTGGGACTTCTAATTACACATTCTGAGCTACTCAGTTACCAAGGCCACAATCAGCAGCCATTTATCTACTCAGGAAGCATAGAAGAAAACACAGCATGCCAACAGGGCGGTTTCAGGTGTTTCTCTTCATGGAAGGAGCCCCCACATGAGCCCACACGGCCATCCAGGAGCTATTCTCTCTGGCATCCAGCTGACAGCTCAGGGGCAAGGAAATGAAAATCACAAGGGTGGGCCCAGGTACCATGCTGGTTTGGTGCCACTCTGGGAGGCCGAGGTGAGTAGATCACTTGAGGTCAGGAGTTTGAGATCAGCTTAGCCAACATGGTACAACCCTGTCTCTACTAAAAATACAAAAATTAGCCAGGTGTGGGGTGGCGGGCATCTGTAATCCCAGCTACTCGGGAGGCCGAGGGAAGAGAATCGCTTGAACCCGCGAGGTGGGGGTTGCAGTGAGCCAACATTGCACCATCGCACTCCAGCCTGGGCAACAGAGCAAGACTCTGTCTCAAATAAAACAAAATAATATAAAATAAAATCACAAGGGTGGTGCACAGACATGCTGGCTTAGAAACTTTGTGCCCCAAGCAGAAACCAAATATCATATAACGGTGCTAGTCACGGCGTCCAAGGTTCCCACAAAGGACATACCCATTTCTGAAAAGTCAGTACTTCTGGGGAAGCTACAGCTTCTAATCAGGAATTTAGAGTTCACTTACAGTTCCTCCCAGTCCAGATATGTTTACCAAACAGAGGTCACTTTCACCACAACAATGTTGCCTGGTAACATGGTGAACATTTCCCTTTTACCAGGGGTTCAGGAGAACTGAGTAGAGAGTTAATCTAAGGTCAGATTTGTCCTTAAAAAAATGAAAAATGGTTTGTTAACTCTTTTTTTTTTTGAGACAGAGTCTTGCTCTGTCCCCCAGGCTGGAGTGCAGTGGCGCGATCTTGGCTCACTGCAAGGCTCCGCCTCCCGGGTTCACGCCATTCTCCTGCCTCAGCCTCCCGAGTAGCTGGGACTACAGGCACCTGCCACCACGCCCGGCTAAGTTTTTGTATTTTTAGTAGAGATGAGGTTTCACTGTGTTAGCCAGAATGGTCTTGATCTCTGACCTCGTGATCCACCCGTCTCGGCCTCCGAAAGTGCTGGGATTACAGGCATGAGCCACCGCGCCCGGTCACTTTCGTTAATTCTTTAGCAACCTTCATGATTAAAAAAAAAAAAAAAAAAGAATCCCACATATCAGGAATAGAAAAGAACTTGCTTAACTTAAAAACAAAAACAAAACCCTACAACAAAATCACACTTAATGGTTAAATAATGGGAGTATTTCCTTCAAAAGCTACGAAATGCAAGAAGGATGACTACAATCATCACTTTTACTTAATAACATAATAGAGGACTTAGTCAACATTAATAAAAAAGACAAAGGAAATATAAAAATTTAAATGATGTAACAAAACTGTCTTCATCTCCAAGTAATCATTATCTATATAGAGAATTATGAAGGAAAACCATTAAAACTAATAAAAAATAAGTTCATCAGTATTGTTAAAAGATCAAGATACAAAATTAATATAATTCCTATAAGCCAAAACATCACATTGTAATTTCAATAAGAAAAGCTACCTATCATTTAAAGCAGCAACTAAAGCTATAAGCTTTCTAATAATTAGTCTAACAAAAAAATCTTCAAGAGCTTTATAGAGAACATTATAAAGCCAAGTAAGTTGAGAAATACATTATATTTGTGGATGGAAGACTTAATAAATATCCCTAAACTGAACTGAAATACAACATGATTACAATCAAAATCCCTACAGGGTCTTTCATGGACCATGGTAAGCTGATCCTAAAATTCATAAGAAAAAAGGGCCAAGAACAGTCTTGACAAATTTGAAGAAAACAGGCAGCCACTCTCTAAAACTTTAAGTTATATGAAACAATGATAAGCAAAACAGTAAAGATAAATGAAAAACAATAGAGCACCCAGAAAAAGACTCACGTATGTTCAGAAATTTGATATATGATGGCAGTAGCACTGCAAATCAGCGGGGAAAGGACAGACTATTGAACAACAGTTATCCTGAGACATAAGTTAACTATAAGAAAATAAAATCATTATCTCACATCATAGAGACACATTTTCAAGCTATAGGCTTAAATGTAAAAATAAAATTTTGACAATTTTTAGGAAAAAAATGCTCTTTAGGTAATGATTTTTAAAATAACATACAAAAGTAGAAATTATAAAGTAAAAGACTGATAAATGTGTTACTATGTTGAAGTTTTTAAAAATTCTAACAAAAGGTTCTTCAAACAAAATGAAAAACCAAACCACAGACTACAAGATATTAACAAAATACATAACAAAAAGGTATTAATTTTCAGGATACATTAAGTCCTAAAAGTCAGTAAATAAATACAAACAACTCTATTGAAAAAAATGAGGCAAAAAATTGTGAATAGCTAGTTAACAAAAAAGGAAATCACGGTGAAAATAAACATAAGATGTTCAAGTTCAGTACGATGCAGTTTAACACTACGATGAAACAGCATTTCGCGTCAGACTGGCAAAGTATCACACTAATGAAAGAAAGTTACACTGAGTCAACCACTCTGGAGAGGAATTTGGTAATATCTAATAAAGATGAGATACGCATACCTATAGCCAAGTAATTCCACTCCTGAAAATGTACACTAGAGAAATTGGCACACGAACATAAGGAGGTACATATCAGAATACAGGTAACTGCAAAAAATTGGAAACAATTCAAATGTGAATCAGGAGAATATGCATACAATATAGTCTCATAATGAAATATCTTATATATGAGTATTACGTATATTTATGAAAGAAATAAGGACAGCTACAAGTATCAAAGAAGAATAAAGAATCAATAGAGTAAAAAGGCATCCTATGGAATGGGAGAAAATATCTGCAAACCATGTTATCTGATAAGGGGCTAATATCCAAAATATATAAGGAACTGCTACAACAGTGGCAAAAAAACCCCAAATAACCCACTGAAAAAATAGACCAAAGACTCGAATAGGTATTTCTCCAAAAAAAAAAAAAAAAAAAAAAAAAGATATACAAATGGCCAAGGCGTACATGTCATCAAATGCCAATGAAAACCACAGTAAGATGTCACCTCTTATATGTTAGGATGGGCATTATAAAAAACAAAAACAAAAAACCCAGAAAATAACAAGTCTTGGTGAGGATCTGAAGCAACTGGAATCCTTGCGCATTGTTGGTGGGACTGTAAAATGGTGCAGCTTCTATGGAAAACAGTATGGAGATTCCTTAAAAAATTACAAATAGAACTACAATATAAACCAGAAATCCCTCTTCTGGATATTCATCAAAAAAAACTGAAATCAGAATCTTGTAGAAATGCTTGCACCACCCCCTTGTTCACTGCAGCATTAATCACAATAACCAAAAGGTAGTAACAACCTAAAATCCATCTTAAATGAAAAAACAAAGCAAATATGGTGTATACATACAGTGGAATATTAGCCTTAAAACAGAAATCTCGTCGTAAGTTACAACATGGATGAACCTTGTTGCTAAGTGATGGATATTACGCTAAGTGAAGAAGGACAAATACTGCATGAAACCACATAGATGAAGTGTCTAAAGTAGTCAAACTTACAGAAACACAAAGTAGAATCTGTTGCCAGACTGGAGGGAGGGAAAAATGGGCAGTTGCTATTCAATGGGAACAGAGTCTCTGCCATGCAAAATGAAAAGTTCCAGAGATCTTCTGTACCACATTATGCTTATAGTTAATACTGTAGCATACACAATAATTTGTTAAGAGGGTAACTCTCATGTTATGTGTTTCTTTTTTCACAATAAAAAAAAAATGTTAGGTGAAAAGACTAGCTGCAGAGGCCTACGATGAAACATGGTTTATATAAAGTTTCAAATCATAAAAAATAATGTCTTACATACATAACGATGAGGGCCACGTGCCGTGGCTCACGCTTATAATCCCAGCACTTTGGAGGCTGAGGCGGGAGGATCACTTGAGATTAGGAGTTCGAGACCAGCCACATGGCGAAACCCTGTCTCTACTAAAAATACAAAAATTAGCTGGATGTGGTGGCGCATGCCTGTAATCCCAACTACTCGGGAGGCTGAGGCAGGAGAATCGCTTGCACCTGGGAGATGGAGACTGCAGCGAGCCGAGATCATGCCACTGCACTCCAGCCCGGGTGACAGAGTAAGACCCTGTCTCAATAAAATAAAATAAAATAAAATAAAATATATATAAAATGATGCAAATGTAAACAAAGGTAGTAAAAGTATAAAATATGTTTGGAAATGTTAAACACTAAACTCAGGATAGTGGTTTCTACTGTAGAGGAAAAGAGCAGAATAGAATCAAAAAGAGCTAAATAAGAGGTCTCTATTTCGTCTCTATTTTTTTTTAAATCTAAAGCAAATATTACAAAACTGATGGTATTTGATAGCTTAGTCTATTTTTCTATATGTCTAGAATATTTTATTAAAGAAATAAATTTTTTAGAACTTAATACCAAGAATATTTTTTTCCTCCTAAGAAATGAGTATGTTTCACCTTCTCTAATAACAAGTTTCCATGATGTGCCAGGGACAGACATTATAGCAAAATTGAGAGACAGTGTCTGTGTGTGTGTGTGTGTGTGTGTGTGTGTGTGTGTGAACTCTTTTCAGAAGAGGTCTCATAGATTACAACACAGGGATGTGGCTTAAATAAAAATGTTAAAAATTATTAACATAATTGATGCTATTTGTCATTTTGCACTAGGCATCAATAAAAACATGAAGCAAATCTGAATTAAAATCAACACATGTGCAACCTTTTTTCTCAGTTCTGATTTTCTGTTTATATGCTATTTCATTTTATGTATTTGTGTGGTAAAGTTGCCTCAAACCCTCTGTGAAAAAAAAGGCAAGCTATTAATTAAAAAAAAGAAACATCCTTTAATAAATATTCTACCAAATCCGTACAAGGAAACACAAAACAGAAGACTCAGGTGGAATGAATGTGAACATTGAGATAGCAGCCTTGGGACCAGGTGTCAACACAAATGGTTCCATTCCTAACTTTCATAAGAAAGGCTCAAACATAGTGTGGGCTATATCCAAGTTCTCATCCTTTTGGCCACAAAAACAAACCTAAAAACCCTAAGGAATATGACAGTAATAGGAGATGTCGGAACTGGCAGGTGAGAAGTATCCTGTTGATTTAAAATGCCCCCCAGATGATTCTCATATGCTTCTCCCCACCCCCCACAAAAGCCCACAATCCCTGACCCAGTTGACACCACTAAATTAGATTTAAATTAGATTTATTCTTTAAATTTGTTAAATATTCAACAAATAGTTTATTGAGCACCTACTCTGTCAGTGTGAGGAAGTGAGTGTCTTTATACTTCTGCACAATTAGAACTGGGAAAATTTTACTAGGACTTGTGTTAAAGGACAACCTTAAAACTTAAAAGATGACTGAACAGATAGTGAGGGACTTACCTCCCCTGAGCTATGTGTTTACATTTCAGAAGGATGATGAAACCAGGACTGTGGAAATCTTCCAGGGGTTATAAACTCAAGTCTGTTGTCCTAGGTTATTGCTATAATAATCATAATTTGTCCCTGCCCCAGAAACTCTGCATCTACTTTCAGGATAACATGAATAAATATAGGTGTTCAAAACTTATCAGTCCCCAGGTACTATGCTGGTTTGTAGGCACATCTCATAACAGTGATCAAGGTGAAGTTCCTGCTCTCATATAGAGTTTACAGTCAATTGTGGTCCTGAGAAGCAAATAATCTATTACTACGTGGTGTGGTAAACGCATGGCAGGAGATGTTGTCAGAGATCAGGGAAATCTAAACTGAGAGCTGATGGTGAAGAGTTAGCCAGACGCCTTTGTCTGAAAATAAGAGAAAATCCCAAGCCGACAAAGCCTCACTATCTTCACATAACAAGAAATCCCAACAAAGGATGGCTCAGCAATGCAGTAAGGCCCCCGCCCCAGCTGTCTTTCTGCCCCGCTCCATGTGGCGATGATGCTTGGGCTAGCTCCCTTCATGGCTGCAAGACAGCTGGAGCTTGGCCCACAGTGGGCAGAACTTCTCATCCAACTCTTTTTCACCAGGATGGCAAACCTTTCTGGAAGCCTCCACCAGGCTTCTCTTTATGTCTCAAGGGACAGAACTGGGTCACATGTTCATGCTCAAACCTATCAACTGGCAAGAACAGAACCTTCCTGACAGCCGTGGGCTGTGACTGGGGCCTGAGCCTAGCTTCCCCAGAGCATATGGGTATACAGAGAAGAGTGGATTCTTAAGCAAAGTGGAGGTTCTGCTAGAAAAGAAGAGGGCACTGGAAGGTTACAGGGAAAGCGACCCATGGGATGTGCTGTAGTCATTAAAGTAATATTTCCTTTGTTTAGAAGGAATTTACGCTATTTGGCATTAACAGGAAATGTAAAGAAATAAAAGACCACCTTGTACTTAAGCAACAGCACACACATAGAATTTTAATAGAGAAAAACTAGAAATAAATGAAATTAATATGGTGTAAATTAAATAACACAAAGCTGAAAGATCATAGAGTAATAGAGGTAGATCAGGTTTTTAATAACCAGAGGCAGTTCTGAAAGAAGAGAATTATAAAATGACAGACGCTGCTTTATGTTTAAAGGCACAAAGGTAAAAATTTAGGGGAGACAAGGTAAGTTTACTCAGCCGTAACAGAGACTGCAGAACACTGAGAAAATGCACATGCAAATATAAAGCTCTTGGGGGCATACCCGAGTGTCTGTCTTGAGAGCCAAGGTTTAGCCCAGGTAAAGGCACCCGATATGTATGTCTAGAATGAATGAGTGAATGAATGAATGGAGAGGCTTGGACTTGAAATACTATTTGACAGGAGACTACTAAAGGTTGCTTATCATAGGACACGTGTGACGAAACCATTTCTGATGAAAACTCTTGCTTTCAATACATAGAATGAAGTGGAGGAGTACAAGATATAAAGCGTCATTAGAAGGCTATGAAAGTCATCTGGACATAAAGTAATCAGGGCCTGGACTGGGGACTCAAGAACTAAAAATCAGAAGTGCAATGGAAAAAAGTGGTGGTTATACATCAGTATACCTACTCTGCTTGTTTTATTTACTAAGAATGTCACAAGCATATAAGAAAGTGGTGTTGCACATTTTAGATTCATTTGTTACTGCATTATGAAAAACAGGATGGCATTTTTAATCTAGTTTATCTGATCCTGAATTTTAAGAAGGGTTTACAGCATTTCAACTAGACTACTTACCCTTGGTTTCTTTTCCAATTCCAATAGGAAATCTGCAGGACTCAATCTGATTCCACCAGAATCATGATCTCTGTGGCCTCCTACTGCTAGCTATCTAGAATGGCAGCTTTTGTGTATTTAATACTTAAAACAGTTCTGTAGCAAATTGTTCTATTAATGAAAATAGTAGAGACTCCTTCTGCCCTCTAGTTTTTCTCCCATGTATGTAATAATGACGACCCCAAAAGTAACATCTTAGACATGATTCACAACCAGACCAAATCTATGATTGAGGTAAACAAAATATATACAAAGCTAAGAGTCATTAATTAGATCATTCATGTCTCCAACATCATTTCCTGTAACAATCAATGAGAAGCAATTCACAGATTCCTTCTCAGCTGGGTGCAGTGGCTCATGCCTATAATCGCAGCACTTTGGGAGGCTGAAGTGAGAGGATCGCTTGGGGCTAGGAGTTCGAGACCAGCGTGGGGAACATAGCAAGACCCTCCTCCCAACCCCCCCCCCCACCCATCTCCATTATTTTTAAAAAGGTATTTTTAAAAAAAGAAAGAAAGAAAAACAATTCTTTCTGTTTTAACTATTGTTTGCACATATCTTATATACCATGTGGTCTTCATTTCACCCCTGGCACCTTTACTTACCTACTCTGCTTCTTCATGACTGGTCACGGTAAAAGCTAATTAGTGCTTCTGCCTGTCAGAAGACTCATTCTTGACAGTTCTTGCTGACAAGCAGTCTTAGTCACAAACAAATAGGGCTTCACGTTCAGCCAGACTCTAAGTCTCACCGTCCCTCTGGGAGGCAGCAGAGAGTTCCAGCTAACTCGAGAAAAGACAACACAGCCAGAGAGGATGGCTGCCTGCAGGCTGACAACGCTGTTTCAGAGCACCCTAACACTTTCGACACAAGTAGATTACACCGGGGGAAGAGTTTAGGGATGAACACGGGAAAAGTACATAAAATCTAAGCAAACAAACAAAGCCCTCCTCCAAAAAAAAAAAAAAAAAAAAAAAGAAAAGAAAAGAATTATTAACACCAGGGAAAACAAAAAGTTGTGCTGGAAAGAAAAGGCAACCATAGATTATATAACTCAGCTGGGAATAATGTTTTCAAAGTCCTAACAATGTAAATGCTGAATTATTCAAAATGTAATTATAATGAAAAGAAAAGGGCTATGCACATGGGGTGGGGGTGCATAAGATAAATTCTCCTGGCCGGGGCGGTGCCTCACGCCTGTAATCCCAGCACTTTGGGAGGCCGAGGCGGGCAGATCACGAGGTCAGGGGATCGAGACCGTCCTGGCTAACACGGTGAAACCCCGTCTCTACTAAAAATACAAAAAAAATTAGCCGGCGCGGTGGCGGGCACCTGTAATCTCAGCTACTCGGGAGGCTGACGTAGGAGAATGGCATGAACCTGGAAGGCGGAGCTTGCAGTGAGCCGAGATGGCGCCACTGCACTCCAGCCTGGGGTACAGAGCAAGACTCCATCTCAAAAAAAAAAAAAAAAAAAAAAAAGATAAATTCTCCTTTATCATGAGAGGTCAAAGGTAATGCCTAACACTGAAAAAGTAAGAAGAGGATAGAGCAATGCCTGTTTAGAGAGCTGGAGGTAAACAAGCAGAACAATCCGCTCTAAGAGTTGAGCTCAGAGAGCAAGGGATGGGGCAGGAGTGACAGCGGGGAGACTGCTGGTCTTTGTAACAAGCCTTGTACCTAACAAGCTCTTGGAATATGCGGGTTGTGTGCATGTACAACTTTAGAGTTAAATTAACACTAGTTTAAAAGTGGCCAAGTAGAGACTAGAACCCAGAGTTGCTTAGTTTAGTGCTTGTGCCACTGTATAATACCCTTTATAAAAAATTACATATATTTTCCACTCTTGAATATAGAGAAAACAATGATATTTTATCAAAACAATGTAATGTACTATTGTTCTTGTCAAGGGTATTGTGTTTTCATTTCATGGACAAAGAAAAAAATCAAATATTCAGCAGTTGAATTGCAGACATACCAGTCTATAATAGGGGCAGGGAAAAACACAATATTCTTGAGTAAGACCTTCTCTGTTAAGGGGCACTCTTTTATTACAGAAACACATAAACACACACAATAAAATACAATGAGGTATCTCAGCACTTTGGGAGGCCAAGGTGGGCGAATCACTTGAGGTCAGGAGTTTGAGACTAGCCTGGCCAACATGGTGAAACCCTGTCTATAATAAAAATAAAAAAATCAGCCGGGCACAGTAGCGGGCACCTGTGTTCCCAGCTACTCGGGAGGCTGAGGCATGAGAATCGCTTGAACCCAGGAGGCGAAGGTTGCAGTGAGCCGAGATCACGCCATTGCACTCCAGCCTGGGTGACAGAGTGAGACTACATCTCTATACAAAAAAAAACCAAAAAACAACAACAACAAAAAACAATGAAGTAAGCACCATAACACTTCCTTGCCCTGCCTTGGTTTCCGCATTTTTTTTTTTTTTTTTTTGGTTTTTTTGAGACGGAGTCTTGCTCTGTCGCCCAGGCTGCAGTGCAGTGGCGCGATCTCGGCTCACTGCAAGCTCCGCCTCCCGGGTTCACGCCATTCTCCTGCCTCAGCCTCCCAAGTAGCTGGGACTACAGGCGCCCGCCACCACACCCGGCTAATTTTTTTTTTTTTTTTTTTGTATTTTTAGTAGAGACGGGGTTTCACTGTGTTAGCCAGGATGGTCTGGATCTCCAGACCTCGTGATTCCCCCGCCTCGGCCTCCCAAAGTGCTGGGATTACAGGCGTGAGCCACCGTGCCTGGCCGGTTTCCTCATTTGTAAAATACCTATAGAGTTTTGTGAATATGTAATGAGGCAGTACCTATATAGTGCTTGGTGCACTTCCAAGCAGGTAGTAATTACCTGCTAAGTCATAAGAAAAATAAGTCCAAATAGACAAACTCATGTCTGTTTGATTTTAAAGCCATGCTCATTCCTTTACATCACATTTCTAAAATAATCCTATTACCACCTTATTAGACAAAACACTGATTTTGATTTTACTCCTGGGTCCACGTGGCATTAAATAAGACACATTGTGATACATATGTATAAAACCTGAGGGTTAGAAAATATTTTCCAGCTCTCTATTTACAAATATTTTATTTATTTAGAAATAGTCGCTTAAAATATGTCTTAAGAATTTGCACAATTAGAAGTGAAGTTCCTGACTTATCAGGACATAAAACTTGTAGTCAACTATTTTCAATAACCAGCAAGTAAATGATTTGTCACTAGATGGCACTGTATTGGATAATATTTTTAAAAACCTTTTTTAGCACAATGAGATCCAACTTGATTTGTCAAATTAAAAGAATATTTTCTTAGTCACAGGATGAGATAGGAGGTCGGCACAGGATACAGGTCACAAAGACCCTGCTGATAACACAGGATGCCATAAAGAAGCCGGCCAAAACTCACCAAAACCAAGATGGCAATGAAAGAGACCTCTGGTCGTCCCCGCTGCTCATTATACACTAATTATAATATATTAGCATGCTAAAAGGCGCTCCTGCCAGCGCCATGACAGTTTACAAATCCCAAGGCAATGTCCGGAAGTTACCCTATATGGTCTAAAAAGGGGAGGAACTCTCAGTTCCGGGAAATCTCCACCCCTTTCCTGGAAAACTCATGAATAATCCACCCCTTGTTTAGCATATAATCCAGAAATAACTGCAAGGATACTCAGTCAAGCAGACCAGGCCGCTGCTCTGCCTATGGAGTAGCCGTTCTTTATTCCTTTTCTTTTTTTGAAACTTGCTTTCACTTTAAAAAAGGAATATTTTCTTTCCAAAGGAGAGGGTAAGATTAAATTACTTCTGTTTTTTAAGTTATTTCATGGCTTTAAAAATTGTTAGGGTTTAATGGAAAAGAAAATAATGATATAATCAAGTTAAATGTCATTTTTAAACAAATCTGATACCTGAATAGTAAATAACTATTCTGATATCTTTTAAGCAGAAATAATTACAAATATCTCTCCTGTTTCCAGTATAACAAATAAGTACAAACACATACTTAACTGCACAACTGCAGTTTGTACTGTTAGCATTTGGTTAAGGGGAACTACATTTCCCAGAATCCTTTTCTATACATGATTCTAGGCTACAGCTAGAGGAATTCAAGAGGTATTCACTTGAGATTGGGAAGGAGGAGCTGCAGCAGCAGGCACTGCTCTCTCAAGTCATTATCCTCTTCGTGGTTAGAGGTGACAGACACAAATGCTGGCAGGGCCCAGCGTGTCCTAACACACCTCTACTCTGCTGTCCAGGTCTCCCTCACAAATATTGAGCCTATTGGTCAACAAGGGCTCCGGGCCCACCACCAGATGCGTGGCAGGAGACAAGGAAGTGACATTCAAGAAATAGTTCCTTATTAACCAAGGTATGTTTAGCAAGCTATAATAATGCAGTACATGAGTGAGGCACCTCCTCACACGGTAGCTTCAGTGTGTTAATAACGTCCTATTAATTGTACAGAATTATATAACCTTTTGTATGGGTCAAATATTACATAACATTTTTTTTTAAAGAACAAACCACATCCCAGGCCAGTCAGTAATCTATTTAAATATTTAGAGATAAGTAAGTTGAGACCACAATGTCTGAGCAAAAGAGTCAGCTAAGGAAATCCAACTTCACCACTCCTTTATTATTTACCAAATTATTATCTGGTTGTTTCTTTCATTTTGCCTGAAAACTTTCTAATATTACAGACTCCGATCCTTAACAGCCAGCCAAACTCCTAAGTCTGTGAGCCAACCACCAATATGGCTTAGTCTTTAATTTACTTTCAGTGCTAATAAACTAGATCTAGTGCTGGAACCCATAATGGGTGCAAAAACAGACTCAATAATTGTGTACTAAAATAATTAATGATTAAGTCATCTTCATATCAGATGAGTCTGATTCAACTCCCCTAATGGCAGAGTTACCACAAAGTAATACAAACAGGCCAGGCGTCCCAGCACTTTGGGAGGCTGAGGCGGGCGGATCACTTGAGGTCAACAATTCGAGACCATCCTAGCCAATGTGGTGAAACCCCATCTCCAAAAATTAGCCGGGCACGGTGGCAGTGTGTGTAATCCCAGCTACTAGGGGGACTGAGGCAGGAGAATCGCTTGAACCCGGGAAGTGGAGGTTGCAACGAGCCAAGATCACACCACTGCACTCCAGCCTGTGCGACAGAGCGAGACTCAGTCTCAAAAACAAAAACAAAAAACAAAGTAATACAAACAAAACATCAAAGCAAACAGAAAAATACAGTCCACTTTTGTGGATAAAAAAATAAGGTTCTGTGTCTGCCATGTTGTTTCTTGTTTGCCTCTGGCAAGTCATCCAGTGACATACAGTCTGAGTGATTGCTTCCAATATAGGTAACTCCCCAAGCCATACCTCTAACACTGGACATCAGCAAAGCCAGAACCCCCTGGGTCCATAAAGCACCTCTGTTCATTTGTGTGTGTTGTCAGTGTTCAGAGAGGGCTCACTATGCTCTGGGGAGTCTTCTAAACCCTTTACAACCATTATCTCATAGGCCTCCAGCCATCCTTATGACATAGGTACTATTATACATATCCTGGTGTTGACATGCACTAGATATATAGCCTTGGAAGGTTTAGTAGAGATTGAGTAGCTTTTTCCAAGGCTATACATCTGGTACATTGCAACACCAGGGTCTGAACCAGCTTGGGTCTGACTGCAGAACCCCAGTTCTCAACCATTAAATGATGGTCCATCGCCTCCACCCCCATTACATGAGAAAAGAATAAACTCTGCCTGATTTATCTTTATATCCTCCAAAAGTATGTAATGAACTTGTATTTAGTATGTGTCAACAGTTATCTGTTGACTAAATATATTCTGAGTGAGAAAGTTAGCTGAGGTACTACTGCCTTTTATCAAAGAATAATTCCTGCTCCAATTTAAACTAGAGAAGACAAGGCTTCAGAAAACCTAACAGCAATGCAGACAATGAAGACAAAAACCAGGGATAAATTGTAATCGGGTAACCCCTACACCTCAAACTTATCCCAGTTTTTAGGATTCCAACTACATTACAGGACATGCACCTAACACTATCGTCATACCTTTAGTTCTATTGACTATTCTGGGCTTCCTCCCAAAATGAATAAACTCCAAGTCTCTGCCCCTCCTGGACCTACTTAACTAAGTGGGCCAAATCCAGCCATTTTCTAAGAGATGCCAATTAGAGAATAACGTTACGTAAGGACAGAACACTGTTTAAATAGGGTATCTTTCTGCCAGTCCCCACTAGTAGGTTTCACACTTGGGTTTTGTCACCCTATCTTAATTGAATACATAGTTTTCTCCTGTAAAGACACAATATTTTGCTTTCTCTTATCTGCTAATGAGAGAATCCTACTTGGTACTCCGCAGTGAATAATAGACTTCGAGTTTGTTCAAAAACACCAAAAAATTTACTGCTATGAAAAACAAAAAAATTACTGCTATGTATCCTGGGAATTCAAATGCTATCCATCTGGACTACATTTTACACATAAAAATCTCACAGTATCCAATTATCATGGTAGGTTTAAAGCAGGGGTATCCAATCTTCTGGCTTCCCGGGACCATACTGGAAGAAAAATTGTCTTGGGCCATACATAAAATATACTAACACTAATGATAGCGATTAGCTAACAACAACAACAAAAAATCATACAAAAAAAAAATCTCATAATGTTTTAAGACAGTTTACTAATTTGTGTTGGGCCGCATTCAAAGCTGTCCAGGGCCACATGTGGCCTGCAGGCCACAGGTTGGACAAGCTTGGTTTAAAGTATCAAAAGGCATCTCCCAAGCCTTCCATGATTTTATTTTATTTTCCCTCTGGCTAGCAATTCCTTGGACTCAGTCCTTTCTGTTAGGCTGGTCTACCTCCACTCCTAGACCCAGGCTGAGCACTCTCTCAAACCCCAAGGTAAAAAGAGGAAGTCGTTTTCCATCTGGGTCCCAGATCTAGTCCTTTCAGGTCAAAAGTTTTCTCCTCAGCTGCTGGACTCACCACTTAACCACTCAGGCTTCCCCCTTCCAGAGGCTTCCCTCTCTGTTTTAGTCCATTTTCTGTTGCTTATAGAATACCTGAAACTGGATAACTTATAAAGAAATGAAATTTATTTCTTACAGTTCTGGATACTGGGAAGTCCAAGGTTGAGAGACGGTATCTGGTGAGAGCCTTCTTGCTGGTCGTGAGTCTCTGCAAACTCCGAGGCAGTGCAGGGCATCACATGGCGAGGGGGCTGAGTGTTGCTCTCTCTTTCTCTTCTTACAGAGCCACAAGCCCCACTCCCATGACAACCCATTAATCCACTAACCCGTTAATCCATTAATCCATGAGTGGATTAATCAATTCATGAGGGCAAAGCCCTCATGACCCAATCACCTCTTAAAGATTCTACCTCTCAATACTGCCACACTGGGGATTAAATGTGAACGTGAGTTTTGGAAGGGACAAACATTCCAACCACCGCACTCTCCTTGAGCATATTCTCAGCCTCACTTCTGTACTGTTTAGCATGGATTCTTATTCCTTGCTGAAAGTCAGTTTTCTTCTACAGCTCTGCCCAGCATCACCCACTCATCTGACTCAGCAAGAGTCACACAAATTGCATATTTTAAGAAGATCCTTTGCGGTATCTTGAGCATTCATCTTCCCTTTACATTTGAATAAAACAATAATGCATGGACTTCTGATTACAGTTTAAGCTCCTTGACACTAGGTAGGCAAATGCCCCCTTTTTGTCCATGACTTTTAGGATCAGAAATTTTTCACCACAGACATTAACACAGTTGCCTTTAAATTACGCAGTCTGAGCAAGACAATAGCTTTAAAATAAAGCAGAAGAGATTTTATAGTTTCTAATCACCTGTATACCAAAACACTTAAATGAACCACTGATGGGGCTTGTCAAATTTTTAATTCTGTCAATCTGCAAGGAAAAAGAAAAAAGAAAATGGAGAGAAAACAATTATCCACCCTCGAAGATTTGGTATTATTTGCCTGAGGGAAGATTTTAGGATGTTTTAGAGTCCCTCTGATTTATTGTTCTTTGTTTTCATCATTACATTAGAATGTAATCTGATCCACTCTGATGGTCCCAGAGAACCATGATCCTTTCTTTCCAAAACATCCACTACAAGACTGGACCTGGCTTTTGGTACTCTTCCTTCTTTAAACTCATTCCAAAAAAAGGCTTCAGAGAATGACTTTCTAAAGTCAACACAAACTTCAGACTTTGGGTCTGTCTCACAATTGGTCACAGAGTGCAGATGAAACTCAAAGTCAGTCGTGCTCTCAAAGCAAAACACTGAACAAAGATAAGCCCAGTCTTCAAACAACACGCAAGCCCACTGGCTTACTTCCGTAAAGGGCCCAAGTTACAGAAACGCCTGTTCTGTAAATGGCTTTGGTTACTTTCTCAGGATCATCTGCTCAAACAGTGATATGTCAGTCACTGCTAAGATCTTTAAAGAAAAACATCTTTCACTGGCACAGGATAGAGCATTCAAGAATTCAAAGAAACATTTGTAGATTAAAAAAAAAAAAAAAAAAACCTTCAGCATGGCAAATCTCAGCCTGTGGCTTTTGGCTTCAGATTACTTGCATAATACTTTGTTTTTGTGAGATCCTCAAAAATGAGTGGTTATATATTTTTCATTTTAAAAAGTTTCTTCCTTTCCTATTTGTGATTAGAATAGAAACTGTTTAGTTTAAAAAAAGTATTTTCCTTCAGAAACCTATCCTACAAATCAACGTAGTTCTGTCAACGACCCCAGATAAATATTAAGTTGGACAGACACATCAAACAACATTAAACAAATAACTATGTGAACTGAATTAATTAGTTACACAATTAATTCTCTACTTTTGGCAAATGCTTGATTCTGTTCTTAAAAGGTTAAATACAATATAAGAGCAGTTTAATGTCATGAGGAGCCTTGTATATTTGCTGAACACCAGGAAAACCTTAAAGCACAACTTCATTAAATTCAAAGCAAAGAGATTTGACTCCTTCAGAGTGACATAATTAGAGAAAGGACTAAAGGGAGAACTGAAGGGTCCTAAAAAGAGCATGGCCTTGGGTATTGGGAAGATCAGGATTTGAATCCTGGCTCAGTTATTTGCCAGCTGTGTGGTCTTGCACAAGCTACATAAACTCTCTGAAAATCAGTTTATTCAGCTGTAAAATGAGAAAAATAATGTCACTGCACAGAATTGTTACGGAGATTCAATGAGTTAGATGAAGCACTTAGAACCAATGTGGCACCTGACACATGCTCGACAGGATGTCTGTGATTGACGTGAATTCCCTTCTTCTAATTCCCTTCCCTGTGTAAAACTGATGTGGCAGATCGTAGGACTTTGTAATGGTTGTAAATAGTTGGTTTCTTGAAAAAAAAAAAAAAACTATATTCAAATTATATTTTTAAGATGCTGAAGGAAATCCTGACAGGTTACAACATGGATGAACTTTGAATACGTTGCGCTGAAACAGGCCAGTCACGAAAGGACAAATATTGTATGATTCCTCTTGTATGAGGTTCCCAGAGTAGTCAGAAAGTAGGATGGTGGTTGTCAGCAGATGGAGGAGAGGGAAATGGGGAGTTGTTTAATGGGTACAGAATTTTTTTTTTTTTTTTTTGAGATGGAGTCTCACTCTCGTCCAGACTGGAATGTGGTGGCGTGATCTTGGCTCACTGCAACCTCCACCTCCTGGGTTCAAGCGATTCTCCTGCCTCAGCCTCCTGAGTAGCTGGGATTACAGGTGCGCACCACCACGCCCTGCTAATTTTTATATTTTTAGTAGAGACAGGGTTTCACCATGTTGGTCAGGGTGGTCTTGAACTCCTGACCTCGTGATCTGCCTGCCTTGGCCTCCCAAAGTGCTGGGATTACAGGCGTGAGCCACCACGCCCAGCCAGAGTTTCAATCATGGAAAGTGAAAAGGTTCTGGAGATGTATGGTGGTAATGGTTGCACAACAATGTGAATGTACTTAATGCCAAAAAAACCACTCAAGAATGATTAAATGGTAAAGTTTATGTTATGTATATATTTACCCCCGCTACACACACACATACTGAAAAGTGCTTGGTATTTTTAAAAATCTTACAACAAATTCTTTTGAAAAAGTTTTGTTGTTGTTTTTGTTTGTTTGAGACAGGGTCTCACTCTGTTCCAATGGCTTCGTATTCCTGCTCATCTCAGCTTGACCTCTTGTGGCTATCTCTCCTTTTGAAACTGTTCTTAAATGGCTCTTTTCCCGAGTGTGCCCTTTAAATGTTGGAGTGTCCCAGAGTCCTCTGCATGACCCTCTCTCGTTTTGCTCAGCAAGCTCTCCTTATATAATCTCACCCATTCACACACATGTGAATATGTTTCCGTCTGCTGGTTCTCTCCATTTGGGTGCCCCATTCTAAAATGTCCAGAACCAAACTCAATGTTTCCTTTCTACTCTCCCATTCAATGGCTATAGGTTAAAAAAAGCTTCCTTCTCTATTCTTCCATCCCTCCCACAACTGTTATCTGCAGCTCTGGTATGTCACGCAAATTCCGCCTCCCAAAATCACATGCAACTTAGTCTTCTCTGCCACATCGCCGCTGTCAAGGCCTAATCCAGGCCCTTCCCCGTGCTCACCTGGACTTTGCAGCAGTCTCCTAACTCGTCCATTCTCTTTAGTCTTCCCCTTCCAGTCCATCTTCCACACTGCTGCCAGGCATTTTTCTAAAATGTGAATCTCCGCCATTCCCCTGATTTTAAAACTTCCAGTGGTTCCCTACAGCCAATGGGGCAAAGGCCAGTCATTCAGCATTACACACATGGCCCTCTCCAATCTCATTTCCTGCTGCTTTCCCACTTCCCAACGCCCCTGAACCTTAAGCTCCATTACAACTTCTCAAGAAAATGACAATTCCCACCTCTACAGCGTGGTACATGCTGCTTCTGAAACATGCTCCTTGTTCTTCTCCATTTGGTGGGCAACTGCACGCTCTTGAAGACTCAACTCAAAACGCCAGTCTTCCCAGACCAACCCCCACAGTCCAAATTAATTGAAGCGCCCAGAGCAGTTTGTGCAGGAGGTTGCAACGCTTAGCACGCAGCACTGCATTTACCTGTTTCTTGCTTCCAAGTCATCCCTGAAACCTTCTGTGTGGAGCAGCACAGGACCAGAAGACCTGCCTCACTCAGTTTGCAGTCACCCCTAGATGCTTCATGGCTTGTGTGGTCTACCTCTCTAGTCACACGTCTCCCAATCCTCAATGCTCAGGGACTCCACTGCCACACTGATGGACCACCATGGTCCAAGCACGTCCACTACAAGGCTTGGGGAAATCTTTCATTCGTTCACTCGACTCACATTTATTACACGTGGAGCTACACGGATGAGACTTGGCTCCTCCCTCAGAGAAGCGAAAACAAACACACAAACAGACACGAATAACACAGGTTGTAGAAACCTACACACAGAGTGATTCCCAGGACATTCTGGAGATGGAGCACACAGTAGGACAATGTGCCCGGCAAGTGTGGGGCCCTGGAAATGGAAGAGACACTCGGTGGAAGCTTCTAGGACCCACAAGGTTTGAAGTGAGACTCAGAGAACATAGAGAGAAAGAGGAGGGAATAGGACGAGTGGGAAACAGGAAATGGAAAATGTATCAATTAACCAGATTAACTTTTTGTCAACTGCTCAAGTACAAGAGTAAGAACCATGACAGAATCTCCAAATATATCCAGATCTTTTTTTTTTTTTAATTGATACAGGGTCTCTGTCACCTAGACTGTAGTGCAGTGGCAAAATCATAGCTCACTGCAGCCTCGACCCCCCGGGCCCAAGCGATCTTCCCACCTCAGCCTCCTGAGTAGCTGGGTCCACACCCAGCTAATTTTTGTATTTTTTGTAGAGACAGCATTTCGCCATGTTGCCCAGGCTGGTCTCGAACTCCTGGGCTCAAGCAATCCACCTGCTCTCAGCCTCCCAAAGTGCTGGGATTACAGGTGTAAGTCACCGCACCTGGCCCTAGATCTTTAACAGTAAAAGTAAACAACACAGTGATCTCTGGAGACATATACATTATCACTCCCTTTCTTTTCTGTCTCCCTCTCTCACACCCACAGACACACAGAAAAAGCTTAATGTCTATGTAATGAATACCTAATGGCAGTACTGACACAGTCAGAGCCTCTGCCCCCTCCAGTCACTTACGATCTGTGCCATCCACGGTGAAGGCACCCAGGTGTCCCTCCCTTCTGCTATTCCTTCTCACCATCCCCTGGCCCTTTTGTCTCTTCTGTGCTCACCTCCCACGCACACTGCAAAACGAGGCTACATCATCAGAGGCTGCCCTATTTATTCAAAGATGATGTTACTGAGAACAATCATATCTTTTTGTTCTAAAACGAACTTATCAACAATAGTTCTTTTTTCACAGCATAAAGACTACTCTTAATTTGGAACCATAGTTATTAATGCTATTGTAATTTAGTTTAAGTCTTAAATGGACCCAACATTTCTTCTTAAAAGGAAAACAACCCTATCAGGAATAATAATAATAATATAATCATCGTCACATCATGTTACAGAGAAAACTCGCATTTAATTTCTGGGTTTGTCAGTGTTTTACTACACAATTCTTTGGTCCACTTAACCTCAAATCCTTACACAAATCTGTGTTATGTCACATAAAGACATTTTAAAATTATTTTCATGTTTTGGCTCCATCTTATTGATAATTATTTCACTAATTTGAAAACAGATTAAATCTATGTACAGATACAGAACATAAAATAATACTAAATAAGGCCAGGCATGGTGGCTCATGCCTGTAATCCCAGATCTTTGGGAGGCTGAGGCGAGAGGGTAACTTGAGGCCAGGGATTCAAGACCAGCCTGGGCAACACAGCAAGACCCCATCTCTACAAAAAATTAAAATTAAAATTAAAAAACCAAGAATCTTTCAATTTAGTATTTACATTTGCTGGTTGCAATTTTAATTATATTTCTTATATATCAATTGCATCCCTGCAAGTTCAGTTAACAAAGCATATGAATAATAGAATCATGCTTGAAGTTGGGAGGTAAGGGAGAAGAATAGGTCTTTGTACTGGATCATGATCTTAAATGCTTACTGACCAGGAAGAAGGGAAAGGGAGGGAAATGAGTGGGGCTAGGGGAGAGCACACATGATAGTTAAAAGCAATATGTAAAGTAAAAAAATAATAAAGTAAGTTGATTTCCAATGCAGTTAAAAGAATCCCTGAAAATGAGTGAGGTAAAATCCTCCTCCATTGCCCTCAATCCAAGAGCTGAGTGGAAGTGCCATTCCAGGGAGGCTTGGGGGTACTATCAGGAGGCAGAAAGATGTAAGATCTCAAAATATGAGTGGTGAATGGTATACCAGCCCCTCATCCTCCCACCTCTAGCACTTTGTAAAAAGTTAATCATCGAATTAAATGTTATAATCCAATTTCCAAAATTGCTCTACTCCACTTAAACTGCTGTCACCTATAATAACCTTGCAAGCAAATGCATTCATTTCAAACATCATTCTCTGCGAATTCTGCAACATCTGAAGCTCTTGATCACTCTGCTTTTTTTGCTCCTGCAGGAACTCAACTGGCTCTTCTTTCTCTCTAATGCAACAGATCCAGCTCCCCTTCCTAATCATATCCCAAACCATGGCTTTCCCCAAAGTCACTGCTCTGATTTTCTCTACATACTCAGTCATTGAAACCTCAACCATCACAGGGAAGGGATTCTGCTGCCTCCCTTCCATGTGTCCTACCTCTGCCCTCTCACTGCCCCCAACTAAATCCATCACTTGACTGCTAGATCGCAGCACTACGATCCACCTCTGTTTCTCCCTTTCTTCCATTCATCTTTGACATTACTACCAGATTAATCTTTGTCTGGATCCCAGACTTTTTTTCCTTTTCAAAATTACACCATCACTCCTCTTTAGGACAGTGTGGTGGTTGTAAAATCTGTTCCCAGATTCTCTGACACACCTCTTTTTAAAAGGTGAAACCTAGCTCCCCTTCCCTTGAATGTGGGCGGAATTTACTGGCTTGTGTCTAAGGAACAGAACATGGCGAGAGTGATGGGGGATGATTTCCAAGGCGTGGTCAAAAAGGGCACTGAAGCTTCTGTCTTGTTTTCTTGCGTCGCTCGATCTGGGGAGTGCAGCTGCCATGTCATAAGGACACTCAACCCTGTGAAGAGTCCCACATAGAGGAGGAATTGAGGCCTCCCACCAACAACCAACACCAACTTGCCAGCCATTTGAGTACACCATCTTGGAAGAGGATCCTCCAGCCCCAGTAAAGCCTTAAGATGACTGAAGACTGGCTAACATCTATTTAAAAATTATTATTTATTTTTTTAATAGAGATGGGGTCTCGCTATGTTGCCCAAGCTGGTCTCAAACTCCTAGGCTCGAGCAATCCTCCTGCCTCAGCCTCCCAAAGTGCTGGAACTAGAGGCATGAGCCTCCATGCCCAGCCCTGACTAACATCTTGACTTCACTGCAAGAGACCCCAAGCCTGAACACTGTTAATGTGATCCCAAATCTCTGACGTACAAAAATTGTTAGAGATAATAAATGTTGATTGATGTTTTAAGCCAATAAATTTGGGGATAATTTGTTACACTGCAATAGATTAGTAGTTCAGAAGGCCTCTGCTGCCAGTGTGACAAATCCAAATGCTTTCTTTGGGCACTCGAGGTTGTCCAATAACTGCTCTTACTTTATCTTTGGGTACAGAAACACCATCTGAGCCAGTTATTTCACTGACCTCACACGACATGTGAAACTCTGCCTCTACTTTAGCCCATGCCATTGTCACACAGAATGTCCTTTTTGGTCCTCTCCACTAAACTAAATTCAACACTTTCTTCTAGGCTCAATTCAAGGAAGTGAATTAAATACCTACACAGGAATTTTTTATAGTTTTTAATGTACATAAATAAACATGTCTGATTTCCAAAACTATGTTTTAGTTATTTAAGATAGAAATTATGACTTATGCTACCCTCACATTCCCCCATACTAATAGATACACAGAGATAACTTATCATGGATCCATTTTTTAAAATGAAATAGATCAACATGTACTGACCTGTTCAGCTATATATGATACATTAAATGGAAACAAAGCAAGTTGCACAAAGAAAATTGAGTGCTTAAGAATAAATTTTAAAAGAAATGTATAAAACACATCTGAGGAAAACTTTAAAGCATTCTTAAAAAGACACAAATGAAGAGTTTAACCACAGACATCTCTTATATTCAGATAGAACAAGTTAACATAAAAATGTCAGTTCATCATAAATTTAGAAATTTAATGTAATCCTCATAAATAAACCAAGTTTTTTTAATGGAGACATACAATTGATACTGAGCCTTGTATTGAAAAATAAATGTGCAGTAACAGCCAGGAAAACACTAACACACTAGAGGGAAGGCCGAGTTCTTCCAGACATTAAATCACAGTCTAAAGCCTCCATGATGAAAAGTGTCTTACTGACACATGAATAGACAGACAAACCAACAGAATAATACAGAAAGTTCAAAAACAGATCCAAGTGCAGATGAAGTTTTAGTATTGTATATTATTAAGGTGGCATCTAAAATCACCAAGGCAAAAACTATTTAATAAATGATGTTTGATATGGTTTGGCTGTGTCCCCACCCAAATCTCATCTTGAATTGTAGTTCCCATAATCCTCACGTGTCATGAAAAGGACCCAGTAGGAGGTAATTTAATCATGCAGGTGGTTACCCTCTTACTGTTCTTGTGATAGTGAGTTCTCATGAGATCTGATGGTTTTATAAGGGGCTGTTCTCCCATTTGTTTGGCACATCTCCATGATGCTGTCATGGGAAAAAGGACATGTTTGCTTCCTCTTCTGCCATGACTGTTAAGTTTCCTGAGGCCTCCCCAGCCATGCTGAACTGTGAGTCAATTAAACAACTTTTCTTTATAAATTACCCAGTCAAGGGGATGTCTTCATAGCAGCATGAAAATGGATTAATACAATGTTAAAATAATTGGCTAGCCACTGGAAAACCTCATTTGGAAAACCTCATACCATAAACCAAAATAAACTCCAAACGAATCAGGGATCTAAATAAAGCAATGAAGCCATACTACCACTAGAAGGGGGAAAAAAGGTGAATTCTCTAACCTTGATGTAGGAAAGGGTTTGCTAACTACAACTCAAAATTGGGAAGACTGAAAGATTGATCGATTTGACTACATAATTTTTTTTTAATTTCTGTATGGCCAAAAATACTCCATTGTAAACATAAGGCAATAGATAAAATGGGAGAAAATATTTGCATCATATCACAGATAAAGGAGTAATAACCATAATACATAAAGAACTCTTAAAGACAGAAACAACAGAAAAATGGGTAAAGGACATGGGAAAATACATACACACACATATATATTCACATATACTCATATACACAGACACACACACACATATATATCTCTTAGATATATTAAAGATGTTCAGTTCCACTCACAGTGGAAGAAATACAAATTTAAATTACATTGAGATGCTATTTCTCAACTATCGAATTGGCAAAAATTTTTTTTAAAAAAAGTCACTCTTGGCTAGGCTATGGAGAAACAGACACTCTCATACAGAGTTTCTTGGAGAACCGGCTGATTCTAGGGCTGAGGCAGAGAAGGTACGCAATGAGAAACATTCTACATGCACAAGAAAGAATATGTTCAAAGAACAATGGAGATGTGTCAAAAGACACAGGAGGCAGCTTGAAGAAACTCCTACTGGCCAAATCTGGGATAATTTAAGCATCAAAATACATAATGATAACACATTAAGACTAATATAAGAATCCATGAATATGCACTGAAATAAATGAGAGTGAAGAGAAAGCTCTTTTTGAGGGAAGAAAGTCAACTATAAATAAATGAAGAAGAAATGATGGACTTTTAAAAATCACCATTAGGAAAGAATAAATGATTCACACAAGCATCAATAGATTTTAAAAGCCTAGGGTTAAAGGTGTGAGGAGTAACAGGACATTAACGAAATCTAAAAATATCATTCCATAAGACAATTATTATTGGAAATAAGGGAGAGAGTAACTTTCCTGAGAAAAACCAGAGAAACCGGAAAATCTGACAGAAACCTGACCTTAACCAAGGGATCCAAGTTAATATCACCAATGGTGAGACAAATAGATATCAGGTGCCTCTGAATATGATGCACTGAGAAGAACGCAGTGTCCCTAATGTAGCATTTCTACGGAAAGCACAAAACCTCAATACCGGCATGAGGAAACAACAAACCACTGTTGAAAGACACTATGTAATATTGCCTAGTTCTCTCCGAAAATGTCAAGGTCACAAAACATAGAAAGACTGAGAAGCTGTTCCAGGTTAACTAAATGTAACATATGATCTGGAAATTTCTTACTATAAAGATATTTTGGGGATAACTGACAGAATCTGAATAAGGTCTACAGTTAGATAATATTATGGTATCAGTGTTAATATCCCAATTTTATTTATTTATTTATTTATTTATTTATTTATTTATTTATTTATTTTTTGAGACCGAGTTTTGCTCTTGTTGCCCAGGCTGGAGTGCAATGGCACGATCTCGGCCCACTGCAACCTCTGCCTCCCAGGCTGAAGCAATTCTCCTGCCTCAGCCTCCCTAGTAGCTGGGATTACAGGTGCGTGCCACCACACCCAGCTGATTTTTATATTTTTAGTAAAGACGGGGTTTCACCATGTTGGCCAGGCTAGTCACGAACTCCTGACCTCAGGTGATCCACCCGCCTCGACCTCCCAAAGTGCTGGGATTACAGGCATAAGCCACCATGCCCGACCTATTTATTTATTTTTTGAGACAGAGTCTTGCTCTGTCGCCCAGGCTGGAGTGAAGTGGCGCAATCTCGGTTCACTGCAACCTCTGCCTCCTGGGTTCAAGTGATTCTCCTGTCTCAGCCTCTCAAGTAGCTGGGATTACAGGCGCACGCCAACATATCCAGCTAATTTTTGTATTTTAGTAGAGACGGGGTTTTGCCATGTTGCCCAGGCTGGTCTCGAGCTCCTAACCTCAGGTGATCCGCCTGCCTCAGCCTCTCAAAGTGCTGGGATTTCAGGCGTGAGCCACCGCGTCTGGCCAATATCCCGATTTTGAAAAAAAAAAAAAATTCAGCAAGAAGAGGAAAAAAAATTAAATTGCATTTACAAGCTATTGTCTAAAAAATATATTTACATACTATATATCTTTAATAATATATGCAAATGTATAGACATGACTTTTCTAAACACAAAGTAAAGGTGAAAAGCATAATTGGTAATGGTGATAAACTATTCCTAAGTAAAGCGGTTGGGGTGTGTTTTGGCAGAGGCAAATAGGACTGACAGTAAAACAAAATTTTTACAGCCTAATTTTATAATTACCAAATGAGGGTGGTGATATTATGGGATGTTACTATCTTCTAGTATTTTTCAATATTTTTTAAGTGCAAAATAGTCATTTATGAAAAATGTTGCTTTTATTCAAGACAGATCTTGGAATCAACTGAATTCACTTAACAACATTCATAAATGACCTTAATTCCATACTAATATTCTCATGTTAACACCAGCTGTTAGAGTAAATACAGGAACATATGAAATTATTTCTCTTTATGTAATACAATAAAGAGAGAATACAATCTGTAGAGACTGCACACATTCTCCAAGAAACAAGTTTACAAGTGTTCACAGCACTGTTCACAATGCAAAAATCATGAAACCCAAACATCAGCCAACAGCAGAATGGAGAAATTGGCATATTCATACTATGAAACTATGGCATATTCATACAACGGAAAGCTAAACAGCAATGAAAATTAATCACCTAGAGCTACATGTATCAACACTGTTAAAATATCAAAATCCTAACGTTGAGTGAAATGAGAGGTACAGAACAATACATCCAGTATGATTCTGCTACATAAAGATAAAAAACAGGTGAAACCAAACATTGTTCAGAAATGTGTGGGTGTGTAACTATATATATATATATATTTGTTTTTTTTTGAGACAGGGGGTCATTCTGTCACCCAGACTGGAGTGCAGTGGCTCAATGACAGCTCACTGCAGCCTCAACCTACAGGGTTCAAGCAATTCTCCCACTTCAGCCTCCCAAGTAGCTAGGACTGCAGACATTCACCACCATGTCTGACTAATTTTTTAATTTTGTAAAGATAGGGTCTCGTCATGTTGCCCAGGCTAGTCTTGAACTCTTGGGCTCAAACAATCCTCCTGCCTCAGCCTCCCAAAGTGCTGGGATTACAGGCATGAACCAAAGCACCCAGCCTGGGCTCCATTTTTTTAGACAGGATAGCCCCGGAAGGGAGAGAGTTCTCTGTCAAATCCACATGGCTTGACAGACAACTTGAAAATATCCAGTTCTTTCCCATCTTATTTCTATGCTCACCAACAAAATTCTGATCCAAGTTTTATCCTTTCAATAAGTCTACAGCTGGCTACAGCACATCTTCCACTGCCAACTAATACACTGGAGAATTGAATCTCATGTAAGCTTGCTTGGCTTGGATAGCTTTACTCAGTCTCACAATCTCCATCCACCCTAAATGAATTGATAAAATCAAATTTCTTCACCTGCAAAGTCACACCTGGGAATCCTGATCAAACGGTGCGGAGTTCCTCTCTTCCTGAAGTCCTGCCTGACAGGAATGTAACCGTCACTGCTGGAATGTTAACTTTCCAGAAGCATCTATCAAGGGAAGACCATCTGTCTCCATTAACCACAAGATGCCTACTAAACCCGGGGAGCAATTCAACACTCACTAATTAACAAACACTGGCCTTCAAGAGAAGAGGCTCTAAGTACCAATCGATAATTTCGTGTTAATCATTAACAAAATAGAAAATAAACTGTGGCTGAGTTAACTCCAAAATTAATTTTAACCTTTCATGTAACATCTCAAAACACTGAGAAAAAGTAATTTTAAAGGGTAGCTATCACAGAAGTTCATCATATAATTATATAAAAATTATCACACAAAATAATCAAACTGCTATCAAATAGACATAACTTACTAATAACAGATTTCTAGCATTTACTCAATAAGGCTTTACTTTAACCTTCACATAATCTTCAGTAAAATCTAAGAACCTGTCTTTTAAAAAATAATTATTAGGCATTAGAAACATTATGATTTTTTAATTGAACAAATAGGCAGACATTATTTCTAAATGTTCATTTTCTCTCAGCAGCTTTTTTAACACACCATCTTTTGTCCTCAAAAATAGTATGAATAGGCCAAGCATGTTGGCTCACTCCTATAATCCCAGCACTTTGGGAGGCCAAGGCAGGCAGATAACATTTGAGGTCAAGAGTTTGAGACCAGCCTGGCCAACCTTGCAAAGCCCTGTCTCTACTATTACAAAAATAAAAAAAATTAGCTGGGCGAGGTGGTGCACGCCTGTAATCCCAGCTACTCTGGAGGCTGAGGCACGAGAATCACTTGAATCTGGAAGGCGGAGGCTGCAGTGAGCCAAGATTGCGCCACTGCACTCCAGCCTGGGCAACAGAGCAAGACCCTGTCTCAAAAAAAAAAAAAAAAAATAGTATTAATACATCAACAAGGCAAAGTCCAAATCCCAGTCATACTTCTGGGATTTGGACATAATGTACAGAAGTACATTCTGTACTTCTACTACACCTTCCTTTGTGCTCTCCCTTGTGAAATTCCCATACTTCCTGGATATCAGATTCCCATCAAGCCCCCCCTACTCTCCCCACTAGCAGCTCCTGAAAAACTACCTTCTTACACCATGAGTATCTCAGTCCATTAAGTGGCACAAATAGCAAATTTCCCTTTGTCACGGACTGAAGGCTTGTGTCTCCCCAGAATTCATATGCTGAAACCCTACTCCCTGATGATAGGATTAGGAGGTAGGGTCTTTGGGAGGTAATTAGGGTTAGATGAGGTCATGAGGATAGAGACCTCATGAATGAGACTAGTGTCCTCATAAGGGTCCAGAGAGCTTGCTTCTTCTCTCCACCACGTGAGGACCCAGGGAGAAGGCGCCATCTATGAACCAGGAAGCTGACTCTCACCAAATACTGAATCTGCCAGCACCTTGATCTTGGATTTCCCAGCCTCCAGAGCTGTGAGAAATAAATGTCTGTTGTTTATAACCCAACCAGTCTACAACAGTTTGTTACAACAGCTCTAATGGACTAAAACACCCTTCAAAACTGAAATAATAAAATTTTTTCTCCATTGTCTGTGCCTCACGTCTCATTCTCCAAATCTCTTTAGGCTGTAAAGAGAAGTATGCTCCTACACGTTACAGAGCTAATAATGGTAACAACAAAAGCCTATGCGTGCTTCTTTACCATTTATTTCTGAATAAGTAATATATTCACATAGTTCAAAATGCAAAATAGAACATAAAAGGTAACAAGGAATATTCAGAGAAAAGTCCACCTGTCCCCCAGCTACCTGATGCCTTATCTCAAAGGCATGGAATATTATGGTTCTTTTTCTATCCTTCCAGAGTTATTATATCTATATATATGCAAATGTTTATAAATTCTCTTTTTTTACATTCTTCTATGCCTTGTTTCTACTCAGGATTTTATTGTATAGCAGATCAGAATACAATGAGCTTCCTCTTTCTATTTTATGGCTACATATGACTCTTCAAATATGTGTAAACCAGTTTCTGTGGCTCTAGCCTCGCCACACCAATTTATTCAATACTCGTGGTCCCAAGACAATAAACACACCTTCATGTTTAAATATTTTTTATATATTAAGCCAGGTTATTGCATCAGTGCTAGACTCTGTGGGTGTGACAACTGTTTTGCAGGTATATACAGAAAACAGTCCTCCTTAGCATGTATTTAGAGGTGAAATGTCATGATGTCTGCAACTTACATTCAAATGATGAGGCAAAATAATACAAATATGCATACTTACCACATATGGTTCAAAATATACACACACTTGGAACAAGCCAGCAAGTACAGCAAAATGTTAACTAGTGAATACAGAAGCAGGGTATACAGGTGCTCACAGTACTATTTTTTTAAGCGTGAAATTTTCAAAATATTATAAAAAGCTAGGGCAAAAAGGCTGTATTATTTCCAGGGGTCTCCCTCATTTGCCACTGTGAAAGAAAAATAAAATCTCAGGACCCCAAACTCACTATGCCAGAGGGAAAGTTAAGCCTGGAAACTGAATCACGAAAAAACTGCCTTACTTTTGTTCCCAAACAGCTGTAATTTCACATGCTTACTTTATCTTACGTAAAATGTAGATTTACTGAGCACAAGACGAATGCATAATTGACTTTTTCCCCCACTCCTTTCTTTTCACATGTAAAAATGTAGATTCACTGAGCAGTACTAATCAGAGCCTCCCAAGAATGTAACCACTTGCCTCATTGCCTACCCACTCTCCCTTTTTTTTCTTCCCCTCCTGCTTTCTCTTTCCACTTTAAATATTGAAGTTCCCAAAATCCTCTTCAGAAAAAGCACAAGACACAGGTCCTCCTGTGACTTGTGTTTCTTTTTCGGGGGTGCATCCTCAACCTTGGCAAAATAAACCTCTAAACTGATTGAGATCTGCCTCTGTCACTGTTTGGTTTACACTTTAAAACCTACAGTGGTTCTTTCCCAACTCCCAAGCCTATGTCCTAACCTAGCCCAACCACTTCCCTTGCATTCTCCCAAAAGAAAATTAAAATGAGTTCTTTTTAGCTATTCTTAACTACTGGTCCTTCAAACTGCTCAGATTCCATGGCTCCCTAGAGTCTTCCCCTACTGCTTTGTCCCTTCTCCCTTCTCAACTAGAGCACTCTATGCGCGTACTCATTTACTTCACCTCACCATTTCATGGCCTAAGTACTGGGAACCCAGCTAGAGAGGAAGCACCTACAGCAAAAAGCCCTATATGAACAATTCTTTTGTAATTCCCACAGCACCTAACTCGTGCTATGCACATAATAGGTATTAAAAAAGTGTTCACTGAAAGAATGGTTTGTTGTTTTGTTTTGAGACAGGGTCTTACTCTGTCACCCAGACTAGAGTGCAGTGGCATGATCACAGGTCACTGTAGCCCTGGCCTCCCAAGCCCAAGTGATCCTCCTGCCTCAACCTCCCTGAGTATCTGGGATCACAGGCACAGGTCACCACACCTGGGTAAAGGCAAACTCTCACTATGTCGCCCAGGCTAGTCTCAAACTCCTGGACTCAAGCAATCTTCCTGCCTCAGCCTCCCAAAGTGCTGGGATTACAGGCGTAAGCCACCACGCCCGGCCTAGAATGGGCTTTTTTAAAACAATTAAGGGCATGGGAACTACTGCTAGGCAATGGGGGAAAGGTCTCAAAGCTCACTGGCAGAGTCTTCTGAAAAAAACCTCCAGTCTTTCAGCTTTTCTTCAATACTTTAAACTCACCTTTCCTATCCTTCCACATTGTTACAACTGTCTTCTCTCTGACACAAACAATGCCAGATTATCCTACTAAGAATGGAAAAACCTGTTCCACAACCATAAATAAAGCAACTCTAGAAGTTGGAGCAGCAAAATTCTCTTAAATTTTACTTACATGATGAGATTACTCTTGAAGACTGTAAGAAAGTGTAAACCACTTGAAAAGAGTACCTCTGAATAACGTGTCCATGGACTATTCCTGCAGTTTGAAACTAGGGAAGAACTGCCTTTTAAAGTGTTTTAACTTCAGTTAATCAAGACAATGCTAGAGACATCTGAATACAGAAGCAACTAGCATCTTGACTCAGACAGCCTGTGTCTAACAACAACACGTGTTGAAAAGTTGATTCACTAACAAGAAAAAAACAGGAATGCTACTAAAAAATAGGGGTACTACTTAAAGTGAAATTGCAAGAACCTACAATAAGAAGAATTGAAACCTATTTCATTTTTTTTCACCTGATTGGAATTCAGAAGGACCTAAAAATACAACCCTCCGAAAATTAAGATCCAAAGAGGTTAAACACACCTAATCCAATATCTCGTAACTCAGAAGTTAAAGTCAAAGCTTGCTTGAGAACTCAAATATAATGGTCTTCTCATGCTATTCTGTCCACTTCACTTCTAAATTTCCTAACCTTATCTTCTGCCCAAAAAGCACAGTGGACAGGGAGGTGGAAGACCTAACTGTGGTCCGCTATGCTGTGAACCAGGTGTGTAAGTTTAAGTAAATTGTCTCATTTATAAAATGAGAAGATTGAACTCAATGTGCTCCCAAGGCCCTTACAGCTAGAATATACTGTGCTCCTTCAGAGTGGCATAGGTCACAGTTGCTATTTAACACAAATTTGACTCTACCACATTTTTTACATACCAAACTCTGTTATAATTTAAGAAATTTAAAAATACTACTTTAACCCAAACAATATCTTTGTTTACCAAAAATTTCCATACGTAGAAAGGACCCTGAAATTCTATATGGTTATTTATTACCAAAATTTAGGCAAACTGTTCTTTAAACTTCAATCTGAAACCTATTTGAATGCCTAGTTAAATCTGAAAGTCTAAACACCTATCTGAAACCTATTTGAATGCCTATTTAAATCTGAAAATTTAAACATCAATCTGAAACCTATTTGAATGCCCATTTAAATATCAAAAACAGCTTGAGAAGTGATACATTTCACATATCTTTTCCATTCAACCTGAAATATGCTATATAAACATATTAAACTCTTCAGAAATAATTTGCACTGGCTGGGTGTGGTGGCTCACGCCTGTCATTCCAGCAATTTGGGAGGCCGACGTGGGTGGACCATCCGGGAGGTTAGAAGTTCGAGAGACCAGCCTGGCCAACTTGGTGAAACCCCGTCTTTACTAAAAATATAAAATTAGCCGGGTGTGGTGGTGCATGCCTGTAATACCAGCTACTTGGGAGGCTGAGGCAGGAGAATTGCTTGAACCCAGGAGGTGGAGACTGCAGTGAACCGAGATCATCCCACTGCATTCCAGCCTGGGCAACAAGAGTGAAACTCCGGGCCAGGCACAGTGGCTCACACCTGTCATCCCAGCACTATGGGAGGCTGAGGTGGGTGGATCACCTGAGGTTAGAAGTTCAAGAGACCAGCCTGGCCAACATGGTAAAACCCCATCTCTACTAAAAATACAAAATTAGCCAGGTGTGGTGGTGCATGCCTGTAATACCAGCTACTTGGGAGGCTGAGGCAGAAGAATTGCTTGAACCCAGGAGGTGGAGGTTGCAGTAAACCAGGGTTATCCCACTGCATTCCAGTCTGGGCAACAAGAGTGAAACTCCAGGCCGAGCACGGTGGCTCATGCCTGTAATGCCAGCACTTTGGGAGGCCAAGGCGGGTGGATCACCTGAGGTCAGGAGTTCGAGACCAGCCTGGCCAACATGGTGAAACCCCGTCTCTACTAAAAATATAAAACTAGCTGGGTGTGGTGGTGTATGCCTGTAATACCAGCTACTTGGGAGGCTGAGGCAGAAGAACTGCTTGAACCCAGGAGGCAGAGGTTGCAGTGAGCCAAGATCATCCTACTGCATTCCAGCCTGGGCCACAAGAGTGAAACTCTGTCTCAAAAAACAAACAAACAAACAAACAAATAAATAATTTGCACCAGCATGCGATTTTACAGACCATAATATCAGAGTAAAATTTGTCTTTAGTTCTGGACTGCCATTAATCAGGCTAAAAAAAATGCCTATGGTAAGTGTAGGATGTTTCCTAGGCTATCCATATAAGGAATGGAAGAAGGTAAAAGGAAAAAGAGAAGAAACGGAAAAGAACCAAAAAAGACAAAAAAGGAAGGAAACTGAGTGAGTAAAGAACGCAGGAAAAAACGACAATAAACAGGGAGGAAAAGAATGGCCCACAACTGGCTTGCTGATATGCCAGGGCCAGGGTGGGCCTGCATCCACAAAACACTCAGACAGATTCCAGACGTATTCAGGTTTTTTGTTTGTTTTGTTTAATTTTGGACAGAAAGTTTACCCAGAGGGGACATGTTTCCTTGTGCCTGCTCCTAGGCTCCCTGTTGAGGACTAGGAAGATTCCAATGCATGAAAAGGAACACAGAGTCCACAGTCCAGAATACTCTAGATGAGGGGCCCCCAAGTCCCGGGCTACAGATGGGTACTGGTCTGTGGCCTGTTAGGAACTGGACCACGCAGCAGGAGGTGTGCAGTGGACTAGCAAGCAAAGCTTCATCTGTATTTACAGCCGCACCCCATCACTCGCATCACCGCCTGAGCTCCGCCTCCTGTCAGATCACCAGCAGCGTTGGATTCTCATAAGAGCACCAACCCTACTGTGAACTGCACATGCGAGGGATCTAGGCTGCGGGTTCCTTACGAGAGTCTAATGCCTGACGGCCTGTCATTGTCTCCCATCATTCCGAGATGGGACCATCTAGTTACAGGAAAACAAGCTCTGGGCTCCCACTGATACTACATTATGGTGAGTTGTATAATTACTTCATTATATATGACAATGTAATAATAATAGAAATAAAGTGCACAATAAATGGAATGCGCTTGAATCAACCTGAAACCATCCCCCACCCCACCCATCCGTGGAAAAATTATCTTCCACAAACCAGTCCCTGGTGCCAAAAAGATTGGAGACTGCTGCCCTAGATGACTGACCTGCAATGTCCAAGACCCAACATGTTCCTGAGGAGTAATCTTACCAGAGCTTACAGCTCTTACTCCAAAAGAGCACGATGATCAACAAACACGTTTTAGGAAGTAAGATGAGTATTTATGCAATTACAGTTCAGTGCTTTAAAACAACTGTTACCCTCCAAAAACAACAATAAATGTGGTCAGAATGCATCCATTGCCAATGGATTCTCGGGAGCCACTGTGGTTTCCCTCCACAATGCAGGACCGCTTTCTGGGGTAAGTGGCTGGACCACTCAGACCAAGAATGAGCCGAGGACGTGCCGCCACTGTTTCCCACAGAAGAGCAAATGTTCTTCAGTTATTGCAAGGCATGATTTCTCATACAGATGATCACTTTTAAAACTTTAGAGCAATTCTGTTGTTTGGATATTTCTGTTGTTTAGAATCCCAAATGATCTTTTATTTTTTAAAAAAATATGTATCTCAAAAACATACTGCAGATGATATGAAATGACTAAACAGGGTACTGATTAAGTCTATAAAGTCATTGTTCCAAACTGCTTGTTAGGCAGTAACAAAGATATATGGCAAAGAACAAACCCCTATGTTTCTTTTTCAGAAGAATTAAATTAGTAGCAGAAAGAATCTCAATTTAGAACCCTTTAAAAGGGGGAGCAAAGGGGGATGTTATATCTTTTTCCATAAAAATAAGAGACGTGTAAGCAGAGTAACTTTTTGTAAGCTAACTAAGAGGCATAAAACAAACTACAGATTTCAAAGATAAAATCCAAAATAAACAACATTTAAAAAAAAAACTTTCATTTGCTATTAAATACCTGAATTTTCAGGCAATACACGCTAAAAATGGAAGAGTCACCACAAATTATTTTGGAAGTGAGCCCATAAAAAGTAGGTATTATAAAGTTCTAAAAAGCTAAAAAATAGGAATAGCTAAAGGAATATGAATGACACTAAGGACAAAGGATTAAATAAATGTTCTTAGCATAGCAATAACTAATCTCTCTGGAAACAAACAAAAAAGATAAACACAGATTTTAAAAAATAAACAATATGTGCAATGAATGCATGACACATCAATACAAAAGCAGACAGCAAAACAACTGTCAGTGGCCTTGACAATGGACAGATAAGTAGCTTGGTGAACATAACAAAAAGATTCAGTACTAACAAAAATGTCCCTAGAAATAGGACACTAGCACTTACGGTCACAGGCCATGCACAATTTTGCAAGAGAAAGATCTGAAGTGGCATTTTTTATGAGTTGTATAAGAATTAACAGAGGCATGAAGCAGGTTCCCAGAAACTCTCCTAGTGGTTTAAATACCATCACCGAAAGAACAACTTTAGAAGGCCACTGCCTCCTTCATGGAGATGAAAAGCAGCCGAATATTTCACACCTGTGTCAGCAATTTTTCCAAAGTGTAATCCAGGTTCAATATTCGGGTATTCTAACGTAGATATCACAATAAAGACAAGGGTGCCCTCCTGACCCATCCCTAACTCCTGAAGAAGAGGGCGGGCCACAAGGCAGGCAATCTAATTTAAGGAGTCCAAGATCGTTTTACCTGGGGACTCAAAGGCATCACCCCTACACTGAGACCAGTCTTGATTACTGGGTACCTTTCAAAATGCTGAAGTTTCCTGTGAGGGTCTACAACCATACCACCGTATGAATAATCTCAATCACAGCATTTTAGGGCTGGAAAGACCGTTCTCCATCCAACCTCTCATTTCAGATGAGCGGAGACTCAAATCTCTCACAGGGTTCCATAGCTAGTTGGAACCAGAAATCCAGCAGAAATACTGTAAGCAAGCTTGTCCAAGATGTGGTCCAGGACAGCTTTGAATGTGGCTCAACACAAATTCACAAACTTTCTTAAAACGCTATGAGATTTTTTTTGCAATTTTTTTTTTTTTTAGCTCATCAGCTATCGTTAGTGTCCGTGTATTTTACGTGTGGCCCAAGACAGTTCTTCTTGTTCCAGTGTGGCCCAGGGAAGCCAAAAGATTGGACACTCCTGGAGGTGCAGCACAGTATCTAACACTACCTCAATACTTTTTCCACCGAACTACGTAAGACCAGCCACAGCCCAGAAAAAGAACTTCCCACAGGAAAAGGAGGAAGAGGAAAATGTGGAGGAAATCTACGAGGAGGGGATTGGCCAACCGCAAGTCAGCATGGGATGCTGGACACCTGGCCGTGCGAGAAACAGAAACGTGAGAAGTTGGAAGAAAGGAGCATAAAGAGATGGGAGAAGGCAAAGGCAGACACTGCCACTTAAGCACTAGTCTAGTAAGACTAGTACTTAATAAAGTACAAGAAAAAAGAACGGTCATTAACATCCTAACTCTCTAAAGCACAGGAGCCTTTTTAAAGGGCTTGAGGAAGTGGCAGAGACAAACTCCAAGAAAGCCTGGAGGAGGGGATCACACAGCAGCTCCCTGATTCACTAATTCAGAGGTGGTCCCAGCATCTTGTTAAGCAGACTGCCAACCCCAGCCTCACACTGTCAAGTCTGAAGGATTTGAAAGTTTCACAGATTTAACTACGAAGATTATGTCACAGATACATATTTGAGTCAAGAAATGAGTACAGATCTGGGTAGCAAATCACACGTAGCTCTTTTCAAAGAGAAAGAGGTGATCAAAATCTAAAGCTGGGTCCATGAAACATAGCTCAAATCAATTACGCGTATGCCAAATCAACTCTTAAGATTTTAAGGCTCAATCCTCTTATAAAAGCGGTGAGACAATATACAATTTCAAGATAAAACTAAAACTGGTAGTGTGAAAAGCAGAGAAGTCTCATGGTCTCAACCCAGCTTCGTGGTCTGCGCTATACAAATGATTTGTTTCCTAATCCATAAAGCACGCCTAGTAATAACGGTCATGTGTGCCTTCCAGAAACTTGATTTAAACAAGGTAACGATCATAAAGCAATCTAAAAATGTAAGCATTGCATGAATTCTGGGCATAACTTTGGAAAGGCATTTGACATGAGTCAAATAATAGCACCTGGCGATATTGCGAAGTATTCACCAGAAACAAAAAGGAAAACTTATTCATTTATTATTTTCTAACAAAGAACCCTGTGCTATTGACTCATCTTGACATAGTTAATATGTCTTTTAAAAGTTTCAGGACATTTAAAAACTTACAACATTCCATTTTTGTCTTCCCATTCCCTGCTCACCAATTTCTTCTATTTTATTTCTCTGCTTTCAGGTAAAGTTATATATATTTTCCTCAAAGTCTTAACTTTTCTTTTCTCTCCAATACATTTAGTCATATTAGAATATACTGTCAAACCTCACTTGGACTCAACTTGAGTCCATCTGATTCTCAGCACCTGGGAGTCTGGTTTAACATGGAATGCTTCCAGAGCGCCACCTGTCCTCTTAGAATGCCTTGGAATCTCCACCAACGCCTCCCCAAGATCTTCCCTCTCCCATAAACATACACCCTAAGAACGGTGTGCTTGCTATGAAAGGGCTGCTTGAAGACAAGTCTCCTAGTAACCCCACTCCCTTTCCTACCAGATTCCAGCCCCACAGTCCCCTCATTTAGAAACTACAGAGCCACCACTGTTCTCCAAGGTCATCAAAATCAGGAATGACTGTGCCCTGACGTACTCATCCATGCCCCGATGGACATTTCCTTCCCGCAACCATGATTCTTCCGTGAGGCTGTTATCTTTAGGGGATGTCCAAGTTAACGCTGTCACAGTCTATTATGGACCCAAATCCGTGGAGTTTTGTCTAGAAAAAACTGTGTCTCATGAAAATCATTTTATCTAGTGAGTCCACAACTATATAATGTGCTGCATTGTACTCTGTAGCTGCATATTAAGAGAAGACCACATGCCATGTCATGCACCTGTAGTCCCAGCTACTCAGAAGGCTGAGGTGGGGGGATTAGTTGAGCCCAGGAGTTCAAGGGCAGTCTAGGCAATCCAGCGAGACTCCATTTCTAAAACTAAATAGTTCAGGCACAGTAGCTCATTCCTGTAATCCCAGCACTTTGGGAGGCTGGGGCGGGAGGATGGCTTGAACCCAGCAGTTCGAGACCAGCCTGTGCAACAAGGCAAGATCCCATCTCTAGAAAAACATTTTTTTTTATTTAGCTGGGCGTGGTGGCACACATCTGCAGTCCCAGCTACTCAGGAGGTTGAGGAGGGAGGATCACTTGAGCCCAGGAGGTTGAGACTGCAATGAGCTATGATTGTGCCACTGCACTCCAGCCTGGGTGACAGAGTGAGACCATTTCTAAATAAATAAAAGGCACTTGGTTAGATTTAATACAACATTTAGGTTTAAGGAGTAGCAAATAGTTTTGTCATTTAGTAACATCGGAAATACTTTAATATATTTTAACTGGGGATTTCTAATTTAGCTAAGTAGGAATACCCAATCTGAGTTTTAACAGACTCATTATTTTTGGAAAATATATGGAGTTCTCAAGAAATTCTCAAAATAAAATTAATCTAATCCATTTTAAACTTTTACAACTCAGTCTGCCATACAGCAATTTTTAAATGACATAATCCTTTAGAAATCAAGCAGTGATCAGTGCTCAACTTGAAAAGTGATGGGGGTGGGGGGAACAGGCAAAAAAAAAAAAAATCACAGAACTTTAGAAGATACTGTCTATCCCAACGGCTCTCAAAGTTTGGCCCTCTGACCAGCAACGTCAGCATTACCTGGAAACTTGTAAGAAATATACATTAGTGGGCCCACCCTAGACCTTCTGAGTCAGAAACTCTGGGGTGCAGCCCAATAATGTGTGTTCTTCAGTGATTCTGATACACACCAAAGTTTGAGAACCAGAGTTCAATCCAACCACTCCACTGATGAGAAAGAAGTGAAGCCAGTAACATCCTCAAACTCGAACAAGTTGGTGACCTTCAAAATGATTCTTAAACTATATACCTGAATCCAAGTAGTCCCATAGGATCTTCTAGGCAAAAATACATCCTGATCTTTTGTAGCATTAATTCTAATATCATTACTATCTACTCAGATACAGGCAAGTATTTTTGTCATGAGTAATTTACATTTAATACCTAAAAAAGAAGACTTGGCCAAGCGCAGTGGCTCATGCCTGTCAACCAACACTTTGGGAGGCCGAGGGGGTGGGTCACTGGAGCCTAGGAGTTCAAGTCAACCCTGGGCAACATAGCAAAACACTGTCTCTACAAACAAACAAACAAAAAACACAAATTTGCCAGGCACGGTAGCATGTGCCTGTAGTACCAGCTCCTGGGGAGGCTGAGGTGGGAAGATTGCTTGAGGCCAGGAGGTTAAGGCTGCAGTAAGTTGTGATTATGCCACTGCACTCCAGACCCCGTCTTGAAAAAGATAAATAAAAAATGTTTTAAATAAAAAAGACTTCACATGATTGACCTCGCTACAAAAATGACAACTCAAATCTCACAGGCTCTTTCTGTGTGGTTGGTTGGGTTAACTTTTGTTGCTATTAGCAGTGGTGGGTTTTGTCTTGTTATGCTCGTGTTTTGGTTTGGTTTCAAGGGCAACAGCAGGAATTGACGAACACGTGGTTGATACTTTGTTTTCGATTCGGGGGCTTTTATATTTTTGCCTCACCCAAAAGGTTCATACCAAAGGTATTTGAAAAGTAAGGACTAAAGGACTAGGAATTGCTTAAAAGAGAAGTCTTCCCATTTTATCTTGGAATGTATTCTATGACTTTTTTTTAAGACAACAGATTTGTATTTCCAATTGTGTTTGACTTACTCTATGATAAAATTACTTTTCATTTGTGGAACATGTAGTGGCAGAATGATAGGAAGACAACATTTATCCTAGGAACAAGCTGTTGTGGATGAAGACAGGCCTAAAATCCAAACACACATAGCAGCACAAAGTAGGTTAAGTCTGATGCATAGTATAGATAGCAGAGTATGTTTATCGCCTCTTAAAGGTACTAAACCAAATATTCGGCTACATCATCAACCCCCAATATAGGATCTACTACATGAAATAAAATCTACAATTTTTGGTCTTAGTGCTCTTATTCTAAACAGATGTTTGATGTGTCTGATACTATATATATATTTTTTTTTTCAAAGCCTAGTAGGGGTTATCTACACAATTAAACATTTTCTATTTACATTTTAAATATCCCATTTGACAAGCTTGTAACTTGGGTGCTAGGATTACCATAGAAAAAAAATCACAGAATACATGAGATTTGGAAGCTGAAGAAAGAAATGTTTCCATTCCTGTTTCTCATGGTTAAGTTGTTTTGTCAATGTCCTGCCACACTAGAGGTAATATCTTCAGTCCTTTTTTCAGACTCCATTAACATACACAATTACCAAACAAACTTGGATTTTACAACCCAAACTTTCTAACATAGTTCAGCGCATGATTTTATTTTATTTTATTTCCTCTGAAGAAGTTATCATGGGCCAGGTGCCATGGCTCACGCCTGTAATCCCAGCACTTCGGGAGGCCGAGGTAGGGAGATCACCTGAGGCCAGGAGTTCGAGACCAGCCTGACCAACGTGGTGAAATCCCATCTCTACTAAAAATACAAAAATTAGCCGGGCGTGGTGGCGCACACCTGTAATCCCAGCTACTAGGGAGGCTGAAGCAGGAGAATCTCTTGAACCTGGGAGGCAGAGGCTGCAATGAGCTGAGATCGTGCCACTGCCCTCCAGCCTAGGCAACAGAGCGAGACTCCAACTCAAAAAAAAAAAAAAGAAGTTATCATGGATGACTGCACAATGCAATAGAAACAACTACTTCCATTTGATGTATACTTCCAACTCTCTCTGTATGACCTGAGCACCAAATCTTCTTGTGACTTTATTTTTCAATCTGTCATCAAATAAGTGTAACAATTCCTGCTACATATCTTACCAGAAAGAAATCAGAGTCACAGAGCTAACAATAGTACCCCTGGAGAGACTGCGTTCCTTGGAAGAACTATAAAGCCACTGGTGTAGTTACTCGTTACTTCTCTTCTCAGCTCCATGTTACAGCCTCTGAAGCTAAACTGGAAGGCTTAAGTTAGTTGAACATTCATTCATTCATTCAAAACATATTTATGAGCACTGATAGGTGTCAAGTAGCATATTAGGCCTTGGAGATCAATGGTCAGCAAGACAAGCACAGTTCCTTCCCCTCACAATGCATCTCAGAAAAGTACTGATTCAACTCATAGGACTTTCATTTAGTGTATACACCAAGGGCTCACATCCATTTGTAAATAATTACTCATAATCATAATTACTAATAATCACTCTACTCTGCTCCTGAAAAAGGAAGACCACACGCACTACATGAAAAGCCACAGAACACACGAATGCTCCATAATATGAAGGCCCCACATAGGCCAAAAATATCACCCACTAAGCACCTTATAATCTATGAACGGGAAGCATGGTGTTAAGCCCTAGAAGATGACTGCAGACTTTTAAAGGCAGAATACCTTAGCCTAAATGATGACCTGTCAATTACAGGACATATCTTCTGTGACTGCAGACTTTTAAAGGCAGAATACCTTAGCCTAAATGATGACCTGTCAATTACAGACATATCTTCTGTAACTGTGCCATCCAATACAGTAGCCATTAGCAGCTATTTACATTTATCAATTAGAAATTCAATTCTGGCTAGGCGCAGTGGCTCACACCTGTAATCCCAGCACTTTGGGAGGCCGAGGCGGGCAGATTGCTTGAGCCCAGGAGTTCAAAACCAGCCTGGGCAACATGGCGAAATCCCACCCCTACTAAAAACACAAAAATAGCCAGGCATGGTGGCAGGCCCCTGTAATCCCAGCTACTCGGGAGGGCTAAGGTGGGAGGATCGCTTCAGCCTGGGAAGCAGAGGTTGCAGTGGGCCAAGATTGCACCACTGCACTCCAGCCTTGGTGACAGAACAACACCGTCTCAAAAAAAAAAAAAAAAGAAAGAAAGAAAAGAAAAGAAATTCAGTTCGTCAGTCACACTTAATGTGCTCAATAGCCACAAGTGGCTAGTGGCTACCACACTGGATAACACAAATTTATAAATCATTTCCATCCTCTCCAAAAGCTCTATGGGACAGTGCTGCTCTACAAATACCTCTGTAATACTCAATCTGAAAATTACAGCAATGAAATGTGATGAAGCACCTGTGCTCTGTTATGGCACATCAAAGCATGTCCACTGGTAATGTAGTACTAGTTCTTCCTTCCCAAGTAAATCGAAAAACAAAAACAACCTTGGGCATCTCCTCCAGCATATATTAGTAACCAAGAAAGTTCACACCGTCCAATCGGCCAGTGAAGGATGAAATTCGCAAACAAGTGAAAAACTGATATTTTGCCCCTTCCTATTTCTTTGATAATGTGTTACTATTATTGTGTATTTTCTGTGTAAGTTTTGTCTTGGGGTGCTTTCAGCTGTGTTTTTAGCCTGGTAGCAAGCAGCAGAGAAGGAGGTGAGGACAGTTCAGAATGAAGATGAGTGATTCAGGAAAACACCGACACAGATAATGCAACTTAAATGGAAGTAAATGTAATTGCGACCAATGCAATAAACTTAAGTGCTTACTGTGTGCCAGTGATGTGCAGATAAACAAGTCACCATTCTCACCTTTGAGGTGCCCAATATGTAACAAATACAATGAGATATGCTGTGATATAATGCAATAAGACAAGCATATATATAATGCAGAGATGACGCAGGGAGGGTATTTTTTAAATGGTTTCTGAGGAGAAATCAGGGAACATTTCCTGAAGGAGGTATCCAAGAAGCAGAAGAGCAAACTAAGCAAAGCCATGCGCAGGAATCCCAAGTGGTTTGGCAATGCTGGTGAAAAATGTGTTTCGTGGTAAGGAGGATGGGGGTGGACAATGGGAGGAGGGAGATGGGGCTAGAGAGCTATTTCCACACCAGACCACAGATACTCACGTTCCAGTCAGGTTTGCCTGAGTAGGTCTATAAGCCTTCCTCATCAAAACTGCAAGTAATATGAAAACCAATCCCTAAAGTATGCTAAATAATATACCCATGCCTGCCATAGAGGTAACAATATTTGACAGCAATCAACAGGAATATAAAGTTCTTTGTGACACGGTACCTCTTAATAATACATACTGGTCACAAATACACTGTAGCTAGTATCATTTGTTTTCAGGGAGAAACCTCTGTTTACTATGAGTTTTCTTTGGAATCTCTGTACAGAAAATACTAATGAAATGGACTACTCCCACATCTAAACGTCCCACCAACAGTTTATCTGACCAGGAGACAAATCAAACAAATTAAGGGGAGAAAAGAGATGTAACGGCAAAGTTTCTCTACTCCAGACTAGTTGTTTTTTTTTTTCTCCAAAATGCTAATGGCAGAACTTCTGCTACTCTGTACTGTACCGCACCTCTGGGTACATCCAGCTGTGACCACACCACAACTGTATCGCATCCAGCAACCTAAAGTACTCTTGTGGTTGCTCATGTAAATACTTGGAAAATATCTGCCTCTTCCGGACTCTCCCCTTCACATTATAGAAATGCTCAAGTCTCAAAAACAAAACAAGAAACTTCCAGAGAACCTATTCACTTCAAATTACGGAGATCCCCTCTCTCCTTGATCCACAATAAACTTCTGGAAAAGGTCGCCTACAGGCCTTAAAGAATCACCACGATTTTCCTCCCCTATACAAGCAAAGCTTTTCAGACAAAAATCTTAACAGTAGAAATGTACCCACATAAACAAGCTGGCCCTCAGGCAAACATTACTACTATTCACACAAACATGGGGCCCTTAGGCAAAGGTACATTTTCCACGAGGCATATGTGACTGTTGAAAGTAGGGGTTTTGAACTCGACCTCCCTAGGTCCTAGTCACAGTAGTCCTCCCTGATTAACTCCGAGCTTCCACTCCTCCTCCAACTATAAAATAGGGGTAACAGTACTTCTACGAGTAGATCCATGTTTGGGGAGCCGCAGTATCTGACACAGAGACCCCACTGAGTGACAGATGAATACGTGTTAGCTATTTTAGCTATTTTTACTATTTTGTCCCTAAATAGATGTGATTTCACAAGTAGCTATTCCATCAAGCTGGTTACTTCTATAAATTCTCACTGCACCAAAATCACTTATGGGGAAGAGGGGGTTAAAAATACACTGTCCAGGCCCTATGTGGATGTGGGTCCAATTGGTCTGGGATTGGGCTGGCGTTAGAATCCTTCTTAAAGCACTCCAGTTGGTTATTACACGCAGCCGGCCTTCAGGAGCACACAGAAGTGTCTACCCGTCCACCGGGATGTACACACCACCTGTAAGGTCCGAGTTCTGAGCCGAGCAGCGCAGGCAGGTCCTCTCTCCTGGACTAGGCTCCCCGAAGCGCTGCGACGACAAACCTAGCACTGCTCGCCGAGAAGCGCCAAGCCCCTCAGCCAGCGCCGGGGCACCCGCGCGGCAGGGCTCCATCGGGGGCCACACGCCCCCTCGCGCGCCCTCCGCGGGCGCAGGCCCCTCCGGCCCGTGTCACCGCGCCCTCGCCTCCCGCGCCCCGGCCCCCTCCCGCCCACGGCACGTGACTCGACACGCGCCAGCTGCACGCGGGCTCCATCAAAACAAAAACAGAGGAGGCCGGCCGGGCGGCGGCGGGCGCGCGCGGGGGCGGCAGAGAGCGGGCGCGCCCCCGCTGCCCGGCGCCGCGACCGCGCCTCCACCGCCCCGGGCACCGCCGGCCGCGCGCCCCGGCAGGCCGGGGGCGGGAGGGCAGAGGGCACCACCCTGTTTACCGCCACGGCCCCGCCCCGCCAGCGCCCGCTCCCGGAAACGGTCTCCCGGGAGAGGGCCGGCGAGTGCGCACCCACCCGCGGCGGGGAACGCCGGCCCTGCGTGGGAGGCGCCCGGCTCCGGCGGCCCGCCGCCCCCGGCTGCTGCGTGTCACCCCCGTCACGACTCTGCTACGCACTTCGCCCCCAGCTTTCAGCTCCGGCGCTTCCGCAGACCCCTCACGTGGCTGCCGCCTCCCTGCCATGGCACTCCCCGGCGACCGGGGCTGCGGCCCCTAGCGCTGCGAGGGATCCCGAGCCTGTGCCCACCCCACCTTGGACGTCACCCTCCTCGGACCACCCAACCCACACCTTCCGCCTAGGGCGGGGCGAGGGGAGGACGGCTACGAGCTGTCAGGAGCCTCCAGCTTTCCCCGTGACGAAGCTCACCCTCGCCCTGATGTCGCCACTCACCCAGCAGCGGGCTGCGAGCTGGAGCAGACGTTAACACCGAGGGAGGACTGAAGGGAACGTCTTGATTTTTCTCCTTAATTTGCCACAGACACAGGGAAAAAAAAAAAAAAACAAAAACAGCAGACGCAGCTCTACCTTTGCGCTGGCTTTAAAGCTTTTAAGCTCCCCACGTCATCCTACCCCATGCAACAGACTTACCGAATAGCAATGCCCACCCCACACACCTGCTAGGTAACTCGCCTTCTGGAAATCGGGGGCCCCACCCACCCCGCCTTCTGGAAACCTGCGCCTGGGGTGGGGTTGAAGAGACACTGTCTGGTATCCTAAAGTCAGAGGGCGTGAGGAGACCGGCGCCCTTCGCCCCACCCAGGCGCGCTGCACCCTCCGGTCCCCGTCTCTAGAGTGCACCAAGGCATCCTGCGTCCCTGCCGGAGAAAAGAGGGACGGGGCCAGAGGCCCGAGTTCCAGGGAGTTGCTGATTCCAGTGGAGAACCGAGACACCGCGTCCTTTCTAATTAATAAGCACGCCACCCCCTACCTCCAACCCCCCCCCCCGCCCCGCCTTTATTTCTTGTTGACAGCAAAGGTGGGGGACGTGGGAGAAAGGCAAGAGTTGTCTCTAGGTTCGGGATGTTGGGCTGCGCGGAGGGAAGAGGTGGGATCTCGAAATGGAAACAGTCCCCCCTTCCTCCCCCCTCCCCTCCTCCTCCTCCTCCTCCTCTTCTTCTGTTTACCTCAAGTTTGAATTTTATCTGCGCAACATTAGCTGGAATGCGGACATTGAAAAAAAAAAAAAAACACTCTCTCAGCCCGGCAGCAGCTCCGGAGGAGCCATGTGGCATCAAGCCACAGCAAAGGGGAAAAAGTGCTCTTAGCAACACAAACATGGCGAAATCGCTCTCACAAGCCGGGTTCCCGCGACAGCCCTACCTTCCCCCGCTCGCCTTCCGAACGTCCTGGCCAGGAACCGCAGACCCCTTCCGGGGGACGGCGAGGGGGCCCCGGGCTGAGCGAGGGTGGGCGCACGGGGCGTGCTAAGGGGAAATTGACTAGCCAGCCGATCAGCTCCGCCGGCAGCGGAGGGGACGCCTTCTTCACGCCCTGAGATCGCAAAGGAGAGCAAAATTCCCATCCCAAAGTCCTGCGGGACCGGCTTCCCCACCCGACGAACTTACCCCAGGGCTGAACGCACGCTGCTTTAGCTCCTTGCCTCGTTCCTTCCTCCCGGGCGCGACGCGAGGTGAAAATGATGCGCACGTAGATTTGTAGAGCGTATTCTTGAGAATTTCCCTGGGATGAATCGGGAGGAGCGGTGGAGACTCCGGAGACAGGTGCCGCGCTGGTCTGGGCTGCCGGCTAAAAGTTGTCCTCCGCGCGGTGGGCGGTGGGGTCCCCGGCCAGGGCCAAGGACCCCGGCTCCCTGCCCCCCGGCGTCGCCCACTTGTCACGCCAGGCTGCTGCGTGCACTCGGCTGCAGGGGAGGTGGCGTAGTTTCTCTTCCTCCCACCTCTTCTCACTCACTTGTTTTTGTAGCCGTGGGCTCCCCTAATGCTTTCCTCTCCACAATGTTGTTTCATTATATCATGTCCATCATGTGACACCAGAGAGGCCTCTCTATGGAAACTTAAAGGGGCTCCCACGTGACTGCAGCAGCAACAACAGCAGCAGGACTGGCGGCGGCGGCCGCAGCGGCGTCCGTACCTCCACCCACCGGGAGCCCCTCGAAGCATCCCGGAGGGGCTTCTGGCGCTGCAGGAGCCCCGATCGGGGAGCCACAGCATCCGGGAGCCGTGGTGTCTGTGCGTGCGTGGAGCCTGTGCTCATGACATAGGAAGCCGAACAGAAGGAGCGTCCTCAAATCCTTTCCTACAGTCACCAAACCCACGCTCTGTTAAAATGACATTTCGTGGCTCCTACTTTGTTTCCCCGGAGAGCAATGAGTTTTCTATCAGGCCTGATTTAGTTTGACAAAAGTCAAAAAGAAAAACTGGATTTGTCCCTCTGCGAGTTCAGTCAGATCGCTGGGAAAACAGAAATGACAAAACAATAATAACAGAAATAGAACCAGGCATTTGATACATAATTACCATCACCACGGCTTTCAAGCTTTCTGGAATTACGTTCCTCCAGTAACTGTTGATGATGCTTGCAGGAGGCAAAATGCAATGCAGTTTTTCTCTTCCGCAGCTATATTAGGGCTTTGTTGCTGACAACAGTGAAAACTTGTTTGTGTCAGGAAGTGAGGTACGGAGATATGACCTGGAAGGTACAGACAAAACCAAAGTGGCAGTTTTTGCATTACTTTTCTGACCACATTCTTTCAAATGGTGACAAGAAGGCGGTCTGCTGTAAAATTCGTGGGGTGTTTGATGGGAAACAAAATAATCAGAAAAACATAATTATCCCTAGCCATACCATACTTGCTAGACGCTAGAAAGTATACATATATGTAATCTCTGTATACATAGAGAAAGCAAAAAGCATGTGCACTTTAATATTTTTGAACCACTAATTTTGTCATCATTTGTACCATTAACAAACACTTGGAAAGACTCACTCAAGTCCAGGGATGTGTGGAAACTCACAATGTTGAGTGCTGTGGGTATTACTGACTCACAGTCCCTTAAAGGGTTTGTACCATAAATCCCAAATTTCTGCCTTAAAGTTTTTACAGACATGGAGATTTTATCCTGTAAATCTAAGCCAGATAGCTATTTCTGGGTTTTTTAGTTCATGCTTTTCCATTTTATAAAGGAAACTGTGTGGATTGGCGGAATCAAGAAAAACTTCGCAAGAAACTGAAGAGTGGGATGGAAGATCTTTTCGTTTGGCCTTGCCTTGACTCTGTCTCTCTCCACCTCATCAGTTTACTTCATCAGCCATGATGAATGAGCTCCATTCCAACCCTTCTAATTCTATAATATCTCTCCCAAGTTTTACCTTCCTATCTCATGCCTAATTCTTTTCATCCCTTTCCTCCTACCTCCCTTGCCTCCCAACTCAGCCCCTTTTCTGCCTGGGGGCTCAGCTCGGGCCTCCCCAAAGACTGTACCCCCCACCCTCCCCTGCAGCTACCCCCACCCCCACGCCCTTCCCAGCTCGGCCTCTCTTCTTTGCAACTCTACCTCCTTACCTCTTTTGACCTCTAATCACCTTCACAGTCTGGCCCTTGACTTCTGGGCCTCTTCTTACCTCTCTTTACCTGAAATGTCCTGGCCCTCACTGGGGTCTCCTCCACACCCTTCTCTCTGGTCCCATCCCTTCTGCTGCCAAGCCCCAGCGTTCCTCCGGCTCGGCCTGGTCAGCTTGAGCCTCATTTTGTTCGCGTGCCCCTGGGCTGGGAAAGGAGTGTGTGGTGCACAGTGGGGCCAAGGATCCCCTGGGGCCGCGGCCTCTGCCTCGCCCCCTCCACCCCTCCCGAGTCCCGGTTGCGGCGCTTCCTGGGCGGATGGCTTGAAATTGCTGCAGCAGCTGCGGTTCTGCTGTGTCATGCAAGAAGGAGGCGGCGGCGGCGGCGGCGGCGGCCGGAGCTGGAGGGGGAGGAGGGGAGGAACCTGATCCTCCGGTAGCGAAGGGCTAGAGGCAAACACCGAGCTCCTCCAGAGCCGCCCGGGAGCAGGGAGGGCTCCGCTAGCCCGGGGGGCCCTCCCCGCGGGGCAGATGGTAAGTGGGGCGGTGCAGGTGGTCGCCTTGGGAAGGGAGCGCGCAGGGGGGTAAGGTGGGGCGGCGGGAAGTGCTAGAAGTCACCCCAGCCAAACTGAAGGAGCCCAGTTTCCAGCTGAGAGGGACCCAGGCCGTAATAAGGATGTCCAGCCAAACGCAGCAATAATTACTATTGGAGTGACGCCCCGAAGTTGACCCCAAGCTACACAGAGGGTGGAGTGGTGCATCCTGAACCCAGGACAGAGCTGGAGGCAATGATTCAGGGTTTGAGAAGTATCAGCCCATCGGCCTGGCGCTTTAAGGTGCAGCTGAGTAGGAAAAGCCAACCCACATCATATTCCCAGAGCCTTGCTGCGCTTTCTGGGTTGTCTTGTTCAAAACTAGTGAAAGGGATGGGAAACCTGCCCAACCTCACTTTAGCCACGAAAATAATGCTCTTGGCCAGTGGCCTTGGACAAACAGCCTCTGGTGCAACAAAACAATCAATAGGAAGAAGAACTTCATTCCCCTCACCATCCTCCTTCCCCAAGTTCCTTTGACCAGCATACCTCATTCGGCTTAAAGGAGAAAGAAAACTATGTGTGACATTCCCTCCCAGCCTACCTGCAGCCAGCCTCCTCACCACACAAACTGCCCATCCCGCTTCTCTCCTCATCTTCAGAGCCATGATTCCAAGAGACATTGCAATACTACTCACTTTAGGTGAGAAGACTGCCTGAAACTCTGAACAATTTCACCTCCCTTGCCCTTTGCCACAGGGGATTCAGAAACCTACAACTGAGAGCAGGGAAATATACGGACAGGCTTGGCACGTAGGAACATTACTTCCTTCACTGGAGTGTAGTTCTCCAGACAACTTTTTAATTATGATTATTCCCTTCCATTGCACTCCTGGAAATTTCAAAGCACTTTCTAAAACATCATTTTTTTTATGTCAGTCATACATTTAGAGGTAAGGGGTTGATGGGATTAACTGAAAGGCTAATGACTGTCTCAAAAGCACATGCTGTTGCTAGGGAACCCAAGCTCCTGCTGCTCTCTAATCACCAGCGTGTTCCGTGGAAATCAAACTGCTCAGGGTGTTATTAAAATGAATGGCATCGGGTTAAAGGCATTCTTGCTTATGTTGTAGCATCCTGGATTATTATCGATTGCCTCACACCCACATATCTTGTTTTCCTAATTTGATTTCTGTATTTGCGTCACTGCCAGGGACACTCAGACTAGACCAGTCAGTTCACTTCCTGTTTCTCAGAACTGGTTTATATTTGGTCTCGTAGCACTAGCTGGTAAAACATTATCAAACTGATCCTCTTGGAAAGAAATCTTTGCTTCCCATTGAAAACAAAATATTCCAATTAAATTGTAATTCCTGTGGAAAACGTCATCATTTGAGGAGTAGACTGCCAGTTGCCATTTGAGAAACAATCCTTGAAATGTAAAGCCTAGAAAAAAAAAACATCATCTTGATTTCTTTTACCCAGAATCTTCATTCCTCAGCACTAGAACTAAGACAAACTCGAGTAAAGAGTAGATTTAAGTATACTTCTAAAATGAAACGCATAAATAAATAAATAAATAAATAAATAAATACATGTCGAAGCTGGGGAAATCATTTAGACTAAACAAGGCATAAAATTGAATGGAATCCAGGCCCAGGAAGGACAAGTAATTTTGGGTTAGCATTGTGGCATTCGGAGAACACAGTGTGACTACAAGGCTACACTACAAATAGGAAACCCCATCACTTTGTGTACTAATTGTCTTTTTTACCAATTCCTCTATGTCCCTGGACAAGACAACCTTGTTTTGTTTTGTTTGTTTTCAGTTCCTTCCTCTTTATAACAAGGATATTGCAAAGGCAATATCAGAAAGATAAGCCCTATGTAAATAGGTGGATTCTGATGTAGATAATTTGTTTAGATGGAAAATGAAGCCCTTTGAAAAAGATGTATAATGGCATCGATAGCCTGGATGACCTTGAGTGAGCCATTGTAGGTCTTATGTCAGTTTCTTCGTGGAAGCTTAAATGAAAGTGCTGGACTAAAGGATTTCTAAGGTTCCTCCCATTTACAAACTTCTGTGATGAGATTGAACTCACTACATAAAAATTTCAATTTTAGCTGGATTTTGCAATGTTAAATTTAAGCACTGAACCTTTAATATCTATCCATAGGAACCTTGAGGGAAATGATGGGAAATGACTTTCTATTGATGTATCCATTTTTAGTGTCTGTTGACAGAAAAATAAAATTTACCTTGCTCCCCATGTACTTAGTCTCTCCCTGCCTCAGTGGTATTATGGAAGCAACAGGATAAGAGTTACAAAAGGATATAAAAGTATAGAGAAAGTTCTTTCAGTCTACTCACTTATTTATTATGACAACGTGTCACTGTGTTACCCAGGCTGGCCTCCAACTCCTGGGCTCAAGCAAGCCTCCCACCTCAGCTTCCTGAGTAGCTGGGGCTACAGGTGCACTCAACCATGCCTAGCCTTTCAGTCATTTTAGATATAGGTAATCCTAAGTACTCTGATGATCAAAGTGGTGGAATGATGGAGGAAGGGGTGTACAAAAAAATAATCAACTGAATCCTCATGGAACTAATAATAATCTATTTGCCTGTGTTTTAATTAGTGCTAGGCAAAAATAGACCTAGCTCAGCTCTTGGAATTTTTCAAATTCACAGTATTGAGAAGTAGCATGAAGAAATGTGAGATTTGTGCCAGAGAGAAAAGACCTGACTTTGAAACCCAACTCTGCCACTTTATTCATTATTGAGTGCTTGCTGTGTGTCAGGTACTGTGCTGGGTGCTGGGAATACAAAGATGAATAAGACACAGTTTCTGCTCTGAAGGACATTATAGTATCATGAGAACAAAGATGAATATACAGTTGATCACGCAACAGTGAGATGATATCAACAGGGGAGCTCATAAGAATGGTGCCTAACCCTGACCACGCATAGGGTCTCTAACCACACAAGGTGAATCTTGAGATGCGTTCTGAAGGATAAGTAGAAGTAAGCCAGACAAGTGGGCAGGTTACAGGGAAAGATATTCCAAGCAAAGAAAGTACTATGTGTAAAGACCTTAGGGAAAAAGCTGTGTGCAGGGAGTTGAGGGTGAAGAACAGAGCCTGGCAAGTAGGTTCTAAATAAATACATTGTATAAATGCATGGCAGAAGTCCTGGAGGAGAAATCCAGAAAGATTAGCATGGTTGAGTATGTTATCCTAAAAAGTTTGAACTTATTCTAAGGCCAGTGGAGAACCACTGATGAATTTTAAGGGGCATAGTGAACTGATCAAATGTTCATTTTAGAAAGATCTCTCAGCTGGGTGCAGTGGCACACTACTGTAATCCCAGCAGTTTGGGAGGTTGAGGTGGGCAGATTGCTTGAGCTCAAGAGTTTGAGACCAGCCTGGGCAACATGGTGAAACCCCTGTCTCTACAAAAATACAAAAAAAAAAAAAAAAAAAATTAGCCAGGCCTGGTGGCACACACCTGTAGTCCCAGCTCCTCAGGAGGATCACTTGAACCACAGAAGCGGAGGTTGCAATGAGCAGAGATCATGCCACTGTGCTCCGGCCTGGGGAAACCTACAATCATGGTGGAAGGCGAAGGGGAAGCAGCCACCTTCACAAGGCAGCAGGAGAGAGAGAGCTTGCGGGGGAAACTGACACTTTTAAAACCGTCAGATCTCATGAGAACTCCCTCACTATCGTGAGAACAGCATGGAGGGAACTGCCCCCATGATCCAGTCACCTCCCACCAGGTCCCTCCCTCAGCACGTGGGGCTAACAGTTTGAGATGGGACACAGAGCCAAACCATATCACATTATAAGAAAGAAATAATGATGCATGTCTAAACTAAGGTAGCAAGAATGGACATGGAGAGAGGAAGCATTGAAAGGGTTTAAGATATATTAAGGACATAGAACCAACAGAATTTGATTATTGATGGTATCCTCCATCAATGCTATCCTTCCATTTTCATAAGCCATAAATCTGCTCCCATTATATCCTGCAGATATATCCTGAGGTCCAAGATAGGGACCTCAGGAGGAAAAGCAGGTTGTGGAGTGAAGGTAATTAGTTTAGTTTTCAACATGTTGAGTTGAAGTGTCCATAGAATATCAAAGTGAAGCTGTCTACTACATAATTGAACAGGGAAGTCTAGAACTCAGGAGAGAGATCTATGCTGGAGTCATCAGAATAAGGAATAGTTCATGGAAGTAGATGAAATCCCCAAGAGAAGGCATAGAGAAAGGAAAGAAGAGGATCTACTTTGGAACCCTATGAAAACCCTGATATTTAAAAAGTGAGGAAAGAAAAAATACAGGGGAAAAATATCCCAAGAGGTAGGAGGACCAGGAACAAGTAGTTTCAAAGGAGCCAGGGGAGGAAACATCAGCAGTATTAAATGCCAGCTAGAAGTCAAGAAAAAGAGGATTGTGGCCAGCTGCAGTGGCTCACACCTGTAATCCCAGCACTTTGGAAGGCCGAGGTGAGCGAATCACCTGAGGTTAGGAGTTCGAGACCAGCCTGGCCAATATGGCAAAACCCCATCTCTACTAAAATTAGCCGGGTGTAGTGGCACACACCTGTAGTCCCAGCTACTCAGGAGCTGAGACACAAGAATCTCTTGAACCCAGGAGGCAGAGGTTGTGATGAGCTGAAATTGCACAACTGCACTCCAGCCTGGGCAACAGAGCAAGACTCTGTCTCAAGAAAAAAAAAAAAAGCAAAGCAAAGAAAAAGAGGACTGAAGTTTTTGGATTTAGTAAGGAGGTCATTGTTGTGTTCGGCAAGAAGGAGTTTATTAGTAAAATGGGGATAGTAGCCAAACTGCAGTGAGTTCAAGACAGGATAAGAGTAGAGGATGCAGATAGATGAAGTTCTTTTATATAAGAAGGACTAAAGGGCAAGTAGGGAAGGAAAATAAAAGAGAGTGGTGTAATCCATGGTCTGCAAGCTTAAGGCTGCACAAGGAAAGAAGGAAATACTACACTAATAGAATTCTTCATTCTCTCAGGCTTCAAATTAAATGGCATTACCACCCACCAATTGCTCAACACAAAAAGCATGTAGATATTCTTGATTCTTCTCTTTTCCTCCGTTTTCACAATCCTCAGAATTCAGGTCAACTTTACCTCCAAAACATTTCCAAAATGTCTCTTTCGGTCTCCACTGCTACCACCCTAATACAAACCATCATCCCTCTTCTGTGCTCTTGTAATAGCTTTCTAAATGGTTTTCCTGCTTCTGCTCTTGTCCTCATTCACCACAGCACAGCTAGAGTTTCATAAATCATAAGTCTTAAGACATAAATCAGATCATGTGATTTCTCATCTTAGAATCCCTCCATGTCTGCTGATGGCACCTGTGATAAAGTCCAGACTCCTCCTCCATGCAGGGCCCGTGGAGCCCTGTACGGCATCCCCGACCACCTCTTCAACCTCATCTCCCACCACTCTCCACCACCGCAGTGACACCAGCCTTATTTCTCTTCCTCAAACTTGTTGAATTTGCTCTTGTATTATAGGATTTACCCTATATACTTCCTTTTCCTGGAATACTCTTTTGGTCATTCTGATCTTTGCTTATATGTCACCTCCTCAAAGAAGCCCTCCCTGACCACGCCACCTGAAGTGTCCTTCTCTCTCCACGTTTCCAACCATCCTAGATATATTTTTTTCATAGTAATGGAACTTTATTTCTATTTGTTTTTATCACATACGGTTGAAAACTCCTCTAAAATGCAAACCTTGTGAAGATTACTGGCATATATCAGGCACTTAAAAAATATTAATTAGGGCCGGGCACGGTGGCTCACGCCTGTAATCCCAGCACTTTGGGATGCCGAGGCGGGCAGATCACGAGGTCAGGAGATCGAGACCATCCTGACTAACATGGTGAAACCCCATCTCCACTAAAAAGACAAAAAATTAGTAGGGCATGGTGGTGGGACTATATAATGAATATATATATATATTCATTGGGTGTTTGTAGTAGGAAAAGGAGAAGAGCAACCATTTATTAGAAATTAGAGACATCAAGAATCAGTCTTAGTGTAATTGGAATGGCTAGTGGTGATGATTACTAGGATTTTAAGATTTTGGAAGTGGAAGAGTTACCAGCTGTGTGATCCTGGACGTTTATATTCTCTGAGCCTCACTTTGTAGTTAACAATACTATATGCCTCACAAGGCTGTTAGGAAAATGAAACGAAATGGAATAGGTATAGGCATAAGGCAGTCTTGTGAAATTATTTTCAGGAATTCAAGACTTCTGCAAATCAATTCACACATTCTACATATGCACTCCCTTGTAATGGAGTTAGCCCTTGATGATTACTTATTATTAGAATAAAAAAATTGACTAAATCATTACTTTGAAAAGATAGTAGGATATCTGATAGAACATGGAAATTAAACTATTTAAGAAGAAATCAGAGTACTCCCACAAATCCATAAAAAAAAAACCTTTAAAACTCTGGAAAATTGGGTAAAGGGTATGACAAACAGATTGTAGTCAAAGAAATACAATGGATCTTAAAATATGTAATAATAAAAGGCATGTGCATCACAACTGCAGTGACATCTATTTTTTACTGTCAAGTTGACAAAAATAAAAAAGTTTAATAACATACTTGGCTGGCCAGGCTGGGAAGCAGGCACTTTCTTATACTGTCAGTGGGAGTGAAAGTGGGTATCACGTCTATGGAGGGCAATCTGGCAACATTTATCAAATTTTTAAATGTACAAAGCCTTTACCCTGGCAATTCTACTTTTATATATTTATCCAATAGATATACTCACACAGGTATTGGAGGATGACTTTTCTAGGACCTTTTCTAGGACTGAAGCACGATTTATAGTAGTAGTTAAAGACTGAAAACAGCCATCAATAGAGAAGTGGTTAAATAAATTATGTGAAAGAGGCTGGGCGCGGTGGCTCAGGCCTGTAATCCCAGCACTTTGGGAGGCTGAGGTGGGCGGATCACGAGGTCAGGAGATCGAGACCATCCTGGCCAACATGGTGAAACCTCGTCTCTACTAAAATACAAAAAATTAGCTGGGCGTGGTGGTGCACACCTGTAATCCCAGCTACTCGGGAGGCTGAGGCAGGAGATTTGCTTGAACCCGGGAGGCAGAGATTGCAGTGAGCCAAGATTGCGCCACTGCACTCCAGCCTGGGCGACAGACCGAGACTCCATCTCAGGAAAAACAACAACAACAACAACAACAACAAACAAACAAACAAAGAAAAAATAAAAAACAGGTGAAAGATAGGCAGCTGTTAAAAGTTTGAGACAATTCTAGGCATACTTATGTGAAAAGATCTTCATGATACATTACTAAGTAAAAAAAATTACAATGAAGAACAACGTGTATTTTGCTAGCATTGCATTTCTTTTTAAAAGACAGTTTACATTTTTTGGTCTGAAAAACATTATTTGTGGGGAGATAAAATAGAGCAGAGAATGAGCAGATGTGGAGAGAATAGTTGGAAGGTACATTAATGGTTCCTGTGAGAGATCATGGTTGCCCAGATTAAGGCAGTGAAACACACAGGGAGAGAAATGATGAGAGCCAAGAGTTATTTTAAAGAAACTGATGATTGATTGGAAATAGTGGGTTATGGAGAGGGAGACATTGTCATAGTTGACTTCTCTCCCAAGATCAGGTACATGAATAGAGGTGTCAAGACCATGACTAAGATGGAGAATCCTAGGACAGAAACAGAATTGCAGGGTGATACAGTTTGGATATTTGTCCCATTTAAATCTCATGTTGAAGTGTAATCCCCAATGTTGGAGGTGGGGCCTGGTGGGAGGTATTGGATCATGGGGGCAGATCCCTCATGAGCCTATTGATGATGAATGAGTTCTCGCTCAATTAGGTCATAAGAGACCTGGTTGTTTCAAAGAGTCTGGGACCTCTGCCTTTTCTCTCTTGCTCCTGCTCACACCATGTGACTTGCTGGCTGCCCTTCCCTTCTGCCATGATTGAAAGCTCCTGTAATAGTCAATTCTCACACTGCTATAAAGACATACCTGAGGGCTGGGTGCAGTGGCTCATGCCTGTAATCCCAACACTTTGGGAGGCCGAGGTGGGTGAATCACCTGAGGTCAGGAGTTCGAGACCAGCCTGGCAAACATGGTGAAACCCCATCTCTACTAAAAATACAAAATTAGCTGGGCACAGTGGTGGGCACCTGTAATGCCAGCTACTCAGGAGGCTGAGGCAAGAGAATCGCTTGAACCTGGGAGGCGGAGGTTGCAGTGAGCCAAGATGGCGTCATTGCACTCCAGCCTGAGCAACAAGAGCAAAACTCTGTCTCAAAAAAAAAAAAAGAAAGAAAGAAAAGAAAGAAAGACATACCTGAGACTGGCTAATAAGAAAATAGGTTTAATTGGCTCATGGTTCTGTGGGCTGTACAGGAAGCATCGCTGGGGAGGTCTCCGGAAACTTACAATCATGGCGAAAGGTGAAGAGGAAGCAAACACATCTTCACATGGCCAGCACAGAAGAAAGAGAATGAAGGGGGAAGTGCTACACACTTTTAAACAAGCACATATCTTGAGAACTCACTGACTATCACGAGAAGAACAAGGGGGACATCTTTCCCCATGATCCAATCACCTCCCACCAGGTCCCTGCCCTAACATTGGGAATTACAATTCAACATGAGTTTTGGGTGAGGACACAGAGCCAAACCATAGCATTCCATCCTGGCCCCTCCCACATTTCATGTCCTTCTCACATTTCAAAACCCAATCATGCCTTCCAAACAGTCCCTCAAAGTCTTAACTCATTCCAGCATTAACTTAAAAGTTTAAGTCCAATATCTCATCTGAGACAATGCAAGTTTCTTCTGCCTATGAGCCTGTAAAATCAAAAACAAGTTAGTTACTTCCAAGATACGATGGGGGTACAAGCATTGGGTAAATACTGCCATTCCAAAATGGAGAAATTGGCCAAAACAAAGGGGCTATAGGCCCCATGCAAGTCCAGAACTCCAGAGGGCAGCATTAAATCTTAAAGCTCTAAAATAATCTCCTTTGACTCCATGTCTCACATCCAGGCCACACCGATGCAAGCGGTGGGCTCCCAAGGCCTTGGGCAGCTCCACCACTGTGGCTCTGCAGCATACATCCCCTGCAGCTGCTTTCATGGGCTGGTGTTGAATGGCTGTGGCTTTTCCAGGGCATAGTGCAAGCTATCAGTGGATCTATCATTCTGGGATCTGGAGGACAGTGGCCCTTTTCTTACAGCTCCATTAGTCAGTGCTCTAGTGGGGACTTTGTGTGGGGGCTCCAACTCCACATTTCCCCCCCACACTACCCTAGTAGAGGTTCTCAATGAGGGCTCTATTTCCACAGCAGACTTCTGCCTGGACATCCAGACATTTCCGTGCATCCTCTGAAATCTATGCAGAGACTCCCAAACCTTGATTCTTGCCTTCTGTGCACCCACAGGCCCAACACCACATGGAAGCCACCAAAACTTGGGGCTTACACCCTCTGAAGCAATGGCCTGAGCTGCACCTTGGCCCCTTTTAGCCATGGCTGGAGCTGGAGTGGCTGGGATGCTTTCTGCCTTGTCTTGGCTATTCACATTTGGCTCTTCTTTACTTATGCAAATTTCTGCAGCCTTAAATTCCTCCTCAGAAAATGGGGCTTTCTTTTCTGCTGCATGGTCAGGCTGCAAATTTTCCAAACTTTTATGCTCTGCTTTCTTTTTAAATATAAGTTCTAGTTTCAAGTCATTTCTTTGTTTATGCAAATGAGGATAGGCTTTTAGAAGCAGCCAGGCCACGTGTTGGCAGGCGCCTGTAGTCCCAGCTACTCGGGAGGCTGAGGCAGGAGAATGGTGTGAACCTGGGAGGCGGAGCTTGCAATGAGCTGAGATCGTGCCACTGCACTCCAGCCTGGGGGACAGAGTGAGACTCCATCTCAAAAAAAAAAAAAAAAAAAGAAGCAGCCAGGCCATATCTTGAATGCTTTGCAGCTTAGAAATTTTTTCTGTCAGGCCAGTTGCAATGGCTCACACCTGTAATCCCAGCACTTTGGGAGGCCGAGGCGGGTGGATCACGAGGTCAGAAGATCGAGACCATCCTGGCTAACAACGGTGAAACCCCATCTCTACTAAAAATACAAAAAAACAAACAAACAAACAAAAAAAAACTAGCCAGGTGTGGCGGTGGGCGCCTGTAGTCCCAGCTACTCGGGAGGCTGAGGCAAGAGAATGGCGTGAACCCAGGAGGCAGAGCTTGCAGTGAGCTGAGATCACGCCACTGCACTCCGGCCTGGGAGACAGAGCAAGACTCCCTCTCAAAAAAAAAAAAAAAAAGAAAAAAGAAAAGAAAATTTTTCTGCCAAATACCCTACATCATGTCTCTGAAGTTCAAAGTTTCATAGATCTTGAGAGCAGGGGCATAATGCCACCAATCTCTTTCCTAAAGCATAGCAAGAGTGACCTTCACTCCAGTTCCCAATAAATTCCTCATCTCCATCTGAGACCACCTCAGCCAGGACTTCACTGTCCATATCACTATCAGCATTTTGGTCACAACCATTCAACAAGTCTCTAGGAAGTTCCAAACTTTCCCTCATCTTCCTGTCTTCTTCTAAGCCCTCCAAAGTGTTCCAACCTCTGCCCGTTACCCAGTTCCAAAGTTGTTTCCACATTTTTGTATATCTTTATAGCAATACCCCAATTCTGGTATCAATTTTCTGTATTAGTCTGTTCTCACACTGTTATAAAGACATATGTGGGACTGGATAATTTATAAAGAAAAGAGCTTTAATCGGCACATGGTTCTGTGGAGCTGTACAGGAAGCATAGCTGGAGAGATCTCAGGAAACTTACAATAATGGAGGAAGGCAAAGGGGAAGCAAACGCATCTTCACATGGCTGGCACAGAAAAGACAGGGTGAAGGGGGAAGTGCTACACACACTTTCAAACAACAGATCTCGTGAGAACTCACTCACTATCACATGAACAGCAAGGGGGAAATCCGCCTCCATGATCCAGTCACCTCCTACCAGGTCCCTCCCCCAACATTGGGAATTACAATTCAACATGAGATTTGGGTGGGGATACAGAGCCAAACCATGTCAGCTTCCCCAGACTCTCATCAGAAACAGATGCAGCACCACGTTTGTACAGCCAGCAGAACCAAGAACCAACTAAATTCCTTTTCTTTAAAAATTACCCAGCCTCCATCCTGGTGAACACGGTGAAACCTCGTCTCTACTAAAAACACAAAAAATTAGCTGGGTGTGGTGGCGGGTGCCTGCAGTCCCAGCTACTCGGGAGGCTGAGGCAGGGGAATAGCATGAACCCCTGGGGGCGGAGCTTGCAGTGAGCCGAGATCGCGCCACTGCACTCCAGCCTGAGTGACAGAGCAAGACTCCGTCTCAAAAAAAAAAAAAAAAAAAAAAAAAAAAAATTACCCAGCCTCAGATATGTCTTTATAGCAATGCAAGAAATGCAAGAATGGACTATCACACAGGGGAAGATCAAAAGTTCTAAGTGCAGATGTCCCCTGCAGAGTTGTAGATATGGGTGTGAGGTTCATAAGAGCTGCTGGAACTGGGTTTATAAATTTGAAAGAAGATTGCCTAGGAGGGTAGATAGAAAGACTCAAAGAAAAGTGGGTCCAGGTCTAATCCTTGATCATTTAAGACTGAAAAGAAGAGAAAGAGCTGGCACTGGAGACTGAGAATCAGAAACCAGGAGACTACGGGGCCAAGGAAACCAAGAGAAGAATCTGTTAAGGAGGATCAGCTCTTTGTTAAACACTGCCAAAAGGTCAAGAAAGATTATTTTAATTTGTTTCTCTCGTAAGCGTTAAGCTCCTTGAGAGTTAGTATTATTTTATTATTTATTTTTGTTTCCCTGGGGCTTGCCCTGTGACCCACACATAATAAATGATCAGTAAACTTTTGTTAGATTGAAGAAAGAGAGAAAGATGCATGGCAAGAAAGGCAGACATGCAGAAAGACAGTAGAATTTATGCTTGGGTCTCAAAAAATAAATAAGTAAAACAGATTCCCTTGAAGTTGACTGCAAACCCAGCTTGATCTTAGGAAATGTAAGGAGGTTCTTTCTGCTCCCTGTGTTTTACTCTTGAGCTAACACATTGATGGGGCTCCCACAGAACCATATTGTTGCCATGTAAGTACCTTCAGAAAACATTTTGAGAAGTGATATTCACCTGTGTCTGGTCAATCTGAGTCATTTTTATCTTTATTTAGGTCCTAGGTGATGACGAAAAGGGCAATTTGCTTTTCCTCGTCTATGACTCCACCACATCACCCTGAATGAGTTGATGGAAACGGGGGCATCCATTTCTGTGCCACTACAGTTCTGTAATACACTGTAATCACTCATAACGCTGCCCAGCCCCAGTTTCCCATGAGAGAGAAAGGTGACTACTGGCAGGAAGAGACGTCTAACCTCTTAGAGAAACCACCAGCTTCTTAGTCTGTTATTGTTTCTGCATTAAAGTGTTGCTGCGGGCCGGGTGCGGTGGCTCATGCCTGTAATCCCAGTACTTTGAGAGGCCGAGGCGGGCGGATCACGAGGTCGGGAGATGGAGACCATCCTGGCTAACACGGTGAAACCCCATCTCTACTAAAAATACAAAAAAAATTAGCCGGGTGTGGTGGCCCGCGCCTGTAGTCCCAGCTACTCGGGAGGCTGAGGCAGGAGAACGGCGTGAACCCGGGAGGCGGAGCTTGCAGTGAGCCGAGATAGCGCCACTGCAGTCCGGCCTGGGCGAAACAGCGAGACTCCGTCTCAAAAAAAAAAAAAAAAAAAAAAAAAAAGTGTTGCTGCTATCAGGGCCGCTGTACAGAATATCAAAGAAGGACATGTTTGACTCTGTTCTAAGAACGTGGAGCTCTTCTACATAATAAAAGAGAGTGTCCTTGAACTGGAAATTTTAGGAAATACAGTAATAGATGTAGTTGAAACAATATTTAAAATGTTATGCCATCCTGTATCATTTAGTTATACCAAAGATCAGCAAACTTTTTCCATTTCTATAAAGGGCCAGAAAGGAAATAATCTAGGCCTTCCTGGCCCTACAGTCTGTCTCAGCTACTCAATTCTGCCATTGTAGTGCAAAGCAGCCACAGACAAAATTTAAATGAATGAACCTGGCCATATTCCAATAAAATGAATTTGAATTTCAAATAATTTTTATGTGTCATAAAATATCATTCTTCTTTTCACATTTTCCAATCATTTAAAAATGTGATGGCCTGGGAAATAGCAAGACCTTGTCTCTACAAAGTACAAATAAAAATAGCTGGGTGTGGTGGCCTGTGACGAGGCAGGTGGATCACAAGGTCAGAAGTTCAAGACCAACCTGGCCAACATGGTGAAACCCTGTCTCTAGTAAAAATACAAAAATTAGCCAGGCATGGTGGCAGGCACCTGTAATCCCAGCTACTTGGGAGGCTGAGGCAGGAGAATTGCTTGAACCCAGAAGGCAGAGGTTGCAGTGAGCCGAGATTGTGCCACTGCACTCCAGCCTGGGCAACAGAGCAAGACTCTGTCTCAAAAAAAAAAAAAAATCTACTTCTTACATAGTACAGTACTGGGTATTATGGAGTTGAAGATAAAAGGATAGATAATTCATAAGTAGGTAGGTAGGTAGACTGACAGACAAAAGATCTAGTGACTGATAAGTTCTGTGAGAATTGTTCAGGTGTATCACAGTATCAATGTATAAATGCAGTCTTTTAAAGCAACAATAGGCAGTCAGACAAAACTAAGTTTAAATCTGAGCTCTTTTGCATCCCAGCTGCATGACCTTGGGGTGATTACATACACCATATAAGCTTCAGTTTCCTCTTTTTGAAATGAGGATAATAACACCTACCTCTCAAGGAGGTTGTGAGAATTAAATAAGATCATGTATGTAAATCAGCAGGTGTAGTACCTGGGAAATGGTAGACAATGAGTAAATGGTAGCTGTTGTTGTAGTATTACAGCAATATGAAGGTAGGTAACTTATTCAAAAGAAGCACACAACCAAAGGCAAAGCAGAGTAAGCTTGTAAGTCAAGAGGTCACAGACACATATAGAAACCCGCAAACCTGGGGGCTGAACACCTGGCCGAGAACATTTGGCTGAAAATAAAAGCAGAAGTGACATTGTCACAGGAGCATACAATAAGGCACCTGGCCAGTTGTCTTGCTTTTGTCTTCTCTAGCAACCAGCTGCTGGGTTGTCTAAGGAGCCCTACTTATGGGTCCAACCCCCAGCCTCCCCAGTACTTAAACGCTGGCTCAGACTGGAGAAAGTCACCATTAGTATCGGCCCCACCATTGTGCTTCCTTTCAGTTAGGTCAGCCATGGGGCCTCAGACATCTGTAGCTCCCTCCTATTGTGCCTCCCCACCCCTCTGCCCAATATGGGTTTCCACCTTGCCCTCAACACCTCAGTCTCTGGTCCTCCTGCCTTGTATCCCAGTCTCCCTTTGGATGTGGGTCCCTTGTCTTGAACCCCAGCCTACTTTACCATGATCCTGATGTCTTCTTTAGCTTAGTTCTGACCAGTCATCTTTGCAGAGGGCTGTATTCTGCTGCCTACACCCCTGCTGTGCTCTCCTCAAACCATGGGACATATGCGCCTTCCCCTTTATAGATAACCCATTGCTAGGGTAAGGCTAAACTGCCTGGTATTAACAGCTTCCTGAACTTTATGTGATTAAGAGACACAAGGTTTTGCAGAGGCCAGCTGCCCAGATCCAAGCTGGTTTCTGTATTCATAGCCCGTGCTCTAGGGAGCATCCCCCAACCCTGGTCTTGGCTCATACCCTCTCTCCACTGGCTGTATGCAGTCAACTACTCCTAGCATGCCTTGTGATCCTGTTATGGCAACATCAGTAATGCTTTCCCAATACAAATGACAAAATTATTGGCACAGGGACACGATATAGGGGTAATGGAGAACTTCAGCTTATCTGATATCTACTGACAGTCTCATTCTGCTGAAAAGTGATCGTCAAATAAAGTTGGCATGACTTAAATTTAAACTAATTGCTTACTGAAGAAGTACTATTCTGTGCTTAATTCTAACCAGCTAAGAAAAATATGTTGGCAAAGTAGAAGTGACAAACAACTTAAAATAAGTGACCAGGGCAGCTTTGAATTTGTAATAGCCAAAGAAGGCAATTCTGCACCTGCTAACCTGACATGAACGAGAGGAGCAAGTTAAGAGAAAATATGGACACAAGACTCCCTCTGGCCAGGAACTAGGAAATAAAGGGCAAGAGGAGTCATATGATTGGAAGTGTACATTTTTACAAAATCAGTGGTTTAAATGAAGAAAAGACGAGCATCCAAAAAAAGATCAGGCTAGGCACTGTGGCTCACACCTGTAATCCCAACACTTTGAGAAGCCCAGGCAGGAAGATTCCTTGAGGTCAGGAGTTCGAGACCAGCCTGGGCAACAAAGTGAGACTTCTGTCTCTGCAAAAAATTAAAAACAGCCTGGCACGGTGGCTCACGCCTGTAATCCCAGCCCTTTGGGAGGCTGAGGCAGGAGAATCACGAGGTCAGGAGATCGAGACCATCCTGGCTAACACAGTGAAACCCCGTCTCTGTTAAAAATACAAAAAAAATTAGCCGGGCGTGGTGGTGGCCACCTGTAGTCCCAGCTACTCGGGAGGCTGAGGCAGGAGAATGGCGTGAACCCAGGAGGCAGAGCTTGCAGTGAGCCGAGATCACGCCACTGCACTCCAGCCTGGGCGACAGAGCGAGACTCCGTCTCAAAAAAAAAAAAAGATAAATATAAATAAATAAATAAATAAATAAATTAATTAATTAATAAATAAAAATCCAGAAGAAAAAGATTAAAAAGATCAATCTGGTTGTTCTGGAAGTGTTCAATTAAGCTTGTACGTTTGAAGGACATGTACAAAAGGCAGGAGAAGGGGTATATAACGAGGCTTCCTTCAAAAAGGAGGGCTCAGATCCGTGAGACCCATGAGAATAATGCCAGAAGGGCTAATGACCAGAGACAGCTGAGGTCTGGGAAAAGTATTGAAGACAATGAATTATGAACTTTTATTTTTGCTTATGTTTATAGTAAAGAATAATAAAGAAGGAAGGATAGTACCATTGAATGGGGCAGACTGTCATATGTGAGTAGTTAAGTGAAAAATAGAGTCATTTAACTATAGCATGTCCTAGATTCTAAGGTACAGATATCCCCCCATGTTTTTAATATTTCTAAAATGAGAATGTAGGTACATTTAACACGGCGGTGTTTTTTGGGAGGGCTCTCAAAACAGCCATTAAATGGTGGTGCATCCTACCATATATATTTTTTTTTCCTGATGGAGTTTCACTCTTGTCACCCAGGCTGGAGTGCAGTGGTGCGATCTTGGCTCACTGCAACCTCTGCCTCCCGGGTTCAAGCAATTCTCCTGCCTCAGCCTCCCAAGTAGCTGGAGTTACAGGTGCGTGCCACTGTGCCTGGCTAAATTTTGCATTTTTAGTAGAGATGGGGTTTCACCCTGTTGGCCAGGCTGGTCTTGAACTCCTGACCTCAGGTGATCCTCCTGCCTTGGCCTCCCAAAGTGCTGGGATTACAGGCATGAGCCATCGCATCCGGCCCATATGTTGATCTTAGAATAGAAGAAATATGGCCGGGTGTGGTGGCTTACGCCTGTAATCTCAGCACTTTGGGAGGCTGAGGTGGGCAGTTCACCTAAGGTTGGTAGTTTGAGACCAGCCTGACCAACATGGAAAAACTCCGTCTCTACTAAAAATACAAAATTAGCCATGTGTGGTGGTGCATGCCTGTAATCCCAGCTACTCGGGAGGCTGAGGCAGGAGAATTGCTTGAGCCTGGGAGGCGGAGGCTGCGGTGAGCCGAGATCATGCCATTGCACTCTAACCTGGGTGACAAGAGCAAAACTCCATCTCAAAAAAAAAAAAAAAAAGAAAGAAAAGAATAGAAGAAAATGGAATTGTTTTTCACTTAGTTCTGCTGGTATCAACCACACTCAGCAGATGAAGGGTCTACTTGGGATCTTGGAAGTGGCAGTGTAGCCAGTGACCACTAACAGGTGGGAAAGAGTCAGAAAGGAGTTTGGAGGCCACACGCAGAGGCATATTATCTCATGGAGCACACAGAGGAGAGTGGGCGAGTACGACTGAAGAACAGGAGTGCAGCAAATATTAGAGACAGGACAAGAAGGAAAAACTGATCAAAACCTCTGAGAAGGGGTAGAGAGAGCCCATTGCCGGCCCACAGAAGCCACGTCACTGAACATGTGTGTCACAGAAGAGGATGGAATGGAGACAGGGGATATGTGTTGAAAAGATCAGGCATGGCCAAGATGCAAGAAGGAATAAAAGAACTGCTGTGAAGATACTCAGAACAGTGTCTAACATGCAGTCAGATGGGAATGGCTTGCCCTGGGCAGGACATTTTGAACTGTGCCTGGAGCATAGTATGTGTCTACCACTGTGTCCTACCTCTTCTGAATCAATTAAATGATTGACTTAAAGCCCTGGTGCTCCAGGTTCCAACTATGTGGCTTCGATTAACCACATAGAAGTCTCCTCTGGGAAGGTATTTAGATCAGGATGTGGGTTTGGGATCACAGATCAGGAAAAGACATTGTGAACTGGTATAAGCAAGATGCTGAGTATATTTGTTTTTGTTTGCTTATTTAAAAAATGACAAGGAATGGTCCGAATAAGTAACCAGGGAAAAAGGGAGCCAAAAGCCAGAAACATTACCAGAATAAATTCAGGGGAGAGTTGGAGCTGTGGTCTGTTTCTACTAGGTCTGTGGAACTCATGTTGAAGAAGGAATTTAGAAAACCTATAGATCAGTTGGCTGTGGAGGAAATTGTTCCAACCATATATGAGCAGGCCCCTAGACACTGTGATGTGTCCAAGTGGTCCATATGCAGCTTGAACATAAAGAGAAGGGACCGAAGTATCGCCTCTGATTCAAAAAAAAAAAAAAAACAACAAACAAAAAATGGAAAAACATGTGGCCAGGAAGAATGGAATGCATTTCAGATGGATTAAAGAATTAAATGTGAAAAGTGACCCATATAATAGGGGTGATATGTGCTGAAAAGCTGAAAGTAGTGTAAGCATTTTTTGACCTTGGAGTGGTAAAGGCCTTCATGAGCAAAAAAGCAATGGTTTATGGTTTATAAAAGAAAAGCATTGTACTTGAGAGGCTGAAGCAGGAGAATCACTTGAGTCCAGGAGTTTGAATCCAGCCTGGGCAACATAGCAAGACTTTGTCTCTAAAAAAGAAGAAGAAAGAAAGGAAAACATTGATATATTTCATTGCTTAGAACTTTTAGCTTATGTAGATAAGGCAGTAGCACAAACAAAATTAAAAGATACATGAGAAATTCTAGATTTTTTTTCATAGGGTCTTGTTCTGTTGCCTAGGCTGGAATGCAGTTGCACATTCATAGCTCGCTGTAACCTTGAACTCCTGGGCTCAAGCAATCCTTCCAGGTAGCTAGGACAACAGGTGTGTGCCACCATGTCTGGATAATATTTTTTTTTAGAGATGGGGCGTCCCTATGTTGCCCAGCCTGGTCTCGAACTCCTGGACTCAGGTGATCCTTCCCCTTCAGCCTCCGGAGTAGCTAGGACCACACGTGTGTGCCACCTCACCTATTTTTTTTTTTTTTTTTTTTTTGGTAGAGACAGGATCTTGCTCTGTTGCCCAAGCTAGAGATTCTAGGACTTTATGTATATGACAAGCGGTAGTGTCTTTAACATGCAAACAACTCATACACTTACAAGAAAAAGACAAGATCTCAAAAGAAGAACGGGTAAAGAACAACAAAAGGCAAAAAGGAAAAAAAGGAATTCAACTGGTCAATGAAAATGAAAATGGTCCAGTTTCATTATTAATTAATGAAAATGCAAATCAAAGTAAAACCCAGATGTCTTTGTGCCTAGCAAATTGTAAGAACTTTAAAATGATATCTTACATGGATAAAGAGTCAGGGAAATAAGCACTCTCATACCACATTGGGAATATAAATTGGTATAAACCTTCTGAGAGCAATTTGGTATTGTGTGTTAAAAACCTTAACATACACAAACCACTTATTTAACACAGCAATTTCACCTTTAAGACTTCATCCTAAGAAAATAACTACAGGTACTAAGAAAATTTAATGTAGAAGAATATTTAGTGTAGCATTCTTTATAATATTAAATACTTAGAGATAACAAATGTCCAAAAAGAATTATTGCATAAATTTTGTGTATTCCCATGATGAAATCTATGTATCCAATAAAAAGCAGGTTATGGAAGATATCATGACATCAGAAAAAGTTGGTCATTTATTATTTATTATTTAAAGACAGGGTCTCTCTCTGTCACCCAGGCTGGAGTGCAGTGGCCTGATCATAGCTCACTGCAGCCTTGACCTCCTGGGCTCAAGTGATCCTCCTGACTCAGCCTCTGAATTAGCTGGGACTACAAGAATGTGCCACCATACCCTGTGAATTTTTTAAAACTTTTTTTAGAGACGAGGTCTTGCTATGTTGTCCAGATTGGTCTTGAACTCCCAGCCTCAAGGGATCATCCTGCCTCGGCCTCCCAAAGTGCTGAGATTACAGGTGTGAGCCACCATGCCCAGCTAGGTCATTTATTTTTAAGTATATTTTCTCAGAAAAAAAGAAAGACTGACCACAGAAAAATATTAACAGTGGCAATATTGTGGTAGTGGATTTATAATTGATTTTATTTTATGGGTGTGATTTCTATAGTTAAGTTCACTTCGATAGACATGTGTGTTCTTATAGTCTGGATAAAGAAGAAATTTAAGATGAAATGGGAGCCAAGGTGAATGATGAAAGGATACATTTAAATTAGACAAAATTTAAATTTAGATGAGATTCAAATTTCAATGAGCTTCAAATCTTCTGATCCATACAAACTGTATCTAGGGATACAAAAGGAACTTCCAGGTATGATTATAGACATGCTATGAGGAATTGCTGAGGATAGAACAAATACCATATGCCTAGGGTTGGGCAACTATGCCAATTTTTAAAAGGGAAAATGGTGGATTCCAGAACCTACAGCCTGATAAGCTTAGTTTGGTTAGGGAAAGAAAGTTGGTATCAACGAGAGCCAACCTGGGTTCACTTAAGTACTTCCAAACCACTCTCATTTCCTTATCTACCATGTGCTTTAAGTCACGTAATCCTCATGCCAGACCTCTAAGGTAGATATTACTACCATTACCCCCATTTCACAGAAGTGGAGCCTGAGGTCATAAATGTCAAGTGATTTGCCCAAGATCCTCTAGCTGGTTTAGTTTTTTCTGTCGATAATGTTAATACGTAAGAAGATGACAGACATATTTGTCATACCTGTCATTGGACACAGGTTTTCAAGGGATGCTGGTGAATAATATAATGGACCATGGAACAGTATTATTCAGTATTATTAGTAGATGAAATGTTTTATTATTACATTTATTACTAATGTATTATTAGTAGATAAAATGATTACACACACAAATGTGGATTGGATGAGATGGCTCATGCCTAAAATCCAAGCACTTTGAGATAGACTGAGGCAAGTGGATTGCTTGAGTCCAGGAGTCCTAAGACCAGCCTGGACAACATAGTAAGACCTGTCACTACAAACAATACAAAAATTAGCTGGGTATGGTGGCATGCAAGTAGCCTCCCAGCTACTTGGGAGGCTGAGGTGGGAGGATTGCTTGATTCCAGGAAGTTGAAGCTGCAGTGAGCTATAATCATGCCATTGCACTCCAGCCTGGGCAACAGAGGGAGACCCTGTCTCAAAAAAAAAAAAAAAAAAAAAAGGTTGGGTGTGGTGGCTCACACCTGTAATCTCAGGACTTTGGGAAGCCAAGGTGGGAGGATCGCTTGAGCTCAAGAGTTTGAAACCAGTCTGGGAAATATAGTGAGACCTCACCTCTACTTAAATAAATAAATAAATAAATAAATAAATAAAATTTAGCTGAGCCTGGTGGTGTGCACCTGTATTGCCAGCTACTCGGGAGGCTGAGGAGGGAGTATCACTTGAGCCCAGGAGTTCAAGGCTGCAGTGAGCTATGATCATGCAACTGCATCCAGCCTGGGCGATAAAGCAAGACTGTGTCTCAAATTAAAAAGTGCAGATTAATAGGACATTGCTTACCTGGAGTTTTCTAAGCGGTAATAATAACACCACTTCCCAAGTACTTATGTGCAAGGTTCTATGCAAAAACGCTTTTCATTCATCATCTCAGTTAATCTTCCCCAGCAGCTGGAGAAACAGGTATTGTTATCCCCATTTTACAGATGAGCAAACCAAGGCTCAGGATGGTTTATGAACTTGCTTGTAATCACCAGATAGCTAGTGATTAGAAGAGCTCAGATTCGGTCACAGAAAGTCTGGTTTCAGAAGCCATATGCTTAACTATTATACTAAAGTATCTTCTTTTGGTTATTGGCTCCTGTTATGCTCAAATTTTTTTATTAAAAGAAAGATGTATTAATCTTGAGGAATGACTTAAAAGGCATACTTCTGCTAAGGAATCAAAGTTGAGAGAATCAAAGAAAAGGAAGGCAAGAAAACCAACATTTATTGAGAACTTACATCAGGTATTATACTGCCCTGGTTTCAGACTCAGGACCACTTCGCAGTGCAGGTAGTATTAGCCCTATTTTCACTGATAAGCAGGTTGAGACTCAGAGATCACATGACATGTTCTAGGTTACAGGGCTATGTAATAAAACCAGAATTCGAATACAGATCTGTCTGACTCCTAAACCTTTCCACTTTTTACTACTGGCTCATGAAAAGCCAATGTAAAAATACATAATAGTGGGAAAAAGTGTAAAATCTTGCAATTGGCTTTTAAAAGTCAATTGTGTAAATGTTAGATTTGGAAGACATAGTATATCAACATTTCAAGTGCAAAAGATCTCAAGATTTGAGTTGATCATAAAACACCATGAGTCAGCAGTGTGGCTGTGAGAACACTCGTACAATCTCAGGTGGCATTCACAGAAGCACTGTGTCCTGGAAAAGGGAAAGAATGTGCCTACTGGTTTCTAACTGCTTATACCAGATGGAGAGAATTGTGATTAATTCTGAGTGCCACATTTTAAAAGGGACTTTGACAGACTAGGGTATGGTTATCCAGAGGAGAGCAGCCAACTGGTAACAAAAGACACATATACATACATACATATATCCATACATAACGACTGGATTATTTCACAGAGGTGAAATGATTGGGAAAGCCCCAGAGGTGGCTGGAAACCATTCTCAGTTAGCTGGAGGGCTGTCGTATGGAAAAAAGTCTTCTTATACTTGTGTGGCTCCAGAGGACAAAGCTATGTTTGGAAGGAGGTAGATTTGGGCCAATAAATGAAAAACCAAAGGCCGGGCGCGGTGGCTCACACCTGTAATCCAGCACTTTGGGAGGCCGAGGCCGGTGGATCACAAGGTCAGGAGATCAAGACCGGCCTGGCCTGGCCAACATGGTGAAACCCCATCTCTACCAAAAATACAAAAATTAGCCGGGCGTGGTGGCAGCGCCTGTAATCCCAGTTACTCATGAGGCTGAGGCAGGAGAATCGCTTAAACCTGGGAGGCGGAGGTTGCAGTGGACCGAGATCAAGCCACTGCACTCCAGCCTGGGTGACAGAGTGAGACTCTGTCTCAAAAAAAAAAAAAAAAAAAAAAAAAGAAAGAAAGAAAGAAAGAAAGAAAGAAAGAAAAACCAGAGCATGACTGTGCCTTGCATATATTTTTAGGCCCTGAAGTACCAAGCCCGATGCTTTAGACATCACAGGCACTCAACAAATATATATTGAATGGAATTGATGTGTTGCTGTACAAAAGCCCAACCAGCTGTCTTGTGGGGTAGCAGGCTCACTAGAGATTTTGAGCAGAAGCTAGATGGCCACTTGTACTCAGGACTCCCATTCCATAAAATAATTCCTACTCCTTGCCCAATTCCACCTTCTTTCCAGCCTTACCTGCTTCCCTCCTGGCAACTTCAAAGACGAGTCTTCACTCAAGCCACTCCAGGCTGACTTCTTTTTTATTTTTTATTTTAATTTTAATTTTTTTTTTCTTTCTTTCTTTCTTTTTTTTTTTTTTTTTTTGAGATGGAGTCTCACTATGTCTCCCAGGCTGGAGTGCAGTGGCGTGATCTCGGCTTACTGCAACCTCCGCTCCCAGGTTCAAGCCATTCTCCTGCCTCAGCCTCCTGAGTAGCTGGGATTACAGGCACATGCCACCATGCCCGGCTACTTTTTGTATTTTTAGTAGAGATGGGGTTTCACCATGTTAGTCAGGATGGTCTCAATCTCCTGACCTCGTGATCCGCCCGCCTCGGCCTCCCAAAGTGCTGGGATTATAGGCGTGAGCCACCGCGCCCAGCCTCTATTTTTAATTTTTTTTATAGATGGGGTCTCACTATGTTGACCAGGCTAGTCTCAAACCCTGGGCTCCAGTGATCCTCTTGCCTCAGCCTTCCAAACTGCTGGGATTATAGGCATAAGCCACTACACCCGGCCCAGGTTGACTTCTTTTTTTTTTTTTTTAATTTGGTTTTTTTTTTTTTTTTTTTTTTTTTTGAGACGAAGTTTTGCTCTTGTCGCCCAGGCTGGAGCACAATGGTGCAATCTCGGCTCACTGCAACCTCTGCCTCCCAGGTTCAAGCGATTCTCCTGCCTCAGCCTCCCGAGCAGCTGGGATTACAGGCGCCTGCCACCAAGCCCGGCTAAGTTTTGTATTTTTAGTGGAGACGGGGTTTCACCATGTTGGCCAGTCTGGTCTTGAACTCCTGACCTCAGTTGATCCACCTGCCTCGGCCTCCCAAAGTGCTGGGATTACAGGCATGAGCCAACGCGCCCGGCCAGCTGACTTCTAATTCTCTAGAAACTGTGCTCATCAGGTCTTCTAATTACTAAGCCTTATCTTATACCTGGTCTGACCCCAGAGAAAGCTGTTGATCATTTTCTCTGGGAAGGTCTCATGTCTCTTTCCTTGCAGACCTCCCTCTGTCCCACTCTCATGCCCCATCTTTTCTCCTTTCCAGTCTATTGCCAGGGTCCTTCTCCACTGACAGCTGCCTCAGGCTTTTTTTCAGTGTTCTTCGCTTGGTCCTTTTCATTGTTTGTCTGCCCCCAAGATATCCTATTTATTACGAGGACTGAGCCACTGATGGGCCCGGACTCCTGAACCTATGCATTCAGTCCAGACCTCTCTCCTGATCTGCAGACCTGTCATTCATTTGCACTGGATATCCCACAATTACTGTGAGCTTCATATCCTGTTCAGCATCCCCTCTGCACTTGCTCTCCTTCCTGCCTTTAGCTTCGTCAGTGTCATTGCACTTCAACCTCGGCCCGTCTCTCCTACTCCCAAACCTCTATCTAATTGATAACTGTGTCTTCAGTGCTACTTTTAAATCCCCCTTGGACTTGTTACTACCCTTCACCCCACTGCTGCTATGGTGACTCAGACCTTAATCCCTTCTTTAGACTATTACAGTAGTCTTCTAATTGGCTTTGCTGGCTCAGTCTTCATCCTGCCACTAAAGTTTTTAATTTTTTAAAATATGAATGAGCACATCTTTCCACTCTTTAAGAAATGCTGATAGTTACTGTCTTCAGTATCAAGTCCAGATTCCCTAGCTGTAATCAAGGTTCCTCGCAATATAACCACAACATACCTTAGCATTGATTTCTAGCCCACATCAGACTTCTCTCTTTTCTTGGAACAGTTTTCCCTCTCCACACCTTTGTGCCTGTTTTCATCCTATTCCTCTTACAAAAAAGCCACTCTTCTCTCCTTGCCAACTCATCTCCTCCTTCAGTGGTTCTAGGAAAAGAATCCACTTCCTGTTTCTTGTTTTTTGTTTGTTTTGAGATAGCATCTTGCTCTGTCGCCCAGGCTGGAGTGCAGCAGAGCGATCTCGGCTCATTGCTACCTGCGTCTCCCAGGTTCAAGTGATTCTTCCGCCTCAGCCTCCCGAGTAGCTGGGACTACAGGCGCCCACCACCACGCCCGGCTAATTTTTGTATTTTTAGTAGAGACGGGGTTTCACCATGCTGGCCAGGCTGGTCTCAAACTCCTGACCTCAGGTGATCTGCCCTCCTCCTCCCAAAGTGCTGGGATTACAGGCATGAGCCACTGCGTCTGGCCTCTCTTCCACTTCCGCGTCAGGAGTTTAGGGACGCATCAGAGTGAGAAATATGGTATTTAAGGCAATGGACTGGATTGACAATTGCAGAGGGACAAGCCCAATGGGGCTGCCAATATTCAGACATTGGGAAGGGCCCAGCCAAAGAGACTGCGAGGGAACAATGAGGTAGGAGGCAACCTAGTGAGGTGTGATGGAAGATAAGGGTAGAAAGTGTTTTATCAGAAGGGGTGAACATTGTGCCAAGAGTCTGCTGAGAGGAGTAAGATGAAGACTGTGAATTTGGATTTGATGTCATGGAGGTCATTGCGAGCTTCATCGGTGTGTTTTCAGTGGAGTAATAGGGGCAAAAGGCTGACTGGATTGGCTTCAAGAGATAGGCAGAAATGATGAAGTAGATGCTTGTTGAACGGGTAAAAGTCGGATAAATGAAGAAATAATGTCTTCGAGAGGATCCCATGATAGATCATGAACCAAAATAGATAAATGAGTTATTCTGAGTCTCTGAAAAACTCCTGAGTAGAAACAATGATGTGATTTCAGGGTGCAAAGCTTTGCGTAAGTGACAAGGGAATTCAGGTGGGATTACTCAGGCAGTAGGGTGAGTCTAGGGAGGGCTGTTTATGAGTTCTGTTGTGCTTGCAATTTTATCTCCTCCTGGCCTCAGTTCATGAAGGCCTTCATGCAAGACTTCTCAGAGGGGGGCCTCAGGGACGAGCTGTCCCTGCAGGGACTTGGGTGTAGGATTTTGAGAGATTATTTTCAAACACCTCTTGCAGGCATGTGGGGTTCCTGAGAATAAGCCTTTCAGGCTGACTTCCGCCCTTTTTGGGGAGTGAGCAGCACCAAGTCTGCCTGGTCAGGAAGAGGTGAATGTGGAAAACCTGATCCATCCAACATAGTGTATTTGAAAATGCTGTACTTCAAAATGTTTCTCTATAAAAATGTTATATTGAAATAATAATGGAGATGGACCAAGTGGTCGCCTAGATTTGATGAATAAGCAGGCTGTTTATAGCAGTTCCCCACTGGAGTACAACAGTAATGAAGTATGAAGAATACAAACCTGGGTAGACCAGACCCAGACTTTGATTTTGTGTTGTTCCCTGTGTCATTTTCCTCAAATGGTCAAAGCTTCAAAAGGCACTTTGGTACCGATTCCATATAGAATGTGTTTTTACTTACATGACTGAGGACAATACATTTCCCTTCATAGAAGCATTTTTGGGGATGTCCAGGGCCCAGACTGTGAAACAGAACCAGCCATAAAGTAACTGAACAACTCCCGTTGCACCACATGTCCTGCCGTTCTCCAAATGCATTGTCTGCTCTTATTTGTTGGTGTCTTTGCCCACGCTGTTCCCTGGAACACCCAAATGCCCTTCGTCCTGGCATGCTTAGCTCTGGGAGGACCTTCTGCAGGAGGCCTTCCTCACCCACTCATACAAAGACAGAGCCCCAAACCACATTTGCGTGTAGTTCAATCGCCACACCTACCACAGTGAACTTCAGTGGTTTTCTCTTCTGGCTTTCCCATTGGACTGTGAGTTTCTTGAAGCCTGTGACTTTGTCTTAATTCTGGGGTTCCTAGGTTATTTTTTTGCATGCCACCACACCCAGCTACGGGGTCTCCCTGTGTTGCCCAGGCTGGTCTTGAACTCCTGGGCTTAAGTAATCCACCCACCTCGGCCTTCCAAAATGCAGGGGTTACAGGTGCGAGCCATCACACTTGGCCCTTGATCCTATTTCTATCCTGTGCATCTAGAATAGCGCCTGTACAGTTTGAGCACATTATCGTGTTTATTGAATAGTTGCATGAAGGCTGGAGAGTGTGGATGAATGAATATATAAAAAGATCAGAAAAATGTTACCCCCCAAATTGAAGCTAATAAAAGAAAAAGAGTGTCAATGACTTTACATATATGCAGAATTTGTACCTATAATGGTTTTTTCCACATCCGGTTGAGACAAGATTATTGCAACGTAATGTGTATGGAAAGGGGAGTGATCCATCCTGTGACTTGTACTGTGTGTGGCACAAGATTGTGGAATCATGCTGATGAACATCAGAGTTGGGTAGTAGGGATTGATTGGTTTAATTCTAGATTTGTGAGAGAGATGTGATCTGTGAACATGAACTTTTTTTGTTGTGTTTTGGTTTTGTTTTTGTTTTTTGAGATGGAGTCTTGCTCTGTTGCTGAGGCTAGAGTGCAATGGCGCAATCTCGGCTCACTGCAACCTCCACCTCCTGGGTTCATGCAATTCTCCTGCCTCAGCCTCCCAAGTAGCTGGGATTACGTGCATGCGCCACCATACCCGGCTGATTTTTGTATTTTTAGTAGAGATGGGGTTTCACCATGTTGGCCAGGCTGGTCTTGAACTCCTGACCTCAGGTGATCCACCTGCCTAGGCCTCCCAAAGTGCTGGGATTACAAGTGTGAGCCACTGCACCCGGCCAGAACACATGAACATTTTGGTCCTTGTCTTGTCTTTTCTTTCTTTCTTTACTTTTTTTTTTTTTTTTTTTGACAGAGTTTCACTCTTCTTGCCCAGGCTGGAGTGCAATGGCGTGATCTCGGCTCACCGCAACCTCCGCCTCCCGGGTTCAAGTGATTCTCCTGCCTCAATCTCATGAGTAGCTGGGATTAAAGGCATGTGCCACCACGCCCAGCTAATTTTGTATTTTTAGTAGAGACAAGGTTTCTCCATATTGGTCAGGCTGGTCTCAAACTCCAAACCTCGGGTGATCTACCCACCTCTGCCTCTGCCTCCCAAAGTGCTGGGATTACAGGTGTGAGCCACTGCGCCTGGCCAGAACACATGAACATTTTGGTCCTTGTTATTTCTTTTAAGCAAAATATTTTTTCTTTTAAAATTGGAGCACAAGGTACACCTTAATAAATATGTTTATTTGAAGCATCATTTCATTATTCACGGTTTTTAAATTTTTCATAAAAAATTTTAAAAATAAACCAGCCGTAACACCTCTGAAGTGGAAGTTACACTGAACCAGGCATTTCATTTCCAGGTGCCTTGGTCTCTTTCATGCATAATTTGTAAAATGATAATAGCCCTTACTAGTATTTACATTGTAAAAGTGTTGTTACTGTAAATTAGATAGTCTAAAATGGGTTATGATGCCTTCTTTGAAAGACAAGCATTACACACAAATGAGGTATTATTATTTAGTTTTGCCTTTTCAAGCTCGTTAAATGAGAATTAGATGAAAACTCTGCTTTAAGCAATATTCAGCGGGTAAGTGACTATTGACTTGAGTGAAATGAAAAAAAAAATTCTTCAGCTGAAAACTCAGTTTGTACAGCCTTGCCTATCTGTGCACAGGCAGAAATAGTGTATTTATATGTGATGTTTACCAATGTTCTTTATCTCCTCTCTGTGCTATAATCAAAAACTGAAGACAGTTAAGCCTTTCAGTTCAGTCATTGTATGCGTCTTGGAAAACCTAAGTCATCTGGAATGATTACAACTTAGAAATAATGTTTCCACGAATCAAGTCATGCTGCTAGCTTTCTTACTGATTTAGGGCCTAAATTAACTGTGCCAGGCCTTCGCTTCCACTCCTGGTTCTTAGGATGGGGGACCTATTCCTGCAGTGTTTCAGGTTAGTTACCACTAAGGCCTATGTGCACCTCATTATCACCCCCAACCAGGCCCAGGGCTTTCCTATCTTCTTCCTGGAATACAGGGATAGGATGGCAGGAGAAGGGGTGTTTGGAAATAATATTTGAGGAATTGTGGATATCAGAAATTTCATGGGAAGGTCTGAGGTCTGAAACAGTACCCTGGGAGGATTCAGGGTAACAGAGAGCCGGTGGTGAGGGACCCATCCGTACAGCATCATTGTGGCCTCTGTGTGGTCTATTGGCTCTAACCCATTTTTGGCCCCTGCTCTTGGACTCCCCCCGTCCCTCCCCTCTCATTCAAACCCCTTCTGGTGTCCATCCATTAGGCCTTGACTCACCTTCGCTCCCCAGGGCCAACCTTCAGCATTGCTTGCAGTTATAGTCATCTGCTTTCCACCTGACCCATTTATTTTGGCTTCTGGATTTTGCTCCTAGAGAGGCCCCCTGCTTGGATAGCTGCCTGGCCAGCTGCAGAGCCAGCTGTTTGTTCCAGACTCCAAGGTGACTACACTCCTCTCTTCTCCCTCTGACTGGTCCTGATACATGGGCTGTGACAAGAAGTGAGAGATAGTGACAGTGTGACAATTGTGTCAGAACAGATTCATCCCTCTGTAGGTCATCTCAGCAGTGGACTGCTCAGAGTTCAGGTACACATTCATGCTTCACAGTGGGCCATGGACCAGGAAGTCTGTGTGGACCTCAGAGGCCTAGGGACAGGGGTGGGTACAGAAGAAGAGTTAGGAGGAGGACACAAAAGGCTAATTTGGTTTGCTCTGCAGTTTTGGCCAAGACCAGTACTGGTTTTTGGGCTACTGTTCAACAGACAGGCCATGTCCTTCAAGAGCATTGGCAGGAGGTCAGCTGAGCTGACACGCAGGTGGTAAGGGACCTCAGAGATCCTCTGAGGTGAGCCTAATGGTGGCCCACCTTCCTTGCCCTTGCAAGGAAATTTAGGGATTATGTCTTCCACTTTTAAGGCAAACTTTTTGAAACAGGTGTCTGCATCCATTGGTTCCATTTACTCTTCAACTCACTCTGACCTGACTGCTGCCTCCCCGGACCCTGCTCTCTGCCAAACTGGTCAGATATCTCCATGGTACTCACCTGTGGGTGCTTCTTAGTCTTTTTCTTGCTCGATCTCTTGATAGCATTTGCCTTTGTGGACCACAGCCTACTCCTTGAAACATGCTTTTCCCTTGTTCTCTGGATACCTCACAATTCTTTTTTCCCTACCTCACTGGCTACACCTTCTCGCTCTTTTTTTCAGGGGTCCTTTCTCTGCTCATGTCATATAGCTTGGATATTTGTGTCCTCCAAACCTCATGTTGAAATTTCATCCCCAGCATTGGAGGTGGGGCCTGGTGGGAGGTGTTTGGATCATGGGGGTGGATCCCTCATGAATGGCTTGGTGCCTTTCTTGCTGTGATGAGTGAGTTCTCGCTCTATTAGTTCACATGAACACTGATGTTCAAAAGAGCAACACCTCCTCTTCTCACTCGTGCTCTCTCTCTGGCCATGTCATGTGACATGCCTGGTCCCCTTCACCTTCTGCCGTGAGTAAAAGCTTCCTGAGATCTTGCCAGAAGCAGATATGACTGCCATGCTTCTTATACGGCCTGCAGAACTGTGAGCCAAATAAACCTTTTTTCTTTAGAAATTACCCAGCTTCAGGCATTCCTTTTAAGCAACACAGAATGAACTAACACACCATCCTTTTTTTTTTTGTTTTGTTTTCTGAGACAGAGTCTCGCTTTGTCGCCCAGGCTGGAGGGCAGTGGCACGATCTTGGCTCACTGCAATCTCCGCCTCCCAGGTTCAAGCAATTCTTCTGTCTCAGCCTCCCGAGTAGCTGGGACTATAGGCGCGTGCCACCATGCCTGGCTAATTTTTTTGTCTGTATTTTTAGTAGAGATGGGGCTTCACCGTGTTAGCCAGGATGGTCTCCATCTCCTGATCTCGTGATCCACCCACCTTGGCCTCCCAAAGTGCTGGGATTACAGGTGTGAGCCACTGTACCTGGCCTACACCATCCTTTATTTAAGCTTTGGTGTTATTCTGTCTTCTCTCTTTTTCTCTGCTCCTACACACCCTCCCAGGGCATCTCATTCATCGCTGTGAAGTCTCTTGTTGTCTGTCATGTATAGATGACTCCTAAATGGATATCCTCCGATTTCTAGATCAAACTGCTTGCTGTTGCTCTGAATGTTCCCCAGTCATCACAAAACAAACACGTCAAAGGCTTAACTCAGCACCTTCTCTCCAAAATCTCCTCAATTTCCTCTTCATATTTTTGCTGTCTTAGTGAATGATATCCACTATCCACCAAGTTGTCTAAGTCAAAAACCTGATCTCCAGTCCGGACTTTGCCCTCTTCAAAACTCCAACATGTAATCTATCACGACTTTCAGTAGATTCTACCTCCTCGAGAATGTGGCTTGTACATTTCTCCATAATTTGGTGCTGCTCACCTTTCCAGTCTCATCTCTGACCACTCTGAGACTCTCTAAACTACTTTTAGTACTCACATACTCAGCATGCATAATCATTCATGTTCTTTCCAAAATGTACGTATGTTGTGCCCTCCACCCAAAACAGACTTCCCCACCTCTTTATTTGGTTAACTCCTTCACACCTTGTAAGTGTCTGTGTACAAGTCACTAACTTCCAATTTTCCCTAAATCTGGGTTAGGTTACCTCCTAGGGCTCTCAGTACTTATCTCTTCATAACACGCTTCTCTATCACAGCTGACTTTCCTGTTTCTACCGTGCCCTGTCCTGTGAGGTTCCTGTAAGTGCTTACGGGGACCTTATTTTTTCTATTCACCTTTGTATTCCTAACACCAACAAAGTATTTGGTACAAAAAACAGATGCTCAAGAAATGAATGAATGTGAATGTCAAAGGTATCATTGTGAAAATATAAATTAAATTTCCGGCTGGGTGTGGTGGCTCACAACAGTAATCCCATCACTTTGGGAGGCCAGGGCAGCAGGGTTGCTGCAGCCCAGGAGTTTGAGACCAGCCTGGGCAACATGGCAAGTCTCTCTCTACAAAAACAAAAAAAAGGCAGGGCACGGTGGCTCACGCCTGTAATCCCAACACTGGGAGGTCGAGGTGGGCAGATCACCTGAGGTCAGGAGTTTGAGACCAGCCTGGCCAAAATGGCAAAACCCTGTCTCTACTAAAAATACAAGAAACACATTAGCCAGATGTGGTGGTGTGTGCCTGTAATTCCAGCTACTCGGGGGGCTGAAGCAAGAGAATCGCTTGAATCTGGGAGGCGGAGCTTGCAGTGAGCCAAGATCGCGCCACTGTACTTCAGCCTGGGTGACAGAGCGAGACTCCATTTCAAAAAAAAAAAATTAAAATGATAATAATAATTTAAAAAAATTAGGCCGGTCGCGGTGGCTCATGCCTGTAATCCCAGCACTTTGGGAGGCCGAGACGGGCGGATCACAAGGTCAGGAGATCGAGATCATCCTGGTTAACACGGTGAAACCTCGTCTCTACTAAAAATACAAAAAATTAGCTGGGCGTGTAGGCGGGCGCCTGTAGTCCCAGCTACTCGGGAGGCTGAGGCAGGAGAATGGCGTGAACCCGGGAAGCAGAGCTTGCAGTGAGCTGAGATCGCCCCACTGCACTCCAGCCTGGGCAACAGAGCAAGACTATGTCTCAAAAGAAAACAAAAAAGGAATTGCAAGCAGAGGGCAATTAATAGAGGTAGACTTCACATCTGTCCCTTGTGGGCTTCTTTTCCAGAGTTCCATATCCAGACTCTCAAACCATGTTTTGGGATCATCCAAACATTCCATCCTCCTGACTCCATAAACTATTGGATTCATAACCTGCTCCATGCTTGAAAACATGGGGATTGGAATTCGGTAAGTGTTGATGTTTTAGTTTTTTCTTTCTTTAGTTGTCAAAAAAGTACTGTACCTATATAGTAATGCTTTTCAAATTCTTCTCTCTGGAGTCTTCATCAGAAGATGTGACTGGAGTCCTCACTAGTCTAGTTGTTTTCACAATGTTTGAATATGCTATGTGTACAAAGAAATGTTGTGAAGTCTTCTGAGGAATTCCATCCTTTCACATTTTCTCCTCTGTTTCATGAGTATTTAAATTCTTTGGCTGGGCGCAGTGGCTCATGTCTGTAATCCCAGCACTTTGGGAGGCCGAGGCCGGCAAATCACGAGGTCAGGAGTTCGAGACCAGCCTGGTTAACATGGTGAAACCCCATCTCTACTAAAAATACAAAAAATTGCTGGGCATGGTGGCAGGTGCCTGTAATTCCGCTACTTGGGAGGTTGAGGCAGGAGAATCGCTTGAACCCAGGAGGCAGAAGTTGCAGCGAGCCAAGATCGTGCCACTGCATGCCAGCCCAGGCGACAGTGCGAGACTCCATCTCAAAAAAAAGAAAAAATTCTTCATCATTGCTCTATTGATATTTTCTAAAGTGACTTCACATAGAGAAAAGTGGATTTTTGGCTGGGCACAGTAGCTCATGCGTGTAATCCTAGTGTTTTGGAAGGCCAAGGCAGAAGGATTGCTTGAGGCTGGAAATCCAAGATCAGCCTGGGCAACATAGCAAGACCCCATCTCTACAAAAATTTAAAAATTATCTAGGACTACAGGTGGCATGTGCCTATAGACCCAGCTACTTGGGAGGCTGAGGCAGGAGGATCACTTGAGACCAGGAGTTCAAGGCTGCAGTGAGCCATGATCACAACACTGCACTCTAGCCTAGGCAACAGAGCAAGACCTTATCTCAAAAAAAATAAAAATAAAAATAAAAGTGGATTTTGAGAATCAGAAAGACTTGCTGCCCACTCTGGGCCAGTTTAATAATGCAGGACATGTGTAGTTCAACCATACTCCAAAAACAACTCTGTTTTAGCCATACTGCCTATCGTCAACCCCACTGCATCCCCACTGTCAAATTTCTCTAGCCCCATAACTGATTTTGTTTTTCATAACACTTCTTTGTTTGTTGTCTACCTCCTTTCCTAGAATGTAAGCATTATGAGGGCAGGCAATTTTTTTGTTCAGCACTAGATGCTCAGCACTTGGAACAGTAACTGGTACACAGAAGGCACTCAGTAAATATTTTTTGATTGAATGAATGATGTATTTTAAAAGTTTTTCTTTTGGCCGGGCTCAGTGGCTCACACCTATAATCCCAGCACTTTGGGAGGCTGAGGCGGGCGGATCATGAGGTCAGGAGATCGAGACCATCCTGTGAAACCCCGTCTCTACTAAAAAAAAATACAAAAAATTAGCCGGGCGTGGTGGTGGGCGCCTGTAGTCCCAGCTACTCGGGAGGCCAAGGAAGGAGAATGGCATGAACCTGGGAGGCGGAACTTGCAGTGAGCCAAGATCATGCCACTGCACTCCAGCCTGGGTGACAGAGCAGGACTGTGTCTCAAAAAAAAAAAAAAAGTTTTTCTTTTTAATTTTTATACTTTTAAAAATAGAGATGAGGTTTTGCTATGTTACCCAGGCTGGTCTTGAACTCCTGGCCTCAAGCAATCCTCCTGCCTCAACCTCCCAAAGCGCTGGGGTTACAAGTACATTTTTGAGCCACCACACCTGGCCCTTGTGTTTTGTTTGTTTTTTTCTTTTTAAAGAGGCTGATGCAGGCCGGGTACAGTGGCTCACACCTGTAATCTCAGCACTTTGAGAGGGCGAGGTGGGCGGATCACCTGAGATCAGGAGTTCAAGACCAGCCTGACCAACGTGGAGAAACCCCGTGTCTACTAAAAATACAAAATTAGCCAGGCGTGGTGGCACACGCCTGTAATCCCAGCTACTCAGGAGGCTGAAGCAGGAGAATCGCTTGAACCCGGTAGGCAGAAGTTGCAGTGAGCCAAGATTGCACCATTGCACTCCAGCCTGGGCAACAGGATTGAAACTCCATCCCCCAACCAGCAACAACAACCACAACAACAACAACAACAACAACAAAGAGGCTGATGCATATTCGGATCTCCAGGGATCTAATGAAAATCTGCTTTTTCCCCGAACACTTATATCGATGACTAAGACAATAACATTGATGGCCTGCCGAACAAATTTACAGATGACACACACTAGAAAGAATTACAAATAGGTTGGAGGATACAATCAGATTCTCTCCCCACCCCCAATCCTGACAAAATGTAATAATGAATCATATCAAACAATATAGAGTTTAATGTGTACCAATATAAAGTACTCAAAGATCCTCGAATTGTACAGGTACTGAGTGGGGGCGAGGTGGCTTACAGCTACACACGGCACGAAGATTTACAGTCTCCTGTTGATTGTAAGAAGATGAGTCAACACAGTGGGATGTAGCTTTAAAAAAAAATCAATCTTTTGTTGTATTAATAGAAATGTAACGTTCGAGAGGGGAACTAGTTCTCTAGTACTCACTGATGATCAGACCACATTTATTGTGTTTTATGAATTCTGGGCTTCAGACATTCAGAGACATTGATCAACAAAGGATTATATGGGAAAAATAAAAATGATAATAAGAAATCTGGTGCACAGAGTTATTCAGAAATAACAAAAAGATCCAAGGTTTTATGTAGGTGTGTAAGGGGGATGGTGATAACTAGCATATGTAGCTACCTTTCAAAGTTTGAGGTCTATCCGGCAGAGGAGAGATTTGATCTCTTCTGGGTAATCCCAAATGGCAGATTGAGGGCCAATGAGTGGAGATGTAAGCACGTACATTTCAACCCATTAACATTGGTCAACTGTTAGATTTGCCTAGCAGACAAATGGACAACCACTGGAGGTAGTAAATTCCCTGACCCTGGTGCCCGGAAGTGGGGCAGTCATGCCCCATTCACTGGGTACATTTGTGACAGAAGTTCAAACACTAGAGTGAGGAAGTGAGGAGAATAGATTTGTTTATAATAGCAAACACATAGTGAGTGTGTACTGTATGGCAAACACCATAATACGTGATTAATGAGGTTGTCATTTCTAATACATCAATCCCACTAGCTCATTTTACAGATGAGAAAGTGAGGCTTAGAGGGATTAAGCAATTTGCCCAAGGTCTTACACCTTGGTACAAAGCAGATCTAGGATTTGAACCCAGGCAGTCAGATCCCAAACCTTAATTATTATTCTATGAGGACCCTAAGGTGGGCATGGTGGTACACGCTTATAGTCCCAGATACTGGGGAGGCTGAGGCAGGAGAATCACTAGAATCCAGGAGTTCAAGACTGCAGTGAGCTATGATCATGCCACTGCACTCCAGCTTGGGCATCAGAGCGAGACATTGTCTCTAAAATAAGTAAATAAAAATAAAAGTAAAGTATAAGGACTTTCACTTCTAGAAAGCCGTTCTTTCCCACCTTGAGATCCTATCACTCTAATGAAATAATCAAACCGAGGAGTTTATCTCAAAGGGTGGATGATTCTATAGTACATAGATTCCCTCTATATGTAATATGCAGGAACTGTATTAGTCTGGCCATTTGCCACTTGGGTATACTGTATGGAGCCCAGCATAGGACTTGGCACACAGTAGGTGCTTGCTAATTATTTATTAAGTGAAAAGAATGAACAAATGCAACAAATACAACATTGGCGGGATCTGAAATGACAGAACCTCAATATATTGTGCCTGAAGAAAAGCACATTTCTGGGTGGTCTACTGAGGACCCTCAGCAAAAGTGATAATCCGTCACTCCCGGCAAAGGCCTTGAGAATTCCTGTGCAATTGTTTGAACAATATTCATTTAAACAAATATTTATTGAATACTGGTCCTGTACCAGGTATGTCCAATGTGTGAAGGATGCAGAGGTGAATTGGAGGATGTGCTGTCAGTGGGGGAGAAGACAGGTGGGCAAATCCTTACAGTACCTTGTGACAAATGCTATAGCAGTTGCGTGTATGTTTTTTAAGTATGATGGAAGCAAAGAACAGAAAGGAAATGATTCTGCTAGGTTAAAGGAGTCATCTGATATTTGATTATGTTTTATTTATTTATTTACTTTTATTATTATTAATTTTTTTTGAGATAGGGTCTCCCTCTGTTGCCCAGGCTGGAGTGCAATGGCACAGTCTCAGCAACCTTCATCTCCTGGGTTCAAGCGATTCTTCTCCCTCAGCCTCCCAAGTAGCTGGGATTACAGGCGCCTGCCACCACACCCAGCTATTTTTTTTTTTTTTTTGTATTTTTAGTAGAGACAGGGTTTCACCATGTCATGCTAGTCTTGAACTCCTGACCTCAGGTGATCCACCCGCCTCGACCTCCCAAAGGGCTGGGATTATAGGTGTGAGCCACTGCCCCCAGCCGTTGATGATGTCTTAAAAATAGCTTCCACATGTATGTTACTTGAGTTTATTCAGTCTTCATAAAGACCATGTGAGATTGTGACCCCTTCTTGTACAGAAGATGAAATAGAGTCTTACAGAGCTTAGGTGAGCTCCCCAGGGTCATATAGCTAGTAATAATAATTGCCCACATTGATTGAGTGTTTAGAATATCTGCGACTCTGTTCTAAACCATCTTAAGACATTTAATCTTCTAAGGTAGTTATTGACATCATCACCATTTTATAAATAAGAAAACCAAGTCACAAGATTTAAGAGACTTGCCTACAGTCACATAGCTAGAAAGTGGAAAACCAGGATTTCCACCCACACAGTCTGACTTTAGCAGGCAGACACTGATCCACTGCACTAAATTGCCTTGTCTGGTTCCCCAAAGAGCTGGAACTGACACACTTGGACTCTGATTCCAAGTTCAGTTCTCTTTCAAGTGACCCTGCTCATTAGCAGATACTGCATCCAAATGAGAAGAAATGGTCATGTGGATACAAGGAGGCTTGTGTAGTTCCTGCATCTGTGGTATGGTGCTGTGGTGGGAGGGCTATGGTGAAGTCTGTAACATGCATGAACTTAAGCACTGACAAGCATTATGGCATAAGCTTTAGATTTTCTATGTTTTAGGTATTCAGGGTTTTTTCAGGGCAGTCAGATTTTTTTCTTTCGTTTTGTTTTTGAGACAGAGTTTCGCTCTGTTGCCCTGGCTGGAGTGCAGTGGCATAATTATGGGTCACTGTAACCTGGAACTCTTGGGCTCAAGTCATCCTCCCGCCTCAGCTTCTCGAAGAGCTGGGATTACAGGCATGAACTACCACATCTGCAGAATTTGGCCTGTTCTCCAGGCCAGCATCCTAGGCTCTATGGACTATGACTTGTTACTCATAGGAACTAGCCACCAACACTTACCCTGCAGCCTTTTGGCTGGTTTAAATTTTTCTAAAAAGAAGACAAGACATAAAACATTAAGAATGAAACAAGTTAAATTCAATACCTATATATTAACAGGAATGGAATACCGAAATGGAGAAATAAAGCACATAATTGTTTAAATTGCCCAGCTTTCTCTCCATAATAAAAATTATTGGATTGAAAAACCATTCAGGGATGGACACGGTGACTCATGCCTGTTCTCCCAACACTTTGGGAGGTCAAGGTGGGAGGATCACTTGAGCCCAGGGGTTTGAGACCAGCCTGGGCAACATAGCGAGACCCTGTCTCTAAAAAAATTTAGAATTAGCCAGGCGTGGTGGTGCACAGCTGTAGTCCCAGCTACTTGGGAGGCTGAAGTGGAAGAATCACTTGAACCCCAGGAGGTCAAGGCTGCAGTGAGCCACGATTGTGCAACTACACTCCAGCTTGGGTGACAGGGTGAGACCCAGTCTCCAAAGAAAAAAGAAGAAAAAGAAAAATAGTTCAATCTAATATTATTGTGCCTTAACAATTAAGTTGGTCTGGCTCTGTGGCGAATCTGAGAAAGAATTGGTTTTTAAAACGAATGAAGGAGTTTCCTTCTTCTTTAATAATTACTACTTATATTAATGTGGACATGACCTATATGATCGAAGATATTGTGTCTTTAAAATGGCCATCTCTCAGAATTTTTGGAGATTTGGTCATTTTAAAATCAGTCGCAGGCTCGGATTTCTGGGGCAGGCGGTGGGGCAGAAAAGGTCAGTGTTGTTTGGTATTCAACGCAGGTGGGGTTTTGGTATGGCTTGGTTTTTGGCATTTTGTTTTGCCATTTATGGAGATTTAGTAGATTCAACTGATTATCTTGGCCTTTGTGTTTGTGGATTTCTATTTTCTTGGCTTCAGTTCCTTGGAAACGTTTGTTTTGATGGTGGCAGGAGAGCTGGTTTAGTCATGTTTTATTTTTGTTGTTCCTATTTATTTCTAATATCCTTTACTTCAAGTCCACTTACAAAGTATCATGTAACCTGTCTTTATGTCTCCACAAATGAAATGTTCCTAGTAGCAACTCTAGTGTAACCTTATAGGAATAGTTAATTTGATGCCCATCGAGATGGTTCTGTAGTATTAGAACAAGGGTATGTTTTGGAAATTATGTTTGAAATTTATCATTGGATTTAGCATTTAGCAAATGAAATTTCAAGTGTCTGAGATCAACAAGTAGCCATATTCATATAAACATATTTTCCTTTTCATTGCTGAGTCAACAAAAGTTGGAAAATTATTTTCTCACACATATTCCATTCTTCAACTAAACCTGAAGGTAAATTACTTTTAAAAACCACATTCCAAACAAACAGTTTTTCATAAAGCTATGAGTACATGAATAGAGTGGGCCCCACTGGCATTTGGGATGTACATGTAATTAGAACTCTCAGTTTTTCAAACATGTAATTTACTACAGTTGAGGTTTTTAATTCTTAACTTTGAGTCCATTGGGATGAAACAAGTGACCCTTGTTGGAAGTATGTCAAGAATCAACTTTCTCAGGTTGACCTTTAGTTTGCTGGTCATCAAATTAAAACACTGTGTATTCCCAGGCTTGAAGATGTTGGAAGCTTCCTAAGTTTGTTAAAAGATCAAGGCAGAAGGCTAGCGCTGCTTTGCTGCTGTGAAGAACAGACTTCCCTCTTCCTTCTCCTTTAAGTTGGTTTCTGCCTGAGAGAGAGCATGCTCCACCTCAGCTGGCCCCGTCTTTGCTCTGATAGTTGCCTTGTACTTGTTTTCGCAACTAGATAGATGTCTATCATCCTTTGAACTGATTTGACATCCTTTCTAGTACAAGGCTCAGTACTAGGCACCAAGGACTGTTACAAACGCTCTCAATCACCATTGTTCATAACTTAAAAGTGGCAACAAAATCTGGAATAACTCAATGACTGCGTGACCTTGAGCAAGCAACTTAATCTCTCTCTAAAATAATGATTTCAAGCCTAGGCAACATGGCAAAACCCTGTCTCTACAAAAAATACACAAATTAGCTGGGCATGGTGGTATGCACCTGTAGTCCCAGCTACTAAGGAGGCTGAAGTGAAAGGATCCCCTGAGCCCAGGAGGTCAAGACTGCAGTGAGCTATGATGGCACCACTGCACTCCAGCTTGGGTGACAGATGAAGACCCTGTCTCAAACAAACAAACAAACAAACAAACAATAATAAAATAGCTATTTCACAAAGTCATTGTACTAAACACTTGGGATTGCATATGAAAATACTTAGCACAAAGCTTGGAACATAATTGCAAGTGTAGATTGAGTTTATGTGCAGTATATAATAATCCATGGAAACTCAAATGGACAGATGGACCCAAATCAAAATTGTCTGCTTCTAGCCATTTGTTAAATCAAAGCTTCACTTTCAAATGAATAACTAAATCTACCCATGATTTCTCTTTAAAGTCTACATTCAGAGCAAAAAAGTGCTTCCATGATAATCTGTTCATAGATTTCATAACAGGAGCTGACGAGGGTTTATTTAGGAGAAAACGTGAACAAGCAGAAGAAGGAAGATTAGATAAATAAAATGTCTTTCAAAATAAATGAAGAAGGGACAATTATCTGATAATAGAACATTCAGATGGTGATGTAATTATAAAATAGACTTGTTTTTGTAAGTGGTTTAAAAAATGTTTATTGACCTTAAAGGAATAACTTTTTCATAATTGAATGATAAAACATGCAGTATCTTGTATTAACTAGTAATAAACTACAAATATCCGTTAACTATATTTTTCTTTAAGTGCATCTGCTGTCATGGCCTTACATTTATTTCAGTGATACAAAAAGAGTGATTTGATTTGATAACTGCCTGTCCTCTCTGCATATCCGAAAATCGGAAGGAGCAGCCTTCCCTCTGACTCACTTAGCTGTGAAAATAGGACTCTGCCAAATTACTGGGAACTAACACTGTAGTAAAACCATAAGAAAATTTTGCTAAGAAACCTTTTCTCATCTGCAAATTACTTGACTGAAACCTGAGGTGCTGGATTTCAGCACAAAGGTGACTTTGGAGGGGAAATTTTGTGCCAAACTGGATCTGTTGTTTTTGTGTTATGTAAAAAGGAGAAAAAAAATGAACTGTTTACTCCTAAGCTATAAATTTAAGATTATCCTATTACACCAAATGACAGAATTTCCGAACCTCAAACCTTACTTTAGAGCTATATTTTCATAAACTATGATCTGTACCCAATCAAAACTAGATGTAATTGAATGTTAAATAATTAGCCTTGCCCAATTATATTTAAAGAGTACTGGACAAAGTTATTTTATTCACTGCATCAGAAGTGAATTATAGTTGAATTGCAGAAATGGCAATACATGTGCAGTATAAAAATATAGAATACAGAGTAGTAAAAAGAAGAAAATAAAAATCACCAAGTCACCCATAATTCTATCACTCAGAGATATCATCATTAAAATTTTGTTTTAAATTTATGCACGCATACAAACACACACATGCACACTCATACACACACCAGAATATTCACGATATATAAATGCATGTTAATGGTTTATTATAGAAAAGTGAAACATAAGGAAAAGTAGACAGAAAGCATAAAGGACCCCATGTCAAGTTGGACCTCATGTCTAGCCCATCAATATCCCATTCCTCTCCCCATCTCATTTTATTTTGAAGCAAGTTCCAGATATTATATTATTTCATCCATAAATTTTGATATGGCTGGGTGTGGTGGCTCATTCCTATAATCCCAACACTTTCAGAGGCTGGGGCAGGAGGATCACTTGAGGCCATTAGTTTGAGCCCAGCCTGGTCTACATAGCAAGACTTTGCCTCTACAAAAAATTAAAAAATTAGCTGTATGTGGTGGTGAGTGCCTATAATCCCAACTACCAGGAGAATAAGGTGGGAGGATCATTTGAGCCCAGGAGTTCAAGACTGCAGTGAGCTACAATTGTGCCACTGTACTCCAGCCTGGGTGACAGACTGAGACCCTGTCTAAAATGTATATATTTCAATATGAATCTTTAAAAGATAAGGACTTGTAAAAAACATAACCATTATCATATCTACATTAACTAATACAATTTTTTAGTAGTATGAAATATTCAGTGTTGGAATTTTAAATTGTCTTACAAATTTTATAACTTACTTTTGTTGTTGTTGTTGTTTCTTTTTTTCTTTTTTTTTTTTTTTGGAGACGGAGTCTCGCTCTGTCACCCGGGCTGGAGTGCAGTGGCATGATCTTGGCTCACTGCAACCTCCACCTCCTGGGGTCAAGCGATTCTCCTGCCTTAGCCTCCCGAGTAGCTGAGATTACAGGCACGCTCCACCATGCTCGGCTAATTTTTATATTTTTAGTACAGACAGGGTTTCACCATGTTGGCCAGGGTGCTCTCGAACTCCTGACCTCGTGATCCACCCTGCTCGGCCTCCCAAAGTATAACTTACTTTTGTAGTTTGCTTGTTGAAGCAAGATCCAAATAAGGTTCATACACTGAAGTTGGTTGATATGTCCCTTAAATCTCTTTTAATTTAAATCCCTTAAATCTCTTTTAATTTCATTTTTTTCCTCATAACTTATTTGTTGCAAAAACCAAGTTGTTTGTCCTGTAGAACTTCCCACAGTCTGGATGTTTCTGATTGCATTCCTATGATATAGCTCAACATGTTCCTCTGTACAGGCTTAATCAGATTCATATATATATATATATTTTTTTTTTTTTTGGCAAGACTGCTTCCTAGGGAGTGGAGTATTTTGCCATTAGGTGGTACATAAAAATCTCTTCTTTTGTGATGTTACCTAGATCCATTAGTTCATTAAGGATTGTAAAAATGGTAATATTTTAATCCTATCATTCCTTAAGTTGATTTTTTGGCATGTGCCAATGGTGTTTGCTTTGTCTTATTTTTAAGTAACTTTTGTTTTCTCTATTGTAATTATAATTTGAACTCATTCATTGAAATGTATTTAATGTGCTTCTGTACATATTATTTATTATTCTTATTAATGCTTAAATTATCCTCATTGGTCTGTGATAGCATCTTCAAATTGGTTCCTGACATCTTTTGACTCAACCCAAGCAGTTTTTGATAGCTTTCCTGCTATTTGGTACAAGATGGCATAGGCTCATCTTGAATATTTCCACATAGTAGAAATTACTTATATTTAAGATGTGAATATATATACATATAATACAAAACCTTAGGGCAGAAACTATTTATGATACCAAAAGAGTAGAAATAACCCCAATGTCTATTAATGGAGGACTGGTTGAATAAACTATGATACCTACACACAATGGAGTCTGTGTAGCTACAAAATGAAAGTAGGTTTTTTTTGGTTTTTTTTTTTTTTTTGAGAAGGAGTCTTGCTCTGTTGCTGAGGCTAGAGTGCAGTGGCACTATCTTGGCTCACTGCAACCTCCGCCTCCTGGGTTCAAGTGATTCTCCTGCCTCAGCTTCCTGAGTAGCTAGGATTACAGGCGTGCACCACCATGCTTAGCTAATTTTTGTATTTTTAGTAGAGATGGGGTTTCACCAGGCTGGCCAGGCTGGTCTTGAACTGCTGACTTCAGGCAATCTGCCTGCCTTGGCCTCCCAAAGTACTGGGATTATAGGCATGAGCCACTGCACCTGGCCAGAAGTAGGATCTTTAAATATATTTATTATGGATTGATCTGTAGGATATATTACAAAAAAATGGGGGGAGGAATGTGAGTCTACGATGCTACCATACAGGTCAGAAGGGATATATATGTAAATGTATATACATACACGCATATATGCATGCATACACACACATATGTAAATACATTTGCTTATATTAGAAAACAAAGAATAGGAGGATTCACATCACAAAATATTAATAGTAGTTACCTGTAAAAAATGGAGGAAAGAAAGTGGAGGGGATAGGGATAGAAACTAGACTTCTTAGAATTCACCTTGTTTTGTAGATTTGACTTTGGCCAGGCTGGTCTCGAACTCCTAACCTCAGATGATCCACCCGCCTTGGCCTCCCAAAGTGCCGAGATTACAGGTGTGAGCCACCGCCCCGGCCTAATTGTGGTAATTCTAATCTTACTATGCCTGCTGTCCTTGAGAAGCAGGATTCTCAGCATGAGAGGAAGGGAATATAGATGTAACATGGAGGAGGTTAGGCAGAAATCCTGTGGTCCTGAATTTGAATTGAGAGTTGATATAAATTTAGGGTGTCTATGTACATGTATAGACATGTCTCCTAGGTCCTCTGTTCACTGAAAAACCTAGACACAATGACTAAGCCAGAAGCAATGAGCACTCTTGTTATCTATATTATGATATGATATATGATATACATACACATGTATCATAAATATATATTCATATATACATAAATTCCATGTATGTGTAGCATCAATTATTTAGCTATTCTTCTATTTCTGGTCATTTAGATGTTCCCAATTCTTTACACTTATATATAATAAGTGTGGCAAAGCAATTGTGTATTTATCATTTCCTTCATACACTTTTTTGTAAGTAGAATTACCCGACTAGAGGGTAGGAACATGTTTAAACTCTTGATTAGTTTTGTCAGATCACCTCCAGAAAGGTTATACCAGGTTACATGGTAAGTGGCAGTGGGGGAGAGAGTGACTGATTCACTGCATTAATAGTTATAGACATTTTAGACATTTACACTGACATAGTTCTGCCAATCTATGTCAGGTAGAACTGTGCCTTTTTTGTTTTTCCCTTTTTGATGTTCTTATAGAGAAATTTAAAAAATCAATAATACCATATGGAAAAATTACACTGCTGTAACATTTTCATATTTACATTAATAACTGTATATTTGGCTCCTTAAAAGTCCTACTTATTTGCCCTTTATATCTCAAGAAAATCCTGCGAAGTGCTCCTTTACTTGTACAATTTTATGTGTATATGGAAGAGCTATTTCATCACCAAGCTATTCTGCATTTGAAACGAAGGAGGAAATAGTTTATCCCTCCATGAAGTGGTATTGACAGGAAGCAATCCACAAAGATTAGAATGGGCTTGTCAAACTTAATGTATTCCTTATAATTAATGCACTGAATTATAAATCCTTTAGTTGTAAACATACATATATCGTGAATGTATTAAGATCTGAATTTTTATATCTTTTTGGTAATTTTGGCAGCTATCTTTGAAATTCCTGGGATTTTTTATTGTAACCTTACCTTCACAGAACTCATTATATGTGAAACTTTATTTTCCAAACATAGTTTAGGAAATTAACTAACTTTGTAAACACTATTTTACATGTACCTTCTATATACAACTGAACCATGATTATGAAAGAAAAAAAAAGTAGATTATAGGCAAAATCATAGACTGTTACAGCTAGAGCGATCTTAAAGATCGTCTGGCCTAACCCCTTCATTTTATACTTTAGAAAACGAAGACAAAGGGCAGTTATGTAACTTCATTAAAGTCATACAGCTACTTTGTGAGAGTGTGACAAAAACCCAAACTGATATGGTACAGTGTCTCCTTTCCACGTCGCTTCTCAGAGTTAGCAAAAGTTGAAGGCAATACGCAAAACCAAAAATAATTGTCGTGTTAGGGAAATGGGATTTGGCGTGTCTACCTTCAAAATTTGATTATGTCACTTTTTTGATAAAAATTCTATAGAGAATGGATCAACAACTACATTATAAAATTAGGTAAAAGAGCACCTTTGTTATTTGGGAAGCTAGAAATAAATTATGGGTTTTCCAATACTTAGCAGGGATTTGTAGCAATCAAAATGCAGACAATCAGTGACTTGTTAGGGATGCAAAAGTCATTGCGGGTTTTGCTATTATTTTAATAGCAAAAAATGCAATTATTTTTGCATCAACCTAATACAATAGTTTATCATGATTTTTTGACTTTACAATGGTGTGAAAGTGACAAGTATTCGACCAGGCGCGGTGGCTCACTCCTGTAATCCCAGCACTTTGGGAGGCCAAGGCAGGTGGATCACGAGGTCAGGAGATCGAGACCATCCTGGCAAACACGGTGAAACCCCGTCTCTACTAAAAAATACAAAAAATTAGCCGGGCGTGGAGGCGAGATCGCGCCACTGCACTCCAGCCTGGGTGACAGAGCAAGACTCTGTCTCAAAAAAAAAAAAAAAAAAAAAAAGAAAAGTGACAGGCATTCAGCAGGAACCATATGTCAAATTTGGAATCTTCATCTTTTCCTGGGCTAGCGATGTGCAGATACTACTCTCTCGTGAAGCTGGGCCAAATCACCTAACGCAAAGCCCATTTTATAATAAAGTGTTGAATTTCTCATGTAATTTACTGACTACTGTATTGCAAGTGTTCTGAACATGTTTCAGGTAGGCTCTGCTAAGCCGCGATGTGCAGTAGGTTAAGTGTATTACATGCTTTTTTGACTTTTGTTATTTTCAACCTACGATGGGTTTATCAGGACATAACCCCATTGTAAGTTGAGGAGCACCTGTACACAGCATCTGAGTGCTTCATGTATGTATTCATAGGCACTGTTTTAAGTACTTTGTTTGCATTATCTTGATGAGTTCTAACCATAATCTCAAGGACAGAGAGAGTGTGTGACTTGCCCCCAGGTAATCTTAAGAATGTCAGACTCAAGATTTGAACCTAGGCAGTCACAGACACAGTGGGTTATTTGAAGTTTCAAGCCTCAACTGTCATTGTCGCCGCTACTGAGGGTTGCTGTGGTTGTCTAACTCCCCCCAGCTGTCTTCCTACAGGATCAAATGTTCTACTTGAGAAATTCTTACATAGCCAGGCATGATGGCTTACGCCTGTAATCCCAGCACTTTGGGATGCTGAGGCAGGCAGATCACTTGAAGCCAGGAGTTCAAAACCAGTCCGGGCAACATGGTGAAGCCCTGTCTCTACAAAAAATACAAAAAATAAAATAAAATAAAAATGTAGCTGGGTGTGGCAGTGTGTGCCTATAGTCCCAGCTACTTGGGATGCTGAGGTGGGAGGATCACCTGAACCCAGGAGGTCAAGGCTGCAGTGAGCCATGTTCACAATACTGCACTCCAGCCCGGCTGACAGAGAGAGACACTGTCTTAAAAATAAAAAAATTCCTTAGAGCAAAAATTTTTAGAGACAGTCTGCCTTCACCTGCCACTTGCTATATGATTTTTCATTCCTCATCTGTAACATAGGTGTGATATCTACCTCATAGAATTGTTGGAGGACTAAATGAGAGAAATCGTATCCATTTTTTGGTGGAATAGCTGACACACAGTTATCATCAGCTATGGTCATCATTATTAGTATTATTAATATCATCACCAACATTATCATTATTGTTTCTTTCTCTCCTTTTGACCTCTTTTTTCATGCAAAAGCTCCTGAAAAGGATAATACATTACCCGAGAAGCTGGTGACTCATCAGTTGTTTTTTTCCTAACAGAAGAGAGCAGAGAGGTATTAAGGCAGAAGGAAAGAAAGAGGTAGAGAGACCTCAAAGACAACTTAGAGCAGAGTTTTACCCCAAATTAGTTGGGATACATTTACAAAACAGTTCATTTGGAGTCTAGTCTCGTATTTGGCATCTGTAATCTTTATTGGGTTTCCGGAGCCTATTAAGGAATGAGCAAGGGCACTGCTAGCAGTGGTGACAGACCTTCTGTCCCTGCCCGAGGAATCCCGTCCACTGTGGCCACCTGCCTATCCATGCTGCAGTGGGAAGTGGGCAACAATCCTCCGCAAGCTCTTCTGTTTACTGTGCCTGGAAACGGGCGTTTTGCCATGGAAAAATTTCTCATTGTACCCGTAAGTACAGAACACATATTGCACAATACGAAAGATCTTATTGAGACTTCTTGTTAGGCCAGGCGCTCAAGCCTGTAATCCCAGCACTTGGGGAGGCTGAGGCAGGCGGATCACCTGACGTCAGGAGTTCAAAACTAGCCTGGCCAAGAAGGCAAAACCCTGTCTCTACTAAAAATATAAAAAAATCAGCTGGGCATGGTGGCAAAGTCCCAGCTATTCTGGAGGCTGAGGCAGGAGAATCACTTGAACCTGGGAGGCAGATGTTGCAGTGAGCTGAGGTCACGCCATTGCACTCCAGCCTGGGCTACAGAGTGAAACTCCATCTCAAACAAACAAACAAACAAACAAACTTCTTATTAACCTGTGTACATACTGTGCTTCAAGAGTAGGACTGAGTGCCATTCCTGAGGTGTCATTCCACTCTTTACTCAGGGGTTAAAAGTCTAAAGGTGACCCGCAGTCACATCCTCACTTTTTTCTCTAGATCACACACTTTCCACTGATGCCTAAAGTCTTACTGTTTAATGCCACCAGCTTCTCCCTCAGGTCAAGTATTCTTATTTTCTGTATTTCATTTTTCACTTTTCACCTTTATGAAAAGGACTGAGCACATGGTAGAATAGAAAATGGTGCAAAAACTGTTCAGTGAAAGGTGCATCTCATTTCCATCCAGGCTGCCCAGTGCCATTGGCCAGAATTGCCAACCATTTGTTCATTCACTCAGAAAGTGTGATGGGGTGCATTGTCTGTGCTAGCCACTGTTTGGGGTGCTTGGAATCTAGCAGCATACAAATAGATTAGATCCCTGCCTTCTAGTAGGGGTTGATGGGCTACAAGCAACATATATGAGCAAGTTATTATAGGGTAGGTTAGAAAGTGATGAATGCAGCCTGGGCAACATGGTGAAACCTTGTCTCTACAAAAAAATTTAAAAAAAAATTAGCTGGGTGTGGTGGCACACCTGTAGTCCTAGCTACTAGGGAGGCTGAAGTGAGAGGATCGCCTGAGCCCGGAGGTGGAGGTTGCAGTAAGCCGAGATCGTGCCACTGCACTTCAGCCTGGACAACAGAGAGACCCTGTCTCAAAAAGAAAAAAAGAAAAAGAAAGTGACTAATGCTATGGACAGAAATAAGCAAGGGTGGGGGACAGGCTGATCAGGTTCACTTATGAAATATCTATCACACAAGCTAAGTGTCCATCAACAGATGAATGGATAAAGAAAATGTGGATACACACACACACACACAGACACACACATACAATGGACTATTATTCAGCCATTTAAAAAATGAAATCATGTCATTTGCAGCAACATGGATGGAACTGGAGGTCATTTTGTTAAGTGAAATAAGCCAGGCACAGTGAGACAAATATCAAATGTTCTCACTCATATCTGAGAGCTAAAAATGTGGATCTCATGGAGGTGGAGAGTAGGATGGTGGTTACCAGAGGCTGGGAAGGGAAGGGGGAGTGGGGGAGGAAGGGATGTTGGCTAATGGGTACAAACATAGAATTAGATAGTAGAAATAAATTATAGTATTCAGCAGTACAGTAGGGAAATTAAAGTTGACTATAATTTATTATATATTTCAAAATAGCTATCAGGTTTCAAAATATCACATGTACCCCAACAATATGTACGACTATTATATATCAATTTTCTTAAAGTCATAAACATTATAATGGGAAAAAAAATAGTATATACCACTGGCCAGAAATTCTCCTGAGCACTTTACATATGTTAACTATCTGAATCCTCATAACAAGCCCAGGCACTCTTATCATCGTCATTGTAAAGGGAAACTGAGGCACAGAAGAGGTAGGAACATGGCTCAAAGTCACAAAGCGAATGAGTAATGAGACCTGGGCTTTCACACAGGCTGCCTGGCTCCAGAGCCCGAGCCTAGCTCCAGAACACTTCCGTCATCCTAGAAAAAAAAAACTCCCATGCCTGGTAGAGTCACTCTCAATTCTCTCCTAACCACAGACCCTGGCAACCACTTATCTGCTTTCTGGCTCTATGGATTTGCCTAATGTAAATATTCATATAAATGGAATCATGTAATATGTGGCCTTTTGTGACTGGCTTCTTTCACTGAGCATAATGTTTTCAAGGTTCATCCATATTGTATCAGTCCTTCATTCCTTGTTGTGGCTGAAAAAGATTCCATTGTATGAATATACCACATGCTGTTTATCCATTCATCAGCTCTTGGGCATTTGGGTGGTTTCCATTTCTTGGCTATTGTAAATAATGCTGCTGTGTACCTTTGTGTACAAGCTTTTGTGGAAATGTACATTTTATAATTTTCTTGGGTACATACCTAGGAGAATTATTCAGTTGTAAGGGAACTCTATGTTTAACTTATTTTATTATTATTATTAATTATTATTATTATTATTATTATTATTATTATTATTATTATTTTGAGACAGGGTCTCACTCTGTCACTCAGGCTAGAGTGCAGTGGTGCGATCTTGGCTTACTGCAACCTCTGCCTCCCAGGCTTAGCCTATTCTCCCACCTCAGCCTCCTGAGTAGCTGGGACTATAGGCATGTGCCACCACACTGTGCTTTTTTTTTTTTTTTTTTGGCATTTTTTGTAGAGACAGGGTTTCACCAGGTTGACCAGTCTGGTCTCAAACTCCTAAGCTCAAGCAATCCACCTGTCTCAGCCTCCCAAAGTCCTGGTATTACAGGCATGAGCCACCGCACCTGGCCCTATGTTTAATTTAACAAATCAACTTTTGATCACATGTATTACTTAGCTAAGCCTCTCTACTCAGAAGGGGAGAAGTATAGGAGCAAGTGGTTGCTTTAGCAAATGTCCTATCCTGTCCTATCAATATGATGGTGTCTCCTTCTTGGGGTTTCATAAGTCAGTACCCTGAAGGTCATTGACACTCCATGTGTGTATTTTCTATGCAGAACCCCCACGGAGGCCACTTTTGGTCGCCTTCTCCATACAATAGATGGGGAGTGACCATAAGGAAGTACCCCTTAAAGTAACTAAAGAGCTCAAGCTTGAGCAGTGGAACCTCTCCAGGTACTTCTAAGAGCAGGACAGACAGGGTCAGTCTAGAGAAGTGAATGCTTTGAGAAGATTACACAGTCCTCTAACAATAACATCCATGATGATTTTGTAGAATTCTCTATGCCTAGCATAATGCTAAATGAGTCACAGCCTTTTTCCTAGACTTGCACTCTCCGGTATGGTAGCCACGGGTCACATGTGGCTATCAAGCGCTTGAAATATGGTTAGTCTGAATTAAGGTATGCTATACAGGTTGAGTATCCCTAATCTAAAAATTCAAAATATAAAATGCTCCAAAATCCAAAACTTTTTGAGGACTATGATGCTACAAGTGGCATTGTTGGTGGTGACAAAGCCTGCTGTTCTCTGCTATTGCTGCTGTTTAGCAAGTGATACAGGTATTCTTTTTTTATTTTTTATTTTTTTTGAGACGGAGTCTCGCTCTGTCGCCCAGGCTGGAGTGCAGTGGTGCGATCTCGGCTCACTGCAAGCTCCGCCTTCCGGGTTCAGGCCATTCTCCTGCCTCAGCCTCCCGAGTAGCTGGGACTACAGGCGCCCGCCACCACGCCCAGCTAATTTTTTGTATTTTTAGTAGGGACGGGGTTTCACCGTGGTCTCGATCTCCTGACCTCGTGATCCGCCCGCCTCGGCCTCCCAAAGTGCTGGGATTACAGGCGTGAGCCACAATGCCTGGCCGTGACACAGGTATTCTAAGGGATGCTGCTGTGCTGATTAGTAACTCTGAACACATTGTTTTTTTCACTATTTTAATAGTATGTTATATATACATATATACACATATATATACGTGTGTGTGTGTGTATATATATATATATATATATATATATATATATATATGTAACAGAGTGATATACAAATATATATATATATATACACACACACACATATATATATGTATATCACTCTGTTACCTAGGCCGGAGTGCAGTGGCACGATCTAGGCTCACTGCAACCTCCGCCTCCTGAGTTCAAGCGATCCTCCTGGGTTCAAGCAGTTCTCCTGCCTCAGCCTCTGGAGTAGCTGGAATTACAGGCGTGCACCACCAAGCCCGGCTAATTTTTGTATTTTTAGTAGAGACGGGGTTTCATCATGTTGGCCAGGCTGGTCTCGAACTCCTGGCCTCAAGTGATTCAGCCACCTGGACCTCTCAAAATGCTGGAATTATAGGAATGAACCAACACGCTCATGGTGTGTTATATTTTTTACTGTTAAGTACTTATGTCTAAATAAACGTGAGAAAATGATTGCTTATCAGTAGCACATAAATGAGCGTCAGGAATGATGTTGCCAAACAAGCACAGATTGTCCCATGGGTGGTTGAGATAGTGACACCTTTGGTTTCTGATCATTCGATTGATAAAAACTTTGTTTCATGCACAAAATTATTAACAGTATTATATAAAATTACCTTCAGGCCATGTGTATAATATGTATATGAAACACACATGATTTTTGAATTTAGACTTGGGTCTTATTCCCGAGATATCTCATTTATGTATATGCAGATATTCCAAAATCTGAAATCCGAAATACTTGTGGTCCCAAGCATTTCGAATAAGAGATGCTCAACCTGTACGTGTGAAATACACATTGGACTTCGAAAACTTAGTGCAAAAAACAGAATGTAAAATACTCATGAACATTTTTTACATGTTGAAATGATATTTTGGACATGAGTTAAGTAAAATATAGCACTAAAATTAATTTTGCCTATTTCTTTTTACTTTTCTTAATGGGCTACTAGAAAATGTTAAATCACACATGTGGCTCACATTGTGGCTTCCATTATGTTTCTATTGGACAGCACTGGTTCTAGACAAGTCCTCACAGTTATCTTATCAGCTGGATGGTATTATCATCCTTCTATTATGGGTGAGGAAATTGAAGCTTAGAGCGCTTAAGTCAATTACCTATGATCATACAGCTGTGGCTTAAGCGCAACTCTGTCTCCAATTCTGAATTCTTACCCATTGCTCTAGGCTGTCTCCCCATAGTCCAGAAATGTAACCCAAGTGATAGAAAAATGGTTAGGATCATTAGCTGTGGCAAAAGGCTGTTTTCATATCTTCATTGTAGAGCACAGGAAAAATGGTCTATGAAGTTCTGTAAAGTAGAATTTAGGGTGCAGTTGGAGGAAATTGCCTATGAGAAAGTTTCTTAAATACTAACTCCTGTTTGTAATGGTTCGGGGCTCACCCACTGAGGATCGAAGGTAGAAGGAACTATTTCAGAGCTTGCTTTCATTTCTACGATTCTATCACAATTGACATTAGATTCACAGGTCAGCCTCTGCTGTAACATTCAGATTGAGATGGAGTAGACTGAGATGAATGAGTGCTTCATTTTCATCCCTTTTCCCTGTAAAGTGGAGGGTTTTAATTTCATCCCATTTCATTCGAATTTGTGAAAACCTCAATAGGACATTCTTCACAGCAATCCTGCCCTCTTCTAAGTTTCAGTGGAGAGGAGAGACAAAACTGTCAAGGAGAGAAACCATTCTCTGAAATATTAAGCCATTCTCTAAAATATTAAACCATTCTCTAAAATATATATTTTAACTTGGTAAAATCTTCTTTTTCCTAAGGGCATCAGTGTTCTTCGCTCACAAGTAACTCTCGTGTGTATATCATTAATGCTAACGATTACTAGTTGTTAAATGCTATGACAATTTTATTTGCATTTTACATATATTATACTTGTATATAACATGTATCACGGGTATAATTTACTTTTTAAACTTCAAATACCGAAGAGGATGCCCAGTTTAGAACAGTAGCTCCTTGGGCTATTTTTCCAAGTTGGGAAGGCAGGGGGAGGATTGGAATAATTGCAAATTAAGCTTTGCCACAGGGCCTCGTTCCCAAATGTTTAAACCCTCTCATATTATTAGGGGCTAAAAATGTTGCTAAGAGCTTTTAAACAGAAAAATAGACTTACTTGCTTTGTTTTTGTTTTTGTTTTTTCTTGAGACAGGGTCTCACTCTGTCACTGAGGCTGGAGTGCAGTGGCAAGATCTAAGCTCACTGCAACCTCTGCTCCTTGGGCTCAAGCAACCCTCCCAACTCAGCTTCCTGAGTAGCTGGGACTACAGGCACACACCACCATGCCTAGCTAATTTTTGTATCTTTTTTGGTAGAGATGTGGTCTCACTATGTTAGCCAGGCTGGTCTCAAAACCTTGATCTCAAGCAATCTGCCTGCCTTGGCCTCCCAAAGTACTAGGATTACAGGTGTGTGCTGCCACACCCGGCCACTTATTTGTTTTTTATTTCTTCCCCCAGACTACAACTTTATAGCTTACCAAGAAACATGGCAACTGGACTCCTATAAGATTAATGCAAGCCAAAAATCAAGCCCTAAGAAGCTAAAACGTTTCTAGACATATATGTGCCATTTTTTTTGTTGTTTGTTTCTATTTTATTTTTTATTCAGGATCAGATTTTTAGTGCCCCTTCATTAGGTTCACTTTGGCTTAAATAGCTACATGGAAAATACATTCCAGCATTTGTTTTTTGTTTAGTCACTCTTCCATAAAATTCCTTAGCGGTTTCAAATGTCATTCAGATGAGATGACAATGAATCATAGAAGGAAGACAGAGAGAGAATGGTATTGGGAAAGGGATAGGGAGCTGGGAATCAGATGACCTGAATTCTAGTTCTGTTGCAAGAACAAATTGGCAACAAGGCCCTGGAGAATTCAAGTCCACAAACCTTTCTTGGAAACCTACTATGTTCAAGGCATTGAAATAAGTGCTGTAGGAGCAACAACGATGAACAAGACACGGATCCTCAAGGAGCTTATCACCTGGCAGGAAGGAAAGTATATTCACAAAATGATAGTATAATGTGGTACAGAATGTGTGAGTAGTGGAATAGAACTTATGGGGCACAGAAGAAAAAAAACATCATTCCAGCCAGGGAGAGTGGGGATGGCTTCATGAAGAAAGTGATATTTGGGATCCCGGAAGTGTGGGTAGGATTTCTGGGTGGGGCTTTGAGGGAAGGGTGTTTTCGTTGTTGTTGTTTTCTTTTGCTTTTTTGAGACAGAGTTTCACTCTTGTTGCCCAGGCTGGAGTGTAATGGCGCGATCTCTGCTCACTGCAACCTCTGCCTCCCAGGTTCAAGCGATTTTCCTGCCTCAGCCTCCTGAGTAGCTGGGATTACAGGCACGCGATACCATGCCTGGCTAATTTTTTGTATTTTTAATAGAAACAGAATTTCACCATGTTGGCCAGGCTGGTCTCGAACTCCTGACCTTGTGATCTGCCCGCCTCGGCCTTCCAAAGTGCTAGGATTACAGGCGTGAGCCACCACGCCCGGCCCAAGGGAAGAGTGTTTTACACAGAAGGTGTAGGGAAGTGGAGACGATGTAAGCAAAAATGTACAGTAATAAAGTACAGAGCTGGTTCAAGGAACTTGTTAGGAAGGCACAGTTAATTCTGAATAAAACAATGGGAGATAAGTTTTGAGCACTAGATTAAGATCAAATTGTGGTAGGGCTTGAATTCCAGTCTGAAGAATTTAGACCTTTTGAGTGGTGAAGAGCAGGGAGACAAATAAGATAACACGAGTGATCAGCTTTGCTAGGAAGATTGTTCTAGCGGCACCGGGTGGTACGAGGGTGAGCAGAAAGGTAGAAGGCCGGGAGATGAGTTAGAAAACGGTTATGGGGCTAGGCACGGTAGCTCATGCCTGTAATCCCAGCACTTTGGGAGGCCAAGGCAGTCAGATCGCTTGAGCCCAGGAATTCGAGACTAGCCGGGGCAACATGGCGAAACCCCATCTCTACAAAAAATACAAATGTTAGCTGAGAGTGGCAGTGTGCACCTGTGGTTCCGGCTGTGCAGGAGGCTGAGATGGGAGGACTGCTTGAACCTGGGAGGTCGAGGCTGCAATGAGCTGTGATCATGCCCATGCACTCCAGCCTGGGAGACTCTGTTTCAAAAAAAAAAGAAAATGATTATGGTAGGCTTTTGGCGGTAGGAATGGACAGAGAAGGCAAATGCAAGAGACATTCCAGAGGGAGTATTGACAGAGCTTGGCGACAATTGGTTTTGGGATGTAAAAGATTACTATGGTTTTGAGCATTGGTGAGTCAGAGGATGGAGATGCTGAGACTGTAGGAGGTTTGCCGGGAAAGATGCTGAGTTTGATTTCGAGCACATTTAGCCCATTCCGAACACACTGGCTAACGTAATCATATAAAACACAGGCCAATTCCCAAATCCCCTCTGCTCAAAACCCTTCAATGCCTTCTCATCTTACTCAGAGTAAAAGAAACATCCTTACAATGGCTGATAAAGCCTTCAATGGCCTGGCTGCCCACATTGCCTCTGAGCTCATCTCCTTCCTTACCCGCTTCTCGCTGGGCACTGCCACCCTGGCCTTCTTGCTGTTCCCCAAACATTGCCCGACATGGGTCTGTCTTAGGGCCTTTCTTAGTGTTTTCTCTGCCTGAAACCCTCTTTCCTCGGGCAGTTCTTACACCTTAATCCCTCACTTCTTTTGGCTCTTATTCAAATATGTTTTGTTTTGTTTTTGAGACAGAGTTTCGCTCTTGTTGCCCAGGCTGGAGTGCAGTGGCACGATCTCGGCTCACTGCAACCTCCGTCTCCTGGGTTCAAGTGACTCTCCTGCCTCAGCCTCCCCAATAGCTGGGATTACAGGTGCCCACCACCATGCTGGGCTACTTTTTGTATTTTTAGTAGAGACAGGATGGGATTTTACCATGTTGGCCAGGCTGATCTCAAACTCTTGACCTCAGGTGATCTGCCTGCCATGGCCTCCCAAAATGCTGGGATTACAGGTGTGAGCCACTGCGTCCGGCCTAAGTATCATCTTTTTAGAAAGGCCTTTCCTGATCATCCTGTACAGAACAGCAACACTTCCCCCGCCACATCCCCTCTCTCCAGTTTCCTCTTCCCCATTGTACTGATCAGCATCTGACATACTATTTGTTTACTTGCTTATATCACAACCTGGAAACTGAAGCTGTAAAAAAAAAAAATTAATGAAATGATCCACTGTTTTCAAGGGTATGATGAGGTTTGCTACCTCATGAGTACACCATTACACCATTCTTGGGACTGGGCATTGTTATAATCCCTTTGAAAAGCAATTTGGCAGTAAGTATAAAGAGTCATAAAATGTCCATCTCCTGCAACGTTTTATGTTTTGAAAATTCTGAAAGTCAATTCTAAGAAGATAATCTAAAATGTGGAAAAGAAGGCCAGGTATGGTGGCTTATGCCTGTAATCCCAGCACTTTGGGAGGCTGAGGCAGGAGGATTGCCTGAGCCTAGGAGTTCAAGACCAGCCTAGGGCAACATGGTGAGACTCTGTCTCTATAAAATATAAAAAATTAACCAGGTATGATGGCACATATCTGTGGTCGCAGCTACTCAGGAGGCTGAGGTGAGAGGATCACCTGAGCCTGGGAGGTTGAGGCTGCAGTGAGCTGTTATGGGACCACTGCACTCCAGCCTGGGCAACAGAGCAAGACTCTGTCTCAAAAAAAAAAAAAAATAATGTGGAAAAGAAAACACACAGAAAAATGTATACTAATGTGATATTTATGATATCAAGAAATTGGAAAGATTCTAAACATCTAACAATATACAGAGATAGTTAAATTAAGTAAATTACTGTTCATTTACTTAATGATATATTATTCACTTGTTAAAAGGATAGTTATGAAAGGCTGGTTAGCAACAAGGAAAATGCTATGAGACAATGTTATACTTAAAATAACAGGATCCACAACTGTATACAGTGTGATTTCACGTATCTTTAAATATACACCTGAAAAAGGACTAGGAGGAAATTAACCCAAATGCTGATATTAAATGAATTAGGCTAATGGAATTATTGGTGACTTATTTTTCCTAAATCTTTTCAGTTTTCTGTATTTAGGTTATATCCTTTCTGTAATGTGCTATTTAATTTTTTATAATAATCATTTTTTAAAATACTCAAAAGAAACTGCTGTTACAACTAACTCACCACCATCTAGATGGCATTGTTGGGTATCAGTGGTAAGTGTGAGTCTCCAGGCTGTGGCTTCTACTTTTAGTTCTGAGGATCCTGACATCAATGGCTGGCCCTACAGCTCATTAGCCTCCCATGCCTCATTCCTCCGCTTTCTCACTCCTGACTCCTTCCTCTTTGCCACTCTTCCTGTATAATTTTAGGCTGTGTCTGCCTGATTATGAAGGACACAATTATGAAACAATAAAGGCTTTAAAAAAAAGCCACACAACTTGCCCCCATGCACCTTGACAATCTTTATGCATGGATTGAGGCTAAGCCACCATATTAATGTCCCCCTCTATTTTTCTCATCCTAGCTACCCCTGTCCCCACTGGTAGACATTAAGGATTCCCACTTTGCTGTTCTCTGTAGCGCTTACCACCACCTGACATATTATGTATTTACTTATTTATTATAATATCATGGCTGAGAAACTGAAGTGACTTAAAAAGGAAAAGAATTAATTCAATGTCTACCTACTAAGTGCCAGTTAAGCCTTTATGTATATTTTCTTTATGTATATTTTCTTTATGTATATTACCTCATTTTACCCTTGCAAGCCAGCAAAATAAGTATTACGTTTTAGTGATAAGAAAACTGAGGCTTAGAAAGGTTAAATAATTTGTCCAAGTTCACTTATGTAGGAAGTTACCAAATTGAAATTTAAATCGTTGTTTTCTTTTTTTTTTTTTTTTGAGATAGCATCTAGCTCTTCCACCTAGGCTGGAGGGCAGTGGTGCAATCTTGGCTCACCGCAACCTCCACCTCCTGGGTTCAAGCAATTCGTGTGCCTTAACCTCCCCAGTAGCTGGGATTACAGGCACCCACCACCACGCCTGGCTAATATTTGTATTTTTAGTAAGACGGGTTTCACCCTATTGGCCAGGCTGGTCTCCAACTCATGACCTCAGTGATCTGCCCTCCTTGGCCTCCCAAAGTGCTGGGATTACAGGTGTGAGCCACCTCGCCCGGCCAGCCACCGTGTCTGGCTGAAACCCTCATTTTCTCATCTAAAGTCCTATGTCCTTAGCCAATACACTAACAAACACACATCAATTATTAAGATAGCCTAAGTTAACTTATTATATAGGCATTGCCTAAGTGAACAATTGAATAACAGAATAATTCAATCTGAAACTCGTAATCAATTGATGCCCCAAATATCGTTGTATCTGAGTTAACCAGCTCATTGCTTCAGATTTTTTCTGCAATGTCTACAGTGTCTCGATAACTATTTGAGACCACAAAATTAACAGTTTGACTGTTAATTTTAACTACTTTGATTATCTGCAGTATTCTAAGTATTTATTTAGTAACTAAAACTAATTTTATCTGCTTTGATTAATGGCCTCTTTTGAAGGATCTGGAAGCTCTTTTTTGAGACAATAGAAAATTTTTTGATAAAGCAAAATTCTTAATTAAGTTAGATCCTTTCAACTGGTTAGTTAGACTTACGAATTGAGATTATTAATAGCAGACATGTAAGATGTCAAAAGGAATGTATTATCTAGTTAGGACTAATAGGATTTTAGAGAAAATTTTTCACAAGAAGAGATTTTTCCATTTAATAACTCATTTATTTTCAAGCAATAGTCTGTTGAATAAAGATTCTAAGCAAATTCACTGTAATGGGGATGAAGGAATTAAATAGAATTTCCCAAGAAATATTGTTCATAATGTTCACCATTATTACAGCTCAACGGTGTTCTTGTATGCCTGCTTTGGCTAAAGTCTCACATAGAAAACCCTTTCACCTAGGCATGGTGGTTGACACCTGTAATCCTAACTACTTGGGAGACTGAGGTGGGAGGATCGCTTGAGCCCAGGAGTTTGAGGCTATAGTGAGCTACGATCATGCCACTGCACTGTTGGATAACACAGCAGACCCTATCTTTATGAAAGAAAGAGAGAGGGAGAGAGAGAGCGAGCCATTGTAGCTGCTGACATAGACTTGAGGAGTCATAACATGATCACCCTCATCATAGCTAACAATTTTGAGAATTTACTGTGAGCCAGCCTTCACTGCATACTGCACTAAATTATCTCATTTTAATGCTCAAAATTCTATAAAGTAGGCACAAATGTTATACTCATTTTTAGATAAAGAAACTGAGGCATAGAAAGATTAAGTAACTTGTTCAAGGGACAGCATTTAACATAAAACACGGATATGTTATATTGGCTGTTTTGCCTTCTCTGTGATGCTGAGAAAATAACATTTTTTGAAGGAATTTCAAGTTCGACTTTACAGCTTTAATTTAAAAGGAAAAATGAAAGGCCTTTTGAATTGCTGTGGCTGTTATACCAGTGACTAATTCCATTGGAAAGCTGGTTCAGTGAGAGCTGAAATTTTAAAAGTCTGAAACATCTGAGAGAGTGGGTTCCCCTTGGCTAGTTGGTGCTTCCCTCACAACCTTTTCCCACATCAGCCTGTGCTGTAAACCTCCCTTTCACTCTGTGATGATTTCATCTCTGAGGGTTTGTAACTCATGGAGCTGTCCTTGGTCTGACAGGTCAGAGAAGAAAAGTTTTTGCCTGGGGTCTCTGGCTTCTCACAAAGTTGCTGCACTTCTCAACTGATTTATATTAATAGAAATCCACAAACCCACCATGTACAACAGATTGAGAGAATTCTTAGGAGAGTGCATGAAAACGCTGAAGTACTTCATCATAGTACATTTTAATTTTTCCCTGCATTGGAGCAGAGCTTTCCCATCTTAGATCAGGAAATGGGAAACCTAAAGTTCACTTACTCAATAAAATCAGGCTGGAGACCCATTTTGGGCAGTTCTAAATGCTGCAAAAGATCAAGATAACATTCCTCCCCTCAAAGATTTTACATGTCAGTGATAAGACACACATAAAAAAGTTAAACAACCCGACATCATAAAGAGATGAATCAGAAGCCAATAGGGTTCCAAGGATACCAAGTGTTTGAAATCCAAGGCAGGGTTACAGGGAGGAGGTCATTGGATGCTGAAATGGTGAGGGAGGTTTCTGGGGAGAGAGAGGAAACTTAATATAGGTCTTGAAGAGGAGAAAGCTAGCCACAGGACAGAGTGTATACTGTAACCCCACTTACCTAAAAATGAAGCAAAACAAAAACTGTATAGGTTTATTAAATGCAGTGAAAAAGAGTCGGAAGGATAACTAGCAAATTGGAAGAAGGGCAATACAGTTGGCAGGTGGGAGAGGGGAAGGGCTAGAATTAATAGGGACTTTCAGTTTTTACTGTATGTATACTTCTTTATTATTGTTTAAATATTTTTCTTTCTTTTTTTTTTGGGATCGTGTTTCGCTTTTGTAGCCAAGGCTGGAGTGCAATGGTGCGTTCTCAGCTCACTGCAACCTCTGCCTCATGGGTTCAAGCGATTTCCTGCCTCAGCCTCCCAAGTAGCTGGGATTACAGGCATCCACCACCATGGCCAGCTAACTTTTTGTATTTTTGGTGGAGACAGGGTTTCACCATGTTGGCCAGGCTGATCTCGAACTCCTGACCTCAGGTGATCCACCCACCTCGGCCTCCCAAAGTGCTGGGATTACAGGCATGAGCCACCTCGCCTAGCCTGTTTGAATATTTTTCTAATGAGGATATACTCATACATTGTTTGGTATAATTAAGAAATACAACATTGACAAAGAACAGATAGAACTTGGGTTTGTAGAGCAAAAGAAAGAGGATATTTTAGTTGAGAAGAACAGCTTAAGTACATGCCTGAAGTTGGAAATGTCCAGGGTGTATTTTGGGCAACAATGAGGAGACCAGTGGGACCAGCACAGAAGGGACATAGTAGCAGGTAGATTGGGGCCAGGTGGAGAAGAGCTGTTAATGAAGACCTAGTGTGAGCCTTTCACCTTCCACCAAAGCAATGAAGAGCCTTCGAAGAGTTGATCTGGAGTCCATTAATCTGTCCACACAAGAATTTATTTATTTATTTATTTTTATTTTATTTTATATATACTTTTTTGAGATGGAGTCTCGCTCTGTCGCCCAGGCTGGAGGGCAGTGACACGAACTCGGCTCACTGCAAGCTCTGACTCCGGGGTTCAGGCCAGTCTCCTATCTCAGCCTCCCAAGTAACTGGGACTACAGGCGCCTGCCACAACACCAGGCTAATTTTTGTATTTTTTTTTTTTCTTTTTGAGATGGAGTCTCGCTCTGTCACCCAGGCTCGAGTGCAGTGGCGTGATCTCGGCTCACTGGAAGCTCCACCTTCTGGGTTCACGCCATTCTCCTGCCTCAGCCTCCCAAGTAGCTGGGACTACAGGCACCCGCCACCACGCCCGGCTAATTTTTTGTATTTTTAGTAGAGACAGGGTTTCACCATGTTAGCCAGGATGGTCTCAATCTCCTGACCTCGTGATCCACCTGCCTCGGCCTCCCAAAGTGCTAGGATTACAGGCGTGAGCCACCGTGCCGGCCAAGAATTAATTTATTGATGAGCATACCTGAAAACCTAGCAAAGTTAGATAATAGAAATTGAAATCTACCTTTCTTGTACACCATGAAAAGCCACGGAACTGTCTCCTATAGTAACTGCAGCAAGAAAGGTTCTGATGTATACAAACCTGATGTTGGACTTTTCAAGAAACACTGAAAATAGAAATGCTGTCAGATGCAACTGGGGAACAACCACTTATACTTGATCCATAGTATTAATTCCACTGTAAATCTCTGTGTAATGCTTGATAGCTATGATGAATGACTTAAATGTAGTAGAGAGATTTTGATCCCCAGCATATGAGAAATGACTGAGTCAAATTTGTAGAAGTTGATTAAAAATTACTTGATTTAAACAAATGAAAATCAGGTGGATTCTGTAACATGATATTTGCATTAGTGAATATGTGTTTTCCTTGAATGAATTGACAAAAATCAATATTTTCTTTAAACTTGCATTTATAACACTATTCAAATACTTATGTATACATCATATTTTGTATATACAAACACACACACACACACACACACACACATTCATACAACAGACATAATAAAGCAAAAATCTGTAGCTATCTGGGAGTGACGAAGTACCTGACGTACAAGCCCATCTTGAAGGAAATATTAAATCTAATAAGGGAAAAACACTACAGATAGTTGAACCTTGAGTCAGTCATGCATTCTGACTCATGTGAAATGATTGGATTCTGGGTGAGATGAATTTTTTTATTGACAACAAGTGGAAGAGGGACATATCGGAGTCCTAGAATGATAATGCAAATTAGCTTTATAAAAACATAGTCTTGGCCGGGCGTGGTGGCTCACGCCCATAATCCTAGCACTTTGGGAGGCCAAGGTGGGTAGATCACCTGAGGTCAGGAGTTTGAGACGAGCTTGGCCAACTTAGTGAAACCCCATTTCTACTGAAAATACAAAAATTAGCCTGGCGTGGTCATGCATGCCTGCAATTCCAGCTACTCAGGAGGCTGAGGCAGGAGAATTGCTTGAACCCAGGAGGTGGAGGTTGCAGTGAGTTGAGATCGTGCCATTGCATTCCAACCTGGGTCATAGAGCAAGATTCCATCTCAAACAAACAAAAACACACACACAGAGAAACATAGTTTTCAGCTGACTCGGTGCTGCTCCACGAGGAGCAGCTTAAAAAAACAAAAACAGCCTTCTCCTGTAGGAGCTGAATTAAAAAAACAAATCAAAACAAAACAACAAAACAACATAGTCTTCATTTACTACAGATTTTCTTGTAACCAGAAGTACTGACAAATTGAATTGAGTTTTCAGTTTTCACTTTGCTTCTCCAGAGTTTAAAGACCTTTTTCTTTTTCTTTTTTTTTTTTTTTTGAGACGGGAGTCTCGGTCTGTCACCCAGGCTGGACTGCAGTGGCACGATTCGGCTCACTGCAAGCTCTGCCTCCCGGGTTCACGCCATTCTCCCGCCTCAGCCTCCCGAGTAGCTGGGACTACAGGTGCCCGCCACCGCACCCGGCTAATTTTTTGTATTTTTAGTAGAGACGGGGTTTCACTGTGTTAACCAAGATGGTCTCGATCTCCTGACCTCGTGATCTGACCGCCTCGGCCTCCCAAAGTGCTGGGATTACAGGCGTGAGCCACCGCGCCCCACCCTTTAAAGACTTTTGATGCTCATTTATCCCTCACTCCACCGTTTCCTTTTCATTCCACAATATGTGTCTTTTTTCAGAGACACAGATGGCACTCTTAATCGGAAAAACTGAACTTTCTTGCCTGGTGATGGGAAAACAATAGCGGGGACAAGAAAGGTTTTAAAAGCCTTCGAAAGTTCCTTGGAAAGGGAGATTCCTGATTTCATATGTTGCATTTTCCTCAGAACCCGTTTTCTCTTCTTAATCCTTCTTTATCCTACAAAATTACTTTGTGGTATCTCTTCCCGACATGAGGTGAGGGCAGCACAAGGCATCTGACCTCCACATGTTGGGAGAAGGCAGGAATGCAAGATGATCCTGTGCCTGACGTGATTAAACAGACTCACACACATTTTACAATAACCAATTTTGGAATAAAAAATGATCCTTTAAGAAAAATCTCCTGATTGTTTTAATATAGTTCTCAGTACCAATCTTGATGAGAATTGATAATTCAAACCAGTAAATATTTACTGCTACCTGCCAAGTTGAATTAAAAAAATTCATTTGGTTCTAACAATATTGTACTCTTGAGTAGAGTTATAGAACAAGAGCAAGTACAGACTAAGTTTCCAGTACAATTCAGACAGGGCAAGTCTGTTCTCTCCTCCCCACTTGTCTCCCTCCCTGATAACTGGTAGATGATAGATAGATAGATAGATAGATAGATAGATAGATAGATAGATAGATAGATAGATAGGGTGGGTATATAGATAGGCAGATGGATGGATGGATGGATGGATGGATGGATGGATGGATGGATGGATGGGGAGACAGAGAGATAGGGTGGGTGGATGGATGGATGGGTGGATAGATGGATAGGGTGGATGGATGGGTGGATGGATAGATAGATAGATTAGATTAGATAGATAGACAGATAGATAGATAGATAGATAGAATGGATGGATAGAGAGAGAGAGATAGAATGGATGGATGGATAGATAGATAGATAGATAGAGTAGGTGGAAGAAACTTCTTCCTGATTTTGTTGTTCTCCCACATATGAAAAGATGGAGCTTCTGTGACTGACAATAGCTTAAGCAAAGACAGGGAAATAATATTTATGAGTGCAGAAGTTAGTCAGGTCATTCTAAGTAGAAAGATGACAGCCAATTTTGTAATCCCACAACATTTTTTAAAAGAGAGGAAGGATTAGGTATTGGTGAAGAATTGATACCCTAAAATAATGCTAAGAAAAAATAGGAACATCTAGAGAGTTAGGAAAGATTTTGGACACCCAAATAACTACCCTCCATTTCTTTATTTGTACATCAACATGTTTGAGATTAAACATACAAAAATACAAATAGGCCGGGCCCAGTGGCTCATGCCTGTAATCCCAGCACTTTGGGAGGCCAAGGCAAGCGGATCACAAGGTCAGGAGTTTGAGAGCAGCCTGGCCAATATGGTGAAACCCCGTCTCTACTAAAAATACAAAATTTAGCTGGGTGTGGTGGCACACGCCTGTAGTCCCAGCTACTTGGGAGGCTGAGGCAGGAGAATTGCTTGAACCCGGGAGGTGGAGGTTGCGGTGAGCCAAGATTGCACCATTGCACTCCAGCCTGGGTGACAGAGTGAGACTCCACTCAAAAAAAAACCAAAAAACAAATATTACTCTGATGATGCTATTACATATCTCCAAAAGCAAACGAACAAATACCCCATTTACTCCCAGTTGACATTGATTATTTTATCCCTGGTTTGTGACCTAAAATGAATTGAGGAACTTACTATATTCAGTTCATTTCTGCCTTCCCTCTAAGTTCAGGGATAAACTTCAAAGTTTATTATTTTTATTAAAGTTTATTTTATCAAAACATTGAATATTTGTAATTTGTAACATATCCTATATATTTTTAATTTATACGAAATAATAATTTCCTAAAATATGCAATTAATGGTATTCTTAACAGATTCACATATTTGTATATATTGAAGTACTAATTTATGGAAATCTATCTTTCCTTTATGTATTTTTAAGTTTTTCATGTGCTTTAATATTTTGATTTTGTGATACTAAAAATATTTTATTTTGTGGGTTTTTAAAAAGATTTATATTATTGCTTTCCTTTTTTTAACCAACAGCTAAATTTGGAAGTTCTATCTTACGTCTCAAATGATCCTTGTTGGTACAAAAAGTGTATCTTTTGGGGAGCTATAAAGATTTCTTGTCTTTTAAGCCTCATTTACAAAGTTTTTGTCAATTGTTTTATACTGACTTTCTCATTAGCTTGCCAGCAATAAGCAAAAATAAAGCTAGGACTGTGTCAAAAATATTCACTGGCCCACATTCATCCTTCTTCAGCAGGTTTACTCCATAGTGTTCCCCATTCAGCTACTGTGCTGGCCAATGGAAACAGCGAGTCGTTGTCTGAAATGAAGAATAATTGGAAACATGGTGCCTGTTTCTTTTCCTGCAAATAACAATTCATCCATTTAACATTCTTTTGGTGCTCTTGAATTCTGTAGTAGACAGCCTTGTGTTCACTGTTCAGTTGAGGCCCATTCGAGAAAAGCTAACCTTCTAGCCTGCTGTTGACCCTCCAATGGGAAACAGTGACAGCCATCAATGGCTTCTACATAGAGCTAGTGACATGTGGCACTAGCAGCTTCATATAGGTAAATGGGCCTCAGGCTGGAAAATGCTAGGCTGGGAGGGATGGTAATAATGATAAAAGATTAAAATTCTGGCTATGATGATCTCCACTTTCCAAAGAAACAAAGCCCAGAAAGGTTAAGTAACTTGCACAAGGTCATTTTGCCAGCAAGCTGTAGAACAGACTGTTTCCAGCATCTTTCTTTTGTACCCTACACAATCTTTTATGGCCACATATGTGATTGATTTTGTAAATGTTCCATACACATATAAAAAGATTGGGCAGGGCGCAGTGGCTCATGCCTGTAATCCCAGCACTTTGGGAGGTCAAGGAGGGTGGATCACGAGGTCAGGAGTTCGAGACCAGCCAGGCCAATAGTGAAACCCCGTCTCTACTGAAAATACAAAAAAATTAGCCAGACGTGGTGGCGCGTGCCTGTAGTCCCAGGTACTCAGGAGGCTGAGGCAGAAGAATCGCTTGAACCTGGGATTGCGGAGGTTGCAGTGAGCCAAGATTGTGCCACTGGACTCCAGCCTGGGTGACAGAGCGAGACTCCATCTCAAAAAAAAAAAAAAAAAGATTGCATATTCCCTTTTTGCAAGGTATATATATGTGGTTTTTATGCTATTTACTAATCACATACACTCTTATATATGTGTATATAATAAGCCTCTGATGATATCATTATAGTTGTCTATATTCTTGCTTGTTTTTGACTTCATGTTCCATCAAATTCTGAAAGGGATGTATTAAAATCTACCACTATGGTTATAATTTCATCAAATGCTCCTTGTCTTTTGATTTTTATTTTGCACTGTTTTTAAGTGCATAATAGCTGATAACTTGTATATCTTTGTCACATTTCTATTCATATCACAGGCAATTGGGCTGGCTGCATAAATGCACACATCATAGTGGCTTAAATACATGAAGCTGTATTTGTCTCATATAAAAGATGTTTGGAGGTAGGAAGTCCAGGACTGGTATAGTAGCTCTATGGTAATCTGGAATGCAAGCTGCTTCTGTCTTCCTACTCTGTCACCTTTAGTGTGTGGTACCCATATTTCAAGTCATGGTTGCAAGATGGCTCCTGCAGCTCTAGCCATCACATACATATTCCAGACAGGAAGGAGGAAAAAGAGTAAAAATGAGTAATCCAGGTGAGTTAGATTTCAGCAGGCCCCATCCACTAACTTCTGCTTACAACTTACTGTTTTTTGGTTTTTGAGACGGAGTTTCGCTTTTGTCACCCAGGCTGAAGTGCAATGGCGTTATCTCGGCTCATTGCAGCCTCTGCCTTCTGGGTTCAAGCGATTCTCCTGCCTCAGCCTCTTGAGTAGCTGCGATTACAGGCGCCTGCCACATGCCCGGCTTTTTTTTTTTTTTTTTTTTTTTTTTTTTGTATTTTTAGTAGAGACGGGGTTTTGCCACGTTGGCCAGGCTGGTCTTGAACTCCTGACCTCAGGTGATCCACCTGCCTCGGCCTCCCAAAGTGCTGGGATTACAGGCATGAGCCACCTACAACTTATTGTCTATCCCTAAGTACAAAAGGAGATGGAAAAATTAACTTAAAAAAAAATCTGGACACACTGCTGCTCCAAATTAAATTGAAGTTTTGTTAGCAAGGATGAAGAGGAATGGACATTGTGTAAGCATCTAGCAATCTTTGCCACAGTCTGTTCAATCGTTCCAGACTCTTGTTCCTATTTAATGCTTCTGGCCTTGAATTTGCTCATATTGGCACTCCTGCTTTTGTTTATTTTGTTTTGCTTTTTTCCTTTTTTGTTGTTATTTTTGGCAATCAGCTTTCTCAGGTTAAACACTCCTGCTTTTGGAGTTCCCTGACATATATCTGCCCAGTCATTTATTTGCAAACTTTCATAGTCACTTTCTTAGAGGTGAATTCCTTAGACATAGCTTAATTTTGTTTTGGCCCAATATAAAAGTTTGCCTTTTGACACAGAGATTCAACTCATCCACATTTTTAGTGGTAACTGATATTTTTTTATTCTTTCCATTTTATTTTTACTGTGTATTATACTTCATTATTGTTTCCTTTCCTCCCTTTCCTTAGACTTACTGGCTTGATCATTTTAAGAAGGTATTTTCTTCTGTTGTTAAGTAGGAAGTTTTCTTCTGAAGCACTTGCTTCTCTTATATAAATAAATACCTTTCTTGACTGAATAAGCATATTCCTGTATCTCAGAGATTCATTGTGAATATGTTGAAGAAGAAATACAATTTATTTCTTTACTAGTGAAATAATAAATAAGGTCATGGGCACCATGTAATAATTAAGGAAGATTATATTCCTCACTTCCTTCAACATCACACATAGACTGCAACAAATATCTCACTACTCCCTTAAGCAGGGCTGGAAATGAGCCCTGTCTTGATGGAGGTGCTGTGTGGTCAGCACTTCCTAGATTCCTTTAAGGGTCTACCTATTGAAGGAAGAAGGTCAGCTGTTATCCTAAAATTCTAAAGTCCACATGGAGAAGAATTATGATGAGTATTCATCCATACACTTCTCTAACTCTACTGAATGCAAAATAAGTTATCAAGAGTGACAAGGCAAATAATTATGACTAATACTGTAATACGCTTTGTGGCTTGCTATCTCCATTGCATTTGTTTTTTAAAAGAGACATTATTATTATTATTATTATTTTGTTGTTGTTGTTTTGAGATAGGGTCTTGCTCTGTCACCAGGCTGGAGTGCAGTGGTGCGATCTCGGCTCACTGCAACCTCCACCTCCTGGGTTCAAGCAATTCTCCTGCCTCAGCCTCCCGAGTAGCTGGGACTACAGGTGCATGCTGCCATGCCCAGCTAATTTTTTGTATTTTTAGTAGAGAAGGGGTTTCACCGTGTTAGCCAGGGTGGTCTTGATCTCCTGTCCTTGTGATCCGCCTGCCTCGGCCTCCCAAAATGCTGGCATTACAGGCATGAGCCACTGCACCTGGCCGATTCTGTTATTTCTAACATTTATTTTTTATTTTTTAGAGACAAGGTCTCGCTCTGTCATCCAGGCTGGAGTGCAGTGGCACAACCATAGCTCACAGCAGTTTGAACTCCTGGTCTCAAGTAATCCTCCTGCCTCAACCTCTTGAAGTGTTAGGATTACAGGCATGAGCCACCATGCCCAGCCAAAAGAATTTTTATAACCTTTTTTCCATGGAAGGCTTGAGTTCTACAAAGTTTGTCATAGCTCTGTGAAGAACTTACATATGAAATGTAGCTCTAGATTACTTGGTGAAATTATTAATCCTTTTCTGATACTCTTACATGTACATAAATATATTGCTTCTGAAAGAAACCTTTTTTCTTGTGTCTGGCTCCAAATTATACCTTCCCCTTCACGCTACAGCAGGACTCGTTCCCAAGAGCAATCACAGATCCTAAAATGAAGCAAATGGTGCAAATGTTACCATTTATGTAGAAATGTTGCTGTTTTTACCATGAGGAACAATATAAAAGAAGAAACCAATGTTTTATGAAAGCTGTTTAAGGCCGGGCGCAGTGGCTCACGCCTGTAATCCCAGCACTTTGGGAGGCCGAGGCGGGCGGATCACCTGAGGTCAGGAGTTCGAGACCAGCATGGCCAACATGGTGAAACTCTGTCTCTACTAAAAATACAAAAATTAGCCGGGTGTGGTGGCAGGTGCCTGTAATCCCAGCTACTCAGGAGACCGAGGCAGGAGAATCACTTGAACCTGAGAGGTGGAGGTTGCAGTGAGCCAAGATCCCACCACTGCACTCCAGCCTGGGCGACAGAGTGAGACTTGGTCTCAAAAAAAAAAAAAAAGAAAGAAAAAGAAAGCTGTATAACTTTTACTCAATGTCATTCTAATTTATTTCTTTCTTAAAATTATTATTTTAGATCCCTTTTGGGAATGGTTTGGTTACAAACTGGTAAACATTTTCATAAATCTTAGAATAATTCCATACAGAAAATTATTTGTACTCTACAAAAATATTTATTAAAATATACAATACATAAATGACTTTCTATGTACAAGAAACTCTCCATCTTGAAACATTTGTGTTATAATATCTGTCCCTCGTGCTCTCTCTCAATATCAAGAGTACAGCAACACCCTTACATGTCTGCCACTCACCATATATTTTGGGGGTAAATTGACAAATAATTAATTCTGCAGTTGGACGTTTTCCCCTTCCCATCACCATTATTTTCCTGCAACTTTTCAGGCAAAGGGAGCAGAGCATGGTGTCACAGGAAGATAATGATAATAATTAATGTTAAATCCACTACTTCCTCCTCCTCTTAGGTATTTTCCCTCCAGTATTGATTATGAAAGAGGCTTAGCCTCACATCAGCCCTAGAAGAAGTGGGAGAAATTTGAGAATAAGAAAGAAAAGCATCTGATGAAAATAAAATTATTATAGAAAACTATATATGCATAAACATGTTATCAGGTTTAAACATTAAAATGTATTGGTATTTAGTATGAGTTTAATGTTACTAGCTACTAACATCTATTAAAAATTAGGCTTCAGGCCAGGCGCAGTGACTCACACCTATAATCTCAGCATTTTGGGAGGCCAAGGCAGGAGGATCAAGTGAAGCCAGGTGTTCGAGACCAGCTTGGGCAACACAGGGAGACTTCATCCCTACCAAAAAGAAAAAAAATTAACTGGACTTGGTGGCGCACACATTTAGTCCCAATAACTCGAGAGGCTGAGGCAGGAGTTTGAGACCAGCCTGGCCAACATGGTGAAACCTCATCCCTATTTTTTTTTTTTTTTTTGAGATGGAGTCTCGTTCTGTCACCCAGGCTGGAGTCCAGTGGCACGATCTCAGCTCACTGCACCCTCCACCTCCTGGGTTCAAGCAATTATCCTGTCTCAGCCTCCTGAGTAGCTGGGACTATAGGCGCAAGCCACCACGCCCAGCTAATTTTTGTATTTTTAGTAGAGACGAGATTTCACCATATTGGTCAGGCTGGTCTCGGACTACTGACCTCAAGTGATCCACCTGCCTTGGCCTCCCAAAGTGCTAAGATTACAGGCGTGAGCCACCACACCCGGCCCCCATCCCTATTAAAAATACAAAAATTAACTGGGTGTGGTGGTGCGTGCCTGTAATTCCAGTTACCCGGGAAGCTGAAGAAGGAGAATTGCTGGAACCCGGGACGGGGAGGCTGCAGTGAGCCGAGATCGCACCACTGCACTCCAGCCTGGGTGACAGAGTGAAACTCCATCTCCAAAAAAAAACCCATCATAAATATGTTCATCAATAGAGTTAATAGAGTTCAAAACTGGTCTGGATTCAATATGTTGACAAAATGCTTCAAACCTGGATACCAGTCCTGCAGTTGACACTGTATGATTGAATTTGGGAAAAACAGGTTCCCATAGCTTTCAGGAATAGGGTTTGAAAATACTGGAATTGAAAAGCTTCAGTAAGAGAAGACAATGCTTACCACAGCCAAGCTGTCACTCTCTAATTATTTTTACTTTCACGTTATTTGGGCCCAAAGAACTAGATGAGGAATCAGGAGTTTACATAAACAAATCCCTGGAATATACAATTTAGCTTATCCTTTAGCATCTCTATTTTTCCTCCAGTTGAGTGAGAAGAAACCCTAAGACCAAACCTTATATCTTCCAGAAGCATTTTAAGGAATAACCATGTTTGAAAGATTTCTCTAATGAGTCATATAGAATTCTGTTACTATAGAGAGATTGTCTTCTTTGCTAAGAACAAATAGAGAATAAAGACTTACAAATAAATGAGTTGTTTTAAGAGTCTGTTTTATAGTGTCACCTTTTTGTGAAATTCCCCATTATACTGCCACATTTTAATGTTCTTTTTCTCTGGCCTGGGCTTAGAGCAATGATCTGCCACTCTCATGTATGAACTATGCACTAGAGTACAGAAATATACATAATCTTTGCCTAGGGTATAATTTTAGTGGGCTGACGCAGCAGCACAAGAAAGGCTCTGAAATGCCAGTGGGTTACACATGCATTGATCTTGACAAATTCTATGTGATCAACGTGACCATGGCATACCTTGTGACTTTTTTGGTTGGTTTGCTTAAATGTCAATCAAATTTTAAGATAATTATGAGATGAAATGCACTAGGGGACCTACCACACAGCATCAGGTGGATGTGGAGTGGTTTTGCTACTCATATAAAGTGAAATCCTGCAAAATAACACCCTCAAAGGAGCTGAATGTAAAGGAGAAAGGGGAAGACAATATCTTATCATTAAAAATCAATCAGATATTTACTAAGTGCCTCTTCTGATGACTTCTTACATTTCAGTGGCTAGCAGATCTTGGTTCACAAAATACTTTCACAGACATTATCTTATTTGATCCTCCCAACAACCGGTAAGGTAAGAGAGGTAATCTGAAAATGAGGAAATGGCAACTCTGAGACTTAAGTGCTTTCTGAGGACCTATACTCAGCTTGACGGGGGTGGGGAGCATTGGAACTGCCCAGGTCTCCAAATACTCTGTCCTGTAATCATTCCCTCTTGATCACCCACTATTGTACTCCTTCATTCTCTGTCTGGTCCTGTGGAGGAGTCCAAAGAAATTGGAAGGCGTAAATCTTGCCCTCAGGGAGATTCTGCTCTAGATGAGAGAATGCAAGTTTTCGTAATAAAAACAACAGAGAATTATTAAGTGTTAAACCGTATGAAACAGGCTACAAATATAGTAACAGATTATTTTCACTGGAAAATAAGATGCTATAAATTGTACCCAATGGCCTGAAAAATGTATGTGCAGGTGCCTGAGAATAGTGGTCAACTCAATGTTTCTGAAGTTTTCCAGCCAGGCAATCAATGTTTTCCTAGAGAAGTCTCATGGTTAATTCTTGACTAGGAGAAAAGCCAACAAGCACTATCTTGCCCAGCTCTTTGGTGACACATGGTTGCTTCTAAGAGCCAATTCTTGAATCTTTGAATTCTTTTTAGCCTCTGTTGTGCCTCAGACTGAGAACAGGAAGCTTGTGGGAACCAGTCCTGGCCCTGGTACCTTGTTGCATCCTCTAAACGATCAGTGGAGGCCACCGAGGAAATTGCCTGTTCACCTCCTCCTAGTTATCTAGTTTGCAAACGGAGTAAAGAAGAAGAGTTACTTTTTTTTTTTAAGCTGCCTTGAGGTGGGAGAATGGACACATTTGTTCTCTACTCAGAGAGACCATAGACTTCAAGGGTCTGCAGGGACTCTGTGATCACTTTTCTTTCTTTTTTTAGTTTTTTTAGAGACAGGGTCTCACTATGTGACTATTCACAGGCATGATCACAGGCATGACTACAGTGTCAAACTCCTGGGCTCAAGCAATCCTCCCAACTCCGCCTCCCTAGTAGCTGTGACTATAGGTGTGCACCACTGTGCCTGGCTTTATTTTCTAATGTCTTAATGCTCAAACCTAAAATTCTCCAAATCCATATTTGTTTCAGATGCAAAATTCTATTCCAAATATCTGTTCTTTGTTTTTTTCAGCAGAGCAAGCCTGTCCTTAGAAACAGCTGCAGGCCAGTCACTGTCTCTCCCTGTCTTTATCTTCCCTGCTGAGTGGCATGTTGCTTGCAAGGCCCCATGGGGACTTCCAAAGCCTTCCATAAATGACTGGCAGTAATACTTTTTTTTTTTGAGATGGAGTTTCGTTCTTGTTGCCCAGGCTGGAGTGCAATGGCGTGGTCTCGGTTTACTGCAACCTCCGCCTCCCGGGTTCAAGCAATTCACCTGACTCAGCCTCCCAAGTAGCTGGGATTACAGGTGCCCGCCACTACATCCAGCTAATCTTTTTGTAATTTTAGTAGAGACAGGGTTTCACCACATTGGCCAGGCTAGTCTCGAACTCCTGACCTCAGGTGATCTGCCCGCCTTGGCCTCCAAAGTGCTGGGATCACAGGCATGAGCCACCATGCCCGGCCAGCAATACTTTTTTAAAGATGCACACACCCAGCCAGGTTCACCAGTATTATGGATGTTTCTGTGTAGTCTTCTCCAAAATGCTAATTTGCTGAAGTGTCCATGGGAATAGGCCAACACGGATGGATCTACTGTATAACTTGCCTGCCATCAGGAAAGAGTCAACACGGCAGACACATGCTGGCAGAAACCCTGCTGGAGTTGCCCCTGAGCATTGATGCATACCACCCGAGAGGAGGAGAGGGTGGTGGGAGAAATCAGATCAGAGTTCAGAATGCACCGTAATGCTCTGTAAATGTAAGACTGCACCTTGCAGGAACTGTCAATGCCACTACCAATATCACTCACTTACATCAAGCACTTGAGAGCAGCTGCGAACACAATTCTCTGACTCCTAACCTTAAGCACGTGACTGGTACCACTGGACAACCTATGTTCTCAAAGATGCATCTTTTAAACTACTTTCCCTAGGGGCCCGGCACGGTGGCTCACACCTGTAATCCCAGCACTTTAGGAGGCCAAGGTGGGCAGATCACCTGAGGTCAGAAGTTCGAGACCAGCCTGACCAACATGGTGAAACCTCGTCTCTACTAAAAATACAAAAAAAAAAAAAATTAGCCAGACACGGTGGCACATGCCTGTAATCCCAGCTACTCGGGAGGCTGAGGCTGGAGAATCGCTTGAACCTGGGAAGCAGTGAGCCGAGATCGCACCACTGCACTCCAGCCTGGGCGACAGAGCAAGATTCCATCTCAAAAAAAAATAAAAAATAAAAAAATTACTTTCCCAGGAGTAGAAATGGATTTATGCTGAGTCACTCAAGCTTTCATTTCATCCAGGGGTTGTGAACATAGATTCTGGAACCAGCTCTGTCACATACTAGCCGTATGACCTTGGGAAAATTACCTAAAAATTCTCCATGCCTTCAATTCCCGTGTGTGAAATGGTGATAATTATACCAGCTACCCCATAAAGTTGTTTTGAGGCTTAGAGATGTAAAGAGCTTAGAACATGGCCTAGCACGTATTTTGTACCATGTAAGTGGTATTTTCATTTGTTCTTCTAATATTAATTTAAAACATCTGTGGGCCGGGGGTGGTGGTGCAGGCCTGTAATCCCAGCACTTTGGGAGGCTGAGGTGGGCAGATCATGAGGTCAAGAGATTGAGACCATCCTGGCCAACATGGTGAAACCCCGTCTTCACTAAAAAAAACAAAAATTAGCTGGGCATAGTGGCACGCGCCTGTAATCCCAGCTATCAGGAGACTGAGACAGGAGAATTCCTTGCACCCGGAAGGTGGAGGTTGCAATGAGCCGAAATCATGTCATTGCACTCCAGCCTGGGTGACAGAATAAGACTCCGTCTCAAAAACAAACAAACAAACAGCCTCTGTTCTGACCAGGTATGGGTGGCTCACGCCAGTAATCCCAGCACTTTGGGAGGCCGAAGTGGGAAGATTGCTTGAGGCCAGGAGTTCAAGACCAGCCTGGGCAACATAGCAAGATACTGTCTCTATACAAAATAATTTTAAAAATGAGCTGGGCATGGTAGCACACGCCTGTAGCCCCAGCTGCTCAGGAGGCCAACGTGGGAGGATTGCTTGAGACCAGGAGATCACGGCTGCAGAGAACCATGATCGTGCCACTGCCCTCTGGGCTGGGAGATAGTTAGATCCTGTGTCAAAAAAAAAAATTAAAACAAAACCTCTGCTCTGGACGCTGCTAGGTGTTGAGAGGTAAAAACAAATAACATGCAGTAGGTTCCCTCAGTGGGCTTACGGTCTGTTTTATTACTTTACTGTCACTGTTTTATTTACTTTGCCTAGCACGCCAGTTGCAAAGTACTCAATAAATGTTTCTGAACGTATGATTGTCTTGTGGAAACAGGCAAGCATACCAATAACTTCAATGAAATGACAGGATGTAACTGTGCCTGGCCCATAGTAAGTGTCTGGTACCATATAAGCATTAGCTATCTTAATTATGAGTTTAGTAGAATAAATGCTGAGATTGAGTGTGCGGGCTGAAGGTTGAGGGTGAGGAGGTAGAAGTGCACTCAGGGAAGTCTTCCAAGAGGCAGTATCATTGAGCTTAGTTTTGATCAGCGTGTAGGCGTTAGCCAGTAAGAGAAGAGGGCTAAGTGTGTTCCAGGCAGAAGGAACATTGTGTGCAGAGTTAGAGAGGCGTGAAATAGCACAATACATTCAGGGAACTCCGAGTAGGCAAGAAGGACTGGAGCGCCATCCTTATTGTGACATCCAGCATGCATTTGTTAAATGAGTGTTTGAGATTAGAAGCTGTGGGATGAAACAAAACAAATGAGACATTGCTTGTGTTATTCTGGCCTTCAGCATTGAACTAAATAAGCAGTCATGGACGAAGTGGCCAGAGGATTTGTTCAGTGTCATACTTGCTCTGGTACAAATGCTATATACTTTCCTACCGCACAGTCAGCCTCTTCTTGTCCTCTGCTAGAGGAAGTAAATTCACTTCATTTGTCTTTTTTTTTTTTTCCAAAACAACTGAGATAAATTACAATAAAGTTGAGGAGACTGTAGTGTAGGTGAAGATGTTTTTGCATAGTAACGTATTGCTCTAGAGCAGAGGTCAGCAAACTATGGCCTGAGGGCCAAATCTGATCCACCGCCTGTTTCTGTAATTAAGTTTTACTGGAATACAGCCATGCTCATTTGTATACAGGTTGTCTATGGCTGCTTTAGTGCTATAACAGCAGAGTTAGGTAGTTATGACAGAGACTATACAGCCTGCAAAGCTTAAAATATTTACTGGCTGGCCCTTTACAGAAAGTGTTTGCCAATCCTAGGCCAGGTGCGGTGACTCATGCCTGTAACCTCAGCACTTTGGGACGCTGAGATGGAAGGATCACTTGAGTCCAGGATTTCGAGACCAGAGTCCAGGAGTTTGAGGCCACTCTGACTGACATGGCGAAACCCCGTCTCTACTAAAGGTACACACAAAAAAACTAGCCAGGCATGGTGGCGCATGCCTGTAGTCCCAGCTACTTGGGAGGCTGAGGCAGGAAAATTGCTTGAACCCAGGAGGTGGAGGTTGCAGTGAGCTGAGATTGTGCCACTGTACCCCAGCCTGGGTGACAGAGTGAGACTCTGTCTCAAAAAAAAGAAAAAGAAAGTGAGTGTTTGCCAGTCCTCACTCTAGATTCTTCTCTTCTAATCTGATAAATAACAACCACCTAAATATTTAAAACAAGGTATTGGGTTGGTTCAGAGTCAATGTGGTAAACAATAGGTTATCGAATTTTAAAAATTCACCATTAAGGAGAGAGAAGATTGCACATACGTTACCCATAAAGTGTGTGATAAACATGAATAAATAAATAAACATAGTTTCTACGATTGGCTTTTGAATTTGGCTCTGAGCTTCCTAGCCATGGGGGGCGTTGGGGGGAAGAAGATAATTGATCACCTGTATTAGTTACCTGTTACTTCATAACAAACCATCTTAAAATTGCATGGCATATAACAGCTACCATTTACTATTTCTCGAGTCTGTGAATTGGCTGAGAGGTTCTGCTGATCTGGGCTGGGCCCAGCTGACCACAGTGGGCTTGCTCACACATTTGTGATCAGCTGGTATGTTCGCTTGGAGCTGGCTGGTCTAAAATGGCTTCAGCTGGAGTGGCTCATCTTGACTCCACAGGATGTCTCATCCTCCAGCCGGCTAGCCTGGACTTGTTCGCATAGCCCTGGCAGGTTTCAGAGGAGAGCCGAAGCACACACTTGAGGCTTAGGCTTGGAACTGGAACACCATTATTTCAATTACATTCTAGTGGCCAAAGCCAGCCAAAAGGCAGGCCCAGACTCAAGGAATGTAGAAACAGACTCCAGCTCTTGATGGGAGGAGCTGCAAAGTCACATTGCAAGGGGCAGGGAAACAGGAGGGACAGAATTGAGGCCATGTTTGAAATCACAAACAATCAATCATCATCTAAAACAGCGTGTATTCCAACCACAAAATTTTAAAAGTCATCTCTGTGGTCTAAAGCGGAAAGAACGAGTCATCATACATCAGTCTATTCAGCCCCACCCACAGATATGAATCATCAGTGTCTTCAGCTAAGAGGACCACTATCTTCTAGCTAATGACAAATACAGAGGAGGGGTGGAAAGAAGTCTGTTGGAAATGTGTACATATCACATGAGACCCAGACCCATATTCAAATACCACTTGATGAATTTCACCAGGGAATCAGACTCAGTTTTAATGGGTTAAAGGGATACGGAAAATCATTGTCACAGATGTAAGCAATAACTCAACTAAACATCAGCTTTTGAGGCTCAACCCTAAACAGACCTACAATATTCTGGCTGATTCCCATTTGCCTCCACTTTTATCATTGGGTGGTGGTAAAATTGGTCACTGTATTCAAAGATCATATCACTACCTATGGATATGGATGTGATTGAAATGACAGACAGGGGAGAATTTTTTTTAACTTACTAGCCATGTAATGATTTTTTAAAATTTATTGCTAGAAAATCTTCACTATTACCAAACTTGCCTCAATAAATGATGTTACGTATAAATAGCAACAGCGATGTCAGAAGACCTCCTTAGCATTTCTTTTCCTGGTATGATATGGCTGTCTGTAAGAAGAGAGTAAACATAGATAGCTCTTGCTTCTTACGGTATTTCAGAATCCCCCTAGAAGTTTTTTATATTAAAAAACAAACAAAAAAAAAAACACAAAACTCCCAAACCACCCAGACAAACCCACCCAGCCTAGGTATGAGAATGTTCTTTCAGGCCTAGAGCCAGTCAGGGTCCTTAGCTTTGTTTGCAAGATGCCAGTGCCTTTATACTCAGACTTCGTGGAGCTGCCACCATACTTCTGTAGTAATAGCAGTAGTGAGTGGGGAGGTACATGACAGAATTTAGAGAACTATTAGACGCCCGTTGACTCAGACATCAGGACCACCTGTGAATGGAAATATCTTTCAACTTAGATATAATAAAAAGGAACGGAGCTGTTGATGTTATTGAGGAGGTGGAAACAAAACCTTCAGGATGCTTGAAGATAACTGGTTTATAGGAGGGCTGGGGGCAATAGGGCTGTCTTAGGAAGAACAAATGATGCTTCCAAAATTTGAGTGCAGAAAATCAGAAGTTAACCTTGGGTGGGTCACAAGGTTAAATGTAATGAAGGCTAAGTGTGACAAGGTTAAATGACATAACATATATAAAATACCTGGTGGGTTACTTAGAAGAGTACACCTCAAAAATGTTGGTTCCCTCCATCTCTCTGGATCCCCCACCCCCTTAAGGATTTCTTAAAAAACGAAAAACCTGCCAGCCAGCTGCCACTGGAAAGATGTCAAGTAGGATAAGCTGCTGATAGGTGGTAACAACAAAATCCACATCCAGGTGGATGGAGCAGGGGGATGTCACCTCTCCTGCCCCTCCCCTAATTACAAGTTGGAGGCAGCATAAAGACATTCCTTCCTTCCTGCAGAGGAAGTATGTGTTTTCTCTCAGACCTACCTTGGCATTCCTTGATGTCTTAGAGAAGCAGATGACCCCGGCTGAGCAAGACAGTCAGCAGAACAGCAGCCCTCGATGCTGCAATTGGAAATTTCCATTCTTTGCTTGCAGCTCTGAAAAAAAAAAAAAAATCTAAAGAGCCCAGTAGCTGGGAAATTTCCATGATGGAAAATTTTAACATATTCTTTAGCTCTAAACTATGCAGGTTTATAGAGACTATTTTTTTTTCTTTTGGTAATTTTCTTCTTTAACAATAATTTATGATCATTGTAACACTACAGCTGTGGGAATAAGGAGAACAAAATGAGTTGGAGGGGAATGGGTATGGTTCAGGCTAGTGGGAGGCTGTGCTATCTACTTGTGTGACCACCCAAATAATAGAAATGCAGATTGCTATAAGACCCACTGGTTGGGAATTCATCCAAAATAGAGATAGCTTGCCCTGGAGCGCTGCAGAGAAATCTGTGTAGAGACTGGTAGTGGAAAATGGATGGATAACAACTTCAGACCAGGACATGGGGAGTTCTGTTGCTGGAAAAAGCAACTCAGGCAGGTCTGTTAGACCACTGCTATTTAATCCTAAAACTGCATACAAATCACCTGGGAACCTTGTTGAGCTACAGATTCTGATTCAATAGCCCTGGAGTGAGGACCGAGACTCTCTGCTCCCAGGTGACGCTGATGCTGCCCTTCTGAGGACCACGCTGTGACTAGCTAGGCCATAGATAGCAGGTCTTCATCAGTATAAGGTCAGCTCGCCTTGGGTAGCAAAACACTGCCTAAGGGCAGCTGGAGGTGAGCCCCCGTGGGGTTGTTTGCTCAGATTACAAAGCTAAGGTCTAAAAGTAGAACTGGATGTTTTCTGGAGAGATGCTCCACGCAAGTCTGGATAAAGTGGATCTCTTGAGATGTGGGAATGCAAGCAGTTGCCAGAAGGCTGCTTACTCCAGCAGATTCAAGTTGGGGGCTTCTAGAAATCAATGCCTTTCCAGAGAAACTCTTGCATCAAGCCGGCGAAGATTCCTAAGTTGGTCCTGATTTCTGAGTGATTCTCCAGTGTTGTGGTGTGTGAGTGAAACACCAATGAACCAGCTCCAAATATTGAGGGAAGACTGTTGGTCAGGATGATGTGAAGGAGAGAAGGAGTACAGAGAATAAATTACTTCCACCCTAGCTAGAATAGCTGCCTCATTTTTATTGAGATAAAATAAAAAGGAAATTGAAGAATTTTCCATTTACTTAACAGTTATCTTGCCTTCGTGTTACCAATTTTACAAGGAGAGAGAAAGATAAAAATCTGTGGCATCTTCATTTCAGGGTGTTACCTCCAATTGGTCTGTAATGTATCTGCTGTATATATTTCCTTTTTTTTCCTTTTTTTTTTTTTTGAGACAGAGTCTCGCTGTATCTCCCAGGCTGGAGTGCAGTGGTGCAATCTCGGCTCACTGCAACCTCCGCCTCCCAGCTTCAAGCAATTCTCATGCCTCAGCCTCTCAAGTAGCTGGGACTACAGGCAGCTGCCACCATGCCTGACTATTTTTTTTTTTTTGTATTGTAGTAGAGATGGGTTTTCACCATGTTGCCCAGGGTGGTCTTGAACTCCTAAGCTCAGGCAATCTGCCTGCCTCGGCCTCTCAAAGTGCTAGGATTATAGGTATGAGCCACCGCGCCCAGCCTGCTGTGTGTGTATGTGTGTGTGTATATGTATACATGTATATATATATTATATATATACATATATATTATATATATATGTATATATATATTATATATATACGTATATATATAAAAATATATATACGTATATATACATATATACTTATGTATAATATATAAAAATATATAAAATATAATATATACAATATATAAATATATAAAATATATACAATATATAAATATATAAAATATAATATATACAATATATAAATATATAAAATATATAATATATACAATATATAAATATATAAAATATAATATATACAATATATAAATATATAAAATATAATATATACAATATATAAATATATAAAATATAATATATACAATATATAAATATATAAAATATATAATATATACAATATATAAATATATAAAATATATACAATATATAAATATATAAAATATATAAATATACAATATATAAATATATATAATATATACACATATAAATATAAATATTTACATATATATAAATATATATATTATATATATTTTTTGAGATGGAGTCTCACCCTGTCGCCCAGGCTGGAGTGCAATGGCACGATCTTAGCTCACTGCAACCTCCACCTCCAGGTTTCAAACAATTCTCCTGCCTCAGCCTCCTGAGTAGCTGGGACTACAGGCACCCACCACCACGCCCTGCTAATTTTTGTATTTTTAGTACAGATGGGGTTTCACCGGGTTGGCCAGGCTGGTCTCGAACTCCTGACCTCGTGATCCACCTGCCTCAGCCTCCCAAAGTGCTGAGATTACAGGCATGAGCCACTGTGCCCGGCCTGCTGTGTATATTTTTAAAGCAACATTTGTCCTATGTTTTTTGTCTTCCATTCACTTGAGTTTTGGATGGGTGGTTACTACTACCCAAAGTACACACAGGAGCATATGAAGAAAAGGAGAGGGATATTATGAAAATGTGATGTTGAAATCAGTGTAACAAGCATAGAATTAATTTGAGTATATAATAAAAAGTATTAAAATATATATTGGAAGTAAATGAGTATTCTAATATGCTAACTTCCATATAACAGTTACAAAATTTAAATGGCTTACAGAATTGTTTAGGGATTTGGACCTCCAGAAATTGGTTAATATTTTCCCTTGCAAAAATCTTCACTGTGGAGTCAAGGTATGATTCAGCAATGAAACAGTCTTTCTGATTACTTATGTAAGGCGATCAGTTTGCTTGTTTTTTTCCTTACTATATGTCTTGTTGAGCAATTATTTATCTAGGAACCATCTTACAACCTATAGTCAACCCAATGGAATTTACTAAATCCATCTAAAGTCACATTTTTAAAAATTATTATTATTATTATTTTTTGAGACGGAGTCTCACTCTGTTGCCCAGGCTGGAGTGCAGTGGTGCGATCTCAGCTCACTGCAACCTCTGCCTCCTGGGTTCAAGTGATTCTTCTGCCTCAGCCTCCTGGAGTAGCTGGGACTACAGGTGCGCACCACCATGACGAGCCAAGTTGTGTTTGTTTGTTTATTTTAGTAGAGATGAGGTTTCACCATATTGGCCAGGCTGGTCTCAAATTCCTGACCTCGTGATCCGCCCGCCTCGGCCTCTCAGCCTCCCAAAGTGCTGGGATTACAGGCGTGAGCCACTGCGCTCAGCTAAAAATTATTATTTTTGAGACAGGCTGGAATTCAGTGGCACCATCATGGCTCACGGCAGCCTCAACTCCCCAACCCCCACCACCCACCCACAATGCCCAGCTAATTTTAAAAATTTTTAAATTTTTTGTAGAGATGTGGTTTCCTTATGTTGTTCAGGCTAGTAACAAACTCCTGGGCTCAAGCAACCCTCCCACCCCAGCCTCCCAAAATGCCGGGATTATAAGCATGAGCCACAGGACCTTGTCCTTTTTCAAAATTATTGAGGTGAAATTCACATAACATAAAATTACCTAGGTTATTTATTTTTCTTGCTTTGTTTTGTTTTTTTTTTTTTTTTTCCAGAAACAGGATCTCATTTTATTGCCCCGGCTGGTCTTGAACTCCTGGGCTCAAACAATCCTCTCCCCGCCATCCACCTCGGCCTCTCAAAGTGCTGGGATTATAGGCATGAACCACTGTGCCCAGACAATTACCTATTTTAAAGTGAACAATTCAGAGGCATTTAGTATATTTACAACATTGTACAACCACCACTTGCATCTAGTTCCAAAACATTTGGATCATACCCAAAGGAAACCCCATGTCCATTACGCAATTGCTTCCAACTTCCCCCGGCAGCCCCTGGCAACCACCAATCTACTTTCTGAGTTTGTGTATTTACCTGTTCAGGGTATTTCCTATGAATGGACTCAAATGGCCCTTTGTAAAGTCACATCTTCTTAATAAACATCATAATTATAAAAATCTAATGTTAATGAGTGCATATAACAGGTGAGATATTTAATCCTTACAAGCTTATAAATGGGTATCATTATTAGATAGACAAGAAAACTAGAATTTAGCTTAAATCAATACATTAAATCCATATGCTTGAGATCCATACTTACGGCCAGAGAATAACCTTTGGCCAGACCCAGTTACTCTAGTGCTCTTTCCAAATGCCACAGCCGCATCTCAATTTTCATTTCCCTTATCACAAACAGATGGATAGATACTCCTTCTCAAGCTTAACAACTTCACAGAGCTTGATTCAAATACTGAATGTGTTGCTAGTTGCTTACAGCTGCTATTTCTCTAGCAGTGCAGTAAGTCCAGGCAAACTCTTTTGAAGAGCTCATTAAAACTGCTAAAATAAAGTCTTAGAAGCAGGTGCATTCATTAGCTGAAATGCAGACGATTATGTTAATATCGCATTCAGGTGACAAATTTAAAGGCACCAAATCATGAAGGATAAAAGGATTTTCAAAGCTAAAGTTAACTTCTCCCTTTGTAGAGCTCTTTGTTCTGGTAAGCATGTGACTGACTACAGCTGTCAACACGGGCACCTCCAAAGTTATCTCGCAAAAACAAAGGTGTTTTGCAGTATCATACTTCTTTTACAATTTCCTGGGTCTCTACTGAGGAAAAGAAAGGTAAGGAATTACCTACAAACCTGGTGCTATTTTTCAAATAGGAGATCTGGCACCCCATTTACAATTTATCATCAGATTGGTCTCAGGGGAAGAGGAGACGCGTTAAAGAAGGTGATTAAAATATGTGGACAGTGGGCCGGGCACGGTGGCTCATGGCTGTAATCCCAGCATTTTGGGAGACCGAGGCGGGTGGATCACTTGAGGTCAGGAGTTTGAGACCAGCCTGGCCAACATGGTGAAACCCCATCTCTACTAAAAGCACAAAAAGTAGCCAGGCATGGTGGCACGTGCCTGTAATCCCAGCTACTCAGGAGGCTGAGGCAGGAGAATCGCTTGAACCTGGGAGGTGGAGGTTGCAACGAGCCAAGATCGTGCCACTGCACTCCAGCCTGGGTGACAGAGTGAGACTGTCTAAAAAAAAAATAAAAATGTGTACAGTGGTTCCCAATTTGGAAAAGATGGGCTAACAACTCTTTTACTTTGCCTTTTTTTCCTCCTCAATATTTTGAGCATGAAATATATATGTAACCACATACATATTTCATATGTGTTTGGGAGACTGTTAATAGTAGTTTCGGCTGGGCCCGGTGGCTCACGCCTGGAATCCCAGCACTCTGGGAGCCTGAGGTGGGCGGATCATGAGGTCAGGAGATTGAAACCAGCCTGGCCAACGTGGTGAAACCCTGTCTCTACTAAAAATACAAAAATTAGCTCAGCATGGCAGCGCGTGCCTGTAATCCCAGCTACTTGGGAGGCTGAGGCAGGGGAACCGCTTGAACCCAAGAGGCAGAGGTTGCAGTGAGCCGAGATTGCACCACTGCACTCAGCCTGGAGACAGAGCTAGACTCCATCTCAAACAACAACAACAACAACAAAAACCAGTAGTTTCATCAGGATAATTTTAATTTTCTTTTTTGTGTATATTTTTATATTTCCCAAATTTTCTACAATGAATATGTAAATTTTTTAGAAACTTTAAATGTAATTTTTTTATTAAAATTTATTTTTGAATTTGTAATTTTTCAAGTTATTAAAAATTATCACTTAGCCTCTCCACATTCAGTTGTTTTACCTATAAAGTTGGGTTACTACTGAATTGCATAGCACATGGAAGCTGGATGAGATGTTTCCCCATATTCCATTCCTCCTCTCAAATCCAGGATGTCTGTGGAAATGTGGGTTCCTCTTTAGAAGGCAATATAAGAAAATGCAGCTAGGTATCCAACCATTTATAAGAATATATAAACAAGCTTAAGGATTTTTATGTCTTTCTTCAGAACGTCAATCAAGTGGGCATTCATCAAAGCGAATGTGTCTGTCACTCGCAAAGGAAAAAAGGCTGAACAACCTTTTTAGGCCAAATCTACTTATTTATTTATTTATTATACAAAAAAGTCTGTGAAGGCTTTGTAAGCTAATACTCGACACATTCATTTTTTTTTTTCCAAAACGGTGTGCTAAAATGACTGCTGACTGCAAAATGTAAATAATGAAGCTGCCATAGAGTGGCACCTACTTATGGGGCATGTTTGCATAGAATGTGTGTGTGTTTGCTAAATAGCTTGTAATTAACAAGCTGAAAGGCTGCTTGTACAGTGTAGTAGTCCTATTTTTGCCTGCTGTCCTCTTCAGCTCTTCTCCTTCTAGCTTGCTCTGTACATTATCACTTGCTCTTTTCTCTATACAATTTAGAAGCCCATTGGCCCCCATTTAAAAAGAAAAGCAACATGTAAATCAGGAAAAAAAAATCCCCATTGGGAATGGGTTGGGTAAGCAAAGAATTCTATATAGATGTATACATATACACCCCTCTCCCTGGTCAAGAATGGCCTCGCTGAATCCCTGTTCCAAATGCCGTGACAAGTCTCATTAGCTGGAGCTCATTGTGTGCAGCTCCTTTGACTGCTGGACAGCTCCGAGTCTCCTAGGAATACTTTTCCACACGCCCCATCCTCCTCTGTTTAATTCTCAGAGCTGGCACACACACAAAGGTTTCAGAATCAAGACAAAGTGAAGAACATGGCCAGAAGAGACTCCTGTTCTTCCAAAATAGTGCATTACTATCATAAGATTAGAGGGTAAACTTCAGAGCACAGGCTTGATTGTTTGATTGATTGATTTTTTTTTGAGACAGGGTCTCGCTTTGTTGCCCAGGCTGAAGTGCAGTGGCACAGTCATGGCTCTCTGCAGCCTTGACCTCTTGGGCTCGAGCAATCCTCCCACTTCAGCCCCCTGAATAGCTGGGACTACAAATGCGTGCCACCATGCCCAGTTAATTAAAATTTTATTATTATTATTATTATTATTATTATTATTATTATTATTATTATTATTTTGTAAAGACAGAGTCTCATTATGTTGCCCAGGCTGGTCTCCAACTCCTGGGCTCAAGCAACTCCCACCTCAGCCTCCCAAAGTGCTGGGGTTACAGGCATGAACCACTGCACCTGGCCAAGAACACAGGATTGAAAGATGAACTTGAGAGGTCTCCCTAGTCAAGTTTCCTTTAAATGGATGCTCTCTTCTAGAGCATGCCTGATAGTCATCCAGCCTGACCTTGGATAATCATCCAGCCTGACCTTGAAATTTTCCAATGACACAAACTCTCTTTCATTTTCCCACTTTTATATAGAGTACTAACAGTAATAACCTAATAGTATAACTAATAGTATAACCACAATGCCAAAAAAGAAAAAAAAAGTATGAGTGATTTCTAATCTAATACTGCCAGCATTTTAAAAATCAGCATGTTTTTTTTTTAAGACAATGTCTGGCTCTATTGCCCAGGCTGGAGTGCAGTGGCACCATCTCAGGTCTGCAACCTCTGCCTCCCAGGCTCAAGCTGTCCTCCCACCTCGGCCTCCTGAGTAGCTGGGACAACAGGCCCACACCACCATACTGGACTAATTTTAAAAAGCAGCTATTTTAAAATTTCTGTTATTGAGCCAGAATCCAGGATGCAGTGAGAGTGAATCATTGACTGAAAGACACTTAGAAGGTTTTATTGGTCTGTGGTATTCATCACACCACAAAGGCCAGGCCCTGAAAAGGAAAACTGTGTAAAGAATGTATAAGCCTCAACACCACAGTGTTGTCCAAGTCTATTCCTAATTCATCCTGCTTTGTTGCTCTGACACCTGTACCACAAAAGAAAATTTCTGAGATTATCTTACCTAGGAACCTTGTCTTAAACTATATTCCAGCATGTACAAACACTAAGTTGAGCAAAGTAGGACACATGTCGTCAGGACCTCCTGAGGCTGTGTCATGGAAAAAAATTTTTTTTTAAAGAAAAGCAAAGTTGAGCAAAGCGTTCCCAAGTTACCTAAATTTTGCATATGATGGTATTCCTTCGGAATGCTTTGGGAAGTTCAGCAGGATTCTGAAACAACTAAATGTGACAACACAAAGAACAAAAATAGACAAAGGAAAAAATTTCAAAGATAGTGTGTCCTGTGAAAACAGTCAGATATCCTTTCTTTCCACACTGGCTATATGGGAGAGTCTTTTAAAATAAGTTGTAATGATGAAAGTGGGGTTGAATTTTTTAAAAGCAAATTTTGAAAATTACTTAGCTAATAGAAAAGGTAGAAGACTGTGAACTATAAATTTTGCTAAGTGAATTGAACGGAGAGGTTTTAAAAATGACTATTATTTTCATGAATTATAAAAAAAATTCAAACAACACAAAATATTACAAAGAAGAAGAAACAACCTTATGTCCCGTCACCTAAAAATAATATTATCATCATAAATATTAGGGGAATATCATTCTGGATGTGGAAATGAGAGATAACTTAGAATTTTAAAAACAACTTACTCTTAGGCAACTAAGCCTGATCGTATTGTTGATGGCCTAATTGTGAGAGACTCTAAAACTGACTTTTTTATATGTCTGTTTTATTTGAAAAGTTATGAGAGGAGGGGAACTAATTAGAATTCTCAGTCCATAACCAATGATAAGAACGTGAGTTCAGGCTGGGCAGGGAGGTTCACCCCTGTAATCCCAGCACTTTGAGAGGCTGAGGCAGGAGAATCCCTTGAGTCCAGGATTTGCCCAAGGAAACATATCTTATGTTTTAGATATAGCTGAATTGAGGGTTAAAGCATGGACATATAAAATAAAATAAAGATGTTTGCTAATTTCTATTGAACTCACATTAAAAAAAAAAAAAAGATAGAGACAGGGTCTTAATATGTTGCCCAGACTGGAGTACAGTAGTGCAATCATTAGCTCACTGTAACCTCGAAATCCTGGGCTCAAGCAATCCTGCTTCCGAAGTAGCTGAGACTACTGGTGCATGCCAATACAGATGATTTTTAAATATTTTAAATATTTTGTAGAGATAGGTTCTCATTATGTTGCCTGGGCTGATCTCAAACTCTTGGCCTCTTCAACCCAAACTCTTTATTTCAATACTCACTGAAGAATATTATTCTTGCTTAGCCATACCCACTTCCCTTGGAGAAGAAAGGGCATATATTTTCATTATAGGTGAAGGTGGATGCTACTGAGAAGGCCTTTATATATCACATCAAGGCCCATTTTTACTAGTTATACCTCTTTTTCTGAGCACGTGAAATATTTTCCTGAGTCTTTTAATTTTTTAAAAAATTGAGACGGAGTCTCACTCTATCACCCAGGCTGGAGTACAGTGGTGTGATCTCGACTCACTGCAACATCTGCTGCCAGGGTTCAAGTGATTCTCGTGTCTCAGCCTCCCAAGTAGCTGGGACTACAGGTGCGTGCCACCATGCCCAGCTAATTTTTTAAATATTTTTTAGAGGAGACGGGGCTTTGCTGTGTTGGCCAGGCTGGTATGGAACTCCTGACCTCAAGTGATCGGCCCACCTCAGCCTCCCAAAGTGCTGGAATTATAGGTGTGAGCCACTGCACCCAGCCTTGTAATTTTTTAAATGTGTTGCTTTTTTTTGAGATGAGGTCTTGCTCTGCTGCCCAGGCTGGAGTGCAGTAGCACCATCTCAGCTCTGCAACCTCTGCCTCCTGGGCTCAAGCCATCCTCCTGCCTCAGTCTCCTGAGTAGCTGGGACTACAGGGCGTGCCACTGCACCTGACCTAATGTGTTACTTTTAACCCCAGTTATTTGTTAAGAAACTCCCACCCTGAGATTCCTTCTCTTACTGAGGTGAAGTCATTTTTATTTATTTAATTATTTCTTTATGAAAAGGAAAGAGTAAAATTCCCCTTCCTCACTCCTAAACAAACTTCATTAAACTCATATTTGGGCAAAAAGTTTAAGTAGAAATTTTCAAACTCAAAGAAAACTTTGGTCCTTTATGTTGCAAAAATCAAGAACATTACCTGTGTTAAATTCAACAGACATTGATACTGATTATGCAAATGGCAGATTATTCATTCTTTTTAAAATGTGTATGGTAGCTCCCCCTTACTTGCATTTGACTAATGCTAATACAAAATTAGATGCCATTTCCTGACTTAGTCACCAATTTACATTGAGAAAATATGGGTCAAATAGGTGGAAGAAGAAAGCCAATATTTCCTTGGTAACCATTATATCAAAATTGAAGATAATTACTTAATCAAAAGTACAGATTTTCCATGCAATGGCTCTGTTTATCTCAAAGTATTAGCACATTGGACTACCTGACCATTTTTCCTGAAAAACTAAAGTGCAAATAATTTTAGTAAATTAAATCATATTTTTCCACTGACGTGTTCTAATTTAAAGATAGAATTTTACTTTTAATTGATCCTTAACTAAGAGTGGCACTTAACTATTCTCTTACTATTGATGCTTATGTGTATCAAGCAATAGATTAAAGCCAGTGCCACTGCTACTTTGTTTTACTGTTATTGTATTTAACGAGAAGCCACGTTGTATGTAAAGGAGTTAAAGCCCTACTTCCAAAACACTACTTCCTCCTTCCCTAAATTCATGAGGTGGCCACCTCTTTTTTTTGGAGACAGAGTCTTGCTCTGTTGCCCAGGCTGATGTACAGCGGTGCCATCTCAGCTCACTGCAACCTTCGCCTCCTGAATTCAAGCTATTCTCATGCCTCAGCCTCCTGAGCAGCTGGGATTACAGGCACCCACCACCACACCTGGCTAACTTTTGTATTTTTAGTAGAAACAGGGTTTCACCATGTTGTCCAGGCTGGTCTCAAATTCCTGACCTCAGGTAATCCACCTGCCTCGGCCTCCCAAAGTGCTGGGATTATAGGCGTGAGCCACCATGCCCGGCCCCACTTCAATTTTTTAATGTTTGAAACTTCACACTTCGTTAGCATTCACTAAGGCATACTGAGGAAGCACCAACTTGAATTAGTGAAAATTTTGAATGCTATAATATAAAACTACATGATCATATCTCTTCATGGTACAATATGCAATTCTTAGCAGTCTATAGTGAAGAATTTCCAAGAAGAAGGCTACTACTTCTAGGCACCTTGGTAAACTCATAAAATGAATAAGGTTACTGGGTAATTCATCTAACACATTTTTACAATTAGAATCATCATCCGTCTTGTATACTGTATCTACTTTGGTGCCAAATGCCTGCATTTGTTTAGGGCTTTACTACGTATAAAGCAAATTTCACATAATGCTATTTGATTCAGACACAACACTAATCATTTTGGCTACCACTGTTTGTATGACTACTAGGAGTGCCTTAATGATATGACTCTTCTTTTAGCTTCTGACAAATGAGTGTTGCTAAGTTATCTGAATATGTTCAGTTCCTGTTCACTGAGCAGTTACTATATGCTTGGCATCAAGCTAGAAAATTTTTGTCCTTTTGGGTTAACAATTCACTCTAAATTATCATTCATTTTGCCTGGTGACACTTTATCTTATGCTTTATTCAGCACCTGTCTAAATGTACTTATGTATTCAAAAGATACTTAACACTTGTAATAGGTTACAGGCACAAATTTAAAATGACTAGGGTCTGCGGGTGAAAGTCATTTGCCATGTGGAACAACACTAGTCAAGAAATTAGTTAATCAATCAGTGTTTTGCTCTAACTAATATATCTTTTTCGGGGTTTCTCCACTTTGGCACTATTGACTTTTTTTTTTTTTTTTTTTTTTTTTTTTTTTTGAGATGTTGTCTTGCTCTGTCACCAGGCTGGAGAGCAGTGATGTGATCTCAGCTCACTGCAACCTCTGCCTCCCGAGTTCAAGCGATTCACCATGCCCGGCTAATTTTTTGTATTTTAGTAGAGACAGGGGTTTCACCATGTTGGCCAGGATGGTCTTGATCTCCTGACCTTCTGATCTGCCAGCCTCGGCCTCTCAATATGCTGGGATTACAGGCTTGAGCCACCATGCCCTGCCAAATTTTTTAATTGTTGTTGTTGTTGTTATATAGATTAGAGGTTTCTATGTTGCCCAGGCTGGCCTCGAATGCATAGCCTCACCTCCTTATGCGCCAGGACAACAGGCCTGAGCCACCGCGGCTCCCTGGCACTGACATTTTAGACCAGATCATTCTTTGTTCTGGGGGACTGTCCTGGGCATTATAGGATGTTCAACAGCAGCACTTGCCTCTTTCCATTAGATGCCAGTAGTACCTCCACTTCCAGTTTTGATCATCACAAACGTCTCCAGACATTGTCAAATGTCCCCATGGTGGAGTGGAGGGGAGAGAGTGTCCCTGGTTAAAATCACTGGGCTAGTGTGGAGATCATGATTTCTTTACTAGATTTTAAAGATCTTGAAGGCAGAGACCCAGTCTGATTCATTGCTCTACCACCTCTTCCCCACCAACTAAATTTAGTTTCTGGCGCAGAAATGTTTCTTGATGAATGTTCTGAAAAGAATAAAGTATCTCCTGGAGTCCTCCACTGTCGTCAGCCCTGTACAAGGCACCTTGGTAAACCCACAGGATGAACAAGGTAACTGGGGTAATTCATCTAACAAATTTGAATACAAATTTACGATTTGAATAATCATCTATGTCGTATACTGTGCCCACGTTGGTGCAAAATGCTTACATTTGTAGAGGGCTTTACCATGTATGAAGCACATTTCACATAATGTTATTTGATTCAGATATCTAATCACTTTGGCTACCACTGTTTATAATTTAAACTCCCAAGTCCGAGCACTGTATTTTTAGGCAGGAGTGGGAGGTATTTTGATTTCAGTGGCATTGCCTTCATTTATTAAAAGGAACTCTTGGGATTGGTTTAATAATAATTGAATTTAAATTTCAGATTCTTTTTTGTCATGTTAGAAGTAGAACATCTAAAAGGCCCTTCATGATCTAAGTAATTCTGGTTTACTTAGATTCCTGGAAATTGCCAGAGGATTTTAAGGGAGGAGGAAAAAAAGAGTGAGGAAATTTTCCCTGTGGGCAATTGGGGAAAACAAAAATATTTTTGTGCTGCGGTGACTTCTCAGGAAAGGAGGGTTGGCCAGCAGCGGCTGCATCTGCACAAGGGGAATTTCCACATTTGGGAAAACATGGTCATAATTAATGACTTAGGAAAGCCAAGAAAACGGACCATGTTGGAAAAATATGATCTTCAGTGGCCAAGTCATTGTCAACTGATTGGGCCAGAAAATTGGATTATTTTAGAAAGAGATATTTATTTGTGAATATTTGTCTGTAGGTCCTTCCTTCTGTGAATCTAATAAGTGCCCTGCTCCTGCCTGGAGAGTCGGCTTCTCATAGCCTTTCCCACTCTCTCTGTCTCTCCCTGTCCTAAGGGAAGACTTGCTTTAGACTTCTAGCCTGAACACTGGCCTGCAGTCTTTTGCTTTGAACATGATGCTTGGGTCTAGCCACCAGAGATTGCTGGATCCTAACATAGCCCTCATTTATTGATGACTCCATGTCCTGGGCCCTGGGCGAAGAACACTGAAAAACTATCTTGATTTAGACATGAGAAAACTGAGTCTTGGGGAATTTAAGTCACTTACCTAGGACCAATACAGCTTTAACTACCAAGCTATACTTCTTGCATCTCCTCATCCTGTATATAAAGTCTACTTCCTAAATTGGAATGTTCTCACTCTGTATACAATCTCTTCCCCAGACCGCCTTGTTTAAACTAGATCTGGCCTGGGTTGATGTTCATCCAAGTACTTCCTGGTTACCTGTTCTCAGGAGGATAAGTCTGGGTTAGCAGGCTCAGCACCATCGAATCTTGGTCTACTTGGGGAATGAATATGTAGTCAGAACATTCTTGCCCAGCTTTGGGGTTTTCTTTTATTTTAGTGATCAATTTTATTAAAATAGGTATGATCATCTTTTGCTTCTTCTTTTCATAATTTTCTCAAGATCAGGGATCAGGAATAGCTTGCCAAATTTCAACAGGTATTCCCAAGTTGAAGGTCAATTTTTTTTAGAAAGGGAAATATCTCTAAGAAAAAAAATCCTTATATTTGACATGTAGATGTAGTATCCAATAGAACATCAACAAAATGCAGTACTTTGTTTTGTGAATTGAAAAAGCTGCAAGTTAGGCCGGGTGCGGTGGCTCACGCCTGTAATCCCAGCACATTGGGAGGCTGAGGCGGGCAGATCACGAGGTCAGGAGTTCAAGACCAGCCTGGCCAACATGGTGGAACCCCGTCTCTATTAAAAATACAAACATTAGGCCGGGCGCGGTGGCTCATGCCTGTAATCCCAGCACTTTGGGAGGCCAAGGCAGGCCGATCACAAGGTCAGGAGATCGAGACCATCCTGGCTACAAAAAATTAGCCAGGCGTGGTGGCAGGTGCCTGTAGTCCCAGCTACTCAGGAGGCTGAGGCAGGAGAATGGCGTGAACTCAGGAGGCGGAGCTGGCAGTGAGCCGAGATCACGCCACTGCACTCTAGCCTAGGCGACAGAGCAAGACTCCGTATCAAAAAAAAAAAAAAATTAGCTGGGTGTGGTGGTGGGCACCTGTAACCCTAGCTACTTGGGAGGCTGAGGCAGGAGAATTGCTTGAACCCAGGAGGCAAAGGTTGCAGTGAGCCAAGATTGTGCCACTGCACTCCAGCCTGGGCAACAGAACAAGACTCCGTCTCAAAAAAAAAAAAGAAAAAGAAAAAGCTGCAAGTTAAATCATGTCCCTCTGCAGCAACAATTCCATGCTCTAGACCTTTATGATGAGGCTTCTAAAGTTAGCCCTGCCCTGTGACTGCAATGAATCGGAGAAAACAAACCTAACTAGGATTTAACAGTCTAATTGCCCTGGATTGAACCTCAATGGTATTATAATTAATTTAAAAATCACAACATTGGGAAATAATGTAATACATTTCTTTTCTGTTGAAATTAAAACATATTAATTAAATCTTATTAATATTTGTTTTCCGATCGCTTCTTGGGCATAGTCAGACATTATTACCTTTATTTGGTGATATGAAAACTGAAGGGGTGTATTAGTTTTCTACTGTTGAGTAACAAATTATCACACATTCAGGGAGGTGGAACAACATTTCACTTATTCCATAGGTTTTGCAGTTCTATAGGTCAGAAGTCCTGGTGGGCTTGGCTGGTTTCTCTGCTTAGGGTCCCAATGAGTCAGAAATCAAGGTATTCATCAGGCTAGACTCTTACGTGGGGGCTCGGGGGAAGACTCTGCTTCCAAGCCCCTTCAGATCGCTGGAGGAACTGAGTTCCTTGTGGCTGTAACACCGAGGCCTTTTTATCTTTCCTGCTGTCAACCAGGAGCCACTGGCTGCTCCTAGAGGCCTTGCATGTTTTCCTTCTCATGCACTTTCCCCCATCTTCACCTTCAAAGCCAGCAATCACCCTTAAATCTTTCTCACCTCTGGAATCTCTGTGACTTTCCTCTTCTGCTTCCAGCTGAGAAAAACTTTTTTTTTTTTTTTTTCTGAAACAGAGTCTTGCTCTGTCACCCAGGCTGGAGCGCAAAGGCATGATCTCTGCTCACTGCAACCTCTGCCTCCTGGGTTCAAGCGATTCTCCTGTCTCAGCCTCCTGAGTAGCTGGGACTACAGGTGGGTGCCACCATGCCCAGCTAATTTTTGTATTTTTAGTAGAGACGGGGTTTCGCCATGTTGACCAGGCTGGTCTCGAACTCCTGACCTCAGGTGATCCACCGCCTCAGCCTCCCAAAGTGCTGGGATTACAGGCCTGAGCCACCACTCAAAAAACTATTTTTTTAAAGGACTCACTGGTTTGGGCCAAGCCCTCTGGGATAATCCCCATATTTTAAAGTAAACTAATTTGGAACTTAAATTACATCTGCAAAATCCTATTGCAGCTGTACCTAGATTATTGTTTCACAAAATAACCAGGGGATGGGAATCTTGGGCAGCAATCTTAAGGACTCTGCTTACCATAAGGAAATAGTTACTCAGTTAACCTGAGATACAATCTAGAAACAGATGAGCAGCAGTATTAAACCAAAGAATTTAATTTTGTATTTCCTTCCCTTTTTTGTGTTTTTTAAACATATATGTTTATTTGTTAATATACCTGTATGTATGTGTATAATTATTATTATTATTATTGTTATTATTATTATTATTTTAGAGATAGGCTCTCACTCTGTTGCCCGGCCTGGAGTGCAGTGTCAAAATCATAGCTCACTGCAACCTCAAACTCCTGGGTTCAAGCAATCTTCTTGCTTCAGCCTCCAGGGTAGTTAGGACTACAGGCGTGCGCCACCGTGGCCGGCTAATTTTGTTTATTTTTTTAGAGATGGGGTCTTGCTATGTTTTCCCGGCTGGTCTCAAACTCCTGGCCTCAAGCAATCTTCCCACCTTGGCCTCCCAAAGTGCTGGGATTATGGGCATGAGCCCCCATGCCCTTCCTTACTATAGTATATTTTGGGAGGCACTCACCCCCATATTTTATTTTTATTAATGCATGATTTAAAATGTTGCCAAGGCTGATTTGGGACATGTGTTTTTAAGGGTCTATGGACGTCTGAGTGGTACTGTCGAGGCTTGGAGCTAGGTGTGGGTGTGTATGGTAGAGGAGATGGTGATGGCAGGTGAAGAAGGGACAGAGGCTAAGGTTTTGGTGAATACAGAAGAGGCATTTACTCCCATTTTTAATGTATTCACTGAAGATATTTGAAGATGGGAATCCTTTTGTTTTCTATAGGCAAGTCTAGAAGGTCAAAACCCAAGGGATTCTATGTGTGTTATTTATTTTTATTTATTTATTTATTTTTGAGACAGAGTCTCACTCACTCTGTCACCCGGGCTGGAGTGCAGTGGTGTGATTTGCAGCCTCCACCTCCCCGGTTGAAGTGATTCTTGTGCCTCAGCCTTCCAAGTAGCTGGGATTACAGGTGTGCATCACCAGGCCCTGCTAATTTTTGTGTTTTTAGTAGAGACAGGGTTTCGTCATGTTGGCCAGGCTGGTCTGGAACTCCTGGCCTCAAGTGATCCGCCCACCTCGGCCTCCCAAAGTGTTGGGATTACAGGCATGAGCCACCGCGCTGGACTATGTGTGTTATTTATGGGCAGTATTTGAGGATGTTGCCAAACAGGCATTTTGGAGCATGTGGATCAGCATCACTAGCATGCCATGCCTTTACTACAGATTCAAACTTCCCAAGTTTTTGCTGCACGGTTTCAATGTACCATGGCCTACCAGATGTACTAAAGGCTAGAACACAGGCTGAGTCCATGGGCCCAGCTAACCACTGATCCAGAAGCCTGGGCCCACAGAGGGTCACCTTGGGATTGCAAAGGTCTGGAAAAGGCTGAGAGGATCATAGAAAGGAAGAGGATCTATTAATTTTTCTGATCTTGTAATTTTACCTGGAGAACAGCCTGATGAAAAATCTAAAATTCTGGTCAAGGGAGTAGAGATGGTTTTAGCCTTTGGAAAGAACATATATAGAAATATGAAAAACCTAAGAAAAAGGCAAAATGTTTCAGAGGCTAAATATTTCTCACTTCTTCCCAGAATATTTAGGTTTCCCCCTTCTTAAAGTCCTGGCCAAAAATGGAGGGAGGGGGGAGATTTCCCAGATGTTTCTTTTCAATTGTCCCAGACCTTCGGAAAAGAGTGAGAAAATGCTACCATATTATTGGGCAAAGAGAAGTAAGTCAGTGGAGAGGGCATTTGATAACTGCACTGAAAGAGTGATACAATTAGGGTATAAGTGGCATGTTTACCTTTGGAAAGGAGGACACAGGAGGAAAGAGGTAGGGTGGAAGATGTTAATGTTGCTTATTCATTGTGATGTCTTAAAGCACAACACATTGTATGTTCTTTCACTGGCAAAGAATTTTGCTCTATAAAGAATAACTCTGCTAGGCATGGTGGCTCACACCTGTAATCCCAATATTTTGGGAGGCTGAGGCTAGCAGATCGTTTGAGCCCAGGAGTTTGAGAGCAGCCTGGGCAACACAGGAAAACCCTGTCTCAACAAAAAAATATAAACAATAGCTGGGTGTGGTGGTGCGTGCCTGTGGTCACAGCTACTTGGGAGGCCGAGGCAGGAGGATTGCCTGAGCCTGGGAGGTTGGTCGAGGCTGCAGTGAGCTGAGATGGCACCACTGCACTCCAGCCTAGGTGACAGAGTGAGACCCTGTCTTGAAAAATAATAATAACTAAAGGATACTGGTAATATGTTACAGATATTACTTTTATTCTTAATACTTCTACTTAAAAATCTTTCCCTTCATTTATTCAATCATTCAGAAATCTTTGAGGAGAACCTGCCATGTGCCTTCATCTGGGTGCTAGGAATACGACAGCAAACACAACAGATGAGGTCCCAGCTCTCATGGAGCTTATATTCTAGTGTAGGGGAGTTGGAAAATGAGGAAACACTTACTTTTCATTACGTGATACATAAAGAGGTAAATATGATGTGTTAGACTGTGAAAGGTTAGACAGTGATAGCAATGCAGAGCAATATAATAGAGTGAAGTGATAGATGACAAGCTGGCTATTTTAGACTGGGTGGCTGTGGAAGACCTGTCTGAAGTGATGACATTTGAACAGTGATCTCAATGACAGGGAGGAGCTGGTCATGAAAAGATCAGAATGAAGAGCACTCTACGTGGAGAGAACAGAAGGTTCCGACATCCTCAAGATGGCAAGAAATTTGAGTTTGAGAAAGAGAGAGAGGGCCTAGGTGGCTGGAACTCAGTGGCAAATGCAAAAGTGGTACAAGATGAAGTTGGACAAGTGGACAGGACCTAGATCATTTAAGCATGGCTGGCCATGGTAAGGAATTTGGATTTTTAAGTGAGATGGGAAGCTCTCAGAAAGTTTTAAGCAAGGAAGTAATTTTCTGTTTGGGCAATGAATTGCAGAGAGCAAGGGTGGAAGTCCAGAGATGTTTAGGAAGCAATTACAGGAATTCAGGCCAACAATGGCGGCTTGGTCTAGGATACTAGCAGTGAAGATGAGGAGCGCTGGGTGTATGGGGTGTATGTGGAAGGCAGAGTCAATGGGACTTTCCGATGGCTTGTATGTAAGATATAAGAAAAAGGAACCAAAGATATGTCCTCTGTTATCAGCTCGGGCACTGGGTGGATGGTGATGCCATTTAGTGAGACAGGTTGGCTGGGAACAAGAAGTGTAGAAGACTCTGATAAATCCCTCCCAAATAGCTGTTCCTTTCTTCCTCCTTGCTAACACAGCCCTGACTTTGTTTAGGATGACAGTTTGTCCAGCTTCAAGTGATGAATTATGATTGCTGTCATTCAGTCATAATAATCCCATTCCCTTTTGCTAGATACTCAATCCCCTCATCTCCTTTGCAGCTAGGGGTGACTCATTTCTGGCTAGTAAGCCCTAAGTGAAAGCCTCTGGGGATAGATGTGGCTGTCCGGAATACCATCGCAATAGTTGGACCTATGGCAGCCATCTTCTGACTGTAAGACAAAAGACATGAGGATTAAAGACCAATACATGAGGTACGATAAAGTAGAAAAAAAAATTTACCTGATTCCTGGGTAGTATAGATGAGCAGCTGGGTCAACACCGGAAATCATCTATTGCCAAACATCTTGTTTATGAAAAAAGTAAAACTATTTGTTTAAATCTTGTTGTTTGATATAAGAAGGTTAAGGGAAAGAATCAGGAGTACTCTTCTAACCATGTTGGTTTGAGATGCCTATTAGATATTCATGTGAAAGTGACTGCCTAATTTCTTCCTTTCTCCAATGGAATAAAATTTTCTAGACCTTTTAAATCTTAGCATAGGATTATAGCACTAGAAAACATGAAGCATTGGCTGGGCATGGTGGCTCATGCCTATAATCCCAGCACTTTGGGAGGCCGAGGAGGGTGGATTGCCTGAGCTCAGGAGTTTGAGAACAGCCTGGGCAACACGGAGAAACCCTGTCTCTACTAAAAAATACAAAAAATTAGCAGGCGTGGCAGCGTGCACCTGTAGTCCCAGCTACTTGGGAGGCTGAGGCAGGAGAATGGCTGGAACCTGGGAGGTGGAAGTTGCAGTGAGCTGAGATTGTACCATTGCACTCCAGCCTGGGGGACAGAGTGAGACTGTATCTCCAAAAAATAAACATACAAAAAATTAGCCAGGCATGGTGGTGCACACCTGTAGTCCTAGCTACTTGGGAGGCTGAGGTGGGAGGATCACCTGAGCCTGAGAGGTCAAGGCTGCTGTGAGCTGTGTTTGTGCCACTGCACTCCAGCCTGGGAGATCGACTGAGACCCTGTCTCAGAAAAAGAAAGAGAGAAAGAGAGAGAGAAAGGGGAAGGGAGGGAGGGAGGGAGGGGAGGGGGGAGGGGAGCATTAAGCATAAAAGTGAATGAAGTTGAAGTGGCCAGGAGGGAGACCAAATTAGAAGCTGACCATCAACATATAAGACTGACTTCCCTATTATTGATAGGTTAGCAGGGTTGAAGTCGTTAAAATAGGAAATACAGTATACTGGGTTGGTGGGGAAAGCTCAGTCTGAGGAACAGGCAGGTTCCCACATTACCAAGTATCTTCCATCACCATGGTGGGGCAACACTGTCCTGGACTAGAGTATACATTTCTATGAAGATACCTTCTTACCTATATGACACAGTGTTCATGTACTGCTGTATTTCCTCTCCTGATATATAACAAATAATCTAGTGAAAATTTCCCACTAACTTACCCAGGGAACTATAAGTAGGCCAAATGAAGCTTTTAGCACACTTTCTGGTTGCTGATAAAAATCAGCAACTATAAACCCAATTGCTCCTATTTCCATTAGAGCTGCTTTCCAGAACTAGGTCTCCAGTTATGTACATTAAAAGTTTGCCAACCCACTTATTTTCTTCCTAAATACTTTATTATATGCAGGATGGCTTGGGCTTCATCTACAGCAAACAAATATATGTATATATTTGCCAGTGGGCCATCAGAAACATCTATTGATTGTCTATGTGTACAAGTAACTGAGTCTGCAAAATTGCCTTCAAAGGCTAAGTCTCTTGTATTCTGCCCTTACTGAGAGTCTGTACTCTCCTAAGGTTAATTGGCTTATCATATTCTGCTTTTGTGCTCCCTAGTTTACCATGATGCTTGGGGTTTTTGCCCCTACGCTTTTCACTTTGTCTTCCTGTAATTTATTACAACCAACCCTTGTGTTTTTTTTTTTTTAACAGTTTTGGATCTGCATTAATTTTTTAGTCCCCAGAGGAACACTATGTTCCCAAACATTATGTTCTGCACTCTCATGCTCATATCACTTTGTGTAGTGCCAGACACCTCCTGGGATCTCAAGAAATGTTGTTTCTTTTTAAAAGATGGGTGATTACTCTAGGAGGCTCATAAAAGATCTTTCTCAGTTGAGTTACTTTCACTGTTTATGTATCCCAAGTGGCTTAGGTCAAAATATTGGTTAATAGAAAGACTCCAAGTCTTTGGAGAAGCTTTACTAGTGTCTCCTCATCTCTGTAAAAGCAAAGATGAGTATTGAATGGTCTTACAGGAGTGTTGGAGAGAAATGATGAAAAGCATTAGAAATGAGAAGGCCTTTGTTGAAAATATGAAATGCCAGAGTGAAGACAGTATCATTATTCCCAAGCAGGCCTCAGTGTAAGCGGAGCTCTCTCCACCAATTGAAGCTGTTCATCACTACAAAGAATGGCTGTCCTGCAGGATCCTTTCTGCTGCTGGCTCCTACTGCAGAGAATAGAAACTTCTTTCTAAATACTGTATCCAAAATGTTTCCTCTTCTCTCAACTTCTCAGCTCTATCCAGGACACTTCACTGCTTTCCTCCAAGGCAAACTTGAACCTTCCTCTAAATTCCTTCCCTGAAGGCTGTTTTGAGGCAGAGGGATAGGACCATGGACAGAGGCTTAGCCTACCAATCACTCACACAGCAGGAAAGTCAATTCTCTTCCTACCAGGAATCCCTGGGAGAGGGTGTTTACATGAATAGACTCTTCTTTAACTATAGGTCACTTTTCCCTTCTCTAACTTCCTTTGGAGTGATGCTGTGTCTTCTAGAAACACTGACTCCTTCCAGCAACTCTCTGCTCCTTAGACATATAAGAAATACTCATTCTTGCAAATGCAGTTCTTAAAATATTTCAAAACATCTTCATTATAAAATATTTCAGGCAAACAGAAAACTATGAAAAATAGTTTAACAAACATCTATGTGTAAAACAGCTACCTTAGCTGGGCGCAGTGGCTCACGCCTGTAATCCCAGCACTTTGGGAGGCCGAGGAGGGTGGATCACCTGAGGTTGGGAGTTCGAGACCAGCCTGACCAACATGGAGAAACCCCATCTCTACTAAAAATACAAAATTAGCCGGGCATGATGGTGCATGCCTGTAATCCCAGCTACTCCTGAGGCTGAGGCAGGAGAATTGCTGGAACCCGGGAGGCGGAGGTTGCGGTGAGCCGAGATCGCACCATTGTACTCCAGCCTGGGCAACAAGAGCAAAACTCCGTCTCAAAAAAAAAAAACAAAAAACACCTACCTTAACAGATCTTAATTTTGACTTACTTGATTTAGGGTTTGTTTGTGAAAAGTCTTACAATACATTTGAGGCCCCTTACCTACCGCCAATCACATTCATTTCTCTATTTTTCTCCTTCCCTCTTTTCACAAAAGTAACCATTATCTGGAAGTTGCAATACGTGATTCCCATGCAACTTTTATACTTTTATATTATACATATATATACATAAACAATACAAAGTATTGTTTTGTGTTTGTAAAGTATAAAGGAAAACTATATTATGCTGTATATAATATTCTGCCGTGTATTTTATTCATTATTATTTTTTAGATGTGTTTATATTGCAGCCCAAAGAACTAAGCCATTACTTGTAATTGTTGTACATTATTCTCTTGCTTGAATATATACAGGTTACTTATCCTTCCTCTTGCCTTAAGGATGTGAAGGTTGTTTTTAGTTTGTTGTCAGTGATGCTATAACAAACAATGCTGCAATTAACATTTAAATACCGGTCTTCTGGTGCACACCATGTGAGGTTTTTCTAGGCCAGAGTCTGTCAACCTTGTATTATTGACATTTTGGACTAGATAATTCTTTGCTGTGGGAAGGATGTTGAGCAGAATTCCTCACCTCTAACAGCCAAGAATATCTTCAAATATTACCAAATATTCCCTTGGTGGGGAAAATCACCCTTGGTTGAAAACGATGAGTCTAGACAATTTACCTAAGGGAGGAACTACAGGTCTTAGGATTCATATTAATATACAGTACCATTTTGCTTTCCAAAAGTTCTGTTTCTCCACATTTTGCTAATTTTTGGCATTTTCAGAATTTAAAAATTTTGCCAATTTATAGGTATGAAATAGTTGATTATTTTTCTTATTGCTTCGCATGAGTTCTTTATAATTTTTGAATACTAACACATGGATGGTTTTATGCCTAGCAAAATATCTCCTCTCAGTCTGAGCTTTCTTTTTCTTGATGGTCTCTTTTTTAAAGTGGTAAAATGTATCCATATTTTCCTTTATGTTTTATACTTTTATGTTTTATTTAATAAGTTCTTCCCTACCCCAAAGGTGTAAACATAATGTCTTGTATTTTTTTCTAGAAGTATAAAGTTTTACTGTTCATATTTAGGTCTTTAAACCAACTTAAACTTACTGTGACATGAAACAGGAAATATGTATATAATTATTTCCACCCGCCTCAGCCTCCCAAAGTGCTAGGATTACAGGCATGAGCCACTGAGCCCAGCCCTCGTTCTCCTTTCTAGCCTCAATTATTTTCAAGTATTCATGGGTCCTCTGCCATAGTGCATAGTCTAAGCCCGTCATAGTAATCCCATTCCTTTGGGATTGGTTTTGGCACGGGCTTCTGTTGCATGTCTTGGCAATGAGACCTAAGTGGAATTGTGCTAGAGTGGGGTTGGGATGGGGTGGGTAAGTTTTCCTCATACTGAAAAAAGTACATGAGAAAAAGACTTGCCCTTCCTATGTTTGTACAAAGTTGGAGAAAAATGTGATGGCTGATACTGTAGCAGCCATCTTGTCACTCTGAGGGGACAAGCTGGAAACCAGCACACAGAGATTAACTAAGCAGAAAGATGAAAAGGTCCCAGGTCCCCATGATGCTGCTGTGCTGTTGAAGTAACCAATATTGGGGCTACCTATCACTGGACAGCCTGTAATCTGAAATAATAAACCTCTTATTGCTTAAGCCACTCTAAGTTGTATATTATTACTTTCCACCAAATGCATGTAATTTTTGACCCTTTCGTTTTCTACATGGACTTTGTAATCACTGTACCATGTTCCATAATCAGGTTGGGATTTTTCAAATTGGGTTTGCATTGAAATTAAATATTAACTTTGGGAGAACTGACATCTTTATGATAATGAATGTTTTAATTCATGAATATGGTATATGTTTCCATTTATTCAAATCTTCTGCAATGTTTTCCATAAGAATATTTTATATACAAAAGTACATGTTATATTTATTCCTAGACACTATATTGTTTATGGCTATTAAGTATGTTATCTTTTGTTTGCTAGTAAATGTTGTATGTGATAAATACTGAGATGTAGGGTTACAGTGGAATTTTGTATGTTGATCTTATACCAATCAGCATACAAGACAGAGTTTCGCTTTGTTGTCCCAGCTGGAGTGCAGTCGCTTGATCTCAGCTCACTGCAACCTCCGCCTTCTGGGTTCAAGCAATTCTCCCACCTCAGCCCCCACCAAATAGCTGGGATTACAGGAATGCACCACCACACCAGCTAATTTTTGTATTTTTAGTAGAGATGGGGTTTCACCATGTTGGCCAGGCTGGTCGTGACCTCCTAACCATAAGTGATCCACACACCTCAGCCTCCCAAAGTGGTGGGATTACAGGCGTGAGCCTCTGTGCCCAGACAATTGTTGTTTTTTTACAGACAGGGTCTCAGGCTATTGCCCAGCCTGGTATGCAATGGCACCACAATAACTCACTGCAGCCTCAAATTTCTGGCTCAAGGGATCCTTCTGTCTCAGCCTCCTGGGTAGCTGGGACTACAGACAAACATCACCACACCCAGCTAATTTTTAGATTATCCGGGGATCTTGCCCAGGCTGGTCTTGAACTCCTGGGCTCAAGCAATCCTCCCACCTCAGCCTTCCAAAGTTCTAGGATTATAAATGTGAGCCACTGAGCCCAGCCTGAATTGTCTTTTTAATTCTGATTTTATTTTCAGATAGTCTGTATGATATTCTTCATAAACGATTACATTATCCAAACAAGGAGAGTTTGTCTTTTCTTTTTCTCTACTGTGATGATGGAGATACCATGGATTCAGTCATGGAGGCCTGTAGTTGCTTGATCCAGTTTCCTGTCTGTGTCCTTTCTTCCTGCCCCATCATTCCTTCATGTAAAGCCTATTACCACATGCGGTCAGCTTATTTAGCCTAACAAGCCAGTTTGTTTGGGGGGGATAGGGGCTCTCAGTCTAGCCCATAGGTTCAAGCAGTGAACCTGGTTTACCACCCGCTCCCCTCACTCCATGCAGGTCACTGTTAGTTCCCTTTAAGGAGTCTAGACGCCCCATTCTAGCATCCCCTGCCTCTTTTCAGACCTGGAACCGAACCGGCCCATGTTTTTAGCCCCATTTATTGCTTTGCATTTCCGGTCAAAAGAAAAGTTTATATTTGGGCTGGGCATAGTGGCTCATGCCTCTAATCCCAGCAGTTTGGGAGGCAGAGGCAGGCAGATCACCTGAGGTCAGGAGTTCAAGACTAGCCTGGCCAACATGGTGAAACTCCCTCTCTACTAAAAATACAAAAAACTGTACTGAAAATACAAAAAATACAGGAGTGCGTGGTGGCGCACTCCTGTAATCCCAGCTACTTGGGAAGCTGAGGCAGGAGAATCGCTTAAAACCAGGAGGCGGAGGTTGCAGTGAGCCGACATTGCGCCACTGCACTCCAGCCTGGGCGACAGACTGAGTCTCTGACTCAAAAAAAAAAAAAAAGAAAAAAAAGAAAGTTTATTATATTTGGAGAAAACTGTGTCTTTTAATTTTTCTCCTTTATATTTTAATAACCATTGCTTTGTGCTTAGAGCTGAGCGAGTGCCTCAAAGGTTCAGCAATGCTACCTTGACCAGAAATCATAATTTCAATGTCTATTTTGTAAAGGATTACAGAACTAGCTTCTACTACTGCCGACACTTCATGCAGTAATTATCACCAAACACAATGCTACTCAATTTCTACAATGTCTTTCAGGTCCTTGTGCTTGGTAAACACTATACTTGTGTCTGTGTCTGTCACCTGGGTAATGGGAATGGAGATAAATACTATTTTCTGCACCCGAAAAAACTGAGGCCTCTTACTAACCAGACAGCCACAGGACTGTGAGTTCCTCCAATGATAGGGCTGTGCCTTTTTCATCCTGTGCCTCCTCACGAAAATAACTCAAACCAAACTCTGGGCCCATACCTGGCTTTATTCAACAAGATGTCCCATGAACTGAGGAGACCCCCTATTGAGTGCCCTCAGGATCTATGCAGTACCATGGCTTGAGGAAATGAGAGGCTAAAAAGACAGGAATAAGAACCATGATAGTTGATTTTAAGCAAAATAAGTGAGAAGGAATTGTCGATGGCATTTCATCTAGAAAGTGAATTTTGATTGAGATTTAGATATTTTTTATATGAATCCCCTTATATAAACTAGCTTAGTATATAAATATAATCAAAATAGCATTCATTAAAATTGCAAAACTTATTTATTAAAATATGTAAAACAGCCAGCTGCAACAGTAGTGACTAAGAAGTATAAAAATAAATTATTTTTTTCAACAAATACAAATATGTATTGAGTTCCTACTATGTGCTTACACAGTACAGGAAATGGGGATACAAAGATAAATAAAACAGATCCCTGTGCAACTAAAAATCCAGTTGGGCCGATTGTTGGGCAAATAAATCATCCAAATATGATGGGATAGCTTGGGCACAGTGGCTCACGCCTGTAATCCCAACAGTTTGGGAGGCTGAGGCAGGCAGATCACCTGAGGTCAGGAGTTCGAGACCAGCCTGGCCAACATGGTGAAACCCTGTCTCTACTAAAAATACAAAAATTAACCAGGTGTGGTTGTGGGCACCTGTAATCCCGGCTACTCAGGAGGCTGAGGCAGGCAAATTGCTTGAACCCGAGAGGCAGGCGTTGCAGTGAGCCGAGATCGTGCCATGGCACTCCAGCCTGGGCGAAAGAGTGAAACTCTGTCTCAAAAAACAAAACAAAACAAAATATGATGGGATAGGCTCCTTAAAAGAGTGTTAGTTTGAAGAAATACTTGTACCCCTGTGTTCATAGCAGCATTATGCACAATAGCCAAGAGGTGGAAGCAACCTAAGTGTCCAATGACAGATTAATGTGTAATCGCCCAACCGGGTTCTTCTTGCCTGCTGCCCAGAAAAGTCAATGCAAAACTAGCAGGTTCTGCAGCAAAGAAAGAGTTTAATAAATGTGGGGCCAGCCAAATGGAAGGACAGGAGATAATTCTCAAATCCGCCTCCCCAAGAATGTGAGGGCTAGGGTTTTTCCAGGATAGTTTGGCAGGCAGGAGCTAGGGAATGGGGAATGCTGATTGGTTGGGTTGGGATGAAATCATAGGGGCTTGAAAGTGTTTTCTTGCACTGAGTCAGTTCTCGGGTGCAGGTTATGGGTCTGAGTGGTGCCAGTTGGTTCATACGGAATACAAGGTCTGAAAAATATCTCAAATACCATTCTTAGGTTTTACAATAATGATGTTATCCATAGGGGCAATTGGAAAAGTTATAAATCTTGTTACCATTCGCTACATGACTCCTGAGTAGTAAGTAGTTTTTAAAGGCAAGTTATAAAACAATGACTGATTAGAGTTTAATTATGTGTATATCTTAGCAGAATTCAGACCTCTGTCACAATTCTAACCTTGTGGACTTACGTTAGTTATATGAAAGTGGTTTTGGTCCCTGAGCAAGTAGAGGGGGTTAGTTCAGGAAAGAAGTATCATCGTCTTTGTTTTGAAGTTAAACTATGAACTAAATTCCTCCCATAATTAGCTTGGAATGAGCAAGTTAGCCTGTGAGGTTAAAACAAGATGTAGTTAGTTATGCTACATTTCCTTCACTGTCGTAATTTTTGTATAGGTGGTTCCCAGTGGATAAATAAAATGTGGTATGTGCATACAATGGATTATTATTCAGTCTTAAAAAGAAAGGAAATTCTGACACAGGCTACAACATGGATGAACCTTGGGAACATGATGCCGAGTGAAATAAGCCAGTCACAACAAGACAAATACCTCAAGGTCTCTCTGACCTTCCAACCTTCCCCCCGACCCCCGACCTCTACCAAAGAAATTGAAGTTCCTTTATCTGCCTGAGATCAGTCTTACCAAGGAGAACAAGCATTTTCTTCCCCTCTCCGGAAGACCAAGAATGTAACCACAGATGAACAGACCCTTTCACAAGATAGTGCCTGTCTTTCAGACTCATTTATGAGACTAATTTATGAGTGTGATTACACTCATGTGAAGTATCTAGAATGGTCAATTCTTAGGAACAGAAAGCAGAATGGTGGTTGCCAGAAGCTGGGGGAGGAAGGAGAAATGAGAGTTGTTTAATGGGTACAAAGCTTCAGTTTTGCAAGATGGAAAATTTTGGAGATTGATGGTCCAACAATGTGAACACACTTAACACAAATGCACAGTAGACTTAAAAGTGGTTAAGATGGCAAATTTTATATTTTGGGTATTTTTTACCACAATTTTAAAAATGTTAAAAAAAAAAATAGTGTTAGCATCCAGAGGGCAGAGGCATTTCTAACATCTTGCAGAATGCCTGATATAATAGTAGGCACTTGATAAATATTTTGCCTCCCCTTGGTTTCTGTGCCCCATCCTGTGTCCTACACAACAGGACAAAGGCCAAGTCGTTCTGTGAGCCAATTCAGCAAACAAAGGCACTTCTCTCTCCAAGGCACAGAGAAGAATTTCGAATATTTGTGATTTGAAATTTGTCCTGGTCACACCAACTATTCTTTACTTCTCAGATATGCTTATCTGAGTTCTTTTGGCATTTAACTTGTCTAAAGATAGATACTGTTTCTACTTCCCAAAACAGAATTGTGATGGACTTTGTAAGGAAAAAAAAAAAGTGGGAGGAAGTCTGTGAAATGAAATCATTATTAGGCCATGGTACAAATGGCTGTCGGGCCCTGGGTTCAGCCCAGCACAGGAGGAAGGGTGAGGTAATTAGCATGGATTTGCAATTCTGCAGCTCGCTTTTGTTCCCTCCCTCCACTGGCTGTGTCTGATTCTAGTCACTGGGTTTATTCTCTTGTGTTTGTTTTTTTCACTTGGCCAAAAATAGAGAGACAAAAAAAGTTTCCTCATACTTACTTCAGCTTTTTACTTTTTTCCTTGTGTGTTTGGTTTCCTCTTACGTGATCCTTCCTTCTTCCTGCCACCTGCTAGTTTCTCTATGGTGGGGCTCAGAAACCAACATCCCACAATATGGCGCACTGACATGCCGCACTGAGGAATCCTCAAGGTCTCTCTGACCTTCCGACCTTCCCCCCTCACCTCCAATCTCTACCAAAGAAATTGAAGTTCCTTTATCTGCCTGAGATCAGTCTTACCAAGGAGAACAATTGTTTTCTTTCCCTCTTTGGAAGACCAAGAATGTAACCACACATGAACAGACCCTTTCACAAGATAGTGCCTGTCTTTCCACTCATTTATTATTCCAATGAAAACTATTTACAAGTTAATTTCTAGTCCCCATCCTATCATTCTCCCTAGTAATCATTTATTGCCCCTCAACAGAATTCTCTTTCTCCCCACTCCCATAACCTGTTTTATAAGGATCAAGCCCCCATTTTTTTCTGTAACCTCAAGACGGTATCAAAGCTTCTGTATCTCATTGGGAAGCTGGATCTTCATTCTGAAGGCCCTTGTATACATGTAACCGTAATAGGTTCATTGCCCAATGCCCACGCAAGTCAATATACCGAGACACCTGGTTGGAGCAGAGAAAGAGGTTTAATCATAGGGTCACTGAACAAGGAGATGGGAGAAAAACTCAAACACATCTCCAGGAGGAATTTGGAGTTAGGGTTATTAAGGGTTTTGGAGTGGGCCAGTGTGGAGGTCATCAGTTGGTAGAAGAGTGTAGCGTGACATCATGGGACAGGGAGATGAAGCAGCTATTCGCTCATGCTGATCCTCTTCCTCTGTGGGGGGTCTTCAAATTGGTTGCTAGAATTAGAGGTCTAAAAAACATCTTAAGTGATCCTTAAACAAAAGCCTTATGATTGATTCTGACGTCAGATATCCCGTCTGGAGGAACAGAGAGGGTACAAATCTTCAGTATCTAGTGACTTTTAGCAACAAGGAAGTGGGCCAAAGTGCAGCCTGATTAATGCTTATATTTAATTAATGATATTATATAACATATTATGTAATATATTCTATGAATGCACTATGAAATACCTGTATTTCTGTCCAGAACCTGGCATGCAATTCTTGTCAACCCTGTGTGGGTAGTTTCATGCATATGAAGTCAATTTGTATACCTTTTCTCCCATGTTAATCCATCTGCCTCATATCAGTGATTTTGCAGCAAACCTTTATCTGCTTTTCCTACCTTTCTCAAGAATAGCTTTTCCTTGTGTTCTGTAACCCTGGCTTGGTGCACAGTATGCGTGATGGACAGGTTGAGTTGCAACACTTGGTGACAGTACAGACATGGAGCCTGGAAAGGGCCTGCGGGGTTTGAATTGAGGGATGCCCATTTCTGGTCCAAGCCCTGGGTGGAGCTCCCCATTGTTGGTTCATGGCCCTGGGCGTGCACATGGCCAAGAAGCAGAGTAGAGCAGAGGTGCCCTGCCTAGTGCTGGAGGAGAAAGGTGTCCAGGCATCTTCCAACCTCCTCATGCCAGTATGCTGAGAGGGTAAGTGCAGGACAGAGCCAATGGAAGACCTCCTTAGACTGGGTGAATCATGGAACCAACTGAGGTTTCCATTCTGGAGATTTGATCATGCCACTTTTTTTTTTTTTTTTTTTTTTAAAGACCGAAGTCTGGCTCCATCACCCACGCTGGAGGGCAGTGGCATGATTTAGGCTCACTGCAACCTCCGTCTTCTGGTTTGGATGATTCTCCTGCCTCAGCCTCCTGAGTAGCTGGGATTACAGGTGTGTGCCACCACACCCGGCTAATTTTTTTTTTTTTTTTTTGTATTTTTAGTAGAGGTGGGGTTTCACCATGTTGACCAGGCTGGTCTCGAGCTCCTGACCTTAGGTGATCCACCCACCTTAGCCTCCCGAAGTGCTGGGATTACAGGTATGAGTCACCATGCCCGGCCTCTTGCCACTTTTTAAATGTAACACTTAAATAGTTCTTGCTGTGTGACAGACACTGTTCAGACACTGTTCTAAGTGCTTTTATTTTATTTATTTATTTATTTTGACATGGAGTGTTGCTCTGTCGCCCAGGCTGGATTGTGGTGGTGTGATCTCGGCTCACTGCAACCTCCGCCTCCTGGGTTCAAGCAATTTTCCTACCTTAGCCTCTTGAGTAGCTGGGACTACAGGCATGCACCACCATGCCCGGCTAATTTTAGTAGAGATGGGGTTTCACTATGTTGGCTAGGGTGATCTAGTGATCACTTTAAGTGATCTGCCCACCTCGGCCTCCCGAAGTGCTGGGATTACAGGCCACTGTGCCTGGCCTCTAAGTATTTTTAAATATTAACTCATTTAATCCTTACAACAACCCTGTGAGCTAAGAACTACTATTGTCTGAATTTTATGGATGAGGAAAAGGAAACTGAAGCCCAGAGAGGTTAAGGACTTGCTCAGAGTTACCCAGCTGTTACTTCTCTGGTTTATAGATGGCACCTTCCTGCTGTGTCCCCACGTGGTGGAAGAAGGGAAGACATCTCTCTGGTATTAGCATCTTTAATACCCGAAGTCATGCTTTTCACTACTCCACCATGCTGCCACTCTGGTTTATGTAGAGTCTCCCAGGATCTCCTTTGGAGATTTCATGGCTGCTTTTACAAAGCATCTCCCCTAAGGTATAACACTCTCTGTTGGGTTTGGGCAGTGTGTGTATTCCTCTGAAACTTCTGTGTGCCTCCTGGTGTATCCACTGGCAGTCACGTGTTCACAGGCTTAATTCTGCAGAAGACATCAGAATCTGCCCTTCTTTCTCTCCAGGGATAAGGGCACAAGGAAGCCATTTCTACCCATATAAACATTTAAAAATACAATTTCAGGCCGGGTACAGTGGCTCACGCCTGTAATCTCAACATTTTGGGAGGCCAAGGCAGGTGAATCACCTGAGGTCAGGAGTTCAAGACCAGCCTGGCCAACATGGTAAAATCCTCTTTGCTAAAAATACAAAAAAAAAAAAAAAAAGAAAGAAAATAAAAACTAGCCATGCATGGTGGTGCGCACCTGTTATCCTAGTTACTTGGGAGGCTGAGGCATGAGAATGGTTTGAACCCCGGAGGTGGAGGTTGCAGAGATCACGCCACTGCACTCCACTTTTGGTGACAGAGCAAGACTCTGTCTCAGAAAAAAAAATAAATAAATACAGTTTCAGCATATAACAAGCACTATGCTATCTTCATGGTAAGAAGTGCTCTGCCCCTACATAGGAAAGGATACTACTTTGGGATCTGTTGCCAATCTGGGTGAGTTTATAGGGATTCTTCCCCACATTCCCCTTTCAGACCCTTGGGAACAGGGTCATGAAATTTTTAGATGGTTGGCTGGAGTCAGGCAACCAGTTCAGAGCTGTAGGACAGGTTTTCTGGTGAGAGTAGCAAACTGGTCTGGAGACAAGCCCAGGACATTGGCTTCCTTACTCTGGAAGACCGTAGCCATAGCTCGGAACATCACAGGTACTCTGCTAATCCTCTGAACCTTCCATATGTCCCTCTGGCTGTGCCCCAGATGACTTTGCCTAGTAAAACTGGGTTAGCAGAGAAGAAAGATTTACAGGAAGTTAGGATGAGCTTGGGTTTCTGCTGCCTACACTAACCCTGACTTGTGTTGCGGGACCAGGCCTCATTGCTACACAGAGATTTTTCTGTGGCTCTTTCATGCCTCCTGTCAGCTTGCCGCTCTTAATTCCCAAGGCCTCTGCCCATTCTCCATCTCTAAAATGCTTTTCCTGGATCTTCTTCCCACAGGGCTCTCATGCTGAGCTGGCTGGAACTGATAGCGAATTCTTGCTAAGAAATGAGCTGATCACTTCTGAGTTACAGCCTCAGCTCTATACACTGCATGTGCTTTTTTTGTTGTTGTTTTTGTTTTTTTTGAGATGGAGTCTTGCTCTGTTGCCAAGGCTGGAGTACAGTGGTGCGATCTCGGCTTACTCCAGCCTCCGCCTCCTGGGTTCAAGCGATTCTCCTGACTCAGCCTCCTGAGTAGCTGGGATTACAGGCACACACCACCACACCTGACTAATTTTTGTATTTTTAATAGAGATGGGTTTCACCATGTTAGTCAGGCTGATCTCGAACTCCTGACCTCGTGATCTGCCCACCTTGTCCTCCCAAAGTGCTGGGATTACAGGTGTGAGCCGCTGAACCCACCTGCATTTGCATCTTAACAGGGACATCAAAACCAAAAAGTTTAAAAACTCAAAGCACTGGCTGGTGTGGAGGCTCAAACCTGTAATCCCAGCACTTTGGGAAGCTATTGGGGACAATCAATCGCTTGAGGCCAAGAATTTGAGATCAGCCTGGGCAACACAGAGAAACCTGGTTTCTATACAAAAATTTAAAAATTAGCTGGGGCTGGGTGCGGTAGCTCACACCTGTAATCCCAGCACTTTGGGAGGCCAAGGTGGGCAGATCCCCTTAGGTCAGGAGTTTAAGACTAGCCTGGCCAACATGGCGAAACCCCATCTCTACTAAAAATACAAAAATTAGCTGGGCGTGGTGGCGAGTGCCTGTAATCCCAGCTACTGGGGAGGCTGAGGCAGGAGAATCGCTCGAACCCAGGAGGCAGAGGCTACGGTGAGCCAAGATCACACCACTGCACTTTAGCCTGGTGATAGAGCGAGACTCCTTCTCAAAAAATAATAATAATAAAATAAAATAAAGAATTAAAATAAATAAAAATTAGCAGGGCATGGTGGCATGTGCCTGTAGTGCCAGCTACTTGGGAGGCTGACGCCAGAGGATTACTTGAACCCAGGAGTTGGAGGTTACAGTGATCATGCCACTGCGTGACAGAGTGAGACCCTGTCTCAAAAAAAAACCCTCAAAGGAGTGAACATCTCAGGTTAGGATAACAGGCTCCTTGAAATACTAGAGATTTGGCTGGGCGCAGTGGCTCATGCCTGTAATCCCAGCACTTTGGGGGGCCGAGGTGGGCAGATCATGAGGTCAGGAAATCGAGACCATCCTGGCTAACATGGTGAAACCCCGTCTCTACTAAAAATACAAAAAATTAGCTGGGCATGGTGGCAGGCACCTGTAGTCCCAGCTACTCGGGAGGCTGAGGCAGGAGAATGGTGCGAACCCGGGAGGCGGAGCTTGCAATGAGCCAAGATCGTGCCACTGCAGTCCAGGCTGGGCAACAGAGAGACTGTGTCTCAAAAAAAAAAAAAAAAAGAAATACTAGAGATTTGGGGGACGGTGTCTTTTAGTCTGTTCAGGCTGCTGTAATAAAATACCATAGACTGGATGGCTCATGAACATGTGGAATTTGTTTGTCACAGTTCTAGAGCTGGGAAGCCACAGTCATGGCAGATTCGGTGTCTGGTAAGGCCTGCTTTCTGATCCATAAGCAGCACCTTCTTGCTGTGTCTCCACATGGTGGAAGGAGGGAAGATATCTCTCCGAGGTCTCTTTTATAAGGGTACTAATCAGAGCCCCTCATGACCTAATCCCTGCTCAGAGGATCCACTCCTAAAACCATGACTTTGGGGGTTAGATTTTCAATACATGAAATTTGGGGAGAGACAAACACTCAGTCCATAGCAGCTGGAGTCCCAGCCACCTCATATTTTTATATGCATCTAAAACCGGCCCTAATGTCAGTGTCAGGTCCATGGGCCTCCTCAAATCCAAGATAAAAACATTCACTTTGGAGCAACAGATCTCTCTCTTTCTGAGTTTGTCCTTAGGATTCAGCAAATTCTAAGACCCAGATCAGGGCATGCTAACCAGTTCCATTTATTGGCAACTGGAGTAGGATCCTTTGTCGAGTTGGGTATTTCCTCTGACGTCACTGGGCTACTCTCAAGGCTCCCCGGTGGGTCTTTGCCAGGAAAACCTGCATGGAAAAGGAGGCTTGGCCTTCGAGGAAGACGGCCTGTGTCCTGGCAGACTGGGTGTGTCTGCTCCAGGCTGGCCTCTCCTCATGGCTGCTGGTTTTCTGGACTAATGCACTTTTGACCCAAGAAGGGAAAAAAGGTATAAACAGAGGAGCTAGAGCAGTCAGCTGTTACTGGGTGGGACTTGTGAACTGGTGGGCTGGTGGCAGCCCCAGCCCTTCCTACTCCCTCAGAGCCTGCTGTCCTTCCTGGCCTCTCTACCCCGCCTGCCTTCCCCCCTCCCTCCCTCCCTACTTTCTCCCCAGCCACTTCTCATAAAGACCAGCTGCCTAGGTGACACCTTTTGCTTCTAAAACCTTCCTTGTTGTTCTTCCTTGGCCCCTTTCTCAAAATACACCTCTCTCTTTCCTCCTTCAATGCCAGACTGTTGGCATCTGTCTCCCTGTCTTGTGCAGGCTGCCATCTCTGGCTCACCATGGTTTTATAATTGCCTCTGGTTAAAGTTTAAATAGATGGGTTTCAGCCCAAGAGAAAAATGTAAACAAGCCCTTTCTGCAGTCTTTCAGAACTGCTGACTTCTAGTGCTTTTGAGTTCTGTGCTAGGAAATTCATTTTGCTCCTCCCTAACCAAGGAACTGAGAAACGCCATTAGGGCTTTCAGAGCCGTGACAGCCTCTCTGAAACCATTGAGAGGCTTTTAGATGATCCGCACTTTTCCTTTTAACTCAATTAAGCCATCAGGATCCAGTTCCCATCCTAGCATGTTTATCTAGTGTATTCAGGTGAGAGAATAGTTCAGCAAATCTTCATGGCCTGGCTTCTGAACAGGAAGGAAATGAAAGGAATTGTCATTTCACTATTGGAGTTTTTTCTATGTGGGAGCAGGGGATTGTATTTGTTGTCCCAGGGTTTTTGGTTGATGAAGTTGTCTTGTGAGTCATGAGAATGGGACTATTCCTGGCCAGTACAGAAGGAAAAGGGCAGGCTGGATTTGAGCTCATGCATTCTGGTATATATCCTCTCATTTGCTGTGTGTTTTTGTTTGTTGGGGTTTTTTTTGTTTTGTTGTGTTTTGTTTTTGGAAGTAAGTGGGCCATTTATTTTTGAGTCTTGATGAAGAATATTGATTTTCTATATTTTTCTGCTTTGTATACCTTGTGTACTTGTGATCTGATGTCAGAATGGATTCAGCAATAATTTGAGATGTTTTGGTCAAGGATTTGATTGGATCTTTGCCTTTCCCACTCAAAAATCTTCCAGAATTCCCCATTTCATGCTCAGACTTTTCTTCACAACCTTCTATGGTCGACCTCAAATCTACCATCACTTTTCACTATTCCAACCATACACTGAGTTCATGTGAGCTTTTCTACCCAGCTCCTGTAACCCGTTTCTTTCCCTGCAGTGTCCTGACACCTGGGACTCCTTCCCTGCTCTGCTCAGCGTCTTATCAGAACGTTCTTCCAGGGTTCTATGAAACCTTCCTTGCCTCTGGGCACAACCGGAACCAACCACTCCTCCCTTTAGTTCTCCAGCACAAGACAATCCCCTTTATGATAAGGAGACTTCCTTTCTTCTTTTCTTTTCTTTTCTTTCTTTCCTTCTCTCTCTTTCTTTCTTTTTCTTTCTTTTTTTTCTTTCTTTCTCTCTTTCTTTCCCTCTCTCTCTTTCTCCCTCTTTCTCTCTTTCTCTCTTTTCTCTTCTTTGTTTCTTTCTTTCTTTCTCTCTTTCTCTCTTTCTTTCTCTTTCTTTCTTTCTTTCTTTCTTTCTTTCTTTCTTTCTTTCTCTCTTTCTTTTCCTTCCTTCCTTCCCTCTTTCTTTCTTTTTTTTTGAGACAGAATCTCACTCTGTCACCCAGGCTGGAGTGCGGTGGAGCAATCTTGGCTCACTGTAACCTGTGTCTCCCAGGTTCAAGCAATTCTCCTGCCTCAGCCTCTGGAGTAGCTGGGATCACAGGAACGTACCACCATGCATGGCTAACTTTCATATTTTTAGTAAAGCCAGGGTTTCACCACGTTGGCCAGGCTGGTCTCGAACTCCTGGCCTCAAGGAATCTGCCCGCCTCAGCCTCCCAAAGTGCTGGGATTACAGGCTTGAGCCACCGCGCCCGGCCTTCACTCGTATTTCATTGTTTATTATGCATCCTTTGCTCATGTGGCAGCTTCCTGCATTCCATGCTCTTCCCTTCCAGCGCGGGATGATTTATTCTGTCCCCCAGTAGGGCCCAGCTTCGTGTGTGGCCCATAATCAGAGCTCAATAAATATCCAATCTTTGTTTTTCATCCTCTTTTCAACCAAAAGTTAATGTCAACAATTTTTTGTTGTTGTTGAGACAGGGTCTCCCTCTGTTCCCCAGGCTGGAGTGCAGTGGTGCAACCTCCACTCAATGCAGCCTTAACCTCCCAGGCTCAAGACATCCTCCCACCTCAGCCCCCTGAGTAGCTGGGACTACAGGTGTGCACCACCATACCCAGCTAATTTTATTTTTGTAGAGACAGGTTTCTGCCATGTTGCCTAGGCTGGTCTCAGCAATAGAACATTCTTATCAGAACATTCTGATGTTCTTATCTTAACATTCTTGAGCTCAAGATCTGGGCTCAAGTGATTTGACCACCTCGGCCTCCCAAAGTGCTGGGATTACAGGCATGATGTGCCACCTTGCACCAAACCTTATGTCAACATTTAAAAAATAGCTCTTGGGAGGAATCAAGAGGAATAAAGAAAGGATTTTGGAGTCAGGCAGATTTGGGTTCAAACCTCAGCTCTGCTGCTCTTAGTATTAGGGGTTTTTCCCTAATTCTTATCCTTTCTCAGCCTCGCTTTCTTCATCTATAAAATGAAGACAATAAGATCTCTTTTATGGGTTTTTGTGAGAATTAAAGTGAAATCATGCAAGTAAAGAACCAGACATAGTTACATCTCATCCTTACCCTCTCTTGATGGGAAAACAGTTCAAATGTTGAAACACTGTACTCTGGAACATAAGTCTTATCAATCAATTTAAAAGATCCATGCTACATTTTCCCATCATTAACACAACCTTCCTTGATAGAACAGTTTCTTCTCACTTGTACTCGCAAGTTTTTTAAAGCCTTATCTTGTAAGTAGGATTGGACTTGTTCACCGAAAATCCAAACTCTGTAAAATCTTCTAAAGAGTTGATTGTGAGCCAGTAGAAGTGACTGTAGCCCAGAGAAAACAAAAACCCAAGAATTATTGAGTAAGTGGTCCTAAGGTGGTCAGGTTATAGTCTGGTTTTATACATTTTGGAGAGGCAGGGGTTACAGGCATAGACATAAATCAATACATAGAAGGTGTACATTGGTTCAGCCCAAAAAGGTGTGACATCTGGAAGCAGAATGTAGGGGGAGGGTGTGGGGCTTAAGCCGTAGGTGGGTTTTAGGGATTCTTTTTTTTTTTTTAATTATACTTTAAGTTCTGGGGTACATGTGCAGAATGTGCAGGTTTGTTACATAGGTATACACGTGCCATGGTGGTTTGCTGCACCCATCGATCCGTCATCTACATTAGGTATTTCTCCTAATGCTATTCCTCCTCTAGCCCCCCACCTGCCCACAGGCCCCAGTGTGTGATGCCCATCCCCCACCCCCACACCCGATTGGTTGAGAGAGTTAAGCTATTATCTAAAGATCTGAAGTTAGTTGAAAGAAATGTCTGAGTTAAGGTAGAGGAGTTGTGGGGACCAAGGGCTTTGTTACGTAGAGGAAGCCTCCTATATCACAGCCCTCTGAGAGAATAGATGGTCAATGTCTCTTTTCAGACATGTGTGTGTGTGTTGTTGTTGTTGTTGTTGTTTTGAGACAGGGTTTCACTCTCTTACCCAGGCTGGACACATGTGGTGACAAGACCACAGCTCACTGCCTCCTCAACCTCCTGGGCTCAGGTGATCCTTCTGCTTCCGCATCCTGAGGAGCTGGGACCACAAGCCCACGCCTCCACAGGCTGCTGATTTTTTTTATTCGTAGTAATGGGGTCTTGCCATGTTGCCCGGGCTGGTGTCGAACTCCTGGGCTCAAGTGATCCTCCTGCCTCAGCCTCCCGAAGTGCTAGGATTACAAGCCCAAGCCACCACACTTAGGCGGTGAATCTCTCTTAGATCTAACAAAGGCTGGCTGCATTAACAGAGATTCTCTACAGATGCAGGTTTCCCTGTTTCGTGATGGCTTTGCAGGGCTACTTCAAATTATGTCAAAGAAATATACTTCGGGGTAAAATATTTTGATTTCCTTCAGGGTCTGCTGTCCTGTGATGCTATATTAGAGTCAGGTTGGAAAGTAAGCCTCATTATACCAGGTTAATTTTTAAAAACCCATTTAACAAGATTCTGTGGTTTGTAGGGTGTGACTTAACCCTTGCCTGGCATGGCCTTGGGTCTTGTTTATAATTTGGTATCTTACTGCCATAAAAAGTCTGTTTTGACAGTCTTATGGTCTCTATTTTAATATTAATATGGGTCAGTTGTGCCCAAATCCAAAAGGGAGGAGGTATAAGGAGGTGTGTCCCACCTCCCTTCTCATCATGGCTGGGAATTCAGTTTTTTGGGATTTTCTGGGGCCCCCTTGGCCAAAAGGGGGTCTGTTTAGTTGGAGGGCTTAGTATTTTATATTTGATTTACAAACTTATTTATTGGTCACCAGAAGAAATCCCAGTGGTGGGGATGATGAGGAGGCAGCTGCTCTGTTTGCTGCTGAGTTACTTTCATATGTAGTCCCTTGTAGGGGCCAAAGCACCTTGGATGTTGATCCGTCATGTTGACTTCTGATTAACCCCAGTTCTGGGAAGGCTTCTAAGATTTCCAGTTTATCTGTTGTTCTTTATGTAAGAGCATGTATTTACCATACATCTTGCCCTTAGGTCAAAACAACCTTAATCATAAATCCTACCATTAGTCAGGTTCACATGGCATTCTTGCCTTTCCCTGCAGGGTCAATTTCAATTGCCCTGTGCCTTCCTTCCCTACAGTATATAAGCCCTGACTGAGTCTGGGAGAGTAATGGCATGGGGAGCCTCCATCTCATCTTGCGACTGACCGGGACATCATGGCTTCTGTTTATATGTCTCTTTTGGCCGGGCACAGTGGCTCACACCTGTAATCCCAGCACTTTGGGAGGCCGAGGCAGATGGATCACTTGAGGTCAGGAGTTCGAGACCAACCTGGCCAACATGGTGAAACCCCGTCTCTACTAAAAATACAGAAGTTAGCTGGGCGTGGTGGTGACGCCTGTAGTCCCAGCTACTTGGGAGGCCGAGGCACGAGAATCGTTTGAACCTGGGAGGCCGAGGTTGCAGTGAGCGGAGATCGTACCACTGCACTCCAGCCTGGGTGACAGAGCAAGACTCTGTCTCAAAAAAAAAAAAAAAAAAAAAAAGGTTTTAAATCTGATGGGCCTGGCAGGGCAGGAGAGGAGAAGATAAACATTTAACTACAGGATTGTAGCGGTACAGAGGAGGGACAGTTAGCATGTCAGGAAAAGATTCAGAGAGTTGATACTTAGGAACTGAGTCTTAACCTATCAGTACATGGCTGTCAAAAGATAGTTGGGACAAAGCACTTCAGGTACAACCCCAATTCTCGTTTCTTCCCCCTGTGTATCACTACATGCAGCCTGAAGCACTTGGCTCCATCGTCTTGAACCTGTACAGCTGTCTTCCCCTTGGTCCAGGTGACGTAAGGGCTTCCTTGGAAGCAGCAGCATTTATTAGTGCTGGTTCCAATCAGAGAACTGACATTAGAACTCTACTGTTGCTCTTGTGGCCAGGGCCAGGAAACAGCTGGAGTGGTTTGAACTCTCTGCAGGAGGATGGATGCGTTGAGGCTGGGCATGTGTGCATGCTCGTGCGTGCAGATCTGCGTCTGTGTGTCTATGAGTCTGAGTGTGTGTAGGTGTGTGTCCATTTGGATGGGTGGCTAGATGTTTATATGTAGGTGTTGCCACCAAAAACAAAAGTAGATATTCAGAAAACAAAGTGACAGCTCAAAACCTCAGACAAGCTGAAAGACTGCTCAGAGAAGGGGGAGGTTGAAACAACTTCAACCAAAACAAAATGAAACAGAGAAGGAAGTTGCATCAGAAGAGGAAGAATGCCAATGTCATGCTGAAGAACCACAAATGTCGCAAAATAAAAATAAAACGTGTGATTCTTATTTTACCTAGCCAAATATTATTACAATATTTTCTCCTTTAGAGTGTTAAAAATTACTGAAATTATAATATTTAGTTCAGCGAACATGAAGGACACAGAAAAACACAAACAAAAAATTCATTCCTATAATTTTTTAATGTTATATACATCATATTTTATTTATTTGGATCAGTGATTGATTTTAACTTTGCTTCCTACCTCCATATAAAAATTTTTCTCCAGCATTTAAAAAATATTAAAAACACGTTCTGAAATTGACTTATTGAAGAACATGTAAAAGGTCTCATTATTAGCACAAATTGAGAAATTATAATAAAGATACTCTAATAGCGAAGTGATTAAAGATGTCAGAACAAAAAATTATAGATCCCAGTGATGTTATTAAGTTTTTTCATTTCAGTTCATGTAGAAATGTTAGCTCCTTTGCCACAAAGAAATAAAAGAGTAGTTTTCCTTTTGATTAGATTCTTGTAACTACACACATGAAAAATTTATAGGATTGGTTTAGGTGAGGGGGTTTTATATATATAAACTGTTAATATAACATTGGAATAAGCTTGGCAACCAGGTCTCAGAGAAGTCTTTTGAATCTATTACTTTATAATTATAGTGATATTGATTGGCTTTCCATCACCTTCCTAGAATTATAATGACATCCAATGATTAACTGATTTGCCAATCTCGCAAATAGTTAAAAGAATATTGAGTTTTTGGCAGTGAACTAGGGAAGTTTGTGTGCTTTTTGTTAAAATGAAAAACTGTACTCCTCAATTGAATACATTTTTAGTACATACACGAGTTTACCAGCAAAGATAACTAGAGAGTGAGCTTGGTGTGCACACAGTGAAAGGAGCTTGGGAGGTTGAGATTGAAGTGAGCTACGATGCCACTGCACTCCAGCCTGGGTGACAGAGGGAGACCCCATCTCCAAAAAATAAATAAATAAATAAAAATAATTAATAATTAGGAAGAGAAAAGCACTGATCATGAGGAAAGGCAACCACTGAGTATGATGCTCACTTTATGTGCTTAAAGCGGGGACTCAGCAAATAATTGTGGAAGGAGGGAATGAGTGAAATGAGTGCATAAATAATAAGTACAAAGAAAGTGGCGTAAGTGTTTAATTCAAAACGAAGTTTAGACCGGGCATGGTGGCTCTTGCCTGTAATCTCAGCACTTTGGGAGGCCGAGGAGGAAGGATTGTTTGAGCCCACGAGTTCGAGACCAGCCTGAGCAACATAGCGAGATTCTGTCTTGGCAAAAAACAAACAAACAAAAAAACAAAGCAAAACCCAAAAATGAAATTATTAGCCGGGCAAGATAGTATGTGCCTGTGGTCCTAGCTATTCGGGAGGCTGAGGTGGGAGATCCCTTGAGCTCAGGAGATTGAGATTGTAGTGATCTACGATGCCACTGCACTCCAGCCTGGGTGACAGAAGGAGACCCTGTCTCCAAAAAATAAATAAATAAATAAATAAATAAATAAATAAAAATAAAGTTTATATTTTGCGTCATGACAGGGTTATAACATATTTTCCCTATGATGCTGTCTTGGTGATACATAAGTTGTATACTTTTCAGAAGTTGTGAGGCCCTTAAAGAAAACATCTACCAAATTAGTCTGGGGAAGAAATGAAAATCTATGCAAAACAAAGTTTTTAGATATTTTAAAAATATTTTACAAGACTAAATTCATTGTTACTTTAGGAACATAAAAATATATGAGGTATAAAATGGTTTACTCGTAGAATTATTAAATATTTAAAATTATAATTTATTCAAATAATATGAATGTACTAATTGAGACTTTTAAAAATCTTTAAAACTAATTACCAGTGGGGCTATGACCTACTGGACTTTAAGACATCAAATATCCTTTAGCTTCTGCCAACTGAGAAGAAAAACAACAAAAAGAGGAGAAGCCACAAACATCATAGTAAAAACACATACCAGAGTTATGTTTTTTCTAGATCTTCCATAAGGCATTTATTTTCAGAAAGGGTATAGGAAGAAGCATTTTTTTAAATAAAAAAGAAAGCATTTTTCTTTCCTTTTCTTTTTATTTTATTTTATTTTTTTGAGATGAAGTCTTGCTCTTGTCCCCCAGGCTAGAGTGCAAAGGCATGATCTTGGCTCACTGCAACCTCCACTTCCCGGGTTCAAGCGATTCTCCTGCCTCAGCCTCCCGAGTAGCTGGGATTACAGGCACCTGCCACCACGCCCGGCTAATTTTTGTATTTTTAGTAGAGACGGGGTTTCACCATGTTGGCCAGGCTGGTCTTGAACTCCTGACCTCAGGTGATCCGCCTGCCTCGGCCTCCCAAAGTGCTGGGATTACAGGTGTGAGACACCACGCCCGGCCTTTATTTTCAAAAAATAGTCTAAGAGAGTGGATAGGGGAAGAAGAAGAAAATTAACTAAATTCATTAGTTGTAACTTTTTCTCAAGCATTCACATTTCTGTTTAACGTGTGAATGTCCCCAAATATGCCAGTTTCCCTGCTTCCTAGGCTTCCAGTCTCCAGGGGTTCTTCAGCTGCACTAATTTCCTGACTCAGAATTGCCAGGGGTCTCAAGTACACTCCAGAGGACTCGTGTAAACTGGCTAGGCCAGCTTGTGTTCTGGGAAGCCTGTCTTTTCTGGTGGTGTTCCCAAGAAATAGGAAAGAGAAAAAATGATGTGTGGACTTAGGGATGATGTGTGATACTGAGTTTTGCTTTACATTTTAACTCTCCAGCTCTTTCCTTCAATGAATGGCAAGCCATTCTCAATTCCAGCTCTTCTGTACTGAAGAATTTAGCATCACTTTCCCTGGAGATCCAAGGAACTTTGCTTTTTGCCCAAAATACCTCTCTCTCCCAAAGCAATTTCCCCTCCTCAGAGAAATGCTGTCGTGTCAGGCTGCACTGCCCTTGAACCAGACAACTTTCTCTGCTTGTCTTTATCTGTCTAAATAAAGCTAACCTACATTTGCTGTCTAATTCATTCGGATGCTTGCTGATGCTATTTAAAGCATCCCGCAAGGCCCAGTGGAAAACAAGATGCATTATCTCCAGTAGGGAACCTTTAGGTTTGCTCATCGTTTAAGGAACTCAAGAATCTAAAGAATCCATTCAGTCTTCCCTGGTTCGGACATGAAGAACACGGGGCTCTTCACATATATATTTTTTTTATTCCAGGCAGTCTTCTTTGACTTATAGGTGGCTGGGATCAGTTGATACAAAAAGACGTAGCTAGAAAGTCAATCTCAATCATTCTCTCTCTTTCACTCTATCTCTGTCTCTCCCTCTATCTCTCTATCTCTTTCTCTCTGTGTCTCTCTCTCTGTCTTTGTGTGTGTGGGTGAGTGAGCCTGAAGACAAGAAGACACACACACACTGTGTGTGTGTGTGTATGTGAGAGAGAGAGGGAGAGAGAGAGAGAGAGAGCATCTTCAGACTTCATGAAATTCAACTTTTCTGAAGATTAATTTCTCAGCAGAATGTATGTTTCATTCTGGGCTCTGATGATTGTTAGTCCACTGTGAATTGCCTCACAAGAAACAAATTTAAAAGTTCAAAAGCGGCTGTCACCTTCGTGAACAGACTTCTGGTGAGTTTTTGGCTTGTTTCCATCACACTCTCTTCAGCCTCCATATGACGATTTGTTACAGAATCCTGGTACTTCTACATTCCGGAAAGGAAAAGGAAATTCTCCAGGCGTAGGAGCAAAATCTCGGGGATGTAAATAGGACTTCACTGTGAACTTATATATGACTGGGGAAATCTGTTGTATCTTTTTTCAGTTCCGGTATTTCTGTTGGCCTGTCGGCTTGCTTAGTGGGAGGGAGAGAGAGCTGGTACAATGGGATTGTTTTAACCATTGGTGCCCCGCTGCTACCTTAGGCACATACTTATTATCAGCATCCATTTGTTCAGCTACAATTCTATGACGTCCATTGCAGTGAGTGAGTCAGAAGCCACAAGCTAACAGGTCTATTCCTTCCCACCGTCACCTTGGAAACCAATGCATCATCCACAGGAAATGCAGGCCCCGATGGGGAGTGTGCCCAGATCGAGTTATAAAGCTGGCAATCAGTTTTTCAAAGGAAGTCAAATAATAATTTGTAGAATCTTAGTCTAGGGTGAGAGGTGGATCCAGCCTCTTGGGTATGGATTGAGGGCTGTCAGGCAGAAATATCACGAGAAATTAATCAGTTAAAATGTAAGTAGTAAGTAAAATGTAAGCAGTAAGATGTCTGCTTGATAAGAATTTGACCAAAGGCAAGAAATATAGAGATATGATTTGATTTCTCTAGCAAATAGCATTTATTTGCCCAATAGCTGAGGGTCTTTTTTGGTATGGTTGTACAGTGTGTGAAATGAGATAAGGAAATTGACAACACACAAAACAAAGCTTTCTGCTGAATGAAATGTATGTCCCCTTTCTCGTGGTCACTATCCCCGCTAAAAAAGTGATGGAGGCCAGGCACGGTGGCTCACGCCTGTAATCTCAGCACTTTGGAAGGCCAAGGTAGGCAGATCACTCGAGGTCAGGTGTTTGAGACCAACCTGTCCAACATGGTGAAACCCCGACTCTACTAAAAATACAAAAATTAGCTGGGCATGGAGGTGCCCACCTGTAGTCCTAGCTAATAGGGAGGCTGAGTGGGGAGGATCACTTGAACTCAGGAAATGGAGGTTGCAGTAAGCTGAGATTGCACCACTGAACTCTAGCCTGGGTAACAGAGTGAGATTCCATCTCAAAAAAAAATTTTAAAAAAAGTAGTGATGGAGAGGGCCGGGTGTGATGGTGCAGTGGCTCATACTTGTAATTCCAGTGCTTTGGGAGGCATAGGTGGGAGGATCACTTGAGGCCAGGAGTTTAAGACCAGCTTGGGCAACATAGCAAGTCCCTGTCTCTACATAAAATATTTAAGAATTAGCTGGGCATGCTGGTGCACTCCTGTAGTCCCAGCTACTCAGGAGGCCTAGATGGGAGGATAACTTGAGCCCAGCAGTTCAAGGCTGCAGTGAGCTATGATTGCACACCATTGCACTCTAGCCCGGGTGACAGAGCGAGACTCTGTCTCTAAAAAAGAAAAGACAAAAAAAATGATGGAGAAAACCACAGTCTGGTTCCCCCCAAGCTCTCACTGATTTTTTGTTTGTTTGCTTATTTTTTGCCTATGCCTGATTTTCTCTTTTCTTGATGACTGAGTATGGTATAATCCATACACTGGCCTTAGTGTATATATGCAATTTATCACACAATGTCCAGATACCTGTGGATACAAGTGTAGTACAGCTGAGAAAAATTACCTGTACAGTTTCATGTTGTTTGATGAGTTTAACGTTTCCAGGCGGATTTACATTCCCATACTCCTATGAGTGAGAGATTTTACATCAAAGTACAACGTGAAGTCTCCCAGAACTTCCTGCTTTAGACTTAAAGCATGTTAGAAGGCAGAAAAAAGATCTGAAAAATCACCTGGTCCAACTACCTCATTTTTCACACAGGAAATGATTCCCAGAAAGGTGGAATGACTTGTCTAAGGTGACATAGTAGATATTAGGATGTACGTTAGAGCCAGAGGAAAGGAGATAGAAGAGATAGGAAGTTTGATCACAAGCTCTAAATTAGTCAACAGGTGATATGGCCACCTCAGAGACAATAAAAATATTAGGCTGTATAATCGAAGTATGCAGTCCTGACTAAGTGGGGCAATTGGTCCATCAAGGGCTGGTCAGTGTGTGCCACGTTTATGATATGATGTTCTGTTCTGAGTACCCATTGAGTAGGAAGCAATGATAGACCTGGGTGTGCCCAGAAGCAGGTAAAGATGGAGATAAGAGTTCTGGTAACTACAAGCTAAGAAAAATAATTGACACATGTTGACTATTCAGCCTGGAGACCAAGGGATTTGTCATGGAAGGGATGGGAGTATCATCAAAAATAACTAAAGGGTGGCTGGGTGTGGTAGCTCAGATCTATAATTTCAGCACTTTGGGAGGCCGAGGCAGGTGGATCACCTGAGGTCAGGAGTTCGACACCAGCCTGGTCAACATGGCAAAACCCTGTCTCTACTAAAAGTACAAAAATTATCTGGGCATGGTGGTGGGTGCCTATAATTCCAGCTACTTGGGAGGCTGAGGCACGAGAATCACTTGAACCCAGGAGGCGGAGGTTGCAGTGAGCTGAGATCATGCCACTGCACTCCAGCCTGGGCGACAGAGTGAGACCCTGTCTCAAAAAAAACAAGCAAAAAGCTAAAGGGCTATCTTGAAGAAGGCTCAGACTCATCTTGTGTGCCTGCAAAGGGCAGTCCTAAATTGGTACTAGATAAAGGATGATGGATATTAGCTTCATATAAGTAATGTTCTAATAATTCAAGCTGATTGAAGTATATTACAGTGACTGATATAGTAGTGAATTAATTCTTTGCCTCAGGAGGTGTTCATGTCTTCATTCACCCCGAAACATTTATTGAGCTGTTGCATTATACCAGTCTTGCTAGACACTAAAGACACAATGATGACTAACATGGCCACTTCCTGCAAAGAGTTCAGAAGTCCATTGGAGGTCATGAGATCACTTATTTGCAGAGACAGGATGACCAGTAATGTAGAATGCCAAGGAAGAGAAGCAGGCACTGGAAAGAAAGAAGTCTGGACTACAGGGACTCTGAGGTTGCTGTCTGTGTTAATGAAGGGAACACTAGCTGCTGTAATAATCAAACCTAAAAAATGTCTTATGGCTGAAGCCTGAAAGAAAGTTTATTTCACACTTATCTGACATTCACCATGGGTGTGGTAATAGTGGCTGATAGTGGTGGTTCTCTTCCAAGTGGTAATTCAAGGAACTAGGCCACTTCTATCTTGTGATTCTCCCACCTTCACGTCTTCAACATGTGGCACTGACAGGCAATGACATCCTGCTAACAGACAGGGAGAGAACATGGAGGATTGTGTGGGGAGGTTTTTATGGGCTGGACCTTAGAACAGAGAAGTGGTGCACATAAACTCTGTTCACATTCTATCCACTAGAATTTAGTTGCATGGCCACCATCTAGCTGCAAGGGAGGCTTAGAATTTAGTTGAGCTGTTTTCCTAGCAAAAAGAAGAACCAGGTTTTGACGTATCACTAGCAAATCTTCTACCACACTCTCCAACTCTGAGATTCTATGATTATGGTGGCAGAACCAAGACAGGAATTTTTAAGGGGTGCTGGGGAGGGTGGCAGGGTACTCCATTTATTTATTTTTAAAACTTTTTATTTCATTTATTTATATTCATAATTGACTAATAAAAATCATATATATTTGTGGTGTACAATATGATGTTTTAATATATGCATACATTGTGGAATGGCTAAATCAAGCTAATTTACGTATTATGTGTTACCTCATATGCTTATCTTTTTCTTTTTTTTTTTCAGACAGGGTCTCACTCTGTCACCCAGGCTGGAGTGTACTGACACGATCATAGCTCATATCTCACTGCAGCCTCAAACTCCTGGGCTCAAGTGATCCTTCCACCTCAGCCTCCCAAGTAGCTAGGGCTATAGGTACATGCCACACCCAGCTGATTTTTAAATTTTTTATAGAGACAGGGGTCTTGCTAGGTTGCCCAGACTGATCTCAAACTCATGACCTTAAGCTATCTTCCCACCTCGGTCTCCTAAATTGCTAGGATTACAGGTGTGAGCTACCACACCCAGCCCTCATTTTTTATGGCCAGAAAGGAATTTTGAAGTTTTCTTGTTTGATACCAGAGTCATCCCATCCCATGTTTACATTAAATGTCTTCCTGGATTGGATACGGTGGCTCATCCCTGTAATTCCAGCACTTTGGGAGGCTGAAATGGGAGGATTGCTTAAAGCCAGGAGTTTGAGACCAGCCTGGTCAACCTAGTGAGACCCTATCTCTTAAAAGAAAAAGAAAACCTTTCTGTTGAAGGTGTCCTATTAATAATATATTGTTAACTTTTAAAAAGCAAGGTAAGGCCAGGCTTGGTGGCTCACGCCTATAATCCCAGCACTTTGGGAGGCTGAGGCAGGATGATCACTCGAGACCAGGAGTTCGAGACCAGCCTGGGCAACATAGTGAGACCCATCTCTATAAAAAATTTAAAAATTAGCAGGACATGATGGTGCGTGCTTTTAGTCCCAGCTACTTGGCAGGCTGAGGAGGGAAGATCACTTGAGCCCAGGAAGTCGAGACTGCAGTGAGCCGTGATCATGCCACTGTACTCCAGCCTGGGTGACAGAGCAAGATCCTGTCACAAACAAACAAACAAAACTAATGGTGACTATTATAAGTAAAGTTCCCCCCCGCCAGGGACCTGCCACTTCAGAATACTATAAAGTTAAAAGGCTACCTACAAATTAAGGGGAGGTAACTCTCCTTAATGTATAAGGAGCAGACTGTGAAGCTGCTCTAGGTCTACTAGTAATCGTGTCTAACAAATCAATAATTAAAAGGCAAATACTCAAATATAAATATTGGCAAAGGATATAAATGAAAAATCATAGAAAGAGATCTCAATAACTATCATGCAAACGTTTAAAAATTTTTTCTCCTCAAAATGAAGAGAGATAAATGAAAAATACTATCTAATATAGATAAAAGTACATGGAAATAGGAACATTGATATTTTTCTGATGGAGATATTAGTTGGCAAAACCTTTCCAGAGGTAAATTTAGAAATATTTTAAAACATTAAACTCATTCATACGCTATAACCTGTAACTTCACTCTACTAATTTGTCCTAATAAAATATTCAGATAAACATAACCATTTATGGCAAATAATATTAATATCAGAATTTTTATGAGCCCAGCAAAAGGTGGATTAAATGACACAGTAGGCAAATGGGATACCAAGTTGTCGTTAAAGAACTAGCTAAAAGCTAAAGGAAAATCTTGCTATCTAATGTTAAGAAAAAAGAATGATTCAAAAATAGACACAGAAATGTGTATATACCTTACAGACCTGGTGAATCCTGAAAGACTCTTGTTAAGACAAACTGGCTAAGAGTGATTTAAGCTTAGAAAGACACCTTGGTCCTTCCAAGATTTAGAACTAGGCAGAGCCCTCTTCTTGCTGATATTCATCCCATGGGCCACTTTATTCATAATAGATCCTTTCATACATACTGAAAATCAGTCATGGCAGCCCTTGGTGAGCAAGTGTCATAAAGTACTCCTTAGCAGGCTAGGCTGTGATCCCAGCACTTTGGGAGGCAGAGGAGGGTGGATCACTTGAGGCCAGGAGTTTGAGACCAGGCTGGCCAACATGGTGAAACCCTGTCTCTACTAAAAATACAAAAATTAGCCAGGCATGGTGGCACATACCTATAATACCAGCTAGTTGGGAGGCTGAGGCATGAGAATTGCTTGAACCTGGGAGGCAGAGATTGCAGTGAGCCGAGATTGCACCACTGCACTCCAGCCTGGAAGACAGAAGGAGACTCTGTCTAAAAAAAAAAAAAAGAAAAAAGAAAAAAAAAAAAAGAACACCTTAGCAGCCCAGGGGCGGTGGCTCACGCCTGTAATTCCAGCACTTTGGGAGGCCAAGGTGGGAGAATTATTTGAGCCCAGGAATTCAAGGCCATCCTGGCCAACATAGTGAGAACTTGTCGCTACAAAAATTTTTAAAAAGTAGCCAGGTGTGGTGGCCTGCACATGTGGTCCCAGTTGCTAAGGAAGCTGATGGCATCACTGCATTCCAGCCTGGGTGAGATCTTGTCTAAACAAAACAAAGCAAAACAAAAACAAAAACTCCTTAGCACTGTCACAACACCTAGCTTTTAAGTACTTGAACACAATTTTAGCTTTCATCTGAATTAATGCTTGGATGATAGGCAGTCAAAGTTGATGCTAGCTCTCTAATCACATACTCAGTATTGTTTCCATTTCTTTGATTACTTTCCCTCATTTTCTGCTAATTGCTGTTCATTGCATAGACCCCGCCAGCATTTTTCACATTTTGAACCTTTTTGTCTTTCCGAATCACCCTGTTGACTAAGGATCCATCTCTTACCCGCTTGCAACACATGATTTTTCTTACCACATTCAATCTGTTAATCTGTTTTATTTTCATCATAATCCTAAACCTATTCTCAATAGCACATTGAGCATTCTGAATTGTTTTTGCAATTATCAGACACTGAGGTTAATAATGTTGCAAAACACCTAAGATTAAATACAGCAAATCTGCTGGTAATGGAAAATTAGCTGGCCAAGGCTAAGATGACCACGGCCAACGGCTATTGTCATCTGTTGAGGGCAGGCGAAGTTGAAACACTTTTACTTTTGGAGGAAAGTATTTTCCATCTCCGTGAAAGTTCACAGCTGGCTAGGTATGGTGGCTCACGCCTGTAATCCCAGCAATTTGGGAGGCTAAAGCAGGAGGATCACTTGAGGCCAGGCATTTGAGACCAACTTGGGCACATAGCAAGACTCCATCTCTACAAAAAATTTTAAAAATTAGCTGGTTATGGTGGGGCATGCCTGTAGTCCCGGCTACTCAGGAGGCTGACGTGTGAGGATCCCTTGAGCCCAGGAGTTTGAGACTAAAGTGAGCTGTGATTGCGCCACTGCCCTCCAGGCTGGGTGACAGAGTGTGACCCTGTCTCTTAAAAAGAAAAAGGAAAGTTCCTTTTTGCTATAGGCCCGAGGGGTTGCTGCTGAAATGGGCAAGTTCATGAAACCTGGGACGGTGGTGCTTGTTCTGGCTGGATGCTATTCTGGATGCAAAGCCATCATCGTGAAGAACATTGATGATGGTACCTTAGATCGCCCCTACAGCCATGCTCTGGTGGCTGGAATTGACCGCTGTCCCCACAAAGTGACAGCTGCCATGGGCAAGAAGAAGATCTCTAAGAGGTCAAAGATCAAGTCTTTTGTGAAAGTTTATAACCACAATCAGCTAATGCCCACAAGGTACTCTGTGGATATCCCCTTGGACAAAACTGTCATCAATAAGGATGTCTTCAGAGACCCTACTCTTAAACACAAGGCCCGATGAGAGGCCAAGGTCAAGTTTGAAGAGAGATACAAGACAGGCAAGAACAAGCGGTTCTTCCAGAAGCTGCGGTTTTAGATGCTTCGTTTTGGTCATTAAAAATTAAACAGAAAAAAAAAAGGAAAGTTCACAGATGGCCAAACTTTTCCACAGCCATGGTACCGTCCTAGTGAAGTACATTTGAGACAATAGTCATCAAATTACATATAAATACGTAATCAACCAAAATTATTTTTAGATAGTTCAGTTGGTTTACGTTGTCTGAATTGGCGGAGTCTGGGGGTTTGATTTCTGTGTCAGTTACTTGAAGAAAAATTGTGCCACTCAAATACTCTACACCTATGTCTAGCCATGTCACAAATACCTGCTCTTCAGGGGGCCTAGATACAGTATGTCGGGAGACAATCATGTCATTTCCGCAGTCCGTATAGAACAATGCTGTTACCGGCCTTTGTAATAATGTGTGAACCTGGACTCTGCAAACTCAAAACCTCATGTGTTACCCGCTTGCAACACATGATTTTTCTTACCACATTCAATCTGTTAATCTGTTTTATTTTCATCATAATCCTAAACCTATTCTCAATAGCACATTGAGCATTCTGAATTGTTTTTGCAATTATCAGACACTGAGGTTAATAATGTTACAAAACACCTAAGATTAAATACAGCAAATCTGCTGGTAATGGAAAATTAGCTGGCCAAGGCTAAGATGACCACGGCTAACTGCTATTGGCCATGCTTCTATCCATTAACAGGAAAGAAGACGCTTTAGTCATATATTTAAATTTTTTAAAAATTATGTCAGGCCCTGCGAGGTAGCTCACGTCTGTAATCCCAGCACTTTGGGAGGCCAAGGTGGGTGGATCACCTGAAATCAGGAGTTCAAGACCAGCCTGGCCAACATGGTGAAACCCCGTCTCTACTAAAAATACAAAAAATTAGCTGGGCATGGTGGCACGTTCCTGTAATCCCAGCTACTCAGGAGGCTGAGGCAGGAGAATCGCTTGAACCAGGAGGCAGAGGTTGAAGTGAGCCGAGCTGCACCGCTGTACTCCAGCCTGGGTGACAGAGCAAAACCCTGTCTCAAAAAAACAAACAAACAAAAAATATGGTTGGATCACAAGATTCTCCAAATGTAAAACACTAAAGAAAGTCAAAAGAGGCCCATTTTTCTAATTGAGATTAAAAAAATCGAGTGGTACCCGATTTCCCTCTACTCCCCAGGGACCTGATGACCATTAATGCCTATTGAGTTAGTTTTCGGGAATTTGCCGAAGAGCAGGTGGGTGTCACTAGAGAATACTGCATATTTCTCAAAGTAGAGAAGGCTACAGATTCACAACTCAGCTTCTGGCTTCAAATGCAATTTTCTCCCTGTTTTCATGACCCGCTCCTCCCTCCAACGCCAGAGCTGCAGGCAGTTCTCTGAATAACACTATGTCCCTGGCCTCCTAGCTCCCATTTGAACGTTTCAGCAGGGCTCCTCTGAAGTCTGGCCCCCACCACCTCCCCTCTCACAGGCTTCTTGTTCGTCTGAGTCAGCCCGTGACTCACCTCACTCATTAGCGGAACTCAGAATGCCTCTCCATCCTCTGGATCCCTTTTGTCTCCCTGCTTATAACTGGTTTCCTGGCAGCCTAAGGTCTATGGACAGCCTTGAAGCTAGAAGGTGGGTTGCTACTAGGATGGTCTGCTCAGTAAAGTGGTTGGCAGACAGCAAGTAGAGTTACAGTGACGACGGTGATGACGGTGATGACGATGATGACGATGATGCATGCAGTTGCCTCAAAAGGACTTTGGTGGCCAGATTTGGCATGTCCCCCTGTGTTGGCACAGGGGTCCTTGATTCTTGGCCCCTTCTTTCCTCTTTCTAGTCTTTTCTTTCCCTCTTCATCCGCCCCTCCTCTGCACATATGCCCGAATGTACAAGGTGAATGCTTCTGGGCTCTGCTCTCTGTGGAAAGGCAGGGAAAAGAGCGACACCCCTACACGGCGGCACCCTTTCCTCCAGCCTTTGCAGCTCCGTTCTCATTTCTACTCATTTGATTTTACATCCCAATGCTTTCTGTTTTGTAAGAGGTGGACTAGAAGGGACGAATGAGAAAAGGCTTTACGCCTTGTTGGTGCCTCCTGGGCATATAAAAAAGCCCAGTGACATGATACTAATAAGAAACTCTAAATTCACGGTCAAAAATATCAGAACCAAATCACTGTTATTAATTTGTTAATCTTACTTAAAGGCCTTTGTAAAATGGTGATACAGTCAAGTGCTGCATAATGACATTTCGGTCAGTGACAGACTGCATGTACAATGGTGATCCCATAAGATTATTATACGGTCTTTTTTTTTTTTTTTTTTGAGACAGAGTCTCGCTCTGTTGCCCAGGCTGAGAGCAGTGGCGTGATCTCGGCTCACTGCAACCTCTGTCTCCTAGGTTCAAGCAATTCTCCTACCTCAGCCTCCCGAGTAGCTGGGATTACAGGTGCCCACAACCACGCCCAGCTAATTTTTGCATTTTTAGTAGAGATGGGGTTTCACCACATTAGCCAGGCTGGTCTCGAATTCCTGCCCTCAGGTGATCCGCGCCCCCCGCCCCCGGCCTCGGCCTCCCAAAGTGCTGGGATTACAGGCGTGAGCCACTGTGCCCGGCCCTATACTGTCTTTTTACTGTACCTTTTCTATGTTTAGATATGCTTTGATACACAAATACTATTGTGTTACAGCTGCCTACAGTATTCAGTACAGGAGCATGTCATACAGGTTTGAAGCCTAGGAGCAATAGGCTATGCCATGTAGCCTAGGTGTGCAGTGGGCTTATCCCATCTAGGTTTGTGTAAGTGCACTCTATGATGTTCAAACAACAATGAAGTCTCCTAACAATGCATTTCTCAGAACGTATCCCTGTCATTAAACAACGCATGACTATAGTTTACTCAGCTGAATCCTGACAGCTTTCATTAAGTCTCATGATTTATTTTGAAAGGGACCTCAGAGACCATCCTGTCCACTCTTTTGTTCAATGGGCAGATGCGTGATTGCTGTGCACCTGTGATGGTCAAAGCCCAAGCCAGGTGCCCTAGGGCCGCACTTCTGAAGCCCCTGAGAGGCAGATCTTGTTCTGGACACCTGGGGAGGGGGCCCAAGGTCCTGCATTTCTATAACCTCCTTGGGGATGTCCGTGCCATCAGCCCACAGACCACACTTTGAGTAGCACTGCTGCAGGCACTCTGCACAAAGCTAGATAGGCTTGACTTGTCACCGGAGAACATCCAGGGCCATAGGCTCCATGAGGCGGCCCTCTGCACCCTGCCTTGTCGGCTGCTGATGTTTGCTTGTGAGGCCCAGGGAATGCCAAACAATTCTTCCAAGTGCACTTGGCTTTCTTGTGTCTTCACCCCCAGCCAGGGGTGTTAAAATGAGAAGATTCGGGTTTGGGATTAGGACAAGAAAAAGGGCCCATAAAGCTTCACCCTAGACTATGAAGTCTAGTCTGGGTTATCTTAGAAGAGAGCTCTAAACCCACATTTTAGGCAGATTCTGTTTAACAATAAAGTATTTCTTTGATTGCTACAGAGATCTTCTTTTATGATTTGTTCGTTCATGTCCTTTGCTGATTTTTCTATTGCAGTCTTTGCCTTTTAATTATTGAACTGTAACAGCTCTTCATTACAATACTAAGGAAAATCCCCCTTCCTCCAATAAAGTGATTTTAGTCTTTTTTTTTTTTTGACTAATTTTTTGTAGAGACGGGGTTTTGCCATGTTGCCCAGGCTGGACTCCTGGCCTCAAGTGATGTGCCCGCCTCAGCCTCCCAAAGTGCTGGGATTACAGGTGTGAACCACTGTGCCTGGCTGTTTTTAGACTTTTAACTTTATCTATTAAATTCTGAGTTTGGAATCTTGGATTCTAGGACAATCTTGCTAATCTGAGCAAGCTGCTTTGCTTCTTGTGATGTGGTTTCTTTCTGTACCTGTAGATGGAGAGGGTAAAGCTGACCTATCTCAGGGCACTGTTGAGAGTGGAATGTGTGTGTGTGGTAGTACTGTACAGATGTAGGGCATAGTTAGCTTGTTTTCAGAGCCTCTATTAATCTGATCACTTTATTAAACCTAGTGTGGGACATGGCAAACTGGTGTTGACAAGTACAAGTTTTGTTTTGTTCTGTTGTTTATTTTGGTTAAACAAACACTATGGAGCACTTCCAAGTACTCTGAGTTGTAACTTCTCATTGTGTTAAGATACATGAAGCAGAGTTGGAAGATGCCTACTGAGAGCTTTTTTTTACCTTTTCTTCTTTTTCTTTTTTCTTTTTTTTTTTTTTGTCACCATGGCTGGAGTGCAATGCCGCAATCTCAGCTCACTGCAACCTCTGCCTTCCGGGTTGAAGCGATTCTCCTGCCTCAGCCTCCTGAGTAGCTGGGATTACAGGCACACGCACCACCACGCCCAGCTAATTTTTGTATTTTTAGTAGAGATGGGGTTTCACCATGTTGGTCAGGCTGGTCTCGAACTCCTGACCTTGTGATCTGCCTGCCTGGGCTTCCCAAAGTGCTGGGATTACAGACGTGAGCCACCATGCCTGGCTTACTGAGAGCTTTATATGTGTGAAGGTGCTTGTGATTTCTGTTTACCTTTGCCCCCTCAAATACAATTATACCTTCTAAGTTGTTGACTGATGCCACTTCCACCGCTCCTAAATGTCCAATCAAAACTGCCCCAGTATGAGGCAAATGACTGGGTTGTTCCTTGGTTTCCACATTTCCTGTCTCATCTCTGTTAGAACCTTACAGCTGTTAAAATTATTTATTTCTATAGTAGAAGTTATTAGACTAGTAGTATTCCCATTTGAACTGGCAGGGTTTTGTCTTAGCGTTAAGAAATAGATTTGTACATTTCCCCCATTTATGATGTTTAATGCCTTTAACTTCTCTCTGCTACTGCCTTTTTTGTTTTGTTTTGTTTTGTTTTGTTTGTGCGTGTGTGTGTTTGAGACAGGGTCTCACTCTGTCACCCAGATTGGAGTGCAGTGGCACCATCATGGCTCACTGCAGCCGTGAACTCTCGGGCTCGAGCAATCCTCCTACCTCAGCCTCCCAAGTAGCTGAGACTACTGGCATGTGCCACCACACTCAGCTAATTACATTTATTATTTATTTATTTATTTATTTATTTATTTTTGTAGATATGAGGCTTCCCTATTTTGCCCAGGCTAGTCTCAAACTCCTAGGCTCAAGTGATCTGCCTCCCTCGGCCTCCCAAAATGCTGGGATTACAGACGTGAGAAGAAAAAAAAGAATATAATCAGCTACTAATAGTAAAATAGAAATGTTGAAGACAGTGTCTTGCCTCTAATTGGTATTTGTTTTTTAATAGAGTCAAAGGAAAGAGTCTCTACTGGCAAAAATGTAACTCTCAGCCAGCTAGAGATAGTTACCCCTCTATCTCTGCTGGTACCCCAGTTATCCTTTCTACAAACGAAATTGCCTTATGGGTTCTTATACTGAGCATAGATGCAACAACAAAAAAGTCAATATTATTGACTCTCATCCATTTGCCAAGCACCGTGCTAAGTGCTTTCACATACATTTTCTCATTTAATGGATCTTTTGCTTACTTACTGTAGGGGGTAGAAGTGAGATTGTGCCTTTGTGTTGCTCCGTCCTCTACCTAAAGGGTTTACCTCTGTGTAAACCCTTTACTGGTAGCAAGGGAACTCAATCTGAAGCAAAATCCATTTTTTTTCTCATCTCGTCCAGGTTCACCGTGAAAAGTTGGTTGGTTTCTCATTTCTGGAGAAGAGATGTGTTGCTGATTTAGGAAAAAGTGGATGGAACAGGGATGAAGGCTGAATGCTGTTTAATACCACACTATGTACCCACATGGGTGGGCACCTGCCTCTGCTGAGAGGTCTCTCTTGTCCTGGCTTCTTTCCCAGATAATCTATTATATTCTCTGGGAACAAGAATCCATATACATTCAAGTCTTCCTTTGATTTACTTACTTATCTATGAACACTGGTCACTTACCACTTTCCTCACCTTCTCCCACCCCAAGAAACCCTCTCCTGGAGAAACATAACTGGTCTTTTCCATTCCTGAGATTACCTGCCATTTTCTCCTCTTACAATGATTCCAAATCTTGGACTCCACTAAGGAAAACATAGCCTGAGTGAAGTTACACAACCAGTGAGAAAGGAATCTTCCCTGGGCAATGAGATGAGGGCTGACTCACGATCTCAGCTCTTAGGAATGGCTCTCCAGCTGCTGACAGAGGCCACATGGGTTCAGCCATGAGGTCATTAAGGATCTCCCTGGTGACTAACAAAATTGGGGCAGCCAGGGATAGCCAGAGCTGAGCTGGGGCAACTGACCCATTTGTTGAAGTGCCCTCCAGGATGGAGGCCAGCAGTCCAAGTTGCAATGCCTTGGCAATGTAGCACTCACAGCTGGTGCAATCTGGAGGATGATTGGCACCCAACAAAAGAAGTCTCTGGTAAAGGATGTACTTATAATCACTGTGTGGAGACATGTTTATTCCAGATGCCCATTCTTCATTCTTTCACTTATACAACAGACATTTGACCTTGCTAGGCACTGAGCTGGAGGCTGGTATATTCCTTGTTCTCAAGGAACTGACAGTTTAGCAGAGAGGCACAATGGGGACAAGCACAGGAAGCATTAGGAGAATTCAGAAGAGCACTTACCTCAAATTGGAGAGTCAGGAGCGCTCTCCCAAGAATGCATGGAAGGCTTATACAGAAAGGGAGGAGAAAGGGCCCTCCAGGTAGAGTGGCAGCAGTGCCCAGCCACAGAGACTAGAGAGAACACGTAGCTCCTTGGGGATGCAAAGGGGGTTGTTGTGGCTGACATCAGAATATGCAGGGGAAGGGGCAGGAGATGCTGCTGGAGAGGGGAGCATGGCTCAGATTATAAGTGTCCTCTTGCCCGTCATGCTGGCAGGTCAGAATTCTATCTGGAAGGGTCAGGAACCACTAACTGACTTTCTGTCAGGGAAGGAGAGGGGCAGGTCTGCCTTTTGAGGACGTTTTCTCAGTGGTTTAATGTGAAGATTGGATGCAAAGAAAGCAAGCATGAAGTACGAGGACCACTTTGTAGAATCATGCAGTAATTGAAGAAGGAAATAATGTGGGCCCAGCCTATAGCAGAGACCACGGGGAAGCAGAAAAAGAAGACTGGGAGAGATATAAAGGAGTTGCCCCAACTGACCATGGCGATCAGCCACAGGCGAGTCCTGAAGAGCTCAGAGGGGCTTCAGCTTTGGTGGCTGGGGGGAGATGATGGGAGGAGAAGGCTTGCTGGAAGGAGATGATGAGTGCAGGCTGAAGCGGGAACCCAGGGAAGAGACCCTTCCATCGGCCTGAATATTAGTGGAGGAAGGTCAAGGCAACTCAGTGGAGTTGGGGACTCCCCCGGTGTCCCCTAAAGGAGGCTTGGTGACAATTCCAGATCCCACTAGCTAGAGAGGAAGAGGCTCCTAACACATGGCCTGGCTTGTTAAGACTGAATCTTGCAGGACCGAGGCTGCAGATGAGAGGTCTCTAGTACCTGCAGCCAAGCAGGGCCTGACAAGCTGTTTCCATGGAGATGTGGTGTACGCAGGAGGGAGTGAGTAGGAGGGCTGATCCATTCCAGAGCCTTGGGTCACAAGGCTGTGGTGGGCTAACAGATAAACAGGAAAAAGACATAGTCAATCAGAAAAGGATGTTCAAAACAATTTGCAGTTAATTGGGGGTTGTATCGTCATAATTCTAGATTAAGTCTAACAATTGAGAAGGATTGGGGTAAGCCACTTAATGATCCTGCTAGTTATTTTAGGTACGACTTGATGAGGGCACAGGGAAGCAGATGCCGACTCAGGCTAACTCCAAATGTACGTACACCATCTTAAGTCCTTCTACATCCCTGGACTCCAAGTTGCTGCATATCACTCCCAAGTGTGAGTAAAGTAACAGGTTTCTGGAGAAACAGGTATAGATATGGGAAGTTAATTTTTTTTTTTGTTTGCCATGCTAATAGCAGTAATACACAGAAAACCTGCAGAGCTCTTCAGAAAACTCAGATGCTGGTGAAGCCTCAGATCAGATGTTGTTATTAAGCAATTTGAAGACTGTTCTGGACAGACAGCCAGCAGCAATGGGGCCCAGATGTGTGTGTGTGTGTGTGTGTGTGTGTGTGTGTACCATTTTGACCATCTTAAAGTGTATAATTCAGTGGCATTAAGTATATTCGCAATCTTGTGTAACCACCATCACCATTATCTATTTCCAAAGCTTTACCATCTTCCGAAACAAAAACTCTATAATCATTAAGCAAGAAATCCCCTTTGAGCACCAAAGATATTAAACGACCTTATTGTGCTGCAACAACACTGCCTACCGGGCAGGGTGATGTTTTGGTTGCTGCACATAAGAAAGCTGGGTTGGCTTTGGCCGGTTGCTCTCAATTCACACATAGGGGTTTTTGGCCAAAGTCCTCATCTTATACATGAGCTTATTAGACCTAGTCTTTGGGAAGTGACTGACTTTAACCATTGTAATGACTGTTGGGACTTGCTGACCTCCATCTCCAAGGTATTCAAATGGCTGATGGCGGTACTTATTAAGATCAGTAAAAATGAAGTCAGGACCATAAGGCCCTCATAAAGATTCTGCTGGAGGCAAACTTTGCTCCAAAGTTAGTTGGGCATAATTGTAAAGTGAATTGTCTAGGAAGCAACATTTTCTTTTTTTTTTTTTTGAGATAAGGTCTTACTCAAGTCTTGCCCAGATTGGAGTGCAATGGTGTGAACAAGACTCACTCCAGCCTTGTCCTCCTGGGCTCAAGCGATCCTCCCACCTTAGCCTCCCAAGTAGCCGGGACTACAGGCACATGCCACCATGCCCAAGAAATTCTTGTATTTTTTGTAGAGATGTTTGTAGAGATGTTTTGCCATGTTTTCCAGGTTGGTCTTGAACTCCTGGGCTCAAGCAGTCCACCTATCTCACCCTCTCAAAGTGCTGGGACTACAGGCATGAGTCACCACTCCCAGCCCCAACTTCATTTTAGGCAACCAAAAACAACAGTGCCTAGGGAAGATGAGGCATAATTCTGGTTTAAAATGGTAGACCATGACCAGAAGATCAGAACCTGAAATCCCAAATGTCCTATTCCCCTTTTTTCACAAATTATATATAGGCCAAGTTTCAGTCTGGAGTTCACAAACTCAAAGCAGCAATAGCCCAAAAGCCCGGACAGATACCTCACAGATGCATGGTGTCCACCACGAAGAACAGTAGGGGGAAAAACAATGGACTTGATTTAATGAAAATTGCTCCACTATAAACACAATGTAAACCACATGCATTGTTTTGGGGATCATAGTGAAAGGACTTTTTTCTTTTCTTTTTTTTTTTTTTTTTGAGATGGAGTCTTGCTCCATCACCCAGGCTGGAGTGCAATGGCATGATCTCGGCTCACTGCAACCTCCGCTTCCTGGGTTCATGTGATTCTTCTGCCTCAGCCTCCCGAGTAGCTGGGACTACAGGTGCATGCCACCATACACGGCTAATTTTTTTGTATTTTTAGTAGAGACGGGGTTCCATCATGTTAGCCAGGATGGTCTCAATCTCCTGACCTCGTGGTCCATCCACCTGGCCTCCCAAAGTACTGGGATTATAGGTGTGAGCCACCGCACCCAGGCAAGATGAATATTTTAACACAGTATAGTGTTCCTGGGAACTGGGGCTCAGAAGAGGTTCACTGGCTTAGTTAGCATCACCAAGAAAACTAGAGAAAGAGCTAAGAATCAAGTTTTGTCTCCTGATTCCTGGTCAAGTGGTTTATTTTGATTAGTGTCTGTGGTGCTCTGTTCTTGGCATGCACAAGGGGGATGGTTCTTAGAGCCTCTTACCAAGTTTTTATTTGGCCAGAGGGTAATCTATTAACACATTTATGTCCAAATTCACCTTTAATTTAGTGTTCATATTATGCTGATTTTTCAACCAACCTTGGATAGGAGCTCAGACAAATGTTGTTAGCAGTCAAGAAAAAGTTTAGTGTTATCAAGATCCTATTAGGAGATGATTTCCAGGATGGTAGTATGAGGAGCTTTACAGACCCAGTCCCAATGAAACAACCATACTGGTGAAAATTATTTTTAAGACAACCATTTAAAGTCTCTGGAAATTGTCCTAAGGGCGTACAACAAATGAAGAAATATTTATTCAGGAAAATCTACTAAATCCTGGTAAGAACAGTTGGGAGTCCATGGCATCTGAACCAAAAACTGTTCCCTCCCTCCCTGCCCAACCCCAACTAGGTCAGTGTGATGGAAGCTCCAATCTGAGGGGGTGTTGGAAAAACAGAGCTCCCTCTCCTCCCAGATACCAGTCAAGGACTACATTATCTCCCTGGGGAGGGGCAGGCCACCAGCATTTCTCATCCTCCCAGCTCCATGCTGTGGAGGCTAAGTCCTAGGCAAGTGCAGCCAAGAGGTGGGTGATCCCATTCCTCCAACAAGCCCCTACCTATAGGGCAGAAGCTCTCCCCCAGATACAGTAGGTTGATAAAACTGGGGCTCCAATTGTCCTCACCCCAGCTTTTTTTCAGAGCAGAGGTTCCACAAAGGGAGATACAAGTCAAGAAGACCAGAGACCACTGCCCACACCCAGTGGCCCTGCTTATGAAACAGAATCATCACTCCAAGAGAAGTGGGTCACTGTCCCTGCCACAGTTCCAGAGCAGAGTCTCAGAGATTCTGTCCAAGAGAAGAGGCAGGTGATGAGAACAGAGAGGCCTGAAGCTCTTCCAAAAGGAACTGGCTTTATTTAGAACAGAGCATGAAGAAGTTCAAGCTACAGAGAGTTCTTATAAACAACGGAGAATTTAATGAAAAGCAAGTAAGAAGAAGCTGGTAGCTCAATGTGCGCAACAAGCTAAACTGTAGGCTGATTGGTTTACCAGGGAGAACCAGGGAAAGAGACAGCTAAGAAGAGCCATCCTGAGGTCAGAACAAACCTCAAGGACTGACCTCAAAAACTACCCCAGCAAAGATGCTTAAATTTAATTGGAACACAATGTGGAACAATTTACACCCTAGGGCATTGTTGAAAACAATAGAATGACCAGCAACTAGAGGAGCCTAACACCTAGGGCTTATACCAACAGAGGCAGAGAACGTAACAGAGAGAGAGCAGGGAAAGAGACAGTCAAAGAGAGCTTTGCTAAAATGATTGCCATCCCGAGGGGGCTGTGCACATGACCAACCCTGTACCTTTTGAGGAGCAACGTTAAGAGATTTCACACTGCAGGAAAATAGACTTCACTAAAATAAACTAGCCACATCACTAAAGAAATAAACAAAAACAGTAAGTCCTGGGTTGGAAGTATCAGTATTCAGAGTTGCTATATTATATAACATGTCCAGTTTTCAACAACAACAAAAATACGAGACATTCACAGAAACAGGAAATGTTATGTGACTCATAACATAACATAAGGAGAGGGAAAAGTAATCAACAGACTACTTGAGGGCTCAGATATCAGACTTAGCAAACAATGACTTTAAAGCACTTATATGTTCAAGGAATTAAAGGAAACCATGCTTAAAGAAGTAAAGGAAGGGATGATGACAATGCCTCATTAGATAGAGATTATCAATAAAGAAATAGATTTTTTTTTAAAAAAGAACCTAATAGAAATTCTGGAATTGAAAAGTACAAAACTAAAGAGAAAAATTAATTAGAGGGGCCCAATAGTAGATTTGAATTGGCATACGAAAGAATCAGCAAATTTGAAGATAGATAGAGATTATTTAATCTCAAGAAGAGAGAAAAAAGAACGAAGAAATATGAACAGTACCTCAGAGGAATGTGAAATACCATTAAACACATCAACATCTGCATAATGGGGTTACCAGAAGAAGAGGAGAGAGAGAGGAGCGGAAAAAAATTTCGAAGAAACAATGGCTGAAATTTTTTTTTTTTTAGAAAGAAGATCTCTGTTGCCCAGGCTGGAGCGCAGTGGCACAGTCATGGCTTACTGCAGCCATAACCTCCTGGGCTCAAGGGATCCTCCTTCCTCAGCCTCCAGAGCTGGGAATACAGGCATGTGCCATCATACCTGGCTAGTTTAAAAAAATTTTTTTTTGTAGAGACAGGGTCTATGTTTCCCAGGGCAATTTTTTAAAAAAAATTTTGTGGAGACAGGGTCTCATTATGTTTCCCAGGTGGTCTCAAATTCCTGTCCTCAAGGGATCCTCCTGCCTCAGCCTCCCAAAGTGCTGAGATTATAGGTGTGAACCACTGTGCCCAAACAGCTTCTAAAATTTGATGAAATCTGTTATCTTCACATCCAAGAAGTTCAAGTAACTCCAAATACAATAAACACAAAGAGAACCATACCCAGACACATCAGAGTAAAAATGTTGAAAGAGACAGATAAAGAGAGTATCTTAAAAGCAGCAAGGGAAAAACACAAAAACACAAAAAACCAAACATACAATGTATAAGGAAATTCAAATAAGATTAACATCTGACTTTCTCCAAGAACAATGGATGCCAGAAGGCAGTGGGATGGAATATTCAAAATGCTGAAAGGAAAATTTTTAAAGCCTGTCAACTAGTTGTTGTCTATCTATCTATCATCTATCTATCTCTCTATTTATTTCTTCAGATGTAGTCTCGCTCTGTTGCCCAGGCTGGAGTGCAGTGATGTGATCTCAGCTCACTGCAACCTCTGCCTCCCAGGTTCAAGTAATTCTCCTGCCTCAGCCTCCTGAGCAGCTGGGATTTTACAGGTGTGTGCCACCACATCTGACTAATTTTTGTATTTTTAGTAGAGACTGGGTTTCACTGTGTTGGCCAGGCTGGTCTTGAACTCCTGACCTCTGGTGAGCCACCCGCCTCAGCCTCCCAAAGTGCTGGGATTACAGGTGTGAGCCACTGTGCCCGACCTATTTATTTATTTATTTATTTATTTATTTATTTATTTATTTTGGAGATGGAGTCTCGCTCTGTTTCCTAGGCTGGAGTGCAGTGACATGATCTTAGCTCACTGCAACCTTCACCTCCTGGGTTCAAGTGATTCTCCTGCCTCAGCCTCCCAAGTAGCTGGGACTACAGACATGTACCACCATACTCAGCTAATTTTTGTATTTTTAGTAGAGACAGCATTTCACCATGTTGTCCAGGCTGGTCTCAAACTCCTGACCTCAGGTGATCCACCCACCTCGGCCTCCCAAAGTGCTGGGATTATAGGTGTGAGCCACCATTCCCAGCCTGTCTACTAGTTTTATACCAGAAAAACCATCTTTCACAACCACAGGTGAAAGAAAGGCATTCCAAGATAAACAAAATCTGAGATAATTTATTGCTAGATTACTGACTTTGCAAGAAACAGGTTCTTCAGGTGGAATTCAAGTGACCCCAGTCAGTAATTCATATCCACATAGAAGAACAAAAAGGACTAGTAAATGTAATTACATAATTATAAAAGACACTATATATGCATAATCTTTCTCATTTCTTCTCTTAAATTATTTTAAAAGCAGCTGTATAAAAAATGTTTGACAATGACAGCATAATGAGGTGGGTGGGAGCAAAGCTACATTAGAGTAAGAAATGACATGAGATGGTAACTTGATTGCACAGGAACAAATGAAGAGAACCAGAAATGGTAAATAAGAAAGTCGGTACATCTATGAGAAAAGAATGAAATCATGTCCTTTGCAGCAACTTGGATGCAGCTGGAGCCCATTATCCTAAGTGAATTAATGCAGAAACAGAAAACCAAATGCTGCACTTATAAGTAGGAGCTAAACACTGGGTACACATAGACACAAATATGGAAATAA